>NC_000020.11:20066335-20694538 GCF_000001405.40 Homo sapiens
CAAAGGATTATAAATCATTCTACTATAAAGACACATGCACACGTATGCTTATTGCAGCACCATTCACAATAGCAAAGACTTGGAACCAACCCAAATGTCCATCAATAATAGACTGGATAAAGAAAATGTGGCACATATACACCATGGAATACTGTGCAGCCATAAAAAAGGATGAGTTCATGTCCTTTGCAGGGACATGGATGACGCTGGAAACCATCATTCTCAGCAAACTATCACAAGAACAGAAAACCAAACACCACATGTTCTCACTCATAAGTGGGAGTTGTACAATGAGAACACATGGACACAGGGAGGGGAACATCACGCACCAGGGCCTGTCGGGGTGGGGGCTAGGGGAGGGATAACATTAGGAGAAATACCTAATGTAGATGACGGGTTGATGGGTGCAGCAAACCACAATGGCACGTGTATATGTAACAAACCTGTATGTTCTGCACATGTATCCCAGAACTTAAAGTGTAATAAAAAATAAAATAAAATAAAAGTTCCAGAGCAGGAAAACTAATATGATTTGATAGTAACAAGTCCACATTATTTTATGGGTTGTTTACTGGGTGATAAATTAGGAAACTTTTTGTGATGATGTAAACATTGACTTCTGTGTGGAGGGGGCGGATGTGATACAAAGGTGTATTTATTTTCTAAAATTAGTTAAATGATACCCACAAAATCATTTCACTGCATGTAAATTATACCACATTAAAATATTATAAAAAGTTTTATAACATCTGACTCTTAAAAAAAAAAAAGAAAATAAGTTTTGGCTATACTCGGAAAATTTCCTGAAGCAGTTGAATAAATGAGGCATTGCTCTAATGAAAAGAGCTCTGATTTGGTGTGACATACGTGTGTATGTGTGTGTGTGTTAATAGGGCTCCTTCAGTTTGGATTTGGCTTATTACAAAGAACAGTTTAAAATCCAACATTTAAAAATATGCCTTCTCAGCCGGGCGTGGTAGCTCACGCCTGTAATCCCAGCAGTTTGGGAGGTTGAGGTGGGTGGATCACGAGGTCAAGAGATCCAGACCACAGAGCGAGACTCCGTCTCAAAAAATAAAAAAACTAAAAAAAGTAAAAGAGATCGAGACCATCCTGGCCAACATGGTGAAACCTTGTCTCTACTAAAAATACAAAAATTAGCTGGACGTTGTGGCAGGCATCTGTAGTCGCAGCTACTCGGGAGGCTGAGGCAGGAGAATCACTTGAACCCTGGATGGGGAGGTTGCAGTGAGCTGAGATCGCGCCACTGCACTCCAGGCTGGGTGACACAGCGAGACTCCATCTCAAAATATATATATATATATATAATATATATATTTATATTATATATAATTTTTTTATATATTCATATTTTATATATAATATATATTCATATTATTTTATATATAATATATATTTATATTATTATATATGTATTTATTATATATATATATATACCTACCTTCTCCCTCTACCTTTTCCTCCTCTTCTTTCCCTTTGTTCCCATGGTGATTTTTATCTGTGCTATGGGGGACCTAGTGACTAAGGGGTAATAAGAAGTGAAAATTATATACATAAAAGGATAATGCTACAAAAGTTACTTTTTACAGTCAGCTATTTGTAAACTGTAGTGCATTTTCCCATTGAAACAAAGTAATTCATGGCTGGCTTCCCAGGCCAACCCACAAAAGCATACTGAATCTTTAATGTCTATGTGGTATATAGTATTGTGCTAATTGTACTGTAAGACCCAACCAGCATCCTGAGGTTCCCATGGATAAATGCATTTCGTTAGAATTGGATTCCAGGAACACATTGTTCTTTGCTTCCCTGAGGGGATGGTGGCTGCGCTGTCCCAAATTCTTGCCCACTTCCTCCTCCCTACCATCACCACTATCGTCAGAGCTGACATGTACAGCGTCTTGTGCATTTTCTCATCTGGTTTAGAGGGAGCACTCTCAGCTTGAGACCATAGGTCATGACTCTGGGAGTCTGGGGCAGAGGAGCCCAGAAGACCAAGAGCTGGAGGGAGATGACTTACAGGTAGACGGAAGTTAAGGGTTCAGTGAGAAGTTGTGGGGCTGCATCCCTGTGCTAAAGAGCCCTGTGTGGATACTGTATTCTAGGAACCTGGGACAGTCTACTCCCTCCTTTCCTTGATAGCCAGTGCTCGTATGGGGCCCCTGGACCAGGAGCAGCCCTGCTTCATTCCCCTGTGGCTGAGGAGTGTGATCATATGTGGCTGCTGTGACTTCCTTTGAGAAGGGACAGTGGCTGCAGGCACTGAGATTGATATCCCCAGCACAATGTTTCCCAAAGACGCCCGTACATCCGGTGGTACCCAGGGGGATTTCACTTGCTACATGCAGGAAAAATTTTTTGTTTTAAATGTTACATCTTTATAGTTACCTTCCTTTTTATTTCTTTTGAGACGGAGTCTTGCTTTGTTGCCAGGCTGCAGTGCAGTGGTGCCATCTTGGCTCGCTGCAACCTCTGCCTCCCAGGTTCAAGCCATTCTCCTGCCTCAGCCTCCCAAGTAGCTGGAACTACAGGCATGTGCCATCACGCCCAGCTGATGTTTGTATTTTTAGTAGAAACAGGGTTTCACCATGTTGGCCAGAATGGTCTCGAACTCTTGACCTTGTGATCCGCCTGCCTTGGCCTTCCAAAGTGCTGGGATTACAGGCGTGAGCCACCGCGCCCGGCCTTTACCTTCTATATATACCGAGAGATACTGGTTTTCCATTTATGGTAGTGATGTATATTTCCTATTAAAATTTTAAGCCCAAAGTAAATTGATTTAAAGAAAAAAAGTACAGGAAGCGCATGTGTGTGAGAGACTGCTGTTTGGTGAACTGCTCTTGTAAAAGGTTACACTGTCAAGTGGGAAAAAGCAGGCTACAAATAGTATAGGTTGTGAGATTCCATTTTTATTTTATTGTTATTTATTATTATTATGTTTTGAGATGGATTCTCGCTCTGTTGTCCAGGCTGGAGTACAGTGGTGCGATCTCGGCTCACTGCAGCCTCTGGCTGCTGGGTTCAAGTGATTCTCTGCCTCAGCCTCCCGAGTAGCTGGGATTACAGGCATGTACCACCACACCCGGCTAATTTTTATATTTTTAGTCAAGATGGGTTTTCACCATGTTGGCCAGGCTGTCTCAAACTCCTGGCCTCAAGTAATCTGTCCACCTTGGCCTCCCAAAATGTGGGATTACAGGTGTGAGCCACCGTTCCCGGCCAGATTCTAGTTTTAAAAACACACGATGTACATTTCAACGTATAGTTACCTCACGAAAAGATAAGTCTGGAGAGACAGAAACCAAAGTGTTGACAGTGGTTGGTTATCAATGGAAGGTGGGATTAAAAGTGATTTTCCAAATTATTTATTTTTTCTCTTCTTGCTTAGATTTTCTCGTTCTTGTCTGCACTGACAGTGTATTCCTTCTGTGATAAAAACATAACTGGAAAGCCCATGTCACTTTCTGTCCTCCTGTCATCTCCTCTCCGCCTCTTCCTCCAGTTACATGCTTGCTTCTTCCTGTTCTCCTCAAGAAGGAACATGGGTAACTGCTGCCTTCTTTGTGTTTTGAGTGAATGTTTAACTATTTCTTCCTCCAACTTAAGATGCCAGTAGATTTCATTTCACTAAGAAAGTAAAAAATGCATTTAAATTTATGCACAAATGGTTCTTGGGGTGGTAAACTATATGCTGCCTTTAAGTGCCTTTAAGTCTTGCTGCCTTGATGGGCCACAAGACAGGGTAGCAGTTGGGAGGGATTGTCAAGATAGTCCCTCTGAGACAACCACCAGAATAAGACTGGAAAGCCTGCTTCTCCTCTCTTCGCTTTATTAACTCACTGGGTTACCTTAGCTTAAGCAAGACCCCTGGGAGTCCCCATTTCTGCAGCTGGGTCAGATGATATTCCAGATGCCCAGATTCCATATGAATGAATCAGTAAGTCCAGGGACATGAACTCACAGTTTGGAGGAATTGCTTGAGAATGGTAACTGAGATGGAGCTAGACTGTTAGCTTTACTGCTGTTCATAGGTGACCCATTCATCCTAGTTTGCCCAGGACTTTCATTTTTTTAATGCCATGAAAGTCCTATATCTTGGGCACTCCCAGTCCTGGGCAAAGAGAGACACTTGGCCACCCTAACCATAGATGTTTAGGCCAAACACAGTGGTACTGGCAACATGGAGAGGATAGGGGAAACTGTGTAGTCAAATATCTTCCTAGTCAGTCTCCAAGGGAAAGATAGTAGATACTCAATATCATAAATGTAATACCTTTCTAATGAAATGTCATTTTGAATACAAGTTTAGTTGACAGCACCACTTGTCCTGAACGATGTACCCCAAAGTGGCTGCAATATCATTCTCACCTTTTCCAAAGATTATCTGACCTCATGCAGTGGCTGCTGAGCTCCAGTAGCCAGAGGGAAAAAAATGGCATGTCCTCACCTCACTTTTTGTAATCTTATTCATGTTTGCAATTGTAATCATTTCTGCAGAGAAAAGGCCAACCTTGCTGTTACCCTCTGCAATGACAAGGAGGAGATCATGGCCCAGGCCACCTTCCTGGACTACCCCAACTGGAATGTTGCCAAGCAGGATGACTGGGTGTCAGTGTTCCGGGAGCTCGACAGTGACATCCCATGCACAGTAAGAAATCACATACAGTGCTTGTTAGAACACCCTGAATCTTGAGGGGAAGTCCTGTGTTTGTGATTATGTCTTTCCAAGTTTTGTACTGAGCAGTATATGACATCATGACAGTTAAAAGTGAAGGGAGCTGGTGGGGAGGAAAAGAGGGCTGAGAGTAGTGCCAGGGGGGATAGGAAAGGGCAGGGAGTAGCCAAGTTGGCTAGCCGCTGGCAAGGCCTGGATCGTGCTTCACTAATGACGGCGGGGGAGGAATTAGTGGAAGTGTCAAACGTGTGCTTCCAGGTCTCACGTTGTTCTCCAGGCGTCAGTGTCCAAGGTCATTGATATGTTAGGAGAGCACCTGCCGTCTACACAATTGCCCTTGTAATCATGACAGCAGAGCCTCAGACTTCTGTCACATTCTATAATTTTCAAAGTGCCCTCATGGACCTTGGCTTATTTGATGTCTTCTAGCTGCTGACACATGACAACTTGTCAGCCAACAGAAGCTAGGTTAGTGGTTCCCAGGAGTCTGGCCTGGGTACCTGATGCCAAGTCTGAGCTTTCTCTGCATGCAACCTGCCAGAGCCAGGCCAGAGACAGGCCCCAGTTTTTGTGGAGTGCCAGAGGCTACAACTCTGGGCAGCACCCTGGCCTTGTGGTGGAATTCTGCAGCATGTCCCCAGAGCCCTGATGTCAGAAGAAAAGGGAATGCCCAATGAGTGTGAGTGAATTCACCCCCCGTACATGTGTGTGAATGTGCACACATACACACACCCGTAAGCATATTATTCAGCATTTATTTCACTAGATGGTGCCTTCCCCTCATCTTTTGTGTTCTCTCCTACCCTGCCACCCTGTATACCTAAGGACTATTGTCAGAAAAATTATCGCAAACTTGGAAATAGACCAAAACGATTATTTCAGTCCAATGCTTGCACCTTTGGTTGAGTAGCCTGTTTTACAATTCTGTAGGAATGGTGATTAGCCTGTAGATTTTTGTCCATTAGGATGTAAAGAATTCCTGTCTGGATAGAGCTAACCTCAAAGGTTATGGTTTATTGTCTTACAGGATGTGACCTATTTGGTATCTAATCTAGCAATCTTTTTTTTTTTTTTTTTTTTTTTTTTTTTTTTTTTTTTTTTGAGATGGAGTCTCACTCTGTCGTCCAGGCTGGAGTACAGTGGCACGATCTCGGCTTACTGCAAGCTCTGCCTCCCAGATTCATGCCATTCTCCTGCCTCAGCCTCCCAAGTAGCTGGGACTATAGGCGCCTGCCACCACGCCCGGCTAATTTTTTTGTATTTTTAGTAGAGACAGGGTTTCACTATGTTAGCCAGGATGGTCTCGATCTCCTGACCTCGTGATCCACCTGCCTCGGCCTCCCAAAGTGCTGGGATTACAGGTGTGAGCCACTGTGCCTGGCCTAATCCAGCAATCTTATTCTTTCCTTTTCCTAGTAAATCACCTGAAGTATCCAGCTCTTCAAGTGCAAAGAATCATTTTTATCATCTCACTGGTTGCCTCATTAATTGATTTGTTGAAGTTGAATAAACCTCTGATAGATGTTTATTTTATATTTGCATTAGGGTTATGATTTTACCTTTCTGAAAATTATAAATTAACACTCTTATTCATAAACACATGCCCCTTTTGTTTCTTTTCAAGCTGTCTTCTATGACAGTATAGTGCTGGGCTGTCCAATGTGGTAGCCACCAGCCTTATGTAACTAACGAGCGCTTGAAATGTAGCTAGTCTGAATTGAGGTGTTCCATAAGTATAAAATATGCCAGATTTCAAATACTTCGTAGGAAAAAAAGAGTGTAAAATATCTCATTAATAATTTTTATAATGATTACTTGTTAAAATGATATAATTTGAATATATTAGGTTAAATATTAACTTAAATATTAAACATTAATTCACCTGTTTATCTTTATTCTTTTTTAATGTGTCTACTAGAAAATTTGAAATGACATTTGTGGCTTGCATTACTTTTCTGCTGGATGTAACCAGTATAGAGCCTTTAAGGCTTAATGCAGTATCTATCCCAGGGATATTTGCAGCTGAAGTAATGATTTTTATCTTAAAGCTAAAGAATAAATCTTGCATTGTAATATTTATGATGGAAGAGAGAATTTGGGAGACAAATCAAGCAAGTAATAAGCCATATGCTCCTGAGGCTAGTCCTATTCAGGATGTAAGGCAAATGCTGAGTGAGATTATTGTGGGATTAAATGAGTGAATACACAGCAAGTACTTGAAATCATGTCGTCGTCATCGTTATCTGGACTTTTGGGATTTGTGTTGTTTGCCTTTTGGGAGTTTTCAAGCTCATGAATCAAAACATGGTTTTCCTCTTGCGCTTTTAGTCACCGTACAATTCTTTCCGAGTGCTTCTGAGTCACACACCATCCGACAGAAGTGGGGACAAGGCACACAGAAGTGCCACTGGTCCCACAAAGCTGTCCAGAAAATTATTCAAAAAACAAGAAACCTAGGCAGCACCTGTGCTGTCCTGATATAGGTACCAGCACCACCCTCACCAGTCAGCCAGTCTACATCTGCACTGTTTCCAGAATTTGAAGATTTGTTCATAAGCACAGGGGTACCGAGTTGAGTGGACCAATGTGTGGATGTTTGAACCATTTACTCATTATTTAGGCCACTTTAAAAGTCTCAGAAGGAGGAGACAAAGCTCTTTTAAAACTTGGAAGATTTAACTGGAAAGTCTTGCTAGAATCTTGCTACTGTGAGTTTTCAGCTCCCAGGTTTTTTGGATCCCAAGAGTAATATTTGATTCTGACTCTGGGAATGTTGAACAAAACAAGCCAATGGATTCTGAACGTGGCATCTGCCTTCCATTTTTCAAATTCATAAGAGCATCTCTCCCTCCTGTCACATGAATAGAGCAGCAGCTGCTGACTCAAGAGCGCCGGGAAAAGGGTGATTGTCTTTCACTTGGCATAGACACCCCTGAGGACAAGACTACTGAGTTAATAATCGATTTCACTCCCCTGCAGGCTCTCCCGCAGCTCATTCGTGAGGGCAGGAGGAAGGGCGGGTGCTCTGGACTCATTTACAGTCCCTGTTTCCTTAAATAATTGTGAGTAAGGAGGACAGAAGGCGGCAAACGGAGTCAGTGAGACAGCTCAAATGCCGCCTGGGTGTTGCATCACTTAGACATAAAATATCAACCCTAAATGCCAGGCTGTTCTGTGTCTGTGGATGCCCCGAAACCCTCTTTCCACCCTGTGCTGACCTAGCCCGAATACTGACTCAGCCTTTAATCCGTGTTCTCTCTTCTTCTGCAGCCCCTGAATACGTTGTTCATGCACCTCTTTGTGGCCGTGGATGAGTATTCTGTTGGCTGTTGCAAAGAGATTCTTCGGTGAGTGGATATGGCCGTGCAGTGGTGAACATGAAAGAGACTGTGTGGATAGTTTTGAAATATTTTTTAAAAGACATGAAATTCTTTGGGGTGTTTAATTTGCTTGTAATTTGTGGCTATATTAAAATATTTACTTTGAATAGCAATGATATTTCTGAAAGGAGATAGTTCTTTGAATCTATTGTCCATTCTGCACGCTGTTATCATTTGAGGCAAACAGATAGTGCAGTAATTTAAAGAAATGGATTTAGGTTGAGGGGAGTAGGAGAAGAATTAAGTGTCGCAAGCTTGGACATTTCTAAAAACTGCTTTTCTTTATCTTATCTTTAGAAATGTTTATTAACATGACAGACTTCAAAGCATCCTGAATAATAGGATGCATGGAAAATGACCAGCAGGGCTACCGAGTCATGGCGATGTGTCTCTGACAGCCTCTGACAGCCTGCACAGACATTTGGGGGTGGTGGTCACAGCTTTCAAGTCACTTTGTAATGTCACACCAGACCGTCCAGATGCCAGGTCAAAGGTTAATATTAGCAGAAATCTGGTGTGCCATATGAACATGGCACCCTTTATTCTCTCTGCCTCCATGGGACAGATCGAAAAGGGGCCCTTTAGAACCCAAGGAAAAGTAGAGAAGAAAAAGAAATTGCCTTGAGGCTGTTCTTGCCATTGCAGGTGGGGAGCAAAGGAGCCCATGTGGATTTAGGAACACCTCACCTTTTTAGTGACAGCATTTGTCTTCATCAAGTGCCAGCTGATGGGATTGCTTTGTTAGTAACACTGCCCCACCCTCTCTTTCCTCACCAGAACCGTGTATAAGGCAGTGCCAGAGCTGCACTTCATATTTCTCATCGTGCCATCCTACATGAGCCTAGGTAAGGCCCGCCCAACCACCTCTGGTCCCCGGTAGCAAACATTGAAAATTCACTCCCAGAATGGTGCTTTGGGGAATGAGAAATAAGAGTGGTCTCCAGGTCCTCAATGTACCATGTGCATATTTTATTAGAACAATTAAGCACAATTTAGAATGGAAACTACATTTTGTTCTGACATCCCAAATTTATTTCTTGATAAATAAGGACATGTTTCTTTATCTCTGTGATTTAGGCTCAACTCTCATAACTGTTTTTGACCAAGTGGGGAACATCCCGTGTCTGACGTATGAGGAAGACTTTGCAGTGCATATATGTCACAGGCACAGCCACTATCCTCAGCTGCACGTTCGCAAAGCCAGGTACAGTTGGAGTCATGCCTTGTGTGACCTAAGCTTCACTGGGACAGTCATCTTCCCAAGACTCTTTAAACTACCAATGCTAAGTGACTATAGCTTAGATCAAAATTTTTTACAATACTCATAAGCATTACTTCATTTGGATATCTTTATAGTTCCCCTTAATGACATTATTTGCAGGACTATCTGATGATACTCATTTGGTTCTATGTGGCTATAACATTATTCATTGACTCCTTAGGGGTTTCTGAAAACACACAATCCTAGGTCCCACACCAGTAAGATAACTTTCAAATAAAACAAGCTTAAAAATGAACCTGCCTATTCAGTTTTCTCGGTAAAACCCACCTATTTTCTGACATTCAGTGAATGAGGATGCTGTTGACCCCAAAGAGGGGTTTTCCAAATTGAAGGTCTCTACCATCAGGTGCCCCAAGTCCAGCAGTCTTAGGGAGATGGCTGTGGCAGTGTTTTCCAAAGATGGCTGCCACACTACTTTCCACCCCGCAGGCTACTCTTTGATGTGACTTTGCCACTCCTCTCTTCAAGCCTTGGGCGCTCCGTCCTCTCTTCCTGAAGCTGGGTGGGTTGTGACTGCTTTGACCAGTAGACCGTGGCCAAAGGGATGCTCTGGGACTTGTGAGGCTGGGAAGCTTCTGCCTGGCTCTCTCAGGATGCTTGCTCTGGAGGAAGCCAGCCATATGTAAGAAGTCTGGAGAAGCCACATGTTCGCAAGGGGAGGGGTGGTTGACAGCCCCAGCTGGGCTCCCGCTGACAGTTAGCTTCCACTGCCTGTGGTGTGAATGAGCCATTGTGGACACCCAGCCCAGGAGAGCCCCATATATCTACAGCACAGCTGACATCTGATCGCAGCCACATGACAGACCCCAAGTGAGGATGCCCAGCTGAGCCCTGCCAGAGTTCTGACTCACAAAACCATGAGCAATGTAGAGTGGCTGTTTGGAAATAAGAGTGCATTATGAAATCATCTCACAGAGGTGGTTGCTTGGCTTATCAGTGAAGAATAAATTGTATCTTTTGGGATCAGCCATTGCTGTGTTTGAGGAATGCTGACTTTCTTTAGAAAAGTATTTTAAAAGTTTTAAAAACTTTATAAAAGTAAGAGCCTATGATTTACCAGGCATGTAGCAGTGGTATGGCATCGTTGTTAAGAGTTTGTAATGCTGGCATCGGATAGATCTGGATTCTGATCTTGGCTCTCCTGCTCACGAGGTGGGTTAACTTACAAAAGGAACGTGACATCTGCGGGGGTGTAAGTTCCCTCTGTCAGTGGGTGTAAGCGTATTGTCTACAGCACAAGATTGTGATGATTGTGAGCTAATGAACATCAAGCACTTAGCACACTTCCTGCCACATGTAAGGGCCCAATAAATATTAAATATTATTATGACAAAGGGGCTTAGAGTTAAGTGGTGGGGAGAGACTCATCTTCAGTTAACTGTCATGTTGGTAGCTGAGAAGCGGGATGCACAGACAGAGATGAAGACAGCTTCATTACAACTGCTCCTCCGCCCAAAAAAACCCCTCTAAATGTCCATCCACCAGTTAATGTTGTTTACCCTTATAAACTGTGGTACATCCATACAGTGGATGCTACTCAGCAATTCAGTGGAATGAACCATTTACATATAGTAGCATGAATCAATCTCAGAAGGTTTATGCTGAGTGAAGGCAGACTTAGAAAAGCATATACAGTACTGCTGATTACACTTTTGTGATATACAAAATGGGTGAAAAGCATCCACAGAGATAGGAATCAGATAGAGATAGAAACCAAGATCATGGAGATCATGACACAGGCTGGAATTCTAGCAGCGACAGGTCACAGAGATCCAGGTTGTTGACAGCAAGAGTCAGACTCTGTAAAATGTTTGAAGAGGTTTATTCTGAGCCAAATACAAGTGACCAGGGCTTTGACACAGCCCCAGGAGGTCCTGAGAACATGTGCCTGAAGTGGTTGGGCTACAGCTTGGTTTTATACATTTTAGGGAGATATAAGACACAAATCAATAAATGTAAGATGTGCATTGGTTCAGTCTGGAAAGACAGGACAACTCAAAGCAGAGAAGAGCCTTCCAGGTCATAGGCGGATTCAAAGATTTTCTGATTGGCAGTTGATTGAAAGGGTTTATCTAAAGACCTGGAATCAATATGAGGGAGTGTCTGGGTTAAGATAGGGGTTGTGGAGACAGAGGTTCTTATTGTGCAGATGAGGCCTCCAGGTAGCAGGCTTCAGAGAGAATAGATTGTAAATCTTTTTTATCAGACTTAAAAATATGCCTGACTCTTAGTTAATTCTCTCTTGGATCAGGAAAAATGCCTGGAAAGGAAGGGGATTCACCACAGAATGTAGAATTTTCTCCGAAGAGACAGTTTTGCAGGGTCATTTCAAAGTATGTCAAAGAAATATATTTTGGGGTAAAAAACTTCAGTTTATTTCAGGGCCTGCCCTGCTGTCATGTTTGTATCTTATTCCTACAAAGAGTCTGTTCTGTCATTCTTAAGATCTCTGTTTTCATGTTAATCCTGGTCAAATGTTCCTAAATTCCAAAGGGAAAGTATAATGAGGCATGACCGACCACCCAATCCCATCATGCGCTGAACTGGTATTTCAGGTTTATGTTAGAATACCCTTGGCTGAGAGGAGGAGTCCATTCCATTGGTTTGGGGGAGCTTAGAATTTTATTTTTGGTTACGTGGTAGGGAAAGGATCAGGTCAGGTGCATAGATACAGAGAGACATGTTAGAGAGTAGCGCTTGGCTACCAGTTGGATGGAGGAGTTGAGGGATGAGGAGTTTATGGTAATTCAGGGTTTTCAAGTTTAGGGGAAATGGTGCTTTCATTAACTGAAAGTAGAAATAATAGATTTAAATGGACAGGAGAAGGTAGGAAATAGAAACAGAGGGAGAAGCCAGGTTTGAGATACACATTTGTGAGTTGTCAGTTTGTCAGTAAGTGGGGAGATCATGAAATGAAGGAGATTGTCTTGCTGAGGGGGAGATTGCACAGTGAAAAAGCACAGGACCAGGGCAGAACTTTGAAAGATGAAAATGAGCTATGAATAATGAAAACTAGAAGAGAGGGAGAGGAATACAGAAGAAATTAAGACTCATAAAGTGGCAAAAGATGCAGGGAAATGAAATTATTTAAGTAAAAGAGAAGCCATTAGATTTGGCAATTTAAAAAGGCACAGATAGGATGAATAAAACTGATACTTCCAGCCAAACTGACCAAGAAAAAAGACAAATTGCCAGTATCAGGAATGAAAGAGGTGGTATCACTTACAGATCCTACAGGCATTGAAAGATTAATATGGGGACATTACAGATAACTCAATGTCGATAAATCTAACAATTTAGATAAAAATGGGCCAACTACTTTAGGAACACAAATTACCAAAACTCATTTAAGAAAAAATAGGTAACTTGGATGCTTCCGTATCTATTAAAGAAAAATCAGATGAACTTTGGGTGAGAGGAAGGGGGCCCTCCTGCCCAGACATTGGCCTCTCCCCAACCCACAGCCTGATTTGCTCTTTTTCTCCTCTTTTTCTCTTGTTCTCATGACTCTGAACTCTGCCTTCCTCAGGACCTAGTCCTCAGTTTTCTCTCAAGCTCATCCCTTTGACTCCTCTGTGCCAACCTTGCCACTCAGTAACCAGTGCCCTACTTCTGAACTCTTGGTTTGGGGTGTGGTCTTGTCACTCCTTGAAGGGCAGAGTTTCACAGGAGAGGCCAAATTGCAGTGAGCGGAATAAATGGGAGGTAAGGAAATGAAAGCAAAGGAGTAGTCAGTGCTATTTTTTTTTTCCTTTTTGCTGGAGAAAGTCACTGCTCTTCAGAGAAGTTTTGTGTTGAAGGGAAGCAGAGAGAGGGAGGCCAGAAACCTACCTGCAGATGCTGAACATTATGCAAACAGTGTAATGTGATCCCGTTTTTCCTATCCACGTGGAGCATTTTATTTGCATTCTGAGAGCGGGGCAGCATGTCTCTTAACGAAGTTCACCAAGAAGCAGATGAACTTCAGATACATATTATCTACCTAATTTAGTTTGAGAGAAGAAAATTCCTCATATAAAATGATCTTTCATTACTTTCTTTTTATTAATAGCTAAATAATCCTCTCTTTATAAAACCCTTTGATAATGATACAAATACTAATGCAAGCCAAAGGCAGTCTGAAGAAATGGAATTTTGTGTATGAAATGACATTTTTAATTGGTTCTCTCATGTCTTTCAAATTTTTATTCCTGATTTATAAAGTGTCTCTTGTTAGTGTCAGGGGAGGCAAATAGACCCTCCTGTCCTTCAGGAAATTATATTTTTTAAAGAAATATTACCTTCAGTTTTTAAATTACAAGAATCTCCACAAATTAATTACTTAGGATCTTGTAAGTAGTGTAACAATTGTTACACTTTTATATTCATTTTAAAATCTCTCATTTTTTATGCCATTTACTAATTTTTTGGGGAGATGGGTTTATTTAATAAAATGAATTCTAGTTTCAAATCATAAAACTTAAAAGTAAAAGTTATTCTTTCATTTTTCTGTGTATGTAACTATACACACACAAGTATAGTGGCATACATGCACTCTCTCTACATATATACCTATATATATCTCCATGATCATATGTTCTGTTAATTATATTTTTCACTTAACATAGCATCTCATCATTTATCATCTTTAGAGATCAATTTCTTTCTTTTCTGATGGTGCCTGGTCCATGATGGCCTAACCATCATGTAGCTCTAATACAATTCATTTAGCTCTTGCTTATTTATGGAAATTTAATTTAAGTTGTTTCCTGTAAAAAATTTACCACTTTTTCTATAAAAAATAATACTGTAGTAAACAGCATTGTACATATATCATCCAGCATTCATATATAGTAGTGTACAACAGATAACTAAATGTGGAATTTGGTGTAGGAAATACCCAGATGTTTGCAAATTCTAAGATTTAAAAATAGATGCCACCAAATTATTCAACGTAAATATCATATCCATTTATATTCTGACCAAATAGAGTTGTTTCCTTACATCTTCATCAGTGCTGAGTATTTTCAGTTATTAAAACTGTTTCCTGGCCGGGCACAGTGGTTCACACCTGTAATCCCAGCACTTTGGGAGGCTGAGGCAGGCAGATCACGAGGTCAAGAGATTGAGACCATCTTGGCCAACATGGTGAAACCCCGTCTCTTCTAAAAATACAAAAATTAACTGGGCGTGGTGGCATGCATCTGTAGTCCCAGCTACTCGGGAGGCTGAGGCAGGAGAATCTCTTGAACCTGGGAGGCGGAGGTTGCAGTGATCCGAGATTGTGCCATTGTACTCCAGCCTGGCGACAGAGCAAGACTCCATCTCAAAAAAAAAAAGAAAAGAAAAAAGGTTCCCTGTTAGACCAAAATAGTATTTTGTTGCTTTAAATTGCATTTGTCTAAATCTGTGAGAGTTTGAGTGCCATTTTACAGGTTCCATTTTAAATGAATAAAATACTTGAATTTAAAGTAACTTCCAGTTAAGCTATCATCCTACCAGATGATTAAACATGTTCCTACAAAGTAGGCAATTCTAGACAATTCCAAAGGATTGGGCAGGGGATAGATATGAGTTACTTACAACTGACAAAGGCAAATTTCTAAAAGTATTTTCTTAAGTTTTAGTCAGGATACCCGATTTGTATCTTGGGAATTATCATTTTCTGGAGGTATGTAGGGCTTAATTAAGGACTTTCAACTTAGTTATTCAGCAAGGGATTATTGTAATAGAAAACTTGTATATAAATCCAACACTGAAAATGACATGTATAGAAGCAGCCCATTCAAAAATTCCCTATTCCTTTCACTTTTTAGTAAGGTATTGTCTGTTAATTTACTCGCTAATAGCCTACTTGTCACTCAGGATGCAGGGTGCAGGAGAAAAGATGTGGGATGTGCTCAGCCCAGTGCCAGGCTCCCAGTAAGCATTTGGTAACAGATGGTTATGGTTTGGTCTCCCTTTCTGCCTCCTTTCCTACACCCCTTCCTTCTTTTCTTCCATTTTTCTCTTGAAAACTTGAGTGCTATGGACTATAACCTTCAGTGGACAAGGTTCACAAAACTTGAAATAAACCTGGATACCTTAACCTGAGGTCTTGCACATACAGCCCCTGATGTGCCCATAGAAAATCTGAAAGAAGCAAAACACAAGAGGAATGATAGCAAAGAGGTGACAGTGGGTACTTTGCAGTGAGGAAGGGATGTTTATTAGAAGATAAGTGGACAGTAGTGAATTCGTGTGGAAATGGTGACAGTATGGCAGTCAGTGCCTTTGCCTGCAGAAGGTAGAGAGTGTGGCACATTTTAGAAAGCCCTCTATCCACATGTTCAGATTCGAGTTTTGATACTTGCAGGCACAGAATTTCATGTATCTGGAGATTGCAGTTGTGTGGACTACCTCCCTCCTTAACAACGCTAGAAAAATGGAGACTTTACAGAACATCAAATGGGCGTGGCTGTGTGCCTCTTAGGTTGCCTCCTTTCTCTTATTTCCCTCACATGTATTTTTTGACATCCGTTTCAACGATAGTTACTTGCACTGATAGTTAATGGTGAAGAACACAATTCGTAAGACACTGAACCAGTGAAGGGTTTGGGGATGTAATTATCCTTCAGCCATTTGGCTAGTGACACATTCAAAACCAATGAATTAACACTGTAATCCCCTGTCCTGTTTCTTTGATTTACCCATGTGGAAAATTATGCTGTAATCTGCCCATCTACTTAGACAGTAATTAGTGAAGTTACTGTTCTGTACTTTTCATACTATCTGAAATAAAGCATAGCTACTTCTGGACACACCTCTAAAATCTACAGTGGGCTTAATTAATCATCCATGGTGGATTTGAGATGTGTTCAGATTTAGAAACTACTGGCATGCTCTTTTTCTGGGGGAAAACCTGTCTTTTTCAAGTCCTCCTGGGGCTGGGAGGAGACTTGGCCAAGGAAAGGATTATGTGCTTTCAAACAATGTTGTGAAATAACTGGTTTCCTTAGTGGAGTATTGCTTCTTTGTTGATAACAATGGTTGATTAAATTGGCTCAACCTTGTTGCTTTTTAAAATAGATGAAAAATCTCTAATCATCAGGGAAATGCAAATTAAACCACAGTGAGATACTACTACCTTACTCCTGCAAGGATGGCCATAATTTAAAAGTCAAAAAACAGCAGATGTTGGCATGGATGTGGTGAAAAAGAACACTTTTACGCTGCTGGTGGGAATGTAAACTAGTACAACCACTATGGAAAACAGTGTGGAGATTCCTTAAAGAACTAAAAGTAGAGCTACCACTCAATCCAGCAATCCCACTACTGGGAATCTACACAAAGGAAAATAAGTTATTATATGAAAAAGATACATGTATACACACGTTTATAGCAGCACAATTTACAATTGCAAGGATATGGAACCAACCTAAGTGCCCATCGACCAATGAGTGGTTAAAGGAAATGTGATATTCATACACCGTGGAATACTACTCAGCCATAAAAATGAACAAAATAATGTCTTTTGTTGCACCTTGGATGAAGCTGGAGGCCATTATTCTAAGTGAAGTAACTCAGGAATGGAAAACCAAATACCGTATGTTCTCACTTGTAAGTGGGAGCTAAGCTATGAGGACACAAAGGCATACAGAGTGACATAGTGGACCGTGGGGGCTGGGGAGGGGGAGGTTCGGAGGGGGTGAGGAATAAAATCCAACCTATTGGGTACAGTGTACACTGCTCAGGTGATGGGTGCACTAAAATCTCAGAATTCACTACTAAGGAACTCATCCATTTGACTAAAAACCACCTGTATTCCCAAAACTATTGAAATTAAAAGAAATAAAATAGATGAAAAAAACATTCTTTAAGATTTAAGATGGGTGGTTTGTAATTACAAACTTTTAACTCTTAAGGCAATCATTTTAATGAAACATTTGATAGTCCCATGTCATGCTTTTTAGAAATCCACTTAAACTTGACTTCTGAGCAATTTCATATGAATAATTATGAATATCCTAAAGCATTCCAAAAGAAGGGATAGGGCAATTACAGATTTCCCCCAACAATCTTCATGAATAAGACTGGTAAGTGACCACCAAGTCTATGGTGGAGCCAAGTCCAGCTGGAGCCATACTAGCCCAGGATGGACGTTTAGATCAGATGTGCTTTGAAAAGCACATGACAAATTTGAGCTTAAAACCCTTCATAATTTTTAAAATCATGACATTTTCCAAGGACTAGAAGCTAAATGACTCCAAAACCCATTTGGAAGTTCTACAGTGGAATACTATATGGAGTTTAGAAATGATAGATTTGATTTTCTTAAAGAAGACCACTAGAGGTCACAAGAGATCTTGAAAAGAAAAAGGGTGCTTGGTTTTGCATACCTGAAGTGAAAGAAAAATCTAGTTGACGCCGATCTTAGGTTCTCCTACCCCATGTTGAGATGGTGTTCATGGTAAAAAGTTGGCTTAACTAGAACACACTGCATTCTCTATCACTACCACTAAATTAGATTTTCTATGACTTGTTTTCTTAATTCACTGGTTTCTTAAAATACACACACACACAGGTTTGAAGAAATATATTTATGGTGTTTGAAGTGACAACATTCAGTTGTACATTTTACAACTGTACATTTTAAAGTCCAGCTTTAAATACAAATCCTCTCTGGATATGGAGAATATCATCAGACAGGAATGAGGAGGCTGTGCCAGGATTCTGGATGCGGAGGTGGCCTGCTGCTGCTGCTGCTGCTGCTGCTGCTGCTGCTGCTGTCACTCCAGTCCTTAAGTGTGAGTTTTCCATCTGTGCATTTGCAGTGGTTTCTGTGCTGGCAGGGAAGTGATGCACACCTCTCAGACTCGAGGGAAGCAGGCCTGCAGGTTTTCCTCTGGGGCCGTAATCATGTAGTGCAGCAGCCAGGCTGTGGAGGTGATGAAGCAATGTCAGGATCTGCGTGTCACCCAGAGACCCATCAGGCTGCGAGGGAGAGTTCTGCATGTTCTGGATGTCGCGGTGCTCCTAGCAAGCTCAGCTAACCGACTGGTGGAAGTGCTGAGGGAGTTTGTCCTCACTTCTCCCCACCTTCCAGGAAGCCAGTGAGAGCTACCGGCTCATTTCTAGCTGTGGACTTAGAAGACACCCATTTCCCAAGTAGGGTGTCCTGAAAGGGGGTTGATTTCCTTAAGGTGTGTGTTCAACTCCATTTCACATGGCACAGTTTTCAGAGTCTGATGGAAATCTGGGTGTCTGAGAGATTGATAAGTGTTTATGAGGTGGACCTTTTGTTTCCTCCAGGGAAGTTAAAATAAAATATTGTATAATTGATGACGTTAACAAGCACATTGCTGCCCCCTCCAAGACACATTCAGAATGGAAGATATAAAGTAACTTTGCTTTTCGCTCAGAGAATTGTACTATTTCCGTTGCACTCTGTGCTGATCTATAAACTCCGCATCTTCATCGCCACTGGAACACTGTGCGGCCTGTCAGTGCCAGGGCATGTGACGCTGCGGTGCCAAATTCACAGTGGCTCTCCTTGCATCCTGACTTTGACAGGCAGCGCTCATTGCCTCAGAACAGTCACGTTGAAACATTTGACTGCATGAGTTGTTTTCCATAGCTGGGGTGTTTTGTTTCTGTGGGGCTGGACTTTGTCATATGCCATTTGAGACTATGTGAGGCTGATGTCATACTTTATCATTAGCACTCGGGCTGATGCAAGATCATAAATTATCAATTACCCCAAGGAATGCATTTAGCAGAACAAGTTCCTCTTTATCCATTTTGGGAAAGGGCTTAAGAGAGAGCCTCTTCAGAACTCCAAGATTTGGATGTTTTTCTATTTTTCCCAGAAGAATTCGTGTTGAGGTATGATTATGGATAACTTTGTTAACGGGCTGCTGAGGTTCATGAGCAGGCCTAGGGCTCTGGGTCTTTCGGAACCTTTATTCCTGATGTTTATAGCTACAGAGTAATATTTCTGTGTCCATCGTATATTTAAAAGCCTATGGTGCACAGTTGATTGTGTGTGATTGCTGTCTTCATTCACTTAAATGATTAGGTTATTGAATTATTTTTCCATTATTTAAAATGTCTGTTAATAAATATTGATGCAACCTTTTATTTTTGGCAAAACGTTTGAAAATGGATTTGTTGACTACTCTCTCCTAGAATTTTTTACAAATTATTCTTAGCCAATATCATCAAGGACTCTTTTTTACAGAGAAAAGCCACCACCTCTTATTAGCAATGCCCTTTTGGCAGGTTAAGTGGGGAAGTGAGTTGTTCCTGGAATGTTCTAGGCTTTTTCTGCCAAGGTTCTGAGGGCTCACGTGGAGAACAAACACTTGCTAAGGACTTAGTGTGCCCCAGAGAGCAGGCTTTAGTGCGTCATCTGTGTCTTGCAGCTATTCTTGTCCCTACCTGTTTTTTGTACATGAGAAAACCAAGTCTTAGCATTGAAGTGACTTTGCCAGTTTCTTTTTTTTTTTTCTTTCAAATTTTATTATTATTATACTTTAAGTTTTAGGGTACATGTGCACAATGTGCAGGTTTGTTACATGTGTGTACATGTGCCATACTGGTGTGCTGCACCCATTAACTCATCATTTAGTATTAGGTATATCTCCTAATGCTATCCCTCCCCCCTCCCCCCACCCCACAACAGTCCCTGGAGTGTGATGTTCCCCTTCCTGTGTCCATGTGTTCTCATTGTTCAATTCCCACCTATGAGTGAGAACATGCAGTGTTTGGTTTTTTTGTCCTTGAGATAGTTTGCTGAGAATGATGGTTTCCAGCTTCATCCATGTCCCTACAAAGGACATGAACTCATCATTTTTTATGGACTTTGCCGGTTTCTTAGTCAGTAGAGTCAGAAGGCTAAGTAGAGGGGCTGTGATGCCACCAGCATGGGACCATAGGTTCAGACTGCCCAGACGCTGCCCCTTGGGCATAAAAATTCTGCCCTTCACTGCTGTCAGTGTAAATGGGACCCTTGGCAAGGTCTCAGCACAAGGTAAGGGCCCAGTTCACGTTGGCTATTGCTGCTGGGTTACATGCTAAAGAACTGCTACAGAATTCCTTCTGTGTCCCTAAAGAGCATTTTCCGTGGTTGGGAAGATGCCACACCTTGGCCGTAAGAATTAGCACCAGAACTGGACAATATATATCCAGTGATGATCCCATCATTGGGTTCCTGGGAAGGGAAGTTGGGAGAGAAGAGTCACCGGAGGGTGTAGGGTGGAGATGAGCTTTGGAGGATGCTGGAATTGGGGATAGGCAAGGGGATCAGAGCACTGGCTAGAAATAGAGGTGGGAAGGAGGGAAGATGGTGAAGTCTCCTTCTAGAGACAATAAGTAAATCAACTTGTATCATTATTGGTGACTAGGGTGGAAAGATGCAGGCAAAGAATTTTGTGCCCATCCCAGAAACAGTGGGGAGCTTGCAAAAGTGGAGTTTTAAAAAAATAATTTCAATTTTTATTTTAGATTTAGGGGGTACATGTGCAGGTTTGTTACCCGGGTATATTGCATGATGCTGAGATTTGGGGTACAATTGATCCCATCACCCAGGTACTGAGCATAGTACTCAACAGTTTTTCAACCCATACCCTGCTCCTTCTCTCCCCTCCCTAGAAGTCCCCAGTGTCTATCGTTACCATCTTTATGTCCCTGAGTGCCCATTGTTTAGCTCCTACTTATAAGTGAAAACATGCAGTATTTGTTTTTTTGTTCCTGCATTAATTCACTTAGGGTAATGACCTTCAGCTGCAACCATGTTGCTGCAAAGGACATGATTTCATTATTTCTTATGGCTGCATGTAAAAGTTTTAAAGTAAGATGAAGAAAGCAGGGTTTTAAGAAGATTAGTGATGGTGGATGGAATGACAGAGTTTCTCCTTACAGTAGTCAATGGGAAGTGAGTGCAGTGATTCAAGCTTCTGTAGTAAGAAACTCTCTTATTCCACCCACTGACTGTAGAAATTCTTCAGTTCTTTTTGGTTTCTCCTGCCTAAGTAATAATGATAATAACAATAACATTGCACATAACCCTTTTTTAACGTTTGCTATTTTTGTGACAGATGCACACACGGTAACATAGAGAGGTAAAGTACCCAAGGTCACAGCTGGGCAGAAGCAGGATCCAGACCCAGGCAGCCTGGCTCCCCCGCTCAGGCTGTGACCACTATGCTGTATCATTTTTTTTTTTCTAATCTCTTCAAGAGCACCATAAGACTTAATGCATTTATGGTGGCGCCTCAGTCCACTGGGCCACAGGTGACCACCGATAATGCTCAGTGATCACATGCAGAAATAGATGGACAAGTGGTCAAGGCCCTACCTTTTGTAAATTATTGCAGGGCTGAAATAGCTTGAAAAATGACTGCAGCATCAGTAGTACAGTCATACCCATTCAAAAAATGGTTGACATTTGTTTCTGGCTTCCTGTTTTAGCCTCATCACTAGAAATTCCTGCTGATGCCCTTGCATCATGGAATAAGACTGTTTGGTGGTGATGACATCAGGGCCAGGTTGACAGTTTTAAAAAACAAAGGATCTGGTTGCCTGGTTAAGGACCCTTTGCTGTCTCTCCTTCCAGAGAGTTTTGACAAGAGGTGTATTAGTCCATTCTCACACTACTATAAGGACATACCTGAGACTAGACTATTTATGAAGGAAAGAGGTTTAATTGACTCACAGTTCTGCAGCGCTGGGGAGGCATCAGGAAACTTACAATCATGGTGGAAGGGGAAGCAAACACATCTTTCTTCACAAGGCAGCAAGAAAGAACAATGAGAGCCGAGTGAAAGGGGAGGCCCCTTATAAAACCATCATATCTCCTGAGAACCTTCTCACTATCATGAGAATAGCATGGGGGCAGTCACCCCCATGATTCAATTACCTCCCACCAGCTTCCTCCCATGACATGTGGGGATTATGGGAACTACAATTCAAGATGAGATTTGGGTGGGGACACAGCCAAACCATATCAAGAGGTTAACAAGAAGATTCAACCTGTGGAGTCATGGTGATGGTCCCTCCCATCCCGAGTTGTCATCTTCTGTGTGTGTTTTTTCCTCCTTGTACCGTGGTCTTGTTGGCTGGCTCCCTCCTTCCCTCTGAAGTTTTATAGACCAGAGACCTGGCTTTTCAACTGTGTAGTTCTTCCATCAAGATACTTACTGTTTTTAATGAAAAACCAGCATCATTTCAACCGTTACACTTGTGTCAGCAGAGGCAAAGGTTTCATCCTGGGAGCAGGGTGAAGATTTTCATCCAGAGTGCATGCGGTCATTCAGTTTAAAGCATTTAGACTTAGGAAGTGCAGCTGTGGCAGGATCAGGGGATTCGTTCCTGCAGGGCGCAGGAGGAATGGTGGCAGGGCTGGCAGGACGATAACCTCTGGCCCCTAGCCAAGGACTCCCCTCTCAACTCTTTTGCTTCCAGCTACAAATGTTCAAAAGAAGAGTCAAAATAAAGGAAGATTTTGAAGTGCATTGTCAGCTTAGCAGAGTGTGAAGGCAGGGCTTAAGTCACTAGACCAGAGCTCATATCACGGCTCTGCTGCCAACTATTTCTGTCATCTCAGGCAAAGCATTTCCTCATCCCCATGGGCCTTGCTCTCCTCCCTCTGCAAAGTGAAAATGGCAGTGCCACCCTCCTGGGATCACTGTGAGAAACACAGTAGCAGAAATCATCTGGATAAAGCCCTGAGCTTTATATATATATATATATACTGATCACTCAGTAGATGGAGCTGCTATTAACGTCAAAGAGAACATACTAGAAGATAAAATGGGATGATGAAGATGGTAGCATAGTAAAGCTAGGGGGAGGAAATAGACATTAGTAGCCAAAGCAGATATACTAGAAAAAAATAACACAATGCTGAAACATTTTTACAGAAAGAGTATCAGAGAAAAAAAAAAAAAAGCAAAGTATAAGAACATCCCACACAGGTAAAAAAGAGCACTAAACTTACCCAAGAATGTGCTAAAAAGAAGAAAGGAGTGTTAAATCCTGCAGCAAGATGGAACACAGGAGCTAGCCTCCCCAAGCTGCAATAAATCTGGTTTTTGTTCCCACCTGCCACCGCCCCCTGTGCCAGACTAGTTGTCAAGGTCTCTGTAGAGGGTCCTGAGAATGGAAGCGGAGTGGATGTCCCCAGGAGGGTGAGCAGTGCTCCATCACTTCACCAGCCTTCCCCTCCATGGCAAGTGCAGAGGCATCTCAGGAATAAAGGATGCCATGGGCCAGTGTTTGAAAAATGCATAAACAAGGTTAAATATTCTTTACTGTAGTGCTTCTCAGAGTCTTTAATATGTAACTATGAAACAGGAAGGGACTTATAGTGGTTACTGTTTTTAGGCATTGGAATTCTTTGGGCTGAGAGGATGCTCGGGACAATATCATAGTGGTGTTTCTTAGAACATCCTTGGGAAGTGCTGCCCCTAGTCTCTTGTCCTTTGGCCCATGACAAGTGCTTCCCTGCATCCCACACCCACACATGCCAACTGTGTTCCCTCTGCCTGCAATGTTCCACTTCTAGGTTTCAACATAGCTTCTTCCCTTTCTGTTCATTCAGCTCTCAGCTCAGATGACCCTCCTCATAGAGGTCCTCCCTGACCACTTGACCCTCTCACTCTCTATCCCAAAGCATGTATCATTATTTGAAATGTTTAGAATTGTCTAAATTGGTTACATCTTTATTGTCTGTTTCTCCTATTAGAAGGAAAGTTCAGGCCAGGCGTGGCAGCTCACATTTGTAATCCCAGCACTCTGGGAGGCCGAGGCAGGCAGATCATGAGGTCAAGAGATAGAAACCATCCTGGCCAACATGGTGAAACCCTATCTCTACTAAAAATACAAAAATTAGCTGGGCGTGGTGGTGCATGCCTATAGTCCCACCTACTCGGGAGGCTGAGGCAGGAGAATCGCTTGAACCCGGGAAGCAGAGGTTGCAATGAGCCGAGATCACGCCACTGCATTCCAGTCTGGCAACAGAGTGAGACTCCCTCTCAAAAAAAAAAAAAAAAAAAAAAAAGAAGGAAAGTTGATATCATGAGTGTTGCTCTAGCCCCGGCACTTAGAACAGGGTCTGGCACACAGTTGGTGCCCTGTTGAAGGAAAAAAATGAGTGAACGAACACTGAACTTCAGCCTTTCTATTAAACAGGGTGGAAGACCATGACGATCTCATGCCAATATTTATGCGCTATGACACAATTCTGAAGGAAACTTACGGTGAATACTTCCTGGCCGAACTAATAGAGGCCCAAGATGAAGAGAATCATGCTGTTGTGTGTGAGGTCAGTGACTGATTCATGTGGGAACACACTTAGTGAGAGGAAGGAGGGATGTGAGTGGTGTTGCTCTTGCGTTGCTGGGCACCCCTGGAGCTGCCATTGTCTCCCTGGCCACCCCGGCCCTCCCACTGCCCTTCCAGGTGGTGCACCAGGCCAGCTTCCTCCCCTGGGTTACTGGCTTTAGGTTGTCTTTTGCGAGGTCCTTCCAGATGCCCACGATGCTGTAGATTCTTGCCTTGTCCCTAGAGTGAGAGGGAATGGAAAAGACCCCCCAGGGGTGCGTAGGGGGATTTCTGAGGATCCCCAAATCTCAGACTTCAGAAGTCACAAACCAGCGTTCTGCTGGCAGATGGATTTTGTTTGAGTTGGAAAGGTATTTTTTTTAACTTTTTGTTTTGACATAGTTTCACACTTAAAGAAAGTTTATAACTACCCAGATTCCCCAAATGTTAACATCCAACCCCATTTGTTTTATCATTCTCTTGTTCAACCTTTCTAATTCCCTCTCTCTCTCTCTTTTTCTCTCTTGCTGGCTCTCTCTCTCTCTCTCATGTATATTCTGAACCATTTGAGAGTAAGTTGCATACATAATGCCCCTTTACCTGTAAGTATTTCAATGTATATTTCCTAAAAACAAGGACACTCTCTTAGATAACTGCAATACAATGATCAAAGCCAAGTAATTATGATTCCTGTAATTATTATTATTATTATTATTTTTTGAGATGGAGCCTTGCTCTGTCACCCAGACTGGAGTGCACTGTCATGATCTCGGCTCACTGCAACCTCCGCCTCTCGGGTTCAAGCAATTCTCCTGCCTCAGCCTCCCTAGTAGCTGGGATTACAGGTGTGCGCCACCACGCCCAGCTAACTTTTGTATTTTTAGTAGAGACGGGGTTTCACCATGTTGGCCAGGCTGACCTGAGGTGAACTCCTGACCTCAGGTGATCCGCCCGCCTTGGCCTCCCAAAGTGCTGGGATTACAGGCGTGAGCCACCGTGCCCAGCTAGTTCCTGCAATTCTTTTATCTAATCTACAGACTTCATTCAGATTTTTCTGACAGTCCCAGGAATGTCCTTTATGGCAGAGGTAATTCCAGGCCATTCATTGCATTCAGGTGCTCTGTTTCTTCAGCCTTTTTAAATCTGGAACAATTCTCCGATCCGTCTTTATCTTCCATGACAATTACAGTTTTGAATAGTACAGGTCAGTTATTTTGTAGAATGTCTCCATTTGGATTTGTACAATGTTTTCTCATGATTTGATTCAAGTTATATATGATTAAATATTTTTGAATTAGCAGCTATTGTAAAAATTATGAAAGTCTATGTAAAAATTGGAATTTCTAGCTTTTCTAAACAAATCAGAAGGCCCAGCCTATTGGGCCCAAAAGGCAGCCCACACCCTCTAATTCATGATTCTTCATCTACTCATTTCTCATTATTTGTTAAAACTGTAAGAGCTGTTTAAAGAATATTACTTTTCTTGAAACTTGGAATGAAAAGTTCTCTTACTTGGATGACATGAGCAGTTTGAGGCTTTGTTCTACATCAGTGGTTCTCAA
The DNA here is from genome assembly GCF_000001405.40 of Homo sapiens. Lineage (NCBI taxonomy): Eukaryota > Metazoa > Chordata > Mammalia > Primates > Hominidae > Homo > Homo sapiens. Next base: position 20,092,538 of record NC_000020.11, read on the forward strand.
ACTTGGCATATATGCAGATCACCTGGGAGGCTTTTAACTATCCATACCATGCCAATGACTTGGATCCAGAATATATACAAAGAACTCTCACAACAATAGAAAAATAATCCACATAAAATGTGGGCAAATGATTCGAATAGACACTTTTAAAAAAAATGAATAAATAAAAGATACAACTGGCCAATAAGCACATGAAAAGACATTCAACATCATTAGTCATTAAGGAAAGGCAAATCAAAACCACACTAAGATACCACTTTACCTCTGCTAGGAGGGTTATAATAAAAAAGCAGGACAATAGCAGATGTTGGCAAGGATGTGGAGAAATTGGAAGCCTCATCCATTGCTGGTAGGAATATAAAATGCTGTGGCCATTTTGGAAAAAGTCTGGTATTTTCTCCAAAAGTTAAACATTTGACCCAGCAATTCCATACACAGAATTGAAAACACATGTCCACACAGAGATGTGTACGCAAATGTTCATAGCAGCATTATTCATAATAGCCAAAAAGTGGAGACAGCCCAAATGTCTATCTACTGATGAATAGATAAACAAGATGTGGTATATCCACACAAGGGAATAGTACCAGGAAATAAAAGAGAACGAAGCACTGATACATGCTACAGCGTGTATGAACCTTGAAAACATGATGCTAAAGAAAAGAAGTCAGTCATAAAGACCACGTATTGTATGATGGCATTTAGATGAAAGCCTAGAATAGACACTTCTGTAGAGACAGAAGGTAGATTAGTGACTGGAGGGAAAGGGGAAGGAGAAGTGACTAATATTGGGCATAGTCGTTGGTTGGTGGGGGGATGAAAATGTTCTGGGATTAGACAGTGGTGATGGGTGTACAATTTTGTGAATATATTAAAAACCATTGAATTGTGTATTTCTTTTTTTTTTTTTTTTTTGAGACAGAGTCTTGCTCTGTTGCCCAGGCTGGAGTGCAGTGATGTGATCTTGGCTGACTGCAACCTCCACCTCCCGGGTTCAAGTGATTCTCCTGCCTCAGCCTCCCAAGTAGCTGGGATTACATGCATGTGCCACCACACCAGGCTAATTTTTGTATTTTTAGTAGAGATGGGGTTTTGCCATGTTGACCAGGCTGGTCTCAAACTCTTGGCCTCAAGTGATCTGCCTCCCAAAGTGTTGGAATTACAGGTGTGAGCCACTGCACCAGGCATGAATTGTGTACTTCTTGAAGGGTTGTTTTTATGGTAGGTGAATTATATCAATTATATCCATTTTTAAAAATCCTGTTGCAGGGGTACACTCAGGCCAATTAAGTCAATCTTTTGGGGGTGAGACACAATCCATATATTTATTTTTAATTTTGGACACTCACTATGTTGCCCAGGCTTTTCTTAAACTGCAGTCCTCCTGCCTCAGCCTCCCAAAGTGCTACGGTTACAGGCATGAGCCACCATGCCTGACCTCAATCTGGATTTTTAAAGATCTCCCCAGATGATTCCAAGGTGCAGTCCAGGTGGTGAAACACTCATCTACATGAGGGTAAAACATACCTGGTGAGAATGACATGACTTTATAGAGATGTGGGTATTAGTTTCTGAAGGTGACAATTGGCCCCTGGAAATTAGATTCTGAAGTACTACATTGAAAGGATTTTTATTTATTTTTTAAATGTTTATTTTATTTTCTTATATTTAGGTTTTGGCATGGTTTCTCAAAGACCCGCTTTCACGTATTCTTGTTTAGCCATTAGCCCCAGGCTACCAGGCTAGCCATAGAAGGGAGGGTTGGAAGCATTTGGGCCCAGCAGTACCATTTGGAAAGCTTGTCTTTACACAACTAGACAGAAACTCCTGAGAAGTGAAATGATTCATACAGACCCCAATAAGGATTTTCATGACCAAACTTTACTTATCAGGTTTAATCAGGGTCTTTGTTTTTGGAAGGCTTTTAATTATTTGGTTCCAAGGTACTAGTTTTACTCTGAATCACTTGAGTCAGTGCTTTGTAGAGAAGCTGCAGTGACCTCTTCCCCCACGTTCTTTCTCTCTCTTGCCGTATGTTTCACACTTTCAGTGTGTGTAAACATCAGAGCAAAGCTGTAGGCTGAAAACTGCAGTTCCAACCCTGCAAGAATCCTTTGGTGTCTCGAAAGAGGCAGAGGGCATCCAGCCCCATCTCCTTCCAGAGGCCGTGCTGCCTCAAGCATCAGAGGCTTTGTGTTCTGTGGAGGGGAGACCACAGACCTCGATCTTAAAATGGAAGGGCAGAAACAAGACTGTGAGCCGGGATCTGGGAGGGGACGTCTAATCTGAAGTGAGCCATGTCTGATGTCTGAAGCCTTTTGGGGTTCAAGATCAATGCTGTTGCTACCCTTTTTCCTGCCTCCCTAGGGGGCTTTTAGGCAATGGTGTGCTGGAGCCAGCTTGCTCTGGCTCTCAAGGGCTGATTGTTAAATCCTCAGGAACTCTGCAAACTGCTTGTTAAACACAGCTATTATTAAAAATTAAATTATAGAAACCTACAGTGTAATAAATTATATTAAAACAAAGTTAATAAATACTTGAAATTCATCACCTTCCATTTTTTTTTACTATTCTCCATGTTCTTGAGGGTTTTTTTTTAAATGTCTGGGTCTCTATACAGTAGATATAAGAAATAATGGCTAGCTACTGCGCATTCCCTCCCAACTACATGTTTAGTGAGATCACACTGTTCACTTGACATTGACCATGATGACAGCGCTTACACCTCAGAAATCGGCAAATGCTACAGATCTGGGCTTTTCCCCCGCAAATGCTGATTAGGCATTTACAGGCACACGTTACTTTAAGGCAACCACTGTCAACCAGAGGAAACAGAAAGAAGTCCATCAAGTTTGTCTTTCTGAACAGCCATGGCAGTTCCAGGCCAGGCATGCAGCATGCCTGAGGGCAAGGCTGTGCCCTGTGGGAAACCCTTACTACTGAAAGGGTTTTTAGTTACAAGGACTTTCTTTGGCTTGATAGCTAGTTTGGAGGAGTTTGGGGCCATCACTTCATACAAGTTCCTTGTCATAACTGTACCCTGGCTTACCTTGACATCTGGTGTTTACTCCAAGCTGAGGTTTTAGGGAAGGGTAGTTGGAGGCCAGCGGCGGCTCCTAGTGACAGATGGGCAGAGCGTCTGCTTTGGCATCATCCAGGGTGTGGGCAGCAGTGGTCCGAGTAGGCACCACTGACCTGCAGGCAGGGAAAGCCTGCCAGGTCAGCCATGCGCTTGGCATCAGGAGGAGAGGATCAGAGCCAGCAGTGGTCACAATGAGGGCAAAACCCTCACAGTGGAATATTGTCACCCAAAAGGGATGGGTGGCTGTAGGGCTTTTTGGATGGAAGCATAAATGAGAAAATACACACGTTTCTGTAAATGGACCTGTTTGGGAAGACAAGGCCACAGTACACATAGTTTTCTAGCAATCTAAACCTTATGTGTCATGATGTAGATATTTACAGGACAAGCAAGAACAACAAAACCTTCAGTTTTGTTCTCCAGTATAAGATAATTGAAGACACTTGTGGTGAAAAGTACTTCTGTCACCAGGAAGATAGATAACAGCCAGCAATCAATGCCTTTCTGTTGTACAAGTTAAAAAGTCCATTAAATCCATTTTTTTTTCAGTGCATACACAAGAATACATTTGGATACTCCTGCAAATTCATATTTAAGAATAGTGTTTCTCAAATCGGTTATTTGAAAGAAACTCAAAGGAAAAAGCAGACACTTCCACAATATGTCCTTGCTCTGTTGTAGTCTGTAATTGTGAACTTTTGTAAATTGTTACAACCCTGGATGAATGATGGGAATATAACAGGTTGTAGAATTGGAGAACGTTAAATCTTTGTTCCTAATGGCAAAACATGTTTTTCTCATTTTCATCAGAATGTGTGATCCATGCCATTTGAAATCAAATTCCAAACACAATGAGCCATTAGTGTAATAGCTCATTACTAACAGCGGTCTTATAAATAATACATTCTTATCATACACATGCAGCTCGCTGTGAAGCCAGCAAAAGGTATTTCAGGCCATCGAAGTTTTGTTGCGCCAGCGCGGCTGTAGATTAGAAGGACATCTCCATGTGAACCAAGATGGATGCCAATTTTCCCTGCCGAGAGTCAGGCTGGCCGTCTCTTTCTGCACATATGGTAGATGGATTGGTTAATCAGCGTCTGCTGAGTCTTGGGCCTGAAATTACAGAGAAGCTAGACAACTGCGGCTATGCAGCCTTTGTTCACGAGTGCAAACAAGACAAACAATCACTTGTTATTTGGGAAAAAAATTAAAATGTTTATTTTGGACTTTTATTAAAGTGTCAATGGCTTTATAAAACAGCTGTGTAAATCCAGGCTTTTTCAGCAAGTATCATTTTAGGGGGCCTGTAAAGAAAGGAATATACATGAAAAAATTAATTTTTAAAAATTCCCCTCATATTTCAGTATTGAGAAGAAAATAGAGGAGGTCTCACTTTTATTTTGCAAACACGTTTGAGAACAAATGATTTTTAACTGGGAGACATATTCGAGAACAAATAGTAGTTTAATACCTATTTTTTTTTTTTTTTTTGGTGTCATTTAAAAAACTGAGTATTATTGTAGCCCGATTCTCTGTTTTAGGAGATTAAAGCATTTTCTCTGACTGGGCATTTATGGAAAGATGCTGCGTTCTTGGGAATAGAGAATGCCTGTGATTATTGAGTTCTGCTACTTTCTGAATGCAATGGTTATCTAAAAGTCTGAACACTTGAGAGATAGGACCCAGTAAATGCAGGTTTCTAATAAGAGCTATCAGAGTCTAATCAGTCAACCAGAATTTGCTTAAAATCTACTAATAATTATTTTATGTGAAATTTAAAGGACTATGTATTTTCTCTCTCTTTTTAAATTTTAAATACTTTCCTTGCAGAAAACAATGAAATACAGAATTACTTAAGGGATATATTAAGGAGTTTCAGTCACAGCCGTCTCTCCATGTGGAATATGATAGAATTAAAGTCTGTTGTTAATTTCTAATGTTTTGGTACCAATCAGGTACCTGGTACCCAACCAAGGTTCAGATCAGCTAGTTACTCATCTTCTCGCCTATGTATTACTCATCAAAGACTGAAAATCATGGGGACGACTGCAAGAGCTTCAGAACCAGGCATTTCAGGGTGATGGGAAGTTCAACATTTGCAGATCAGACCCACCTGGTGAACCAGCCTAGCCTGACTCAAGTTTACTTCACTGGAACATTTTCCACCAAACTTCCTTCCCTCATATCTCCTCCCTATCAGACTATCCAGTTAATAAATAAGTGACTTCAAGACAAATTGAAGAGTTTCTACCTGATAAGGAGCTAGGGACCGTGAACTTTCTCTGTACTGGGGGCTGATCAGATGGGCACTGGAACAATGACCTGTATTCCTGAGAAGTGTGCATGGCAGAGGGAAAGAAAGTAGACAGGAGCGCCAGGCTTATGGTGGGGTACAAACACAAGACACCAAATGGCAGAGGATATGGAGCAGGCAGGAGCATGGTCTGAGCAGAGGGCAAGTGTTCCAATGGTTGAAGGGTCAAGAACTCTGGCAATTTCCCTGTTACTTATGCACCACTAGGTGTGTCCCCAGTGGTCACTTATTGGGACATTTTTTGAGCATGTTTTATGTACTGAAGGAAGACACTTATTCCTCCCTTAAATCTCAAGGTGACTGCCAAACCACCAGCCGACCACATTCTGAGGGCTCTGGAGGTTTCCTGATGAGAATCATTTGACCTCTGATAAAGTAATGAAGTGTTTTGGACTGGGTGTGGTGGCTCATGCCTGTAATCCCAGCACTTTGGGAGGCCGAGGTGGGTGGATCACTTGAGGTCAGGAGTTCAAGACCAGCCTGGCCAACATGGTGAAACTCCGTCTCTACTAAAAATGCAAAAATTAGCTGGGTGTGGTGGCGGGCGCCTGCAGTCCCAGCTCTGCGGGAGGCTGGGGAGAAGAATTGCTTGAACTGAGGAGGCGGAGGTTGCGGTGAGCCAAGATACACCACTGCACTCCAGCCTGGGTGACAGAGCGAGACTTTGTCTCAAAAAAAAAAAAAAAAAAAGAATAATGAGGTGTTTTGGATATTTCAGGTGGAAGGCACAGCTGTTGGGTTCATGAGTGTGTGCTCAAGAGTGAACATGCAACTGCTGCATGAGTGCTTTGACTTGGGCCCTTTCCACGGACTCTGTTTCCCACATCCTGATGACGTTCTGGAATCACCACAAGACCTAAGTGTCCGAAGAAGTCAAGGTACAGTGGCTATCACAGGGACACACTGGGAAATTAAATCTATGCTTTATACACATTGCGCTCTTCGCTAAGTGATGGAACTAGATAGGATGCTTTATATTTCCTTCCCCAGTTCCCCTTAAGGAGTAGTTCCCATGGTTGGTCACATCCTTGTGAAATACCTACAAGCACAGATAGTCACAGTGCAGGGGTGGAGTTAGACATAGTGGACTTGGGGCCTTAGGGCTCCCACATTCAGGATGCTCACTTCTTGAATGTTCATTGCTAGAGTACATGTAAGTTATGATGAAATAATTACTGGTGTTTCAGGTTTCACACACACACACACACACACACACACAACCAAATACAACAAGTGAATTTTTCAAATCAAGAACTCAGGAAATTTTTTATGCTTTTAAGTTTTAATCCCAACTTTCAGTGCTTCTGTTTTTGTCTTTGACAAATCATTATGTAGTATAGGTCTGTTGCAAGTAGTCATTTTTAACTTGCTTAAGTTACTTCTAGTTATATGAAATAATACCATCAATTTTAAAATATTGTCTGTATCAAGATTTTCACCACGTTCAATTAGGTAACCTCAAACTTTGATGTTTTAATTTAGTGAGGTCTTACTGTATCCATGGGTATCTTTGCGGTTACATATTTGGGTTCTTACAGAAGACAGATGCAGACAGGCAAGTTACCATGGGTACATCAATTCACTTCTCCAAAGCTGGATTTCTTCATTTGTAAAATGGGCATAATAGTAATACCTCCCACACGGGGGGGGGGTTGTGAAGTTTCACTGAGATAAGCCATGTAGAGTGCTTTGCACAGTCAACACTCAATAAATGTTGATCATCACCGTTAGCAATTATTTTTTCTTTGTGTCGGCCTTCCACCAACTTGAATCTTCCTAGGGTAAAATCAGGGTATTTCAAATTGCTATGCTTTCTCCTGTCTGAAAGATTACACCAAGATTGTTCAGAAATGGGGAAAGGAGCACTTGGCTGGTGGCAAAGGACTTGCCAATCTAGACAACAGAAGGCAGTGACTTGGCTAAGCTTATCCCCTGAATGCATAAACCCCGTGCACAGTGTCTAGACCTCATCTGAACATACACACTTATCACAGAGAACCTGCAAAGCCACAGATAGAGGAGTTTCCCTTTTGTGCTGATGATAACAACACCCTCCCCAAAAGAGATTTGGGGTCCTTATTGTTTAATAGTGAAGCCTTGCTTGCCATGCTTCCCAGAGAAGAACTCTACCATAGGAGAGTTCTGAGGGAACTTATCAGTGTGAGACAGTCTGGAACCATAAGTTGTCATTGTTATTTTCCAATGCTTAAATTCTTCTTTGAAAGCAGCACTAAATGGCCTTTTTTTTTTTTTGAGATGGAATTTAACTCTTGTCACCCAGGCTGGAGTGCAATGGTGTGATCTTGGCTCACTGCAACCTCTGCCTCCAGGGTTCAAGTGATTCTCCTGTCTCAGCCTCTGGAGTAGCTGGGATTACAGGTGTGCGCCACCACGCCCAGCTAATTTTTGTATTTTTAGTAGACACAGGGTTTCACCATGTTGGCCAGGCTGGTCTTGAACTCCTGACCTCAGGTGATTTACCTGCCTCAGCCTCCCAAAGTGCTGGGATTACAGGTGTGAGCCACTGCACTTGGCCCTAAATAGCCTTTTTATGGCTGAATATTCTCACATGTAAAATGGAGATAAAAATAGTATCTAACCCAAAGAATTGAGGGGACAATTAAATGTTAGAATCTATGTGTTGTGCTTAGCTCAGCGCCAAACACAAAGTAAGTCCTGAACATTTAAAAATATTTTTTCCCCTGTGGCTGTTGTAATGAAGAACAAGTTGAAAAGATGTAGTCCCTTCCAGTGTGTTTCTGAGTGGCTCTGATGCTACTGTTTCCTACATAGAATGAATGGAAAATTCCTTAGAAACTTTATGGGGCAGTGAAATTCAAAATTTAAACTGAACCCTGGACTTAAAAACATACGTAAGCTAGTATATCTCTAGCAAGAGCCCACAGAGATATGGGCACTAAAAGAAGTCCTACTTCTGTTTACCTCCTTCAATATTTTTACCTAAAATAAGTCAATCTAGGACAGATGGTAAGTAAAAGAAATAGGAAAACTTATCTTCTGTGCCTTGTTTATTTTTGAAAGTCAGCTTTATGTTCATTGACACAAAGATGATTCCTTATGAAATTTTCACCAGGGAGCTGGCATTGTAGACTTCCACATAACTTCCAGGGATTGAGTCACAAATCATCAACAGCTCATTATATCTAAGAAAAGAGTCATCAGCACATTTTGCTGCCATCTTCCTATCAACAACAACAAAGAATGAGGCTCCAGAGAAAATTCTAAATGTACTGTGATCTGTTACTTTCCTTTCCTGATGAAAGTCTCAAGTTAAAGGAAATATAATTTCTCTAAAATATGAACTAAAATTCTTGTTTCAAATGAGCACACATCACTGTGTCTCATATCTTGTATTTTGTTTAGTGCTTTTTTCCATTTCAAAGGATTTTTATATATGTAATCTCATGTTATCCTATAACTTGGTGTAGGAGAGCTAGGGAAGGTGAGGTTCTCTCCATTTTTTACTTGCTAAAGCTCATCCAAGCTTTTAAAGCTCATCAGTGGCTGACCCAGAAGGCAGACCCAGCCTCTCTCTGCTTTCGTGCATGATGATAGTCTTGGCAAGGTAACGTCTTATCTTGGATGGTTTTGACAGAAAACTCCAATGACGGGTCTGCTACACAAGATACATGATGAGTTTTTTCACTTTATTTTTATTTTTTATTTTTATTATTGTTATTTTTTTGAGATGAAGGCCCCCCTCTGTCACCCAGGTTGGAGTACAGTGGTGCAATCTCAGCTCATTGCAACCTCTGCCTCCCGGGTTCAGGTGAGTCTCCTGCCTCAGCCTCCCCAGTAGCTGAGATTACATGTGTGTGCCACCACACCCAGCTAATTTTTTTTGTATTTTTAGTAGAGACAGAGTTCATCATGTTGGCCAGGCTGGTCTTGAACTCCGGGCCTCAGGTGATCCGCCCACCTCGGCTTCCCAAAGTGCTGGGATTACAGGAGTAAGCCACCATGCCCGGCCAGTTTTTTCACTTTAATAAGTTATTTAATGAATGATCACTTCAGTGGGTGATCAGTGACCTGCCCATATCCCTCCGACTTTTATTTTGTATGTGTGTGCTCCAAACAACTCCTATCTGCTGGAATCTTCACCTCTGTGTCTGCAGGCTTTTTTAAAACTGTGAAAGGCCACTCTGACCTATGCAGGGGTCAGGCTGGAAGTGTCAGGAAATTATCACTCAAGGAATAGACTCTGTTTCCCTATGTCACATCCCAGCTTCCCTGCTGGTGCTTTCTCCATTGACTCCCAAATAAATGGTTGTAACTGAATCTTTAACTTAAGATTTGCCTCTGAGGCAAGTGAGACCAAGACACTACTAGTTAGGTCTTTTCCTACCAGCTGTGAAAGCATTTATTTATACACAGCTGACTTGGGTGAGAGTATAAATACCCCAGCTCCCTCACTCCTCAGGTGGGAGGACTCAGATATGTGAGTATTGGCTGGTTTCCCAGAGTTCCCCCAAGGGATTAAGTTTCAGTTGTCCATAATAGTAATCTGGGTGATAACACATGTGTTGTTGTTTTTTAACTTTTAAGTTCAGGGGTACATGAGAAGGTTTGTTACATAGGTAAACTTGTGTCATGTGGGTTTGTTGTACAGATTATGGCATCACCCAGGTATTAAGCCTAGTACCCATTAGTTACTTTTCCTGATCCTCTCCCTCCTCCCACCCTCCACCCTCAAAAGGCCCCAGTGTGTGTTGTTCCCCTTTATGTGTCCATGGACAACACACATTTTATTAGTTGCCTTTCCTTCCCTGTCTCTTTCCTCACTCTCCTACTGGTACATCCTGGAACCACCTCCAAAATAAACTGCTTATTCTCAAGCTCTTCTCTCAAGATCTGATCTTTCCCTGCCAGCTGTGAAAACTTGCAATTTCACACCAACCTCAACCCTTTCAAGCAGAATAATGTCAAGACTCAGCATTCTTAAATGAATCCAGAGGCCCTCCTTTTTCTAGCTCCTAATACACATGGTAATTAGCTTACTGTCCTTCATCATCTCAGCCTTATCAAAAGTTTCCCTGGAGGTCTGGCTGGTGTTAACAGAAAGGAGGGCAGAGCTGGTGTGGCTGACCATGGAGAAAGCTGACTTGGCTGGTGTGGTGCAGAGAAGCCAGCTTGTTTATGTGCTTATTCCATGACTGCTTGTCCTGAGCAGAAAGTGCTTTTCAGGATCTATTTTTGGAGGTTTATTAAGTATGTTCTCAATTCCAACAGTTTAATGAAGATCTAAATAAAATGCTAGGTTCTACCTTAAAAAAAAAGTTTCCCTGAATCTAAAATGTTTAACTGTGTACAATCAATTTGTGTTTTACCTGAATAATTTGTGTATGTTTTCATAGCTACCCATTTTGCATGTATAACCTATTACATACTTGTAAACTTTGGTTTTTATGTACTAAACATTGGGAGTAAACTGGGACCAATGGGAATAGGTTCTAAGGATGTAAATTTTGTCCAAGCATAAGGAAAAACTAGTAGAAGTGTATTTTTTTTATTTAATGGAGGACCTAGTGTGGAAGTAGCAAGTTCCCAGAATATTGGAAGAATTCATAAAGAAACAGTCATACACACTTACAAAGGGCTTTCTGCTTGTGTGGAAGATTATACTGAATGAGATGTAAGATCCCCTTAAATGCTAAAAAAAACTTATTGAATACATATCAAGATGTTCCATATGCCTGGCACTTTATGAATATTTTCCTTCAGTGACAATAAAATGGTTCAAAACAATATTTTTTCCAGTTGGCCGCAGCACTGGCCCTGCCTGGTGTTTGCAAATCAAGCTGTGTCTTTTGTTAGCTGCATCACCCAATAAATATTTTGGAATCAAGCTTGAGCTGGCAATTTTCTTGATAATGCATAAGGCAAAATAGGGCACAACCTGCATTTCCACAGCTGTACTGGCATTGCCGCATTTAATAGTTAAAATAAAAAAATAAAAACAAGCAAAAAACAAAACTTTTGTTCCTCATGTAGGCCGTTGAGATCTGGGCAGCATGAATCTCTGTTTTAAAAGACTCCTGCAAGGTTCCGATTTGTAAATCTCATTATATACCCAGGGCCCACCTTACAAAGTCTCTGCAGAACTTGATGTGCTCCTTGGCAGGGAGAGATTTCACTTTACATAATAGAGTTATGGGCATTCAAAAGAATAACTAGTGTAGCCCCTTGTCACCAAGTCATCCAGGAAAACTGTTGCTCACTATACATATAAAAGACCCTTCAAAATAGAATTTTTGTAATGTCTCCACGTAAAACATCGCAATATTGCCTTTAACTTTTTTTTTTTAAATTACTCCTGCTGTCAGGAAATGTCTTTATATGTCTTATTTCAATTTTATGTCTTGTTTTATTGAACTCACATTTGCTTCTTATCTCAGATTCCCTCATCTCTTGGGTTAGGAAACACCTAGACCCACTCTCCCTGTGTCGGAGCTAAAAAACAATGGCTACATTAAGTCTTATTGATTGTGTATTAAATCATCCCAGGTCTTTTCGCCTCTCTTCCTAAGGTTCCATTTTATATTCCTGGATTCCCTTCTATTTTACTTTATTCTTCTTTTAACATGGATTCCAAACAGGACTGGAGCACGTATCTACAGGGTGTGTTAGGATTTCTGCTGCCGTCTTTACATTACAGATCTCGGAACCTTGTTTTTAACAGTCAGTTCATTCTGTAGTTAACCAGTGACCCACCAGGACTTAGTCTGCCAGGGCTGCCATAACAAAGTGCCACAGACTGGGTGGCTTAAAAAACAGAAATTGATTTTCTCACATTTGTGAGGCCAGAAGTCAAGATGTTGGAGGGGTCAGTTTCTTTTGAGGCCTCCCTCCTTGACTTGTAGACGGCCATCTTCTCCCCATGTCTTCACAGGGTCTTCCCTCTGTGCCCATCAGTGTTTTTGGTTTTTCTTTTTATAAGGACACCAGTCACAATGCATTAGGGCTCACCTGTAACTTTAACTCAGTTACCTCTTTAAAGACTGTCTGCAAATACAGTCCCATTCTGAGGTACTAGGGGTTAAGCCTTCAGTGTACGAGTTTTGGGGGTGGGAGGAGGCACACTACAGCCCAGGAGAGGCTCTATGGTATCGTACTGCCTTCCTCTGGTCCCTAATAGGGGGGCGGTATGTGTTCAGGGTGGGGAATGTTTGGATGTCTACATCCTCTCATAAGCCCATGTTCTTCCCCTGGCTGGATGTAAGCCGCACCCACCCAACCTTCTGTGCCCGAGGAAAGTCCCTGTGTCCCACCAATGGGCTTCTCATTGTTCCTGGCATGGGTTTCAGATCCCCCTAGGAGAGGAGTTCTGTTCTTACAGGCTTCTGTGCCCTGGTCACCTCCACTTCCCAGGAGGCTAGGGTGAGTTCTGGGGCCCATTATAGCTCTCACTCAGTGGCCACACAGCAATATTACTCACTTGGTAGCAGTTGCCACCAAATTTGCCATTTTCTCATTGTGATCTGGGCTTTGAGCATCTCAGTTCTCCCTCCTCCCCTTTTCTTTCCTTCTCCTAGATCCTGTGGTGTGGTTCTTTGATGCCTGTACTCAAGGCTCTGATAGTAATGCAGACAGTGGCAGCAAAGTCGGCTTTACTTAATGTTCATACATAGCCCTAATATACTAACTTATACTTGTTAAAATTTGAATTATTTATTTATTTATTTTTATTGTTTTGAGACGGAGTCTCGCTCTGTCGCCCAGGCTGGAGTGCAGTGGTGCAATCTCGGCTCACTGAAAGCTCCGCCTCCCAGGTTCACACCATTCTCCTGCCTCAGCCTCCCGAGTAGCTGGGACTACAGGCGCCTGCCACCATGCCCGGCTAATTTTTTTGAGTTTTTTTTTTTTAGTAGAGATGGGGTTTCACTGTGTTAGCCAGGATGGTCTCGATCTCCTGACCTTGTGATCCGCCCACCTCAGCCTCCCAAAGTGCTGGGATTACAGGCATGATGAATTTCATTTTTTTAAGCCACTGAATGTCTTTAGCATATGAAGGCAACATCTTCGAAAGCTTTAGCTACTCTTGCCTATATATATATATATATATATATATATATATATATATATATATATATATAAAATTTGATTTTCTAGAATCTACTTTGTTAATTCTAAAGCTTTGCAAGAGATGTTGATAAAACAAATAAATCATACCAGACCTATACCCAGGCATCTCCAATGTTGAGAGTTTAGACTCTTTCAGGGCTTTCAGGGCAGAGCCCCTGGACTGGTAGGATACCAGGAAGACTGTAATCCAGACCTGAAGCCCAGAACTTGTTGTCAGGGACATGACCCCAAAGCCATCTTGGTGAGCCTTTTGGTTATTTCATAAAACCTGTTGTCAATTCTCCATCTTAATTCCAAAGCTGATTTCTAAGCCTTTTCTAATGTCTTCAAAAACAACCATAGCATCAAAGGATGGCAACCACTTAAGAATCTATTATTTTGCAGACAGCAACATGACTGAGATCTGCATTCCTCCTTTCCTCTTCAGCCCTGGGAGCGACCTGTGATATCACAGCCTTGTTCTCCAACAGTCAGATTCATTTCACAATGGTGGAAATACAAGCGCATTTTTGTATGGGGCCTGGAGGTCTTCAGAAGAAAAGTGGCTTTATTTATATTCGTTATGATCATTATGTGCTGGGATTATTTTCTCAGTAGGGGATGTCTCTTTTGCCCATATTTATGAAGCAGGGGAGAAGGCATTTAATGAAGTTCAAGAGTGTATTTGACTGTAAAACACATCTCAGTACATTCACATGTAAATAACCCTTTTATTTGTTCTCTCTGGTGACCTTTTTCCTGTTGGGGTAGATCACAGTTTGTTGTTGTTTTCCATTTTCAGATGGAAGGCTGAAAGATAATAACGAAAGATTATGCAAAAAAAATCCGTGTTTAAAATAATGTTGATATGCCACTTGTGTTGCAGGATAATTATAGTAATTTGGCTATTACGCTATATGGAGTCAGCAGTTAGTTGCTAGAAAACACGGTGATAGGGGTGATTCAAGGGATTTTCATCCCAACTGGGTGTTTGATCCTGCTGACTTTTCTCTTGAAAATCAATTGCTTGCACTGAATACTTTGAATTCCCCCTTGATTAAATTGGCCATCAGTGGGTCACACCCATTGCACTGAGGTCACTGTGAGTTCTGTTTACAAAGAGTTTTTGATGATTCTTAAAATATCATGGACCAAATTTAATCTGAGCCAAGCGGCTAAGGAAGCAATTACTGAAAAGCACAGTTTTTGCACATGGCAACAAACAAAGGAAAATTTATTAATTCTGAAGCTCAACATGAAGCCAGTTATTTGACTACTGGGTCAGAGGCCTTCTCTCCACTGCATTTTGCTTGGACTTTCGGTATTTTCAGACCTCCATGGACAGATAGGCTCACTCAGTAGAAGACCTGGTAGAGGCATCTTGGAAGCATCTTTGACAACTTTTCCATTTCTCCTCAAGGTAGTTAATAGATTCAGGTTTTCTATTTCCTTTGAATCAATTTTGGAAATAAGATTATTCTAGAAAAGCTTAATTTAGTATATGAAGATGAAAAATTAGCATACAGTAGTGGAGATATATATAGGAGTATATGTATAATATATGTGTGTATATATGTATCCAACTCTGTGGAAAAATACTTAAAAAAATTTTTTTTCTTTTTTTCAGAGACAAGGTCTCATTTTGTTGCCCAGGCTGGGGTACAGTGGTGCAAGTATGGCTCACTGCAGCCTTGAACTCTTTCTGGGCTCAAGTGATCCTCCTACTTCAGCTTCCTGAGTAGCTGGACTATAGGTATGTGCCACCATACCTTGCTAATTTTTACATTTTTTTGGAGACAGGGTTTCGTTTTGTTGCCAGGCTGGTCTTGAATTCCTGGCTTTAAGCAATCTTCCTGCCTTGGCCTCCCAAAGTGCTGGAATTGCAGGGATGAGCAACCACACCCAGCCTGTCTTTTTTATTGAGTACTGATTTAAGTCTACATGAAATATTCTAAAATAAAGAGAAAAGCAAATCACAAAAGTAGTTATATAAAAATATTATTCATAATAAATGTGGGAAAATATTAAACTTCCCTAAAACTGAAATGCACATTAAAACCCAAGATCTTTTTCTCCCCCATTTTGCCTACTAAATTGTAAATATGCATTGTAATTAAAACACTTAGCTCTGGGCAAGAAGCACTGTAATGAGCACTCAGATTTTCTGATGCTCTGAAGGTTGACTGATATAACATTCTGGAGTACAATTTAGTCATGGTTATCACAGAATGCATTAGATGTTCATGTTCTTTGACTTCAACTATAGCAAATTTGAGGAAATAATACTAATACTATAAAAAGATCCATATGCAAGAATTTCACTAAGCTTAATCATAATACTAAAAATGAACAAACAAAAAATATCCAAATAAACAAATGTAAAAACCCCAAGTCTCCCACAAGGAGATGGCTAAACTTGTGAATATCCCTTAGATAGATATGCAGAAGCCTTTAAGAAGAAGGTTACAAATAGTGAGGGGAAATGGTTCAGATATAATCTCAGGTGAAAAAAAAATCAATGCAAAATGAATTGCAGTATCAGTAAAGTCACCTAATAAAACACATGTTATGAAGAGTACAGGGAGGCAATGAACTAAAATGACAAAAGGGCTGGAGTCATAGAAGTGGCAATAGAGCAACGCTTTTATTTCCTCCCTATATTTTTTAAAATGTGGAAACTATTAAATCTACAGAAAAGTTGCAGATACGTTTTTTTCTTCCTAATCCATGTCAACGTAAGTTGCCAACATGAAGTTGTTGGAGCACCTTGGAATACTTTTGTATGTATTTGCTATAAAGAGGGACATTCTCCTTTGCAACCTCAAACATCCACTGATATCAGGAAATTAACATGAATATGTTACTACAATTTAATCCACAATCCAAAGACACCAGTTACATTTCTTCATTTGTCCTGAGGATGTCCTTTGTGGCAAAAGAATCCAGTCCAGGATAACAAACTGCAGTTACTTGTCATATTGTCTTTCAATGTGGAACAGTTGCTCAGTCTTTCCCTGCTTTTTATGACCTAGCCCATAATTTTGTAGAACGTAATTTATTTTTGTTTGTTTGATGTTTATTCATGGTGAGAGTCATGTCATGCATGTGGAACTCTGGGCTCTCAGTCCATCCTATCTGGTGTGATACATTTTCAGTCTGCCCTGTTACTGATGATGATGTGTGTCACTTTGATCACTTGACTAAAGTGACTCTTTTAGGTAAAAATTAAAATTATTTTCACTTATCCCAGTCTGTGCAGAAGTCTGTAATAATGTCTTTCTTCCTGAACTCTGTATTAGCTCTACCCTGATTTTCACTTGGAATCAACTGATCCTGTTTTACTCCTTGCTTGGGGTTTCATCTTTGCACCACCCAGCATCCCACCACAGGTACTTGAGGCTGTTGAGCTCTCCTTGGGTAAATGATGCTCTTGGTTGTTCCATACGTCAGTCCTTCTATGCTTGAGCTGGTGTCAGCCTCTGGTAATTGCTGTGCGTGGTCCATTTCAGGCAGATGGCTCCTGACTTACTTTGTAGCCAGAATAGACTTCAGCAAGGCAGACTCCCTTCCCCCTCTAACTAGGGTGCTCACAAACGACATGGACCCAGCTCCCAAGTGCTCGGTCTAAAGCTTTACCTACAATTTATTCTCTCCTGTAGCTGTGATTATATCTCTTTCTTCTTAAAGTCATCTTTGCTTTTTACTCTGTCTTGTCTTTTAATTAGGTTTTCCTGTTTGGTCTTTTCAAAGAGCTAGCTCTTAATCTATCAAGTCTATGGGTTTCTTTTTGAATTTATTAATATCTGCTTTCATTTTGTGACCTCTTTCTCCTGATTTCTTTGAATGTGTTTTGTTCTTCCTATTCTAATTGTCTAATTGCCTGATTCATTCTTTTTTTTTTTTTTGAGACGGAGTCTCGCTCTTGTTGCCCAGGCTGGAGTGCAATGGCGCAATCTCGGCTCACTGCAACCTCCGCCTCCCAGGTTCAAGTGATTCTCCTGTCTCAGCCTCCCTAGTAGCTGGGATCGCAGGCATGCACTACCATGCCTGGCTAATTTTTGGTATTTTTAGTAGAGACGGGGTTTCACCGTGTTGGCCAGGCTGGTCTCGAACTCCTAACCTCAGGTGATCCACTTGCCTAGGCTTCCTTGTTTTAAAATAAAAGCACTTCTTGGGAAGACAAAGTTTTGCTCTACCAACTTAGGTCCAAGCGGGTGGGGGCCTGCAAATTGACCAACAGATTAACAGGAGAAAAAAGTATTATATATAAAATAATATATAATACTATGTATAAACTGGTTTGGTGGTTGTTAAGCTCTTCATTTCCCCCATTTGAAACTTCTCAAAAACATTCACAAACAAGGAGCAGGGTTGATTGCTATGGAGAGAAGACTAGGGCTACAAGTTCCAAGGAAAGAAATCTGCAAAAGGAGACAGCAACATAGATTAGAATGCGGAAACAAAAATAAAAATCAAGATTAATATCTGGAGCAACTATCAACCTAGTTTCTGAGACCAAAGGGCATCCAGTCAAAAAGACTTTTAAACATTGGGTTTGAAGCGTTTCTAGACAGGGGAGTGAGCATGGTATTGGCAAACTGACAGATTTCCCAGTTTGCAGTTTGAAGGTTGTTGGTGATGGCGTAGATAGCAAATCACTATAACCACGGTCATGGCTGTTTCCTGGAGCGCAGCATAGAAGATGAGTGTTATAGTGAGCTTCCTGAGTGGCCCACACAGCAGCAGCTCCAAGCACGAGGCCCATACTCACACTTGATCTATTGTGATGATGACTATTTTGAAGTTCATGTCAAGCCATCTAGCTTCAGCTCACAGGGCTTCTTAAGACCTTGGAGGGAAAGGGGCAAAACAAGACAACCTAGAGTCTCAAGGTTCCGGGCAGTCAGATTTTTCAGTGATGCCAAGTCAGGAGGATGGGAGAAAATTTGGAAACATTAATTACTGGCAACATGTGTAAGATAGCAGGATTCAGTTTACAAAAAGGTAGAAATGGCTCAGAGGTAATGAGCAGGATTAGAATCTGATAACTCACATGAGCAGATTATAGTTTTCCATTGAAATATAGAATTTATAATCACCCCAATTTTGATCAAAGATAATAAAATTAATATTATTTTGTTTGTAAAATAAATCTAGTTTCATTAAATTTGGTTTGATTATTTATATGAATACTTCAAAAATGGTAACAGACCACATTAAAGTTTGCTTTGCTGAACTGAGATTAGGAATCTCAAACTGGACTTTTAAAAGCCTGCTGGGACTAGGAAGTCAGGCCAAGAACTTGCTACCGGATTTCACCTATAATGCCTATAGATTTGGATGGATTCCTTTTCTCAAGGTCCCCCAAATATCCTAAGATTCCTGGGCCTGCCGGGAAGTAGCCTTACTAACTCACCTCCAAGGCTGGGAACCCTGAATGCAGGCACCAGTATGCTTTTTCCAAGAGGGCTTTGTAAGCATAGGCTCCATAAAGTCAACCTTATTTCCTTAAAGCTATCATTCTCAAATGACATTCCAATCTAATCCTTGGTCATAACCAGTTATGTCTTGTTACAAGGAGGACAGATTCTCATTGAAACTATGCAAACAACTATATTGCCATGAAAATGGGGACACTCAATAAGAGTTTTGGAACTCTGGAGGGATCAGGCAGGGAGAAAAATAAGATATTTCATTTCTGTTTACAAAAGCATAATGTACGAAATTGTTGTAAGTTATAGATAGCTCACAAAGAAAAGAGAGACGGGTTCCTTAAATCCAGGATAAAATTTTAAACAAAGCCATAATTTTATTCATCAGTTCATTTAGTCCAATGTAATTAATTCTTGTTCTGCTTGATCTAAGGTTAGTAGTTTTTTATGAATCCCCCAGCTTCTCCACTAGAGTTTTGGAATATATGATATAATCTCAAAGTTATTTATGCAATACCTTCAGAAGCCTGCACCCTAGAGTACTTGGCATATTCCTTTTCCATGGGTTTCCTTTTGTTGAAAACAAGTATTATAGCTTATTATAGCTTCTAGAAAAACTTCAGAATAAAACAATAACTATCCAGGATAAGAAGAGACTTAAATGGTGTGATTAATGATCTGATGAGAGTTCACTATAAAAATAGCAAAATTGATGAGGAAATTTGGTTGTTTCTGTGGCATAGAACTTCTAAAATAAAAACTGGAATTATGACTATAATATTATGCTATTGTTGTCTAATATCAGGCAAAGCAATACCAGCACACATCATAGCGTGGGCATTGACAAATTTCTAGGAACTTCATATACTTCCTGAAATATTTATATTCATAACATTTACATAAAATATGTGTAAAAATATAACCTTGGGAAAGTTATCTCTTCTTACTTGACAAAGCTTTTCATGCATTTCAACATATCTAATTTTATTTTATTTTATTTTTTCATTTTTCCATCACTCCCTATCCTAATTAATTTTTGATATCTCTTTTTTTAATAAGGTAAAATAACAAATCCTTTGAGATTTTCCAGGGGCTTTCTGGAAAGTCAGGAATTTATAGCAGCTGAACTTGAACTTCCAGGATAAAAGGGTCATCATTCTTCTCCCACACTGTAAACTCCTTTGTGGGGGTGAGGGAGTCAATGGAAGCCGTATTTTCAGGAGGCTCTGCTTAAGTTTAATGTTTCTTTCTGTGGCTGCTGATTGTTCGAATGTTTTCAGTTTAAAATAATCTTCAACCATTTTGGTGGGCTGTTCATCACTTCACATTTAAAGCCATGCATCTTCCACTCAGTATTGCCTTGTCTTTATCCCATAAGCTATTACCAAGTGATATTGATATTAACATCCTTATTCTCATTGTAGTTATTTTATGAATATCTGTGGTTGTGATTTTAATCTTCTCTTTTATCTGAAATTTTTTAGGGAAGTGGTTTGATTTTCATTGGGTGTGATTATTGTGTGTGCTTGTCCTCTTGTCTTTAATTTCTAAATTTTTGCATTGTGGTTAGAAAATATGACCTGTGTAATTTCTACTTTTGTTTTAAATTAAGATCTTTTATTACAGCCTCATATAGGATCAGTTTCATAGATGTCCATGGACTTTCAAAGAGAATGTGCATTCTCTGTTTATAAGGCTCAAACTTATGTATAGTGTGGTTAAATATAGCTTACTATGATATTCAAATCTTCCATAACTTCATTATTGTTGACATGGTCTATCTTATTCTGAGAAAGTAAAATTTCCCAGTTCACTGTGGTCTTATCTTCTCCACTTATCACTGCATTTGTAAAACTTTTGCTTTATGTATTTAGATACTGTGCTCTTTGGTACCTGCAGTTTCATGACAATGAGGTTATACTTGTGGATATCTTTTATCAATACAAAATAAGTATCTTCGCTCCATCTAATATGTTTAGCTTTGAATTACATTTAATCTGATATAATATTTCCATTCCTAGGCCCACACTGTACCACAATAAATTTTATAGTGAAGTGTTCTAAGCAATGTCCTCCAAGTCTTGGGCATAGATAATTTTGACATGGGACAATGAAGAATGGATCTTAGACAACTTTACTCAAGTCTCCTGCCCCATGTTGTTTTGCCTTTTACATTTAGATCTACCACCCACACGTAATCGATTTTCACATATGGTGTGATATAGAAATCACATTTTATTTTTAAAAATATGAATATCCAATTGACTAAGTACCATTTATTGAAAAGGTCATTCTTTCCCCCTATTGCAGTACCACCTGTGTCACAGATTAAATGTCCATATATGTGTACATTTGTTTTGGGATTCTCTGTTCTATTTGTCAACAATACACTGTCTTAATTACCATAGACTTATGATAAATCTTGATACTGGCAGAGTAAGTCTTTCCACCTTGTTTTTTAAGATTATCCTTTTTATTCTTAGTTGTCTAATTTTTCCACATAAACATGAGAGCTCAAAAAAAAAAAAAAAAAAAAGCCTGGGTGCCATGGCTCATGCCTGTAATTCCAGCACTCTGGGAGGCCAAGGCAGGCAGATTGCTAGAGCTGAGGAGTTCGAGACCACCCTGGGCAACATGGTGAAATCCTGTCTCTACAAAAAGTGCAAAAAATTAGCCAGGCATGGTGACATGTGCCTGTGGTCCCAGCTACTCAGGAGGCTGAGGTGGGAGGATCACCTAACCCTGGGAGGTGGAGGTTGCAGTGAGCCAAGATCACACCACTGCACTCCAGCCTGAGCAGCAGAGTGAGGCCCTGTCTCTAAAATTAAATTAAATTTTAAAATAATCATTTTGGGGATCTTGAATGGGATTGCTTCAAATTTATAGATCAGTTTGCTAGTGGGGAAACTGACATTTTTATAATATATTAAGCCTCCTAATCTCTGAATGTGGTATAGCCCACAATTTATTTATTGAAGGATAATTAAGTGTCTTAGTTTCCTCCTATAATGTTTTATAGATTTTTATAGAGAGGCTTCGCATATCTGTTGTTAGATTTATTCCTAGATATTTGATATTTTTACACTATTGTAAATATCTTTTAAAAATCATTTTTCAAATTGTTCATGGCTGTTATGTTGTAGTGGAATGGGCTTTTGTATATTGATTGACCTTATGTCTGGCAACCTTTCTACACAGACTTACTAATTCTAAGATTTATCTGTATATTATTTTGTATTTCTCTATATAATGTAAATTTTTGTTCTTTACTTTCCAAACTTTATAATTTAAATTTGTTTATCTACTGGCTAATACCTTAAATAGAAATGGCATTAACAGGCATCCTTTT
Organism: Homo sapiens; assembly: GCF_000001405.40. Classification (NCBI taxonomy): domain Eukaryota; kingdom Metazoa; phylum Chordata; class Mammalia; order Primates; family Hominidae; genus Homo; species Homo sapiens. The sequence goes on from NC_000020.11 coordinate 20,114,800, forward strand.
GTTGATCTCAGAATTAACTGAAAAGTTTTCAGTATTTCATCATTAAGGATAACTTTGTGAATACTCATTATCAGGTCAAGGAAGTGTCTGTATTTCTGATTTGCTAAGAGTTTTATTAGGAATGGTTTGTTTGTTTTAATTGAATTGAATTTTATAAAATGTTTTTTTCTGTGTTTCCTGAAATGATCATATGATTCTTCTCTATTCTGTTGAAGAGATGAATTACATTGATTGACTTTTTTATGTATTTATTTTGTTAATTTCAATTTAGTCTTGATATACAATTCTTTATATGCAGTGCTGGATTTTGTTTGCTAATGTTTTGTTTAGGATTTTTGCACCTATATTCATGAGTGAGATTGGCCTGCAACTTTCACTTCTTGAAATGTCCTTCCTTGCCAGACTTTGGAAATGAAGTCATGCTGGTCTCATAAAACAAGTTGAAGAGTATTCTCTCTTCTATTCATTTCAAGTTTATTACTGAGTTTATTTTAAAAGTTAGTTTATTACTTCCAAAGAATAGAAGAGAAATACTTTTAAAGTACATGTGATAATATATTCATATAATTTCTAAAGATCAAATCAGTGTAATTGGGATATTCATCACCTTAAATATTTGTCTCTTCTTTGTGCTGGAAACATTGAAATTATTCTCTTCTAGCTATTTTGAAATATATAATAGATTATTATAAACTATAGGCACCCTATTGAGCTATCAAACACTAGGTCTTATTTCTTCTATTAAATTATATATTTCTACCCATTACAAATTTTCCTCTCCTCCCCACCCCACTCCACTGTTCTTCCTGGTCTCTGGTAACCACCAATCTACTCTCCACCTTCATAGATCCATTTTTTTAGCTCCCATATATGAGTGAGAATATGTGATATTTGTCTTTCTATGCTTAGCTTATTTCACTTAGCATAATGGGGGCATCCAATTCTATCCATGTTGTTGCAAATGACAGGATTTTACTTTTTAATGGCTGAACAATATTCGATTGTGTATATATACCACATTTGCTTTATCCATTCATCCATTGATGGAGACTTAGCTTGATTCCATATTTTGGCTATTGCGAATAGTGCTGCAATAAACATGGAAGTGCAGATAGCTCTTCAGTGTACTGATTTGATTTCTTTTGAATATATACCTAGCACTGAGATTGCTGGATCATATGGTAGTTGTAGTTTTTTAGTTTTTTGAGGAAACTCCATATAGTTTTCCATAGTGATTGTACTAATTTACATTCCTACAAACATATGTATATGTTTGGGTTCCCCTTCTCTACATTCTCACCATCATCTGATACTTTTTTGATAAGCACCATTTTAACTGGGATGAGATGTTATCTCATTGTGGTTTTGATTTGCATCTCTGTGATGATTAGTGATGTTGAGCATTTTTTCATGTACCTGTTGTCCATTCATATGTCTTCTTTTGAGAAATGTCTATTCAGATCTTTTGTCCATTTTTAATGAGTTTTTTTGCTATTGAATTATTTGAGCTCCTTATATTCTGGTTATTAAACCCTTGTCAGATGGGTAGTTAGCAAATAATTTCTCCCATCCTGTGGATTGTCTTTTCACTTTGTTGATTGTCTCCTTTGCCGCGCAGAAACTTTTTAACTCGACGTAATGCCGCTTTTGTCTATTTTTGCTTTGGTTGCCTGTGCTTTTGAGGTCTTACACAAAAAATCCTTGTCCAGACCAATGTCCTGGAGTGTTTCCCCAATGTTTTCTTCTAGTAGTTTCATTGTGTCAGGTCTTAGATTTAAGATTTTCATCCATTTTTATTTTATTTTTGTGTATGGTGAGAGGTAGGGATCTAGTTTCATTCTTCTACATGGTTGTAAACTGTAGTCACCCTACTGATCTATCAAACACTGGGTCATACTTCTTCTATTAAACTGTATGTTTGTACCCATCAATCAACTTCTCTTTCTCTCCCCCACCCCTCTACTCTTCCTGACCTCTAGTAACCAGCAGTCTATTCTCTATCTTCATGAGATCCACTTTTTTAGTTTCCACATGTGAGTGAGAACATTTGATACTTGTTTTTTTTCACATTTGTTATACTCCTGGGCTGAAGTGATATATAGGTATGTAACACTGTGCCCAGATGGTGAATAATATTTTTAATGTGTTGTTGAATTTGGCTTGCTAGTATTTTGCTGAGGACTTTTGTATCCAGTTTTCCCAGCACCATTTATTGATGAGACTTTCCTTTCCCCGCTTTGTTATTGATGCCTTCGTCAAAAATAAATTGGCTGTAGCCAGGCACAGTGGCTCACACCTGTAATTCCAGCACTTTTGGAGGCCGAGGTGGGTGGATCACTTGAGTTCAGGAGTTCGAGACCAGCCTGGTGAACATGGTTCTACTAAAAATACAAAATTAGCCAGGTATAGTGGCACACGCCTGTAGTACCAGCTACTTGGGAGGCTGAGGCAGGACAATCACTTGAAACCAGAGGGTGGATATTGCAGTGAGTTGAGATCGTGCCACTGCACTCCAGCCTGGGCAACAGAGTGAGACTCCATCTCAAAAAATAAATTAATAAGTTAAAAATAAATAAATAAATAAATAAATAGGCTATAAATGCATGGATTTATGTCTGAGTTCTCTATTCTGTTCCATTGGTCTATGTGTCTGCTTTTTACACCAGTACCATGCTAATTTGGTTACTATCTCTTTGTAGTACATTTTAAAGTCAGGTAGTGTGATGCCTCTAGCTTTGTTCTTTTTGCTTATGATTGCTTTGGGTATTCAGGGTCTTTGTGGTTTTGTATAAATTTTAGCATTGTTTTTTCTGTTTCTATGAAGAATGTCATTAGTATTTTGATAAGCCTTTCTTTGAATCTATAAATTGCTTTGGGTATTACTGTCGTTTTAACGATATTCTTCTAATGCATGACCATGGATTATCTTTCCATTTTTGTATGTATGTGTCCTCTTCAATTTTTTTTATCAGTGTGTTTTAGTTTTCCTAATATAGGTCTTTCATTTCTTTGGTGAAATTGATTCCTAGGTATTTTATATTTTTTATAGCTATTGTAAATGGGATTGCTTTCTTGATCTCTTTTTCAGATTGTTTACTGTTGGTGATAAAATACTACTGATTTTTGTATTTTAGTTTTGTATCCTGCAACTTTACTGAATTTATTTATTAGTTCTGACAGATTTTTGGTGGGGTCTTTAGGTTTTTCTAAGTATAAGATCACGTTGTCTGTGAACAAAACAAATTTGACATCTTCCTTTTCAATTTGGATGCCCTTTCTTTCTCTTGCCTAATTCTTCTGTCCAGAATTCCTAGTATTATGTTGAATAAAAGTGATGAAAGTGTGCATCCTTGTCTTGTTCTAGATCTTAGAGGAAAGTCTTGCAACTTTTTTTCATTTAGTATGATGTTAGCTGTGAGTTTGTCATATATGGTCTTCATTATTTTGAGGTATGTTTCTTTCTTTCTTTCTTTCTTTCTTTCTTTCTTTCTTTCTTTCTTTCTTTCTTTTCTTTCTTTCTGTCTCTCTCTCTGTCTTTCTTCTTCTTTTTTTTTTTTTTAAACAGGGTTTCACCCTTGTTGCCCAGACTGGAGTGCAATGGCATGGTCTCGGTTCACTAACACCTCCACCTCCCAGGTTCAAGCAGTTCTCCTGCTTCAGCCTCCCAAGTAGCTGGGATTACAGGTGCCTGCCACCACTCCTGGCTAATTTTTGTATTTTTAGTAGAGATGGGGTTTCACCATGTTGGCCAGGTTGGTCTCGAACTCCTGACCTCAGGTGATCTGCCCGCCTTGGCTTCCCAAAGTGCTGGGATTACAGGTGTGAACCACTGTGCCCAGTGTTTTGAGGTATGTTCCTTCTGTACTCATTTTGTTGAAGGTTTTTATCATAAAGGGATGCTGACTTTTATTGCATGCTTTTTCAGCATCTCTTGAAATGATCACATAGTTTTTGTTCTTGGTTTTGTTAATGGGATGTATCACATTTATTGATTTGTGTACATTGAACCATCCTTGCATCCCTGAAATGAATCCCATTTGATCTTGGGGAATAATTTTTTTTTTTTTGAGACAGAATTTTGCAATGTTTCCCAGGTTGGTCTTGAACTCTTGAGCTCAAGTGATCCCCCTGGCTCAGTCTCCCAGTAGCTGATACTGTAGGTATGTAACATTGTGCCCGACTGGTGAATGATATCTTTAATGTGTTATGGAATTTGGTTTGCTAGTGTTTTGTTGAAATTTTTGTGTCTATGTTCTTCAGTGGTATTGGCCTGTAGTTTTCTTTTTTTGTTCTGTTCTTATCTGGTTTTGATATTACAGTAATGCTGTCCTCATACAATGAGTTTAGAAGTATTCCCTCCTCTTCAATTTTTTTGAAGAGTTACAGTAAAATTAGTATTCGTTCTTTAAATGTTTGGTAGAATTCATAGTGAAACCATCAGGTCCTGGGCTTTTCCTTGATCGTAGACTTTTTATTATGGCTTCGATTTTGTTATTCATTATTGGTTTGTTGAAGTTTTCTATTTCTTTGTTGTTCAATCTTGGTAGGTTGTATAGTCAAGGAATTTATCAATTTTCTCTAGGTTTTCCAATTTGTTGGTGTGTAATTGTTCATAATATTCTCGAATGATCCTTTGTATTTTTGTGGTCTTAGTTGTTATATTTCCTTGTATGTTTCTGATTTTATTTGAGTCTTTTCTCTCTTTTTCTTAGTCTAGCTAAAGGTTTGTCTATTTTTGTACCTTTCAAAAACCAATTTTTCATTTTGTCTATCTTCTATATTTTTTGGTCTCAATTTCATTTATTTCTACTCTGATCTTTGTTTTGGCTATGAAGAAATGATTTTTTTTTAAACTTTTAAGTTCAGGGGTACATGTGTAGGTTTGTTACATAGGTAAACTCATGTCATGGGGGTTTGTTGGACAGCTTATTTCATCACCCAGGTATTAAGCCAGTACCCATGAGTTATTTTTCCTGATCCCTTCCCTCCTTTTACCCTCCACCATCCAGTAGGCCCCACTGTCTGTTGTTCCCCTGTATGTGTCCATGTGTTCTCATCATTTAGCTCCCACTTATGAGTGAGAACATGGAGTATTTGGTTTTCTGTTCCTATGTTTGTTTGGTAAGGATAACGGCATCCAGCTCCATGTTCCTGCAAAGGCTGCATAGTATTCCATGGTGTATATGTATCACATTGTCTTTATCCAGTCTACCATTGATGGGCATTTAGGTTGAGTTTATGTCTTTGCTTTTATGAATAGTGCTTCAGTGAATATACTGTGCATGTGTCTTTATGATAGAACAATTTATATTCCTTTGGTTAAATACTCAGTAATGAGATTTTTGCTCCCATCTTTATTTCATTTCTTCCACTAATTTTGTGTTTTGTTTGCTCTTGCTTTTCTAGTTTCTTGAGGTACATCGTTAAGTTGTTTATTTGAAGACTTCCTACTTTTCTGATGTGGGCTTTTATTGCTATGAACTTTCCTGTTAGTACTGCTTTTGCTGTATCTCATGGATTTTGGTATGTTGTATTTCCATTTTCATTTGTTTCAAGAAATTTTTAAATTTCCATCTGAATTTCTTCATTGACTCATTGAAAATGATTGTTTAATTTCTATGTTTTGTGTATTTTTTGAGGTTTCTCTTTTTATTGATTTCTAGTTTTATTCCATTGTGGTCAGAAGAAATACTTGATATGATTTCTACTTTTTTGAATTTGTTGAGACTTCTTTTGTGGCCTAAGATTCTGGAGAATCTATTCTGGAGAATGTTTCATGTGCTGTTGAAAACAATGTGTATTCTGCAGCAGCTGGTTGAAATGTTCTGTAAATGTCAGTTAGGTCTGTTTGGTCTTGTGTGTAGTTTAAATCTGCTGTGTCTTTGTTGATTTTCTGTCTAGATAATCTGTCTACTACTGAGAGTGGAGTGTTGAAGCCCTTACTACTATTACGTTGCAGTCTATCTCTCCCTTCACATTTATTAATATTTGCTTTGTATACTCGAATACTCTAGTGTTGAGTTCATAGATATTTATAATTGTTATATCCTGTTGATGGATTGACTCCTTTATCAGTATATAGTGATCTTCTTTGTCTTTTTTAGAAGTCTTTGTAGTCAATTTCATCTGATATTAATATAGCTACTACTGCTCTTTTTTGGTTTTCAGTTGCATGGAATATATTTTTCCACTTCCATTTTCAGTTTATGTGTGTCTTAATAGGTGAAATAGGTTTCTTGTAGGCAGCATATAGTTGGGTCTTGCTTCTTTATCTATTCATTTGCTCTATGTCTTTTATTTTTACTTTTTTTTTTTTTTTTTTTTTGAGACAGGGTCTCCCTCTGTCACCCAGGCTGGAGTGCGGTGGCACCATCTCGGCTCAGTGTAGCTCGACCTTTCAGGCTCAAGCAATCCTCCCACCTCAACCTCCTGAGTAGCTGGGACTACAGGCACATGCCACTGCAACTGGCTAATTTTTTTTTTATTTTTAGTAGAGATGGGGTTTTGCCACATTGTCCAGGCTGGTCTTGAGCTCCTGAACACAAGCAATTTGCCTGAGTCAGCCTCCCAAAGTGCTGGGATTATAGGTGTGAGCTGCCGTGCTCAACACTCTATGTCTTTTAATTAGAGAATTGACTTCATTTAAATTCATTGTTATTAATGATAAGTAAGGATTTTATTTTTAGTTTTTAAAATTTTTAAATATATTTTTGGAGACAGGGTCTTGCTCTGTCACTCAGGCTGGAGTGCAGTGGTTCAATCTTGGCACACCACAACCTCTACCTGCCAGGTTCAAGTGATTCTCGTGCCTCGGCCTCCCGAGTAACTGGAATTACAGGCACATGCCCCTGTGCCCAGCTAATTTTTGTATTTTAGTTGAGATGGTGTTTCGCCATGTTGGCCATGCTGGTCTTGAACTTCTGGCCTCAAGTGATCTGCCTGCTTCAGCCTTCCAAAATGCTGGGATTATAGGTACAAGCCACTGCACCTAGCTGATAAGTACAGGCTTTCAACTGCCATTTTGTTGCTTATTTTCTGGTGGTTTTGTGACTCCTCTTTTCCTTTCTTCCTTTCTTACTGTTGTCCTTTATGGCTAAGTGGTTTTCTCTGGTAGCATGTTTGAATTCATTGCTTCTTTTTTTTTTTTAACTTTTTAAAAATTTTTCCGTAAGTTATTCGGGTACAGGTGGTATTTGGCTACATGAGTAAGTTCTTTAGTGGTGATTTGTGAGATTTTGTTGCACCCATCACCCAGGCAGTATACATTGTACTCTATTTGTAGTCTTTTATCCCTCATCCCCCTCCCAGCTTTCCCCCCAAGTCCCCAAAGTCCATTGTGTCATTCTTTTTTGTTGTTGTTGTTGTTGTTGTTGAGACAGAGTCTCACTCTGTCACCCAGGCTGGAGCGCAGTGGCACAATCTTGGCTCACTGCAACCTCTGCCTCCCTGGTTCAAGTGATTCTCCTGCCTCAGCCTCTCCCGAGCAGCTGGGACTACAGGGGTGCACCACCACACCCAGCTAATTTTTGTATTTTTTAGCAGAGATGGGGTTTCACCATATTGGCCAGGCTGGTCTTGAACTGCTGACCTCGTGATCTTCCCGCCTCAGCCTCCCAAAGTGCTGGGATTATAGGCATAAGCTATCATGCCTGGCTTGTGTCATTCTTATGCCTTTGTGTTCTCATAGCTTAGCTCCCACATATCAGTGAAAACATATGATATCTGGTTTCCATTCCTGAGTTACTTCACTTAGAATAATAGTCTCTAATCTCATCCAGGTAGCTGCAAATGCTGTTAATTCATTCCTCTTTATGGCTGAGTAGTATTCCATCATATATATCACAGTTTCTTTTTCCACTCGTTGATTGATGGCAATTTGGGTTGGTTCCATGATTTTGCAATTGCGAATTGTGCTGCTATAAACATGTATGTCCAAGTGTCTTTTTTGTATAATGACTATTTTCCTCTGGGTAGATCCCCAGTAGTGGGATTGCTGGATCAAATGGTAGTTCTACTTTTAGTTCTTCAAGAAATGTCCACACCGTTTTCCATAGAGGTTGTACTAGTTTACATTCCCACCAGCAGTGTAGAAGTGTTCCCTGATCACCACATCCACGCCAACATCTACTGTTTTTTTTAATATATTTTTTTATTATGGCCATTCTTGCAGGAGTAAGGTGGTGTTGCATTGTGGTTTTGATTTGCATTTCCCTGATCATTAGTGATGTTGAGCATTTTTTCATGTTTGTTGGCCAATTGTATATCTTCTTTTGAGAATTATCTATTCATGTCCTTAGCTCACTTTTTGATGGGATTGTTTGTTTTTTTTCTTACTGATTTGTTTGAGTTCGTTGTAGATTCTGGATATTAGTCCTTTGTCAGATGTACAGATTGTAAAGACTTTCTCCCTCTCTGTAGGTTGTCTGTTTATTCTGCTAACCGTTCCTTTTGCCATGCAAAAGCTCTTTAGTTTAATTAAGTCCCAACTATTTATCTTTGTTTTTATTGCATTTGTTTTTGGGTTTTTGGTGATGAAATCCTTGCCTAAGCCAATGTCTAGAAGGGTTTTTCCAGTGTTATCTTCTAGAATTTTTATGGTTTCAGGTCTTAGATTTAAGAGTTGGTTTTTCCAAGGTGAGAGATGAGGATCCAGTTTCATTCTCCTACATGTGGCCAGGCAATTATCCCAGCACCATTTGTTGATAAGGGTGTCCTTTCCCCACTTTATGTTTTTGTTTTGTCAAAGATCAGTTGGCTGTATTTGGGTTTATTTCTGGGTTCTCTATTCTGTTCCATTGGTCTATGTGCCGATTTTTATACCAGTATCATGCTGTTTTGGTGACTCTCATGCTGTTTTGGTGGTGTGATGCCTCCAGACTTGTTCTTTTTGCTTAGTCTTGCTTTGGCTATGCGGGCTCTTTTTTGGTTCCATATGAATTTTAGAATTGTATTTTCTAATTCTGTGAAGAATGATGGTGGTATTTTGATGGGGATTGCATTGAATCTGTAGATTGCTTTTGGCAGCATGGTCATTTTCACAAATATTGATTCTACCCATCCATGAGCATGGGATGTGTTTCCATTTGTTTGTTTCATCTGTGATTTCTTTCAGCAGTGTTTTGTAGTTTCCTTGTAGAGGCCTTTTGCCTTCTTGGTTATGTATATTCCTAAGTTTTTTTTTTTTTTTTTTTTTTGCATGCTATTATAAAAGGGGTTGAGTTCTTAATTTGATTCTCCACTTAGTTGCTGTTGGTGTATAGGAGAGCTACTGATTTTGTACATTAATCTTGTATCCAGAAGGTTTGCTGAATTCTTTTATCAGTTCTAGGAGCTTTTTGGAAGAGTCTTTAGGGTTTTCGAGGTAAACAATCATCTCATTGGTAAACAGTGACAGTTTGACTTCCTCTTTACTGATTTGGATGCCCTTTATTTCTTTCTCTTGTCTGATTGCTCTGGTTAGGACTTCCAGTGCTATGTTGAAGAGGAGTGGTGAGAGTGGGCATCCTTGTCTTGTTCCAATTCTCAGAGGGAATGCTTTCAACTTTTCCCCATTCAATATCATGTTGGCTGTGGGTTTGTCATAGATAGCTTTTATTACATTGAGGTATGTTCCTTGTATGCTGATTTTGCTGACAGTTTTAATCATAAAGCGATGCTGGATTTCTTCAAATGCTTTTTCTGCATCTATTGAGATGATTGTTTGATTTTTGTTTTTAATTCTGTTTATGTGGTGTATCACATTTATTGACTTGCATATGATAAGCCATCCCTGCATCCCTGGTATGAAACCCACTGGATCATGGTGGATTATCTTTTTCATATGTTGTTGGATTTAGTTAGCTAGTTTTTTGTTAAGGATTTTGGCATCTATGTTCATCAAGGATATCAGTCTGTAGTTTTCTTTTTTGGTTATGTCCTTTCCTGGTTCATCCATAGAATGAATTAGGGAGGGTTCCTTCTTTCTCTATCTTGTGGAATAGTGTCAGAAAGATTGGTACCAATTCTTCTTTGAACGTCTGGAAGAATTCTGCTGTGAATCTGTCTGGTCCTGGACTTTTTTTTGTTGGTAATTTTTAAATTACCATTTCAACCTCACTGCTTATTATTGGTCTATTTAGGGTATCTAATTCTTCCTGATTTAAGCTAGGAGGGTTTTATCTTTCCAGGAATTTATCTATCTCTTCTAGGTTTTCTAGTTTGTGTGTATAAAGGTGTTCATAGTAGCCTTGAATGATCTTTTGTATTTCATTGGTGTCAGCTGTAATATCTCCTGTTTCATTTCTTAATGAGATTATTTGAATATTCTCTCTTCTTTTCTTGGTTAATCTTGCTAATGGTCTGTCAATTTTATTTATCTTTTCAAAGAACCATCTTATTGTTTCATTTATCTTTTGTATTTTTTTTGTTTCAATTTCATTTAGTTCTGCTCTGTTCTTGGTTATTTCCTTTCTTCTGCTGGGTTTGGGTTTGGTTTGTTCTTCTTTCTCTAGTTCCTTGAGATGTGACCTTAGAATGTCAGTTTGTGCTCTGTCAGTCTTTTTGATGTAGGTGTTTAAGGCTATGAACTTCCTCTTAGCACCACCTTTGCTGTATCTCAGAGGTTTTGATAGGTTGTATCATTATTGTCTTTCAGTTCAAAGAATTTTTAAATTTCCGTCTTGATTTCATTTTTGATGCAATGCTCATTCAGGAGCAGTTTATTTAATTTCCACATACTTGCATGGTTTTGAAGGTTCCTTTTGGAATTGATTTACAGTTTTATTCCACTGTGGTCTGAGAGGCTGCTTGATGTAATATTAATTTTCTTAAATTTATTGAAGCTTGTTTTATGGCCTATCATGGTCTATCTTGGAGAAAGGTCCATGTGCTATTGAATAGAATGTGCATTCTGTAGTTGTTGGATGAAATGTTCTGTATGTATCTGTTAAGTCCATTTGTTCTAAGATATAGGTTAAATCCATTGCTTCTTTGTTGACTTTTTGTCTTGATGACCTGTCCAGTGCTGTCAGTGGAGAACTGAAGTCCCCCACTATTATTGTGTTGCTGTCTATCTCATTGCTTAGGTCTATTAGTAATTAGTAAATTTGGGACCTCCAGTGTTAAGTGCATATATGTTTAGGATTGTGATATCTTCCTGCTGGACAAGGCCTTTTACCATTATATAATGTCCCTCTTTGTCTCTTTTAACTGCTGTTGCTTTAAAGTTTGTTTTGTCTGATATAAGAGTAGCTACCCCTGCTTGCTTTTGGTGTCCATTTGCATGAAATGCCTTTTCCCACCCCTTTACTTTAGGTTTATGTGGGTCCTTATGTGTGAGTCTCCTGAAGGTAGCAGGTGGTTGGTGAGTTCTTATCAATTCTCCAGTTCTATATGTTTTAAGCGGAACATTTAGGCCATTTACATTTAATGTTAGTGTTGAGATGTGAGGTACCATTACATTCGTAATGTTATTTGTTGTCTGTGTTCCTTGTTTTTGTTTTTGCTTTTTAACATGTATTTTTGTATAGGTCCTGTGTGATTTATACTTTAAAGAGGTTCTGTTTTGATGTGTTTCCAGTATTTGTTTTAAGATTTAGATCTCCTTTTAGCAGATCTTATAGTGGAGGCTTAGTAGTGGCGAATTCTCTCAGCATTCGTTTGTCTGAAAAAGACTGTATCTTTCCTTCATATCTGATGCTTAGTTTCTCTGGATACGAAATCCTTGGCTGATAATTGTTTTGTTTGAGGAGGCTGAAGATAGGGCCCCAATCCCTTCTAGCTTATAGGGTTTCTGCTGAGAAATCTGCTGTTAGTCTGATAGGTTTTCCTTTATAGGCTATCTGGTACTTTTGTCTCACAGCTCTTAAGATTCTTTCCTTCATCTTAACTCTAGATAACCTGATGACAGTTTGCCTAGGCAATGATCTTTTTGTGTTGAATTTCTCAGGTGTTCTTTGTGCTTCTTGTATTTGGATGTCCAGGTCTCTAGCAAGGCTGGGGAAGTTTTCCTCGATTTTTCCCCCAAATATGTTTTCCAAACTTTTAGATTTCTCTTCTTCCTCAGGAATACTGATTATTCTTAGGTTTGGTCGTTTAACATAATCCCAGACTTCTTGGAGGCTTTGTTCATATTTTATTATTCTTTTTTCTTTGTTTTTGTTGGATTGGGTTAATTCGAAGATGTTGTCTTTGAACTCTGAATTTCTTTCTTCTGCTTGTTCAATTATGTTGCTGAGACTTACCAGAGCATTTTGCATTTCTATAAGTGTGTCCAATTTTTCCTGAATGTTTTATTGTTTTTTCTTTATGTTATCTATTTCCTTGAATATTTCTCCCTTCACTTCTTGTATCGTTTTTTGGATTTCCTTGCATTGGGCTTCGCCTTTCTCTGGTGCCTCCCTGATAAGCTTAATAACTAACCTCCTGAAATCTGTTTCAGGTAAATCAGGGATTTCTTCTTGGTTTGGATCCATTGCTGGTGAACTAGTGTGATTTTTTGGGGTTGTTAAAGAGCCTTGTTTTGTCATATTACCAGAGTTGGTTTTCTGGTTCCTTCTTATTTGGGTAGGCTCTGTCAGAGGGAAAGTCTAGGGCTGAAGGCTGTTGTTCAGATTCTCTTGTCCCACAGGGTGTTCCTTTGATATAGTACTCTCCCCCTTTTCCTATGGATGTGGCTTCCTGTGAGCTGAACTACAGTGATTGTTCTCTCTCTTCTGGGTCTAGCCACCCAGCAAGTCTACCCAGCTCTGGGCTGGTACGGGGGGTTGTCTGGATAGAGTCCTATGATGTGAACCATCTGTGGGTCTCTCAGCCGTGGATACCAGTGCCTGTTCCGGTGGAGGTGACGGTTGGTGGTGGGGTCGGGGTGGGGGTTGAAATGGACTCTGTGAGAGTTTTTAGCTTTGGTGGTTTAATGCTCTATTTTTGTGTTGGTTGGCCTCCTGCCAGGTGGTGGATGGGGCCCTAGAACTCCCCAAATTATATGCTCTTTGTCTTCAGCTACCAGGGTGGGTAGGGAAGGACCATCAGGTAGGGGGCATGGCTAGGCATGTCTGAGCTCAGACTGTCCTTGGGTGGGTCTTGCTGCAGCTGCTGTGGGAGATGGGGGTGAGGTTCCCAGGTAAGTGGAGTTGTGTACCTAGGAGGATTATGGCTGCCTCTGGTGAGTCATGCAGGTTGTCAGGGAAGTTGGGGAAAGCTGGCAGTCACAGGCCTCACCCAGCTCCCATGCAAACCAAAGGGCCAGTCTCATTCCCACTGTGCCCCACCCAGTAGTCTGTTTCCATGTGATGGGCGAGCTAGGCTTGAGAACTTGCCCCAGGCTGCCCACCTCCCAGCTGAGAAAGAAAAGGGCTTGGTTCTTCCCCCTTCTGTGGAGACTGCACACTGGATTCATGCCCTCTGCCCGAGTTCTGGCCAGGAGGCTTCTCACCACCAGTTCAAATTGTTACAAACTTCAGCTGAAGATTTCCTTCTCCCCGTGGTGTTTTTCCCCACTCCTCTGGCCGCCCTTCTGATGGATCCCTGTGGTGCCAGGCAGGAATGGCCTGCCTGGGAACCCAGCGAGTTCCCAGGGCCTTTCCCACTGCTTCCTCTACCCCTATATTTCGCTCAGCTCTCTAAATTGACTCAGCTCCAGGTAAGGTCAGAAATTTCTCCCACAAACAGACCTCCAGTTTCTGCAGTGGGGGTATGTATTTGGGAGAGGAGGATCTCCCTTTCCCACTTTCACAGTTGGGGCACTCACAGTATTTGGGCTGTCTCCCGGGTTCTGCAGGAGGCAGTCTGCTTCCTTCAGAGGGTCTGCGGGTCCTTTCAAGATTGCTGGTTTGTTTTTGCCATTGATCTGGAGCTAAAATTCACAATGCAAGCCTCTGCACGCTGCTTTATCCATCCGAGTTGAAGCTGCAATCTAGTCCTGCCTCCCGTCCGCCATGATGATCCAAACTATTGCTTACTTTTCTGCTTTTTATTTTTAGTGTATCTATGATAGGTTTTTGCATTATAGTTGCCATGAGGCCTATGAAAAACACCTTACAGAAATAACACATTATTTTTAAAAGATGACAGCTTACCTTCGATCACAAAAAATAAAATCAAAGAAAAATCTAGAAAAAAGCTCTATACTTTAACTCCATTCCCCAAGATTTTGACTTTTGGTTATCTCAATTTACATATTTTTATACTATCTATCTCTTAACAAGTTGTTATAACTATTATTATAATTGTTATAACTATTATTATAATAGTTATAACTATTATTGTTTTTGACAGATTTTTCTTTTGGACTTCATACTAGAGTTATGAATAGATTGCACTCCCCAAGGACAGTATTAGAATATTTTGGGTTTGTCCATGTACTTAATTTTACCAGTATGTTTTATACCTTCAGATGTCTTCTTTTTGTACAAATCATTGGTTTCATTTTCTTTCAGATTGAAGAACTCCCTTTCACATTTCTTGTAAGATGGGTCTGTTTGTCGTGAATTCTCTCAAGTTTTGTTTATTTGGGAAAGCCTTTTATCTTTCCTTCATATTTAAAGGACAAGTTTGCTGGATACAGTATTCTCCAAAGGAAGTTTTTTAATTTCAGCAATTTTGAAAATGTCATCTCACTCCCACCTGCCCTGTATGGTTTCTGTGAAGAAGTCTGTTGCCAGATGAATTGGAGCTCTGTACTTGCTTCTTTTCCCTTGCTGCTTTTAGGATCCTCTCTTTATTCTTGACTTTTGATCAGTTTATTATATGCCTTGGGGGAGTCTTATTTGAGTCACATCTGTTTGATGCTCTCTCATCTTCCTGTACCTGGATATTTATCTCTTTCTCAAATTTTGGAAAGTTTTTTTTTTTTTTAATAAACTTTCTACCCCTATTCTTGCTCAACTCCTTGAACACCAATAATTCTTAGATTTGTTTTTTTCAGGTAATTTTCTGTATCTTATAGACAGTCTTTGTTGGTTTTCATTCTTTTCTCTTTTTTGTCCTCTGATTATGTATTTTCAAATAGCCTGTCTTTGAGCTCACTGATTCTTTCCTCTGCTTGATCCATTCTGCTCTTGAGGGCCTCCAGTGAATTTTTCAGTTTATTTGCTACATTTTCAGTAGCAAATGTATTTGTCAGTTCCAAGATAGCCACTTGATTTTTTAAATTGTTATTTCAATTATTTTGTTAAATTTATCTGATAAATTTATGAATTGCTCTTTTGTGTTATCTTAAAGATCACTGAGTAGCCGGGCGCGATGGCTTACACCTGTAATCACAACACTTTGGGAGGCCAAGGCGGGCAGATCATGAGGTCAGGAGTTTGAGACCAGCCTGGCCAACATGGTGAAACCCCGTCTCTACTAAAGATACAAAAAATTAGCCGGGTGTGGTGGTACGTGCCTGTAATCCCAGCTACTCAGGAGGCTGAGGCAGGAGAACCACTTGAACCTGGGAGGCAGAGGTTGCAGTGAGCTGAGATCATGCCATTGTACTTCAGCCTGGGTGACAGGGCGAGACTCTGTCTCAGAAATAAAAAAAAAAGATCACTGAGTTTCCTTAAAACTGCTATTTTGAATTCTTGATCATAGAGCTCACATATTGCCGTCTTATTAGGGTCAGTCACTGGCTCCTTGCTTTATCAATTTGAGAGGACCATAGTTCCATGTTTCCTGATGTTTCTTGTGGTGTGTGTTTATGTCTTGCATTGAAGGACAGTTCAATTGAAGGACAGTTGAAGTTATTTGTTCCATTCTCCCTCTGGCTTGTTTTTTATTGGGATATTTGCTTATAGATTCTGTGTAATTTACCTGCTGACTTTCTTTTTTTTCCCCCTGCTAGGTAGCTGCCTCCTTTTTGGCACTAGATGGCACTTTAAGCCCAGGTTTGCATCAATTCTAGCAAACAGTCAGAGTGCCACCCATCCTGAATGGAGGAGGTCCCAAAGGGATATCCCAGTAGTGTGGGAAGGCTAGCTAGGGGTTCATGCCCAGGGGACCTGTGGAACAAATCTCCTACAGTGTGGTGCTGCTGAACTGCCATGCTAATTTGGAGTCTCCTTTGGTTGAGTTACAGAGCAGAATTTCCATGGCTGAGGATGATAGTCCCACCTCCCCACTTTGTTTCTGGCTGTGTTTAGGGATATTTCTTTCTTCAAGTATACCTGATGCCTTCCATGAGTTGAGGCAGGAACCGATCTCCTGCCAGGGAACCCAAGATAGTAGGGAAGCTGGTTGTCCACCTCAATATCAGTTTGCTGTGTAGAAACTGTGAGTTGAGGGAAATTTTCCATACACTTGTACTGGGCAGATTGGGGGAAAGTGTGTCATAGATACAGAAGTCTGATTCTCTTACCATCTACTCAGTTTTTACACTTCTCTGTGGCTCTAGGAACTGTCTCTTTCTCATATTTGAGTTCTGGGATATTGCTGGTAATAACCTGGGTGCTGTGTATTTGTTTTTGTTTTTTTGTGGATGGGGAGGGGGAGTAAAGCCAGCTTGCTTCTACACTGCCATTTTGGAACCTGAAGTTTTTGTGGGAAGGTTTTTAATTGCAGTTTATAATTTAAATTGTTATATACCTATTTGTTATATTTGGTAGTTCATAATTTTTATATGAATATATACATTTTCTTTACATTTTCAAACGCATTAGGATAAAGTTGAAGCCATTTTCATTTTTCTCTTATTCAACTTTTAATGTTCAAAGTAGTAATGTTGCCTTTTTCAGTTTTCATGATATTGAGTATTTGTGTTCATTTTCTCTTCTTAAACAGTCTTACTGGTGGTTTATCAATTTTATTAGTCTTTTCAAAAAATCAACTTTTGGCTTGTTTGATCCTTCTCTATAATTTGTTACCAAGTTTATTTCTTTTCTTTCCTTTATTAGTTCCCCTTTTGTATTCCTGGGCTTATTTGATGTTTTTTTAATATATATATATTTTAAGTAGACTCTTAACTCATTGATTTTTCAGCTTTTCTTCCATACTAATATAAGTATTTAAACTATAAATATCCTTCTATTCTTGGTCTTAGCTGCAACCCACAAGTTTTGGTATGTAACTAATGTATGTATTATCAATATGTTTGAAATTTCATTTTATATATTCTTTGACTTACGAGTTATTTAAAATATTATTTATTTATTAACATGGGAATGTTCTTGTTTTTTTATTTTTAATTGTGGTACTCTTTCAACAAATTTTTAAGTGTTCAATGCAAAATTGTTAACTATAGGTAGATGTTGTACAGCAGATCTCTAGAACTAACTTATCTTGTGTAAATGAAAGGTTATACCTATTTAATAGCAACTCCCCATTTTCCCCTCTTCTCAGGCTCCTAGCAACTACCATTCTACTCTCTGCTTCTATTAATTTCACTATTTTAGATACCTTATAAAAGTGGAATTGTGTATTATTTGTTCTGTGCCTGGCTTATTTCACATAACATAGTGTCTTCAAATTTCATCCATATTGTTATATATTGCAGATTTTCCTTCCTTTTAAAAGCTGAATAATAATAGTCTGTTGTATATATATATATGCCACATTTTCTTTATCCATCCAGGATATCCTCGTTTTTTGTTTTGTTTTGTTTTTTACTAGGCTTTAGTTTAATTGCATTGCAGTCAGAGAACCTACTCTGTGTGTTTTTAATTCTTCCAACTTTGTTAAGCATATGTTCCATTTTTGTAAGGATTCCTTGAGTCCATGGAAATAGTGTGAATCCCATAATTTTTAGGTTCAGTGTTCTGTATAAATCAGTCATATTTGCTAATAATGTCATATTTTATCCTTATTAATATTATCACTTTTTTGAGCAGTTCATGAGAGGTGTGTTAAAATCTCCTGCTTTGATTATGGATTTATTGACTCCTACTCATAGGCTGTCTATCATTTTTTTCATTATAGATTTTAAGTCTATGTTATTTAAGGCATAATTTTTAAATTATTCTATCTTCCTTGAAATTTTGATCAGTTATGAAGTTTCCTTCTTTAGTGATGTTTTTGTCTTGAAGTCTACTTTTTCTGATTTTAATATGGCCACATCAGCTTTCTTTGATTTTTACTTACATGCCATATTTTTTTCCTGTCCTTCTATTTTTACCCTTTCTATTTTCTTATATTTTAGATGTGTTGCCCATAAACAGCATTGAGTTTGGTAGGCTTTGTTTTTAATCTAGTGTCATAATTATTGTCTTTTAATTAGAGTATTTAGTCCATTTACATTTAATGTTCTTATGGGTTTTTATCTACCATCTTACTTTCTACATGTCCTCTATATTCCTGTGTTTCATTTATGGTACTATTTATTGGTGTTTTATTCTTTCTTACTATCACCAGTGATATGTTAATTTAATTGGCATTTTCAAAGAATCAGCCTCAAGATTTTGTTGATTCTATTACTTCTTGCAACTGCGTCAATAATCCGTTGCCACAATAATGCTACTAACAAACAGCTACAAAACTACAGTGGCATACCACAATAAGCATGTATTGTTCATGCATTTGGTGTCAACTAGGCAGCTCTGCTGATCTTGGCTGAGTCTACTCACATGTCTTGGAGTGTTTTGGCTGACAGGTGATCTAGTCAGGCTTTGGCTCTGTTGCATGTCCCTCTCATCCTTTAGGAGGCTATCTTGTACAGGTTCTCATGGAGAGGGCAGAGGCACAAGAGAGCAAATGGAAACATGCAAGACCTCAGAAGGTTTAGGCTTTGAACTAACACATGCCACTTGTCCAAGCAGGTCACATGATTAAACCCAGAATCAGAGTGAGAGGGGGCCACATGAAGCAAAGGGCCTAAATACAGGGAATATGAAGAATCAGAGTCATCATTGCAACCCATGTTCACACACAAAAAGAAGAATGCTGATGACTTTTGTCATGGTCTTCTTTTTCCTGACCTAAGGAGACACAAACTTCAGCTTAAGATTGGTCTCCTGATTTGTGATACAATGAGAATGGGGAAATGGTATCTGTTTTCCTGGAGGAGGCTAAGACCTTATCCCAAGTCTCATCTCAAGATGGTGATTTGGGAATTGTCAACGTATTAAGCTCAAGTTTATTGTACTGGTTGGCCTGGAGTCTACACCACATCCCAGGTAGGAGGAGTTTCACTGAAAATTTTGAGAAAAGCCCTTTGTCCTTTCATGCAACCCGCCTAGTATCTTTCTTTGTATCACTGTGGACTTTATTATCAACCTCTTGTCATTCATTCAGTCATTAAACAAATACTGAGTGCATCCCATATACTAGACTTTAGGAACATAGTCTAGTATGTAGTGAGTCCAGTACCAGCCAATGACAAGATAAACATGCAAGACAAACAACTTTACAATAACATCATTGTCTTGAAGGATAAAAGAGTGTGGTGGGACCAGAGCAGAATTACACCTAAGTCATCTTGAGAGCATCCACATAGACTTCATAGCCTCCACATAGACTTCATAGACCTCAAAGCTTTTGAGTAAAACTTCAAAGCAAATTGGAGCTTTCTAGGTGAATAAGCAGAAAGATTTTCCTAGCAGTGATATCAAAGAGTGTAGAATAAGGAGATATTCAAGACCATGGCTTATTGGGGGAAAGTACAAGTTCAGTGTTGCTGGAGCATCAGGTGAGGGAGTGGCAGGAGACAAAGCAGGACAGGAGAACTGAGGCCAGGCAATCAAGACCTTGCATGCCTTGCAAGAGAGTTTGGATTCTATTCTATTACATCGGTCATATGTGATGATGAACCATTGGAAATATTTAATTAGAATGCATTACATGCTCAGTTTCTAGTTCACAGGAAGACTTTACAAAGGCCACTATGGCGTCCAGGAAGGAGATGAGGAGGGATTGAACCAGAACAATAACTATGGATTAGATCTGGGAGGTATTTTAGATAATTAATGGAACTTGATATTTTATTGGATATGGGGAAAGGAGATTGTGGAAAAGGGGACTATCAAGGATGATTTCAGAAACTGGGTAGATGGTGGAACCATTTTGTGAGGTGAGATTAATAAGAGTGAATGGATTATTTGATGAAGATGCTGAGATGGTAACAATCATTTCTGATTTGGACAGGTAGAGAGTTTGACTTTCCTAGTAAGCATTTGGGTAAATACACTGCATTCAGTCAGCCACAGGTGCCTATTAAAGTAGACAGAAAAATGGCCTCACTAAAGACACCCTTGTATAATCTCTGGAACCTGTAAATGTCACCTTTTTTTTTTTTGAAAGGTCTTTGTAGTTGTGATTAAAGATCTTGAGATAAGGAGATTATCCTGGATTATCTAAGGTGCCCTAAATGCTATCACAGGCATCCTGTGATAAGGGAGAGACAGAGGGAGATTATAAAGACAGAAAAGGAAAAGGCAATGTGATTATGGAATCAGATTGGAATGATGTAACGAGCCAAGGAATGCCAAAGCCAACAGAAACTGGAAGAAACAAGGAACAGATTCTCCCCTAGAGCCTCTGGAGTGAGCATAGGCCTGCTGACACCTTGATTTCAGCCCAGGGATACTGATTTCCAACTTCTTATCTCTAGAATTGTGAGAGAATAAATTCCTGTTGTTTTAAGCCACTAAGTGAGTGGTAATTTTTTACAGCAGCAACAGGAAACTAACACAATTATGAAGAAGACAAAAGGAAATGAGGCCAACCATGGCACAAAAACATGTCAAGAAATAAGGACTTACTCACTCTTCAGAAAGAACTCCTTGAAAGAATTGTCTGTGCTCAATGTTAATTTTTTGCTTTTTGTTTTTTTGTGTATCCATTGTATGTTTTTAGATTTGAGGGATGAGGCTTGCAAATAATATAACCCATTATTTTAAACTGATGACAACTTAACACTGATTGCATAAACAAACAACAACTAACAAGCAAAAAGAAAACTAAAAAACTACACTTTATCTCCTGGCTTTTTTGTTGTTTCTATTTATATCTTACTGTACTATGTCTTGAAACATTATAGTTATTATTTTTGATCTTTTCATCTTTCTACTTATGAGTAGTTTACATACCATAATTACAGTGTTATAATAGTCTGTGCTTTTCTGTGTATTTACTGTTACCAATGAGTTTTGTATCTTCAGATGATTTCTTATTGCTTATTAATGTCCTTTTCTCTCAGATTGAAGAACTCCCTTTAACATTTCTTGTAGGACTGGTCTGGTGTTGATGAAATACCTTTTGTTTGTCTAGGAAAGTCTTTATTACTCTTTCATGTTTGAAGGATATTTTTGCCAGATATACTATTCTAGGGTAAGAGTTTTTCTTCTTCAGCACTTTAAATATGTTATGCCACTCTTTCCTGGCCTGCAAGGTATCCACTGAAAAGTCTGCTGCCAGACGTATTGGAGCTGCTTTGTGTATTATTTGTTTTTTTTTCTCTTGCTGCTTTTAGGGTCCCTTTTTTTACCCTTGACCTTTGGGAGTTTGATTATTAAATGCCTCGAGGTAGTCTTCTTTGGGTTAAATCTACTTGGTGTTTATACTTCTTAGACTTGAATATTGATATCTTTCTCTAGGTTTGGGACGTTCTCTGTTACTATCCCCTTGAATAAACTTGTATCCCTATCTCTTTCTCCACCTCTTCTTTAAGGGCAATAACTCTTAGATTTTTCCCTTTGAGGCTATTTTCTAGACCCTGTAAGCATGCTTCATTCTTTTTTATTCTTTTTTCTTTTGTCTCCTCTGACTGTTAACTTTAAAATAGCCTGTTTTCAAGCTCACTAATTCTTTCTTTTGCTTAGTCAATTCTGCTATTAAGAGACTGATACATTTTTCATTATGTCAGTTGCATTTTTCAACTCCAGAATTTCTGCATTATTTTTAAAATTATTTCAAATTATTTGTTAAGTTTATCTGATAGGATTCGAATTCCTTCTCCATGCTATCTAGAATTTCTTTGAGTTTTCCTCAAATCAGCTATTTTGAATTCTCCATCTGAAAGGTCCTACATCTCTGTCTCTCTGGGATTGGTCCCTGGTGCCTTATTTAGTTAGTCTGGCGAAGTCATGTTTTTCTGGTTGGATCTGATGCATGTGGATGTTTGTCAGTGTCTGGGCACTGAAGAGTTAGATATTTATTGTAGTCTTTGCAATCTGGACTTGTTTGTACTTTTCCTTCTTGGGAAGGCTTTCCAGGTATTCAAAGGAACTTGGATGTTGTGAACTAAGTTTTTGGTCACTGCATCTATATCTGCATTAGGTGGGTACACAGAGCCCAGTAACATTTTGGTTCTTGCAGACTTGTAGAGGTGCCACCTTGGTGGTCTTGGATAAGATCCAGAAGAATACTCTGGATTACCAGGCAGAGACTCTTATTCTCTTCCTTTACTTTCTGTCAAACAAATGAAGTCTCTCTCTCTGTGTTGAGCCACCTGAAGCTGGGGGAGGGGTGACACAAAGCACCCTTGTGGCCACCACCACTGTGACTGCAAAGGGTCAAACCTTAAGGCAGCACAGCCATGGGTCTTGCCCAAGGCCCACTGTAACCACTACCTACATTCTCTCAAGGCCCTAGGGCTCTGCAATCAGCAGGTGATGAAGCCATCCAGGCCTATGTCCTTCCCTTAAGGGCAACAAGTTCCCCTGGCCCTACAGAGGTCCAGAGATGCTGTCTGGGAGCCAGAGCCAGGAGTAGGAAACCTTAGAAATCTATCTGGTGCTCTGTTCTACTGCAGCTGGCCTGACTGTGACAGCACTAGGCAAAGTACTTTCCGCTCTTCCCTCCGTTTTTCCCATGCAAAGGAGTCTCTCCCCATGTCCACCACCACCACAGGCCCACAGGGAGTACTACCAGGGTACTACTGATGTTCACTAAAGGCCCAAGGGCTCTTCTGTCAGCTTGTGGTGAATGCTTTCAGGCCTGGGACTCATCCTTCAGGGCAGTGGGCTCTTCCACTGGCCTATAGTAGGTCCAGAGATGCCATTCAAGAGCCAAAGCCTGGAACTGGGGACCCTAAGAGCCTGTTTGGTGCTCTTCCCCACTGTGGCCAAGCTGACACCTAAGCTCAAGACAAAGTCCCCTTTACTCTTTCCTCTGCTTTTCTGAAGCAGAAGTGGTCTCTTCTCGTAGCCACTACAGCTGAGAATGTGCCGGTCACACCTGAAGTCAGCACAGCTCTTAGTCTCACCCAAGGCCCATGGCGAGTACTACCTGGCTACTGCTGCTGATTATTCAGGGCCCAGGGGCTCTTTAGTCACCACATGATGAATCCTACTAGGACTGGGTCCTTCATGTCAAGGCAGCAGCTTCCCTTCCAGTCCAGGGTGTGTCTAGGAATGTCATCCAGGAGCCAGGGCCTGGAATAGGGACCTTGTGACTCTGCCAGGTGCCCTATCCAACTGTGGCTGAGCTGGGATCCAAGTTACAAGACAAAGTCCTCTTCACTCCCCTCTCCTCTTTTCAAGTGGAAGGAAGGAGTCGGAGTCTCTTTTGGAGCTGTGAGATGCGGTGCCTGGGATTAGGGGAGGGGTAACGCAAGCACTCTTTTAGCAGATCCAGCTGGTGTTTTACTAGCTCGCATGTCCCCTAAGTCCGGTAGCTCAGTCCTCGTGGCCTAGACAGCCTTTCAAGTTTATTTAGGACCCCAGAGCACTTTTGCCTGTGGTGGCACGGCTTGCCAGAACTCAGGTTCCAACCAGCAGGATGGGTGATTCCCATCTGGCTAGGGCTGATGCAAATGCTCCCTCTTGGGGTGCCAGCTGAGTTCTGCCTGGTGTTGACAGCACTGCATTCCATTGCAAAGTCCCACAGTCACTGCACTTTCTCTCCCCAAGTGTACAGATTTTCCACGCCACGTGGCTACTGCCAGGGGAATGGGGAAAGGTTAGTGTTGGCAATTCAAGACTGTCTTTCCTGCCCTCTTCAGTGCCTCTTTCAGTGATATGAAGTTAAAACCAGATAGTGTGATCACTCCCCTGATTTTTGGTTCTTATGAAGGTGCTTTGTTGTGTACATAATTGTTAAATTTTGTGTTCCTGTGGGGAGGATGATTGGTGGAAGCTTCTATTTGATCATTTTGCTTCACTTCCTCTAGCACTATTTATTGTACAGTTTGTTCTTTCCCCCTAACTTGAAATGCCATCTTCATCATATATCAACATTTCATAACTGTCTGTGTCTATTTCTGGCCTTCATTCTGTTCTATTCTTGCCCCAGTAACTCTCTGTTTTAATAACTATGTCTTTATAATGTCTTAATATTCAGTTGGGAATTTGGCTCTCTTTTTGTTCATCTTTCTTAAATTTTTGTTTACTGTTTCTCCATATTTGCTCTTTTAGAATCAATTTATTTCATCACACAAAAATTAAGATTTTTGATGGATATTTAAAATAAATGTAAAAAGCACAAAATTATATTATTATTTATTCCTGAAGCCCTCAACATGTATTATTTTGCACTCCGTATGTATTATTCCTATTAGATAAAGAGCGGGGTAGATCCAGAGTCTTGTGGGACCTAAAGTCTGACCCATTCAAGAGCCCTTTTTAAGGAGAGTAATGCAAAATGATGAATGTGGCATTAGATGCTGTGCCTTGGCGGAGCCTGTGCTGGGAAGATGCCTGAACCTCTAAGCTTTATTAGCTTCATGGTAAACCCGCTTCAGATAAGCAGTCTCACTTAGAGAGAAAGTCCTGACAAATTGTGCCTTTACTCCCACTAGAGTAAACCAATAGTTCATGACTTCTAAACTACTTAGATGGTATAAGCCATAAAATAACAATTAAATCGCGCAGCTTCAGTTGTATTTTTAGTCATGTGTTACACAATACCACTGCCTCAGCTTTCCCCAGGATAGCACCTCTTATTTGAGGATCTCAGGGGACATTATGAACATTAAGTAATTAAACCTCGCAAGACCCCAGAGACACTGGAGAGAGAGATCCAGCTTCACCTTGCCCAGTTCTGAAATGCAGTCACCTCTAGGGATGAACGTGGCAGCTGCTTAGTAATAAACTGCAACACCTCACGACAGTTTAGTCAAGCAATTAGTCTTTGTAGTTGGTAACTGTCTCATGAACATTAGACCATTGACAGTTAAGTCACCAGGATTATTAGTTTACTGAAAATCTAATCCAGTCTTTAAGACTTTTTACTTTTTTGTAATATTTTCCTAATTATAAAAGAAGCATGCACAGTGAATGTCTACTTTTAGTTGCATTTTTTGTAGTTCTTCAAACTTAAAATAGGAAAGAAATATCTTTGTAATACATTAAAATAGGTAGTTACTGATAATGAGGTTTTTTTAATTCACAAGTTTTCTGCTGATCAAAAGTAATCAATGATAGTAAAAGTTGGAAGAGTGGATACCTTTGAGAGGAGTATTGACTGGACGGGGAGATGAGGGGAACCTCTGGGTGCTGGAAATTTTTTTTTTTTTTTTTTTTTTTTAGTGCTGTCTTGTTGCATTTTTTAAAAAATTTTTTATTTTTTATTTTATTATTATTATACTTTAAGTTTTAGGGTACATGTGCACAATGTGCAGGTTTGTTACATATGTATACATATGCCATGCTGGTGTGCTGCACCCATTAACTCGTCATTTAGCATTAGGTATATCTCCTAATGCTATCCCTCCCACCTCCCCCCACCCCACAACAGTCCCCAGAGTGTGATGTTCCCCTTCCTGTGTCCATGTGTTCTCATTGTTCATTTCCCACCTATGAGTGAGAACATGCGGTGTTTGGTTTTTTTGTCCTTGCGATAGTTTACTGAGAATGATGATTTCCAATTTCATCCATGTCCCTACAAAGGACATGAACTCATCCTTTTTTATGGCAATCATTAAAAAGTCAGGAAACAACAGGTGCTGGAGAGGATGTGGAGAAATATGAACACTTTTACACTGTTGATGGGACTATAAACTAGTTCAACCATTGTGGAAGTCAGTGTGGCAATTCCTCAGGGATCTAGAACTAGAAATACCATTTGACCCAGCCATCCCATTACTGGGTATATACCCAAAGGACTATAATCATGCTGCTATAAAGACACATGCACACGTATGCTTATTGCGGCACTATTCACAATAGCAAAGACTTGGAACCAACCCAAATGTCCAACAATGATAGACTGGATTAAGAAAATGTGGCACATATACACCATGGAATACTATGCAGCCATAAAAAAGGAAATGTTTTATATGTTCTTTTTTTTTCCTTTTTTTTTTTTTGTTTTTGGAGATGGAGTCTCACTCTGTCATCTAGGCTATAGTGCAGTGGCACAATCTTGACTCACTGCAACCTCCGCCTCCCAGGTTCAAGTGATTCTCCTGCCTCTCCTGAGTAGCTGGGATTACAGGTGTGCACCACCATGCCCGGCTATGTTTTTTGTATTTTAAGTAGAGACGAAGTTTCATCATGTTGGTCAGGCTGGTCTTGAACTCCTGACCTCAGGTGATCCAACTCCCTTGGCCTCCCAAAGTGCTGGGATTACAGGTGTGAGCTACTGTGACAAGCCAGTTTTATATATTTTTATAGGCGTTGGTTGTTCAGGAACAGACATATGTAGAAATTCCCTGAGCTGTACACTTTTCATATGTGTGTTAATCTCAACAACAAGGTCAATAAGCCTAAAAAGCATCCTGCTCTTGTCATGATGAGAGTGCTAGAAACCCCAGATAGTCTTATTTGGAAAATTCTGCAGGGTGCAGGACATATCGGGAGCTAGAGATATGACAGTTTTTATTTTCCTCAAAGCATCTTTCTTCAGAAGAGGGATTCTAAGTGATTTACCCTCTCTTCTCAGGACATTTTCTCTTCATGCCAAAAGAGCTACCTTTCATGCTAGAATGTGACTCTCTGTCTCATTGTGCCTTCAACATTATGTACCTCTTCGACTATGCCATTTACACCTCCCTAGGCATCTCATTTTTATCTTAGAATTTCATTCATTTACCTACATCTTTGCCAGAAGTAAGTATAATGCATTAGTGACCCAGATATTTGGGGTTGAGAGGCATCTGCAGGGGCCATTGTTGTAACTGGCACTAGAAGAATACCATGGGAGAGGAGGAAGCAGAGGACCCTGGCTGCTCTGGCTCTGCAGTGTCTGATGTGATGCTTGAAAACAAGAAGGCAGAGCAGCATGCCCACACTCACGGAGACAGCAGCAGTCTCTGGAGCCTTCAGCAGGCCCAGGGTCCCTCCTACATCTGTGGCAGCGCTTCTGAGGAGGGGCAGCCATGAGCAGGGTGTCCTAGGGCTGCTCTGAGCTGAGTCCCAAAGGCTGAGAGCAGATGTCATGGCTGAGAACTCCCAGCAGAGCGGACACCACTGGGTGAGGCACAAAGGAGAGGACATCCTCCAATGATGTCTTCTCCCAGGTCTCCCTCTTTAGGCATGGAGAGATTACAAAAGAGAAAAAAGGAGGGGAGGAGGAGGGTGAAAGACCTTTGTAGACAAAATGGGAAATTTTTAGTAAAGGTTAAATACATGAAGCCTAAGCTACCCTGATTATTGACTTTCCAGAACTTACTAAAAAACCAATGCTCAGCTCCAGTTCTTCTTGAAAATAATTTCTATTACGAAATAGAAAAGTGAGCATTGTGACCGCTGGCAGAGCATGAGTTCACAGTATTTCCACACAAAGAGAAAGCAGCCCTTGTGCTAAGCCTTGGCATTCAGGTAACACTGATGTAACTCACTGTGGCCTTTTCCACCTTCTGCCTGGAGATCATTTCAAAGCCCACCATCGAGGAAGCTGATAACCCATTGTTTGTAAACTTCAAAAGGGGCTGCTATGAAAGGAACCCATTGCCCAGGGACTGGCAGAGGTTGAGGGCCTCCTGTGGCCCAGGCCTGGGCCAGGTCCGTTGCCCATCTTCCCATCTCCACAACTCCCCTGGGCAGCATCATGTGAATGAGGGCAAAGAGAGGTGGAGGGAGGGAGGAACTAGCCCAGAATCCCTCCTCAGTGTCAAAATTCGGGGGGGCTGCGGAGACCTGCTCTTCCCACCTCAAGGTACTGCTCTCTAGAATAAAATTCTTTAGATCCATTGTAGTCTAAAACCATGTGACCATGCTGTCTAATTTCCTGTGATTCTGCAGATATTTATCATCTATTTTCTGTCATTATTCTATCCCTTCTCTCAAAGATGCTGAGCTCAGGAGTAGCAGCCAAGGTTCCCAAAAAATAGTCGAGGAGTTGCAGGAACCTGTCTCTCCAGATACCATGGAAAACATCCAGGTGAGAGAGACTATCCCTCCATGCCTAGGGTGGGGGGATGGGCCTGGGGGCTACCTGTGACATCAGGGGCATCTCTGGTGCTGGCGTCACTACGGAGAAGTTCTAATGCCTGATGCAGAAAAGGCCTCACTAGCAGTAAGCACACCGCGAGCTGGGGGAAACAGAGGCCTCTGTGTTTGTAACAGACAAATCAAAGCCTCACTGGTGTGCTCCAAAATTCAGGTCAGAACAGAGTGTCAGCCTTTCTCTACCTTCCTCCCTGACTTCAGGAGGCTGAGACAGATAAAACTGCTCATTTAAACTCACTGGGAAATACAGGCTTTCTGAAGAGACTGACACACTATCTGCATACTCCAATGGGACAGCATTTTCCTTACTGCCCTGACTGGTCCCTGCAGACATGGAAACACTTGCCCCATCTCCCAGCAAAGTCCCCTCCCAGCAAAGAGGGGACTCGGGAGATGTGAGTCTTTTAAAGAAGATTATGTGGCATGGATTAGATTGATGGAAATGAAGCTGATTTAATGGAATTAGTTTTTTTTAAGTGCAGCATTCTTTTTACACTAAGGTGCAGTAACGGAGACTGGATTTACTCTCCTGCCTAAAATAACCAAAGTGTGGCTAAAATATAGAAAACACTGTTCATCACTGTAACAAAGGCCAGCGATGCCTGGGAGATGGGAAACAAGCCAAGCGAATCCTGTGGCTGCCCCAGTTGTTTGCCTTGACAGACCTTCTAGGTCACAACGCAGGGCAGGAAGAGCCAGAAGACTTCCCGAGTCTTTAAGTCCATGCAGACTAGAGTGACTAAAGTCTGAAGGACAGAGTACTAGAAAGGACAGAGTGCACAGAGAGAGACATCATTGATCAGCAGATCAGTCAGGCAGTCAGCTGAGTGCTGATCACACCAGGCATGTGAGGAAACCCCTTAAGGCCAGGCTGAGAAAAGAACCTCTGAAAAGGATGAGGATTAATAGTGCCCATGCCTGTACAAAGTTAGGAATAGTGCCTGTTCTCACCAGCCAGACTGGAAAAGCTTATGATTTGCAAGAGAGTACACAAAAGAGTCTTGTGGAGAATAATTAGTTCTAGAGAGGGCACCGCTCCAGTCCTGCTTAACAAATCTTTAAAGCAAGAACTAAAAGAATCAAAGTAACTTAACTGAGTCCCAGAACAAAGTACAAGACTATCTGTAGGAATACAGAATTACTTGGCACCCACCAAGATGAAATTCACAATGTGTGGAATCCAATAAAGAATTACCAGCACTCACAAAACTGGTAATATATTATGCATAAGGTGGAGATAAATCAATCAGTTGAAACCTACATACATATGAAAACATGTTAGAATTAATGGACAAAAACATTAGAACAGTTATCATAACTGTATGTTCCAAAGGTTAAGGAGAGACATAAAAGATATAAAAATGCCCCAAATCAAACTTCTAGAGATTAAAAACTACAATCAATCAAGATGAAAAATACACCAGAAGGATTAACTCCAGGTTAGGCATTGCAGATGAAAGATTAGTGAACTTGAAACAAATATAAATGAGATGTTTTTTCAAGATACGTATCAGTGAGTTTGGGGACAACTTCAGAGACCTAATATATGTGTAATAGAAGTCCACATGAAGAGAGAGAGACGCTAGGACAGAAAAAAAAAACACATTCGAAGAAATAATGACTGAAAAATGATAAATTTGATGAAAACAATATACTCACAGATACAAGAAGCTCAGCAAACACAAGAACATAAAGAAAACTATACCAAAGCCAGTGGAAAACCAGTGATAAAGAGAAAATCTTAAAAGCAGCCAGGAGTAGATTTGGGGGAAGTCAAGTTAGGAACAGAGAAACAAAGATATGAATAACAGGGGATTTCTTATTGGAAATAATACAAGCAGAAAGATAGTAGGATCACATCTTTAAAGAAATAGAAGAAAATAAACTCCACCCTAGAATTTTATACCCAGTAAATATCTTTCATTCAAAATAAAATATGAAATAAAGAGTTTGCCCTACACAGAAAAGGTGGAAAGGTGCATCACCAGCAGACCCACATTACGAGAAATGTTAAAGAAAGCCCTTTAGGCAGAAGGAAAATGGTATCAGATGGAAATTTGGCTCTACACAAAGAGTTGAAGAGCACTGGAAATGGTAACAAAGTGGGTAAATATATAAGATTTTATCCTTAATATTTATATCTTTTTAAAAGATAGTGACTTCACAAACAAAAATAGCGCCGGGTTTATAACATATGTAAAAATAAAATGTATGACAAGAATAGCACAAAGAGCTTGAGAGGAGACCCAGAGGGGAAAAGTATACTATTTTAAGGTTCTTATATCTAAAGTGCTATAATATCACCTAATGACAGTCTGTGATCAGTTAAAGATGTACCACTAATGTTATAAATCAGATTCAAAGAGTTATATCTAATAAGCCTATAGTTGAGATTAAATATCATCATAAAAATACAAAATTAGACCAAAAGAAGACAAAAAGAGAGGAAAAAGGGAGCAAAGACTAGATGGGACAAATTACAAGATGACAGACTTAAACCTAAGTATACAATAATTACATTAAATGTAAACGTTCCAAATGTCCCGATTAAAGATCATGTATATAAGGCAGATATAGAGTGGATAAAATGCAAAATTCAGTTATATGTAGACTATAAAAATGCACTTTAAATATAAAGATACAATAGGCTAAATTTAAAGAATGGAAAAGGATACACCATGCCAACACTAATCAAAAGTTAGCTGGAATGGCTTTACTAATTTCAGACAAAGTAGATTCCAGAACACAGAATACTATAAGAGATAACAAAGGCCAAGAGAATGTAACAATCTTAAATACTTATGCACCCAATAACAGTGCTTCAAAACATACGAAGCAAAAAGTTGTAGAACTGCAAAGATAAATCAATAAAAATTATAGTTAGAGATTTCAATATGCTCCTCTCAATAATTGATAGAATAAGTAGGCAGAAAATCAGTAAGGATAAAGAAGATTTTAATGACAGTGTTGACCAGCCTTGCCCCACCTCCTGGCCTGGGTAGCTGAAGTGCAGCACAGTGGCCCTCAGCATCCCATCAAATGTGACACACTGTGAACAATGTGGATCTTGTGGGCTGCAGCCCTGGTGGCTGAGGGAAGTGCTCTCTGGATGCTGCATATGGAACCACTGTGTTCTCAGTGTGTAGATTCACAGATAGACATGAGTGAATAATAATAGAAAATGGCATGGAACAGTGGGCATCAATGTCAAGATGATACTGGGTAACACCCTACAACTGGATGAACTAATGAGTGAAGAAGAGTATGAGAAATATGTAAAATCCATTGAGGAGTGAGAATGGGACCTCTCAATAAACTAGAATGAAACAACTTAATTCAGCATAGTTGTCTTAAATTAGTAATAGATGGAAGACATAAAATAGCAACTTTTGGTATTACCAGTGGATAAAGAAACTACTCCCAACACTGCTGCTGGAAGAAAATACCCCTTTTCTAAAGATTTCAGACAAACACAATATGCATCTTTTTCACAATACTCTATGATTTTTAGGCTAGGCTCTAGTTATAATATTTAGAATTCATGAAGTTTTCTGTGGTGAGAACTAGCTGTAAAAATTATATATCTTGAGGATAACATTATGTCTTCAGCTTTATATAATATTGTAACTTGCTTATATCCATTCCTGGATTTGAGTCAAAATACTTAATGATCTTTGCATTGAAAATAATTTGGGAGTGGAGAAAACTTTTGTTAGTTGTACAATGTCAGATGAAGAACAATACTGTCTTTTTAAGTTTCAATAGTTTTGGGGCTAAAGTGGTTTTTGGTTACCTGGATAAGTTCTTTAGTGGTGATTTCTGAGATTTTAGTGCATCCGTCACCTGTGCAGTGTACACTGTACCCAATATGCAGTCTTTTATCCCTCACCCCTACCGGCCAAGTCCCCAAAGTCCATTATATCACTCTTACGCCTTTGCATCCTCATAGCTTATCTCCCACTTATGAATGAGAACATATGATATTTGCTTTTCCATACCTGAGTTACTTCACTTAGAATAATGGCCTCCAGCTCTATCCAAGTTGCTGCAAAAGACATTATTTCATTCCTTTCTATGGTTGAATAGTATTTCATACTGTATATACCATATTTTCTTTATCTACTTATTGGTTGATGGACACTTAGTTTGGCTACATATCTTTGCAATTGCAGATTGTCCTGCTGTAAACATGCATGTGCATGTGTCTTTTTCATATAATGACTTCTTTTCCTTTGGGTAGACACCTAGTAGTGGGATTACTGGATCAAATGGTAGTTCTACTTTACCTCTTTAAGGAATCTCCAAACTGTTGTCCATAGTGGTTGTACTAATTTACATTCCCACTGGCAGTGTAAAAGTGTTCCCTTTTCACCACATCCACACCAACATCTATTGTTTTTGATGTTTTAATTGTGGCCATTCTTGCAGGAGTAAGGTGGTATTTCATTGTGGTTTTAATTTGCATTTTCTTGATGATTAGTGATGTTAAACATTTTTTCATGTTTGTTGGCTGTTTGTACATCTTTTGAAAAATATCTATTCATGCCCTTTGACCACTTTATGATGGGATTATTTGTTTTTTTCTTGCTGATCTGTTCGAATTCCTTGTAGATTCTGGATACTAGTCCTTTGTTGGGTACATAGTTTGCAAATATTTTCTCCCACTCTGTGGGTTGTCTGTTTACTTTGCTGATTATTTCTTTTGCTGTGCAGAAACTTTTTAGTTTAGTTAGGTCCAATTTATTTGTTGGTTTTTTGTTTTTTTTTTTGCATTTGCTTTTGGGGTCTTAGTCATGAATTCTTTGCCTAAGCAAATGTCCAGAAGAGATTTTTTTAATGTTATCTTCTAGAATTTTTATGGTTTCAGGTCTTAGATTTAAGTCTTTAATCCATATTATGTTGATTTTTGCATAAGGTGAGAGATGAGTATCCAGTTTCATTCTTCTACATGTGACTTGCCAGTTTTCTCAGCACTATTTGTTGAATATGGTGTCCTTTTCCCACTTTATATTTTTCTTTGCTTTGTCAAAGACTAGTTGGCTGTTAAGTATTTGGCTTTATTTCTGGGTTCTCTGTTCTGTTCTGTTGGTCTACATGCCTATTTTTATACCAGTATTATGCTGCTTTGGCAACTATAACCTTGTAGTATAGTTTGAAGTCAGGTAATGAGATGCCTCCAGATTTGTTCTTTTTGCTTAGTCTTGCTTTGGCTATGCAGGCTCTTTTATGGCTCCGTATGAATTTTCAGATTGTTTTTTCTAGTTCTGTGAAGAATGACGATAGTATTTTCATGGGAATTGC
Organism: Homo sapiens; assembly: GCF_000001405.40. Lineage (NCBI taxonomy): Eukaryota > Metazoa > Chordata > Mammalia > Primates > Hominidae > Homo > Homo sapiens. The sequence goes on from NC_000020.11 coordinate 20,148,318, forward strand.
ATTGAATCTGTAGATTGCTTTTGGCAGTATGGTCATTTTCACAATGTTGATTCTACCCATCCATGAGCATGGGATGTATTTCCATTTGTTTGTGTCATCAGTGATTTCTTTCAGCAGTGTTTTGTAATTTTCCTTGTAGATCTTTCACCTCCTTGGTTAAGTATATTCCTAGGGTTTTTTTGTTTTGTTTTTTGTTTTTGTATTTGTGGGTTTTGTTTGTGTCTGTTGTAAAAGGGATTGAGTTCTCTATTTGATTCTCAGCTTGGTCATTGTTGGTATATTGTAGTGCTACTGATTTGTGTACATTAATTTTGTAACCTGAGACTTTACTGAATTTGCTTATCAGATCTAAGAGCTTTTTGGATGTTTTAGTGTTTTGGATGTTTTGTGTTTTCTAGGTATGTGATCATATCATCAGGAAACAGCAACAATTTGACTTTCTCTTTTCCAATTTGGATGCCCTTTATTTCTTTCTCTTGTTTGATTTCTCTGGCTATGACTTCCAGCACTATGTTGAATAGAAGTGGTGAAAGTGGGCATCCTTGTCTTATTCCAGTTCTCAGAAGGAATGCTTTCAACTTTTCCTCATTCAATATGATGTTGACAATACTTTCTTAATTTTGCAATACACTGAATTTGCTGGTGCTATTTATATACAGTGAAGCAAAAGCTTGGCAGTAGAATAAGAAACAATATAGTAATAAAACAACTTCATTACTCATGAAAAAACATGCAGACAAAACCACTACTGACCGATTTGGCGTAATTGACATATATAAAATACTTCACTCAACAACAGCAGAATATACATTCTTTTCAAGTATACATAGAACATGGACAGTTTACCAAGATAGACCATATTATGGGCTATAAAACAAGACTCAATAAATTTAGGATTCAAGTCATCTGAGATATGGTCTCTCATGACAAAAGACTTAACAAGAAAATAAAACTGCAGATCAGTATTTCTCATGAACATTGATGAGGAAATTCTAATAAAAACTTAGCAAACTGGAAGATGGCAGATAGGAAACAGGGCTGACATGCAGCTCCCACTTGGATGGACAAAACAGCATGTGGAGATTCACACCATGAACTTTTGCTTCGGAAACCATCACAGGAGCATGCCAGGAAAACCAAAAGAAACCACAGATCCTTTGTAAGAAGCAGCAGACTGCTGCAATTGCCACAAGACAGGCGAAAACCTGTGAATTCCCAAAGTGTGAGGGGGGAAACTTGCTTCTGAACACACATCCCCACTGGCGAATCTGAAAATCCAGATTACAGGAGAAAGATTTAACCTTACCTGCCACTGAAATGGATTTAGTGTGAAATATAAAAGTAGAAGCAGCAGTAGGAAGAACCTTCTAGGCACTCCCATTCTCCAGCTCAAGCCCAGGGAAGCCATCCCTGACTATATCTCACAGACATCCTCGGGGAAGGCAGTCCAGATTTTGGAAGGGGTCACAGGGTGAAAGAAACTTCCAACTGAACTTTGTAATAATTTTGACTGGCCACAAACCCTCTTGAGCAGAATCCTGGGGATGAATGGGAACCACTGCAGAAAGGAGTGCAGGAGTCACAGCCAGCAGTGTGGGGAGATGAGGAGGGGCATGGCCTGAAAGCCATACTTGCTTCTTCAGTGGAGAAACTTATAGCATGGGGCTGGGTCTGAGTCCTACACACAGGCTGCCTGTAGATAAACTTGTCGCTCTTAGCAGAGCATGGCAAGAGCGAGACTGGCCTCACCAACTCCATGGGAGTGGGGTGAAACCTATTGTTACTGGCTTTCCCCCACTTCCCTGGTGACAGAGGCAGCCATGATTCCCTCTGGAACATAACCCCATGCGCCCACCACCCCCCTACACTCCAAAGTGGCTTCAGTAAGCCCTGCTCAAGGAGGGTCTGAGCTCAGACCTGCCTATTCCTACCCACACCTGATAGTATTTCTCTACCCACCCCAGTAGCCAATCACAAAAGACGTAAAAGCTTGGGATCTTTATGGCCCTGCCCATCACCTGAGAAACCCAAATTCTTATCCTGGCCAACACAGGGCAAGCTTATATCCCCCTTCTACTATTGCAGCTGGTGCTCTCTCGAAAGTGCCACCTCCTGGCTTGAGGCCAACCAACTCAGGACATTACAGCAACTCATGACAGAACAACCCTGCTCCAAGAAAGGAGAAAACAAAAACCAATTCCACTGCCTGAAACATCCTGGATAACCAGTGGTCCTGAGTCTGTCCACATGACAGCTTCACTGCTAGCATAACTAGCATTTGAGAAAGCCAGCACACTAAGCATATCTACAACCAAGGACTCTCACAGAGCCTACTTCACTCCCCTGCCACCTCCACCAGAGCAGGTGCTGGTATTCATGGTTGGGAGACCTGAAGATAGATTGTATCACAGGACTCCTTGCAGACATTCCACAGCAATAACCCAGAGCCTGGTAGCCCCACTGGGTTACCAGACCCAGAAGAGAAATAACAATCACTGCAATTTGGCTCTCAGGAAGTCCCATCTGTAGGGGAAGAGGGAAGGCACCACATCAAGGGATTACTTTGTGGGACAAAAGAATCTGAACAGCAGCCCTTGAGTTCCAGATTTTTCCACTGACATAGTCTACCCAAATGAGAAGGAACCAGAAAAGAAATTCTGGTAATATGACAAAACAAGGTTCTGTAACACCCCCAAAAGACCACACTAGCTCCCCAGCAATGGATCCAAACCAAGAAGAAATCTCTGAATTGCCAGATAAAGAATTCAGAAAGTTATAAAGCTCCTCAAGGAGATACCAGAGAAAGGTGAAAACCAACTTAAAGAAATTTTTTAAAAAAATACAAGATATTTATGAAAAATACTCCAGAGAAATAGATGTCATAAAGAAAGAAATATAGCTTCTGGAAATGCAAGACACACTTAGAGAAATACAAAATGCACTTGAAAGTTTCAACAGTAGACTAGAACAAGTAGAAGAAAGAACTTCAGAGCTTAAAGACAAGGCTTTCAAATTAACCCAATTAGACAAAAAAAAAAGAATTATTAAAAAATGAACAAAGCCTCCAAGAAATTTGGGATTATGTTAAACGGCCAAACCTAAGGATAACTGGTATTCCTGAGGAAGAAGAGAAATCTAAGTTTGGAAAACATATATGAGGGAATAATCAAGGAAAACTTCCCTGGCCTCACTAGAGATCTAGACATCCAAATATAAGAAGCTCAAAGGGCCAGGTTCAGTGGCTCATACCTGTAATCCCAGCACTTTGGGAGGCCGAGGTGAGCGGATCACGAGGTCAGGAGATTGAGACCATCCTGACTAACACAGTGAAACCCCGTCTCTACTAAAAATACAAAAACAAAATTAGCCAAGTGTGGTGGTGGGCACCTGTAGTCCCAGTTACTCGGGAGGCCGTGGTGGGAGAATGGCGTGAACCCAGGAGGTGGAGCCTGCAGTGAGCTGAGATGGCGCCACTGCACTCCTGTCTGGGCGACAGAGCAAGACTCCGTCTCAAAAAAAAAAAAAAAAAAAGAAGCTCAAAGAACATCTGGGAAATTCACTGGAAAAAGATCATCACCCAGGCACATAGTCATCAGGTTATCTAAAGTCAAAGTCAAGACAAAGGAAAGAAAATTAAGACCTGTAAGGCGGAAACATCAGGCGACCTATAAAGGAAAACGTATCAGATTTACAGCAGGTTTCTCAGCAGAAACACTACAAGCCAGAAGGGATTGGGTCCTATCTTTAGCTCCTCAAACAAAATAATTGCCAGCCAAGAATTTTGTATCCAGCAAAACTAGCTTCATAAATGAAGGAGAGAGAAAGTGTTTTTCAGACAAACAAATGCTAAGAGAATTTGCCACTACCAAGCCAGCACTACAAGAAATACTAAAAAAAGTTCTAAATCTTGAAACAAAACTTCAAAATACATGAAAATAGAACCTCCATAAGCATAAATCTCACAGGGCCTATAAAACAATAACACAATGAAAAAAAAAACACCAAAGTATTCAGGCAACAACTAGCATGTTGAATAAAACAGTACCTCATATCTCAGTACTAACATTGAATGTAAATGGTGTAAATGTTCCACTTAAAAGACACAGAATGGCAGAATGGATAAACATTCACCAATCAAGTATCTGCTGTCTTGAAGAGACTCACCTAATGCATAAGGATTCCTATAAACTTGCAGTCAATGGGTGGAAAAAGTTATTTCATGCAAATGGAAACCAAAAATGAGGAAGAGTAACTATTTTTATGTCAGAGAAAACATACTTTAAAGCAACAACAGTTAAAAAAAGTGGGACATTATAAAATGATTTTTAAAAAATCAGTCCTACAGGAAAATACCCCAATCCTAAATATATATGCACCTAACATGGTAGCTCCCAAATTTATAAAACAATTATTACTAGACATAAGAAATGAGATAGATGGCAACACAATAATAGTGGGGGACTTCAATACTCCATTGACAGCCTGAGACAGGACATCATGACAGAAAGTCAACAAAAAAAATGCACTTAAACTATACCCTAGAACTAATGGACTTAACAGATATTTATAGAACATTCAATACCCAACAACTGCAGAATATACATTCTTTTCATCAGCACATGGAACATTCTCCAAGATATGCCATATGATGGGCCACAAAACAAGTCTCAATAAACTTAAGAAAATTGAAATTATATCAAGTACCCTCTCAGACCACAGTAGAATAAAATTGGAAATTAACTCCAAAAGGAACCCTCAAAACTATACAAATACATGGAAATTAAATAATCTGAACTTGAATGATCTTTGGGTCAACAGTGAAATCAAGATGGAAATAAAAAATTATTTGAACTGACTGATAATAGTGACACAATTTATCAAAACCTCTGGGACACAGCAAAAGTGGTGCTAAGAGGAAAGTTCATGGCATTAAATGCCTACATCGAAAAGTCTGAAAGAGCACAGATAGACAGTCTAAGGTCACACCTCAAGGAACTAGAGAAACAAGAACAAATCAAACCCAAACCCAACAGAAGAAAAGAAATAAAAAGATCAGAACAGGACTAAATGAAACGGTAACAAAAAAATTCAAAAGATAAACGAAACAAAAAGCTGGTTCTTTGAAAAGATAAACAAAATTGATAGACCATTACCAAGATTAACCAAGAAAAGAAGAGAGAAGATCCAAATAGCCTCAATTAGAAATGAAATTTCTAATTGATATTACAACCAATACCACAGCAACATTCAAGACTGCTGTGAACACCTTTAGGTGCACAAACTAGAAAATCTTGAGGAGATAGATAAATTCCTGGAAATATACAACCCTCCTAGATTAATCAGGAAGAAATAGAAACTCTGAACAGACCAATAACAGGTAGTGAGATTGAAACAATAATTTTAAAATTGCCAACAAAAAAAGTCCAGGACCAGATGAATTCACAGCTGAATTCTATCAGGCATTCAAAGAAGAATTGGTACCAATCTTACTGATACTGTTCCAGAAGATAAAGAAAGAGGTAATCCTCCTTAAATCATTTTATGAAGCCAGTATCACACTAAAACCAAAACCGGGAAAGGACATAACCAAAAAAGAAAACTATAGACTAATAATCCTGATGAACATAGTTGCAAAAATCCTCAACAAAATGCTAGCTAACCATATCCAACATCATATCAAAAAGATAATACACCATGATCAAGTGGGTTTCATACCAGGGATGCAGGGTTTAACATATACAAGTTAATAAATGTGATATGTGACATAAACAGATTTAAAAACAAAAATCATATTATCATCTCAAAAGACACAGAGAAAGCATTTGATAAAATCCAGCATTCCTGTAGGATTAAAACCCTCAGCAAAATTGGCATAAAAAGGACATACCTCAAGTAATAAAAGCCATCTATGAGACACCCACAGCTAACATTATACTGAACAAGGAAAAGTTGAAATCATTCCCCCTGAGAACTGGAACAAGACGAGGATGCACATTTTCACCACTTTTATTCAACATAGTACTTAATGTCCTAGCCAGAGCAATTAGACAAAAGAAAGCAACAAAAGCCATCCAAATTGATAAAGAAGAGGCCAACTGTCGCTATTCACTGATAATGTGATTGTATACCTAGAAAACCCTAAGGACTCATCCAAAAAGCTCCTAGATCTGATATATTCAGTAAAGTCTCAGGTTACAAAATCAATGTATACAAATCAGTAGCACTGCTATACACCAACAGTGACCAAGCTGAGAATCATATACAGAACTCAATCCCTTTTACAACAGCTGCCAAACAAAACAAAACAGCAACAACAACAACACACAAACAAAAAAATCCCAAAACAACAACAACAAACCTTAAAAAAACAAACAAAAAACCTAGGAATATACTTAACCAAGAAGGTGAAAGACCTCTACAAGGAAAACTACAAAATACTGCTGAAAGACATCACTGATGACACAAACAAATGGAAACACATCCCATGCTCATGGATGGGTAGAATCAATATTGTGAAAATGACTATACTGCCAAAAGCAATCTACAGATTCAATGCACTTCCCATAAAAATACCATCATCATTCTTCACAGAACTAGAAAAAACAATCCAAAAATTCATATGGAGCCATAAAAGAGCCTGCATAGCCAAAGCAAGACTAAGCAAAAAGAAGAAATCTGGAGGCATCACATTACGTGACTTCAAGCTGTACTATAAGGCTATAGTTACCAAAAAAGCATGGTACTGGTATAAAATAGGCATGTAGACCAACAGAACAGAATAGAGAACCCAGAAATAAAGCCAAATACTTAAGAGCCAACTAATCTTCAACAAAGCAAACAAAAACATAAAGTAGGAAAAGGACACCGTATTCAACAAATAGTGCTGGGAAAACTGGCGAGCCACATGTAGAAGAATGAAGCTGGATCCTCATCTCTCACCTTATACAAAGATCAACTCAAGATGGATCAAAGACTTAAATCTAAGAGGTAAAGCCGTAAAAATTCTAGAAGATAACATTGGAAAAAACTCTTCTAGACATTGGCTTAGGCAAAGACCAAGAACCCAAAAGCAAATGCAACAAAAACAAAGATAAATAGATGGGACCTAATTAAACTAAAAAGCTTCTGCACAGCAGAAGAAATAACCAGCAGAGTAAACAGACAGCCCACAGAGTGGGAGGAAATATTTGCAAACTGTGTATCTGACAAAGAACTAGTATCCAGAATCTACAAAGAACTCAAATGAATCAGCAAGAAAGAAACAAATAATCCCATCAAAAAGTGGGCAAAGGACATGAATAGAGAATCCTCAAAAGAAGATTTACAAACAGCCAACAAACATACGAAAAAATGCTCAACACCACTAATTATCAGGGAAATGAAAATCAAAACCACAATGGAATGTCACCTTACTCCTACAAGAATGGCTATAATTTAAAAATAAAAAAACAACAGATCTTGGCTTGGATGTGGTGAAAAGGGAAGAGTTTTTCAATGCTGGTGGGAATGTAAACTAGTACAAGCACTATCGAAAACAGCATGGAGATTCCTTAAAGAATTAAAAGTAGAACTACCATTTGATCCAGCAGTCCCACTACTGGGTGTCTACCGAGTGGAAAAGAAGTCATTATATGAAAAATACACTTGCACAAGCATGTTTATAACAGCACAATTTGCAATTGCAAAAATATGGAACCAGACTAAATGCCATCAACATAGAGTCTTTTATCTGCACATTGGGTACAGTATACACTGCTTGGATGATGGGTGCACTAAAATCTCAGAAATCACTAAGGAACTTTTCCATGCAACCAAACACCAACTGTTCTCCCAAAAATATTGAAATAAAAAAATTTAAAAATTAGCAAACTGAGTCAATATACAAAAAGGATAATCATGACTGAGTAGGGTTTATTCTAGGAATGCAAGTTTGGTTTAACATAAGAAAATCGGTGTAATTCACCATTTTAACAAACTAAAAAAAAACCATATGTTTATCTCATAAATATATAAAAGACATTTGAAAATCTAACATTAATTCCTCATAAAGACTCTTAGCACTTTTTCAATTTGACAAAGGTTATTTTTGAAAAACTTACAGCAAACGTCACACATAATGGTGAAGGACTAATTGTTTCACCCTTAAAGTCAGGAACAAGTTAAGAATGCCTTTTCTCACCACTTCTAATCAAAACTGTACTGAAGATTTGAACCAGTGCAAAAAGATAGGAAAAGAAATGAAAGGCATCCAGATTAAAAAGGAATAATTAAGACTATCTTTCACTCACAGACAACATGACTACCTATGAAAAAAAAATCTGATGGAATCTACAAAACAGCTACTATAACTAATATATAAAAAATTAATATGCAAAATTTAGTTGTATCTCTGTATAATAGCAATGAACAATCAGATTGAAATACCATCTACAACAGTACAAATATGTTAAATACTTATAGATTAAATCTGACGAAAGATATTCAAGACTTCTATGGTGAAAACTACAAAACATTTCTGAGAGAAATTAAAGAAGACCTAAATACATGGAGAGATATTCTATGTTCGTGGGATATTGAATCTTTAAATCAGTTCTTTGCAAATTTGGTAAAATCCCAATCACATTTTCAGCAGGAATTTTTATAGAAGTTTAATTAATTGATTCCAAAATTTATATGAAAATGGAGATAACCTAAAACAGCCAGAGAAACTTTGAAAAATAACAAAGCTGTAGGATAACACTAACTGATTTCAAGATTAATTATTGTAAGATTCTTTTTTTTCTCTCTCTCTATTGCCCAGGCTGGAGTGCAGTGGCATGATCTCAGCTCAGTGCAACCTCCGCCTCCCAGGTTCAAGTGATACTCATGCCTCAGCCTTCCAAGTAGCTGGTACAGGTGTGAACCACCACACCTAGATTTTTTTGTATGTATTTTTAGTAGAGATGGGGGTTTGCTATGTTGGCCAGGCTGGTCTTGAACTTTCAGCCTCAAGTGATCCGCCCACCTTGGCCTCCCAAAGTACTGGAATTACATGTGTGAGCCATTATGCCTGGCCTAATTATTATAAGATTATTGTAATGAAGATAGTGTAATATAGGTGCTAAGGTCAACAGTAGGTTAATGGAATAGAATTAAACAACTCAGAAATAGGCTCAACATATAGACAACTGATTTTTGACAAAGGCACATGGCAATGTAGTGGAGAAAGAATAGTCTTTTCTCTCTGAAACAATTTTATATCCATATACAAACTTTTAAAAAACTCAATCCATACCTCACACCATATACAAAAATTAGCTGCAAATGAATCATAGACTTGAATGTAGAATTCAAACCAATATAACCTCTAGAGAAAACATAACATAGGAGAAAATGTTTGTGACCTTGGGTTAGGTAAGATTTCTTAGAAACAACATTAAAAGCACAATACATAAAAGAAGAAATTGACCAATTAGATGTCATCAAAATTTAAAACCTTTTCTTTTTGAAAAGTACTTTAAGAGAATGAAAAGACAAGCTACAGACTGGGAGAAAATATTTGCAAATTACATATCTGACAGAGGACTTGTTTCTACAACATATTTTTTAAAACTCTCAAAACACAATAATACAAAGTAAAAAAGCTAATTAAAAATAGGCAAAAGATCATCATTCTCAGTAAACTATCGCAAGAACAAAAAACCAAACACCGCATATTCTCACTCATAGGTGGGAATTGAACAATGAGATCACATGGACACAGGAAGGGGAATATCACACTCTGGGGACTGTGGTGGGGTGGGGGGAGGGGGGAGGGATAGCATTGGGAGATATACCTAATGCTAGATGACGAGTTAGTGGGTGCAGCGCACCACCATGGCACATGTATACATATGTAACTAATCTGCACAATGTGCACATGTACCCTAAAACTTAAAGTATATTAAAAAAAATAGATTAAAACAAATATCAAATGAAAAAAAAAATGTGGCCAAATACTGTTATTGTGGAGAAGCCTGAATCTGGCATTAAATTACACCAAGTGGACCTTTGAAAAAAAAAAAAAAAAAAAGATTTGAACTTTCCAAAATAAGACATCACATGAAATGACACTCAATCTCATTAGTCATTAGAGAAATGCAAATTAAAACCACAATCAAATACAACTACACGTCTATTAGAATGACCAAAACTAGAAAGATTAAGCATTCCAAGTGTTGGTGAGGATGTGTAAGTGCATCCACACCAGGATACTATTCAGCAACAAAGAGGACTAAACCACTGATGCGTGCAACAGCATGGATGAATTTCAAAGTAAACATGCTGAGTGAAAGAAGCCAGATCAAAAAAGAATAAATACTATTTGATTTCAGTAATATAAAATTACAGAAAGTACAAACTATAATGACAAAAATCATATCAGTATTTGCCTGTGGTTGGCAGAGTAGAAAGGGTGGGAGTGAGAGGCACATGGGAACATGGAAGCTTGGGGGGCGATGTGTCATGTTCATTATCTTGATCACAGTGATATTTTTATGGGTGTACACATAAATCAAAGCTTTTCAAAAAGGATACTTCAAATATATGTAGCTTATTGTATGTCAATTCTATTAGGTTGGCACAAATTACTTTTGGTGCACAAATAATTGCAGTTTTTGCCATTACTTTAATGCAATTACTTTTGATATAATTACTTTTGCACCATCATAATACCTCAATACAGTAGTTTTTTAAAGAAAAAACTTAGTGCACCTTTCAAGTTAAACAGAAGAATAGGAATAATGGAGTAATAACTAACATCTCCAGAGAATCAGGAGGCACCTGCACTATGCAAAGCATCTGTTTCTCTATCTGTCTGTCTTTATTTTATCCTCATAACAGCCTTATGAAATAGATGCTCTTCTCATCCCCTTTTCACAGAGGAGGAAACTGAGGTTACATAATTTTCCCAATGCCACAAGGCCAGTAAGCTGTAGAGCCAGGGTCTGAACCCTGGCAGTTTGCTCCAGAGCTTGGACTCTAAACCACTGTAGGTGTCGATTAATTTTCATGTTTTGCTGTCATCATTTCCAGGGAAATATTGCCAGAGAAGCTGCATCCGAGGAAGCTTTAACAGCAGTCCAAAGTGGAAATGTTAGTGAACCGGAGGTAGGGTTTGACGAGGGCCTTTGCGTGCCTTCTAGCCACCCCATGGGTTTCACACCTTTCTACCTCAGAGGATTTGTGCCCTTTCCTCCTCCCAATCTCCCTGCCTGTCTCCACCAGTTCACACCTACCACCTCCTTTAGGACTTGCTGCACCAAGCCTCACCTCCTTACCTCTTCCCCTGCTGTGATTAATCTTTTCTTCTGTATCCTCTGCATGGCCTGGACTGTAAGTTGCATTTTCTACATAAATTATTTGCAAAAATTTTAGTAAATACAGCTTATCTCTCCTTCCCATTGCCCAAAAAGAAAACATTTTGGAGAGGCAAAACATTTGTAAGAGTTTTCTCTGTATCATATGCACATACATACACTTCTGTCCGTGTCTAGGTGTGTTATTAATATATGTCATTTACATTCATCTCAGGATTTTGGAAGTCCTCCCTCCTGTTACAAATTCAGGCCAAGGGGCATAGCATCTTCCACCAGTGCAGTGGCTATCCCTGGGGACTTCACCATCCTTTGTTGGTTTCCCTTCACCCCACCCATGCCTTTGCAGGTGGTCCGTTGACCACTCCATTGGAGTGTCCCTTCTGTTCCCTGCCAGAAGCCTGGTGGTTCAGGAAGAGATTGGCAGGGTCCTGTGAACCCTGCTCAGGATCTCAGACTTTTCCTAAGAAGCAGAGGAGGGTGTTGTAGGCTTTTGAGTGGGAGGTTGGTACAATAAAGCATTTTCATTCCCTGATGATGAGCATAGTCCTGGAATTTCAGTAGTTTCCCAAGAGCCTCTTGGTGATGGATGGACTGACTCAGCAACAGAAGCCTAGAGAACCCTTGAGAAGGGAATGGAACATGGGGCTTGGTCATATCCATAGAGGCACTGGGACAGATTCACTGAACACTAAGCCCAGACACTGAAGTTCTGCCAGAGGACCAGGTTCTCCAACCTGTCTCCTCTCCAGATTCTGACCAGTGAAGGAGTCTACCCAGAAGTCAGCTAGGGATTGAAGTACCCCTTTCTCATGGCTAACACTGAACCAGAGAACAAAGCTTGGACCGAGAACACAAATGGGCTTCCCATTTCTCCTTACTGAATTAAGTGCCCCCATGTGGTTGTAGGCAGGCCTCACCTGTGGGGCAGGGTCTCCCCACTCCCAGCTAATTGCATGGAGGGGAGGAGAAAACACACAACCTGGGAGCAGGATGTGCTGTCAGAAAGAGAAAGCACGATGTAGGCACAGGGTCCAGTTTTTGAATCTCACATTAGCATATGCTGTTGGAGCCCCACCCATATCCTCTAGCACGTATTCTTCCTGAGCACTCTGTGAAGACAAGGACTGCAAGTGCCTGGTCTTTCTTCCATGCCATGTTTGCAGCAGGGCAGGCTGTTTGGGGAAGCAGCCATCAGCCAGTGACTGAAGGGATTGGAGAATCAATTTGCCAGCTCCTTCACCTCTTAGGTGGGACCACTCTGCACTGTGTTCTCTAGGCTTTCGGAGATCCAGGTGGGGTTGATTCACCATAGTCACCCACATCTTGAAACACCCCATGCTGGCAGCCTCCCCTTCCTCACCTCGCATGCCACTCCTCTTACAGAATTTCCTGGCTTTGCTCCCCAAGTAAACTACTGACTCTCAGACACTTAATTCAGGGTGTGTTTCTGGGGCAACCCACACTAGGAGACTCACTGACCAGTTGGTCACTCCCTGTGCCCTAGGGAGGAAAGTCAGGGTGTAGAAGAGGACAGCAGTTTTCTCTCTAATATTCCTAAGAGGGTAGCCGTTCCGTTATGAACCCAAGCAAGGATGTGGTTGGAGGGACAGGATGCCTGCCCCCACCACTGCATCAAACATGGTTGGAACCCCAGAAGACACCTGAGTCAACAAGGTGGATTGATCTCCTATTTTTATCTCCTCTCCCTACCGGAGAAAAACACTGAAATGACAGTAAAGGGATAAAAAGGGCACAAATCCACAAAGGTGAGATGGAGAGGAGATATTGGAAGATAAGCACTTTAAAAATATTGAGAATAAAAAAATCAATGGAAGAGTTTACATTGGCTTAGCACAGCTGAGGAAGGTGAAACTCAGGCATCTTTATGGGAGGAGAGACTGGTGAAAAGTGTGTGAATTCTGCACAAGGCTGAAGACTGGAGGTTTGCAGAAGGTGGGGTGAGGAATTGGGCTGAAAAGCTGGGCAGTCTGATGTGGAGTGACTGGAACACTGGATCCCTGCAGACTCCAGTTAGGTTGTCAGCCACACCCCAAGTGAGAGGATAAAATGACTATTCTCTAGAGAAATTGAACAGAGGCTGCTGCTAATTCAGATTTAGCCTGTGCTGCATGGGCGTTGTAACGGTGAGGAATAGAGAACAGACAAGTAAGTGGAATTCTCCACTTCGAACAGAGGAATCCACAGCCCCTCCTCCAGCCACGCCCTCTCAATGCCAGGAGCCAGGCCTTGTATTAAGTTTCTATTGCTGCTGTTACACATTACCCCAAACTTGGTGGCTTATAACAACACAAATTTATTATTGTGCAGTTCTGGAGGTTAGCATTCCAAAATGGGTTTGAGTGTGCTGAGCTTCAGGTGTAGACAGGGGCGTGTTCCTTCTGGAGACTCTAGGGGAGAATCTGTTCCCTTGCCTTTGCCAGCTTCTAGAAGCCACTTGCATTCCATGCCCTGTGTCCCCTTCCTCCATCTTCAGAGCTGGCAGCGCAGCATCTTCCTCCCTCTGACTCAGACCTGCTGCCTCCCTCTTAGCAGATCCCTATGATTCCTCTGGGCCCACCCGGATCATCTAGGAGCATCTCCTCATCATAGAACCCTTCATGTGATGACATCTGCGAAATCCCTGTGCCCTGAAAGATAACATATTTACAGGTTGCAGGGACTAGTACCTGTAACATCTTTGGGGACCACAGTCCTCAATACAGAATATTGGAGAACTTAAGTCCCAAAAAACTGACAGGCCCAAGGAAAATGCCTTCAGATGATGTCACTGAAGGTGGCCACCCAGTAATAATGCCAGATCTCTGCCTGATCACCCCATGAAGTGCCCCAGTTAGCCAGTGTCTGTGGAGTTTTGCCTCTCAAGCATGTTGCTTTTAGGAAGCTAAAAATGTGCTCTAACGATATGAGGGCCTAAATGATGAACAAAAAAGACAAAGAAAAGACCTGGAACTTACAAAATAGGAGCTGCAATACAGGCAGGACGGCAGAGCTGCAAGTCCAGATTAGAGGGGAGAAAAAAGGAAGCTCATATATTATCTCAAACGCCTGATCATTTGGAAAATAATAGTGACCAACACTTGGCAAATCTGATAAAGGAAGTGAAAAACTTAGCAAACCAAGTGAATAAAAACTAAGCACACAGATGAAAACATTGTCATATTACACTACTTTGCTCAGCAACAACAGAACTTACACATTCATATTAGTGTAAATACTTACGGATTTAACCCTGAATTGTGATGTAATTTTCCTGGGGGATAAGATGTGGGGAAGAGGGTAGTATGAGAGGGATTAATCTAGCCACTGCATCAATATTGAATAGGAAATTCTAAAAACTAATGAATTTAGAAACAGCACCATAAGCATATTGTTCAGAAATATAGAGGTAAATATATACCCAAATAAATGAAAACGTTGAAAGTTCTGTTCAATGGGGGTAGAGACTTGGAAGGACAGAGAACTGCTGATTTTCTTAATAAATGTTTGGTGCTAATATTATTTTAAATTTTTCCATATGCATGTATTACTTTGATTTAAAAGAACTCCATGAGGGATCTCAAAGGGAATCATCTTCTGAGTTATGACACCTTTTTAGGTGCACCTAAACCAAGACAGAACAGCCTCAGCCCTGACTTTCCAGGTGGCTGTGGTCCACTGGACCTTCCTGGGCTCCACCTCCCCACGATAGTTACTCCCAGGACCACCTGAGCAGTCCCAAGATTCAAAAATTCTTGTATCACAATGAAAACAGCTTTGGGGACAGAGGGATTTTGCTTCTGGAGTTATTATAATATGTATATAATACTATCACGCTCTAATCTCTACCCTGGGATGCAGTTAAAATATGGACCCTATGTCAAAGGCCAACTGAAACTATTTGTCTTGTGTGAGACCTTCATGTGAGAACTAGTTTTTTTTTTCTTTATTATTATTATTTTTTAAATTTTATTTTACGTTCTGGGATATGTGTGCAGAACGTGCAGGTTTGTTACCTAGGTATACATGTGCCATGGTGGTTTGCGGCACCTATCAACCCGTCATCTAGGTTTTAAGCCCTGCCTGCATTAGGTGTTTGTCTTAATGCTCTCCCTCCCTTTCCCCCCGACCCCCCTGACAGGCCCCAGTGTGTGTTGTTCCCCTCCCTGTGTCCATGTGTTCTCATTGGAGAACTAGTTTTTAAAAACATTTTATGAATTTTGAGTATCTCATTAAGAACCTCTCCTTAAAACCAGGCCTGGCCCAGGATGAGTTGTTTCGGGTGACAGTCACACCTGTCCTCAGAACGGTGTCATGTAGAGATAATGCAGCCACCAGCCCACTAAATTACAGGGCATTGACAGGATTCTCATTGGCTCCTCCTGTCTCCTTGCTCTAGGACATAGAAAAACTCAGTGACATCTCCACTGGATATGCACAGTATCACCATGTCAGCAGTAGGAGCTTGGCATCGCTCGTACTGCCTGAAGAGCCCGTCCACTTCCGCCCCATCTACAGGGGAGCCTCAGCTGCTTTTTGTATTCAGCTGTTTTGTATTGATGAGAAATATGAAGCAAGGCAAGTACTGACCTTCTGGCTGGCTGTCACAGTGAGAATCTTTTCTGGCATTGGTGGCCCAACATTTTAACTTTACAGAGCCAGTAATTTCCAAACCTGGCCCACATCCTAATCTCCTGGGGAATTTTTTAAAACACAAATTCCTAAGCCCCATCCAGAGATTCTAGTCCATCAAATTTTAACAAGGCCTACAGAAGTGGGCTAGAAATCTGGCCTACCTATGTAACAATTGGGAATCTGGAAAATTATCACTTACATAACCACATGCTGCTCCCATTCTGTAAAGTTTGCATCTCTTGGATAATTTGAATTTGGGTTACTGGTTGTCTAGAGTCTTTGGTTGCAAGTAACAGGAAATCCAACCAAACTGGCTTTGAAAAAAAAATTGAATAATTGCCTCACATAACTAAGGATAACTCTGGTGGTGAGACTGTTTTAAATATGGCTTGATCTAGGATTTATTTAGATTACCAAATCAAGGACCAAGTTTCTCTCTCTACCTCTTCACCCTGTGTGTTAGTCTGTTTTCATGCTGGTGATAAAGACATACTCAAGACTGGGTGATTTATAAAGAAAAAGAGGTTTAATGAACTCACAGTTCCACGTGGCTGGGGAGGCCTCACGATCATAGGGGAAGATGAAAGCCATGTCTTACATGGCGGCAGGCAAAGAGACAATGAGAGCCAAGTGAAAGGGGTTTCCCCTTATAAAACCATGAGATTTCATGAGACTTATTCAATACCACAAGAACAGTATGGGGGAACCACCCCCATGATTCAGTTATCTCCCACAGGGTCCCTCCCACAACACGTGGGAATTATGGGAGCTACAATTCAAGATGAGATTTGGGTGGGGACACAGCCAAACCATATCACCCTACTTCCCTGCTGTTGGACCCCTTCTCAGAGGAGTGCCCCATCCTGGGCCTAAGACCACTGACATTCTCAGGTCTCAGGTCTGCATCAGAATCCAGTGAGAAGGACTTGCCGGGATGGGCCCAGCTTTTTCCAGCCAAAGTCTCATGAGGCCTGACAGGACTGTGTGTTCATTCCTGAGCCAACGGCTGTGACAAGCCCATGCCACAAGGAGATGGAGAAGATGGGCTCCATCCCTTAGCTCATGCTCCATGCCAAATCTGCAGCTGGAGTCTCAGCTACATGGAATATCTGAGCAGGGGATAAGTTGACACCCAACAGCAATCCAGGGCTACAGCAAAGAGGAGGCATGCATGGTGCTGGGCTTTGTCTAAAGCCCCGGCGCCCACCAGACCTCACAGCCACCCACCCTGCCCCTCCAGAACACCCACATGTTCAGTGCTTGCTGTTCTCCTGTGGTCTGGACACTGGACGCTGCCCTCAGTGCCTGGATTCCACATCTCCTTAGCACCCACCCCTCATCTGTTCACAGAACCATCTCGAAGAGGAAATAATTGGCCCATTTTGATGGAGTGGAAGGCTCTAGGGTGTCTTTTAGATGAGCAAGAATAGCTGGACAGTTCCTCTTCAGAGGATCTGTTTAAACATGTTCCCAGTCTCCCAGCATCCCCTGTTGTACTTTAACTTTTTTCATCTCGAGTTTTTAGCTTCTATGGAGATCTGGGACATTGAAAAGAAATTCTTTTTATTCTAATTATGTTGTAGACATATAAAACCTTGTAAAGCCTTTCTATATTTGTTGCTTTATATTTCTTTTATCTGTACATTTAAATATGATTGTGCTTAGAGTATACTTTTTGAATTTTGAAACAGGAATTTGATGACCCAGTGTGGTTTGCCTATGAATGTACATCTACAGCTAGTCAGAAAATCTTCAACAGATAAAAGGGAAACAGATCAGAAGCAACCTATAATATTTCCCACCTCTCCTCTTAACTCTTCCAAAACAGAAGGGAAGGATCGGAGGCACAGAATGACCAATTTTGTGTTGGCTTTTCAAATGCACAGAGATTGTTAATTGATGTGAAAGTGCCTTCAGTTCTGCAGAATACTTTATTACTGACATACGAAGCTTGCGACTTATGCACCCCATTAGTGTTCACCTAGACACACATTCTGACTAGTGGTTGGCTAATCGCTGCCCGAGGGGAGGGAGCTGTAAATCTCTGTAAACGTCCACTGATGTTGCATTTGCTTGCAGGGCACTGACAGTGCTTACTGTCTTGTTTACAGGTCGCTGGATTTTATGAATTTTGTTTTCAGTCTTTTTTCTGTAAGTACATGCTGAATTTTGAGAACTGATTTTGTAAGCTTAGAGAACTTATAGAAAAGTAAAATGCCATAAATTTATTATGCTGTGAATGTTGAGGTTTGTGTTCGGAGAATAAGGTCAAATGGCATGTCATGAGCTCATAAAAATACAAAATATTGTCATTTTCAAGAATTTTTAAGTCATGCTATTTTAGCAGTTCTCTTTAAATGCAAAATTTCTGTTACACATAGCTTTACCAGTGTTTTATCAGAATCAAATCATTCATAGTAATACATGAAAATGTTGGAAATTAAAGTGAATGACACTGTTATTTTATAGATTATGTTGGCTCCAAGTATTCTGAAACCATCATATTGCTTTTCTGAGGGTAGCAAAGTAGGGACTTGTTGATTTTGAGGTTGGCATTTCTTTCCCTACTAGTTCCTCAGGCCTGACTTCATGCCTGGCTGGTAGAGGGGGCTCAACCCACATTGATGAATGGGCCTGCAGGCTAATATCCAAGTACAAATAAGATTCTCCATGCCAGGGTGTCCCGGGCTTCTGCCTACATTCTTGTCTCATTATTTTCTAGGGATGAAGATCTAACCAAACTCTTACACTTCTTTATTGAAGGAAAGAAAATGAGGAAGGAAGTTTTGAGGGACAAAATGCATTTTTATAAAGACAGGCCTGTTAATTAAGTAAAGTCAACAACTGTACTTCTCCAGTTGACTGATTTCAAGAAAAGTATCTATTGCTTTACTTTTCCTGGATACTGTTTCTAATGAGGCAAAAACAAGTATAGTTTAATTATTTTGTCTTACAACTATGTGATGTTAGGTTTTATTTCCTCATTTGTTATTATAATGAAGCTTTATAATAAGGCAATATGTTCTCCATCATAATTTTTAAAAATTACTTATTAAGGCACTTTCCAAACAATGTAGATTACCCTGAACATAGGATTTACAAAGTCGGTTTCCCTCAAAAACTCCTCAAATAAATTTCACTAATTTTAATTATTTTCTACTTTAACGTCCATGTAAACGTAAATATTTAACATTATAAAAGTAATGCTGGCTTTAAAAAGGTAAAAGAGCTGTTTACATTTCAATTCTATTTGACTTCGGAACATGGACGACAGGAAAAAAAATAACCTTGGTTGCTTCATCCTTAATCCTTCAAATCCAAGATGAAGCAACTCATTATAGTTAGTCTCTCCCTCCCAGAGGAAGCCCACCCAGACTTGGCACCCAGTCCTTATTTTCAACTTGAGTATTTCAGCAACTTGACTCTCAGGTTCCCCAAAAGGAGTCCTACTAATTTGCTAAAAAGAAGGAAGGTAAGGTCAGACAATGGTTCACTCCTTTGAGTTGCACAAATGTCCCCAGGGTTTTGGATTAGCACAAGTAATGCCTTCACAGGGTTCAAGAGGAGGCGAGATCCCAAAGGGACAAATTAGCTTCGGGAAGAGCAGGCTGCTTCTGCAGGGACCTGGCAGAGGATCAGGCAGCTGCGTGAAGCTCAGATAGCCTAGAGCAGCACTGTCCAGACATGGAGTGTGAGCCACATTGGTAATTCTGAATGTTCCAAGAGCCACAAGGAAAAAAAAGAAAAAGGAACAGATGAAGTTTATATGATAATATCTTTTATTTAACTTAATATGCCCAATCCTTTTTTTAAAGAGATAGGGTCTCACTTTGTTGCATGCAATGTCACAATCATAGCTCACTGCTGCCTCAAACTCCTTGGCCCAAGGGATCTTCCTGCCTCAGCCTCCCAAATAGCTGGGACATGCCACCATGCCCAGCTAATTAAAAAAAAAATTGTAGAAATGGGGTCTTGTCATCTTGCCCAGGCTGGGCTCGAACTCCTGGGCTCAAGTGATCCTCCCATCTCGGCCTCCCAAAGTACTGGGATTACAGAAGTGAGAACTGTGCCTGGGCAAATTTAATCATTTCAACATATAATCAATATGAAAACTTATTAATGAGCTATTTACAATCTTTTTCTCGTACTGAGTCTTTGAAATCTAATATATATTTCACATTTATAGTACATCACAATACAAGTACTAAATTTTCATCAGAAATAGTTCATCTGTATTTGTATGTTATAAAATTTACAGTTGGATACGTAGATTCACATAATCCAAGCACACATAAAACTTTTCCAGTAATGGAATTAAGTATCCATTTTTTTAATTTAAATGAATTTAAATGAAATAAAATTTAAAATTTAGTTCCTCCGCCAATACTAGCCACATTTCATTGTCTACTGTACTGACAGGGCAGGCCTAGAATAGAATGAATGGCAGCCCTCAGGACATGCAAGACCTCTTATGTCTGCTAACTAAACCCACTGCCTGGGTTTAATCATGCTCATGGATCTGTTCACCCAACTGGGATCACGTCATGATAAAATACGTACACATTGGTTTATGGATAATCACAGAATTTTAGAGCCAAAAAATGCCTGAAGTATCATCCTCCCATCTCGCAAGAGGAAGGGACCACTGGTGTAAGGTCACTTAGTAAGCAAGGGGCCTTTGCTAGGACACCATGCTACCTCATTGACTTGGTGACACAAGTGAACTTACCTGTATGAATTGTCTTGGTTTAAAAACTACTTCCACAGAAGAGTTATGCTGAATGACTGCCATTGTTTATAAGATTCATTTATTCAGGTTTCAGTGAGAAACAAAGATACCTTTTCCCTGCTCTTGTAGTTGCTTATTTCCTGAATTTTATGTGATTATTTTCCAAATTATAGGAAAGGTAATTTGAATATCCTCTCCTTAATCAACACATTTTGCTTCTATTTTTCTTGGTGTTTTTTAGAGGAATTTGTTTTTTGATTAATTTTTTTTATTCTTTCTCTGTGTCCTGGTTTTTGATGATGTTAGGATAAGAACTTCTGTGTAATTTCTCTGCCCCATCTCACCCCCGAGTTCTTCCTCATCCAGAACTTCGTGAAAATGGTCCCTTTCAACACCTGCACCCTCGAGCAGGACCTCTACGTCTTCCACCGGGCTGGATTGCTCAAGTGAGTAGACACATGTTTGGCCACACAACAATCCATGAAATTACAGAAGAGAAGGGAACAAGGAACTCCCTGCTATTATAATTTAATAATTTATTTTAAATATCATCTTTTATTAGAAGAGGTCTTGAGTAAGTGATTTTAACTAATACATTTAGAGAAAGAATGGCACTTGAGAAGAGATTTGTCCTGTCAGATATTAAAACATAATATAGCTCCACAATAATCAAGACAATGCCATGTTGACAGATTCTGTAGGCAGAACAATGTAACACAAGAAACAGATCCAGTATAGTAGGAACTCAGATTGTGCAGATCTTTGTATGTGAGTGTGTGTATATAATACATTCACGACAAAGTGTGTGTCACAACAGTGGGAAAAGGAAGGATTCTTCTGTAAATCATGAGACAAAATGGAGGTAGAAACTTTTTTTATACTCTATCATAAAATAGATTCTCAGGTGATTAAAGAGTTAAATGTAAGTATTGAAAACATAAAAATTAGAAAATATATTTACAGTGCTAAGTTCTGTGCCAAGTTCTGGGAACACAATGGTGAACAACATGTAGACATGGTCCCTGCCTTTTCAAGGCTTATGGACACACAGAGTGTAAAACTGCAACTGTGATGGGAGTAACCAGTCCTGGGCATGTGGTACTGAGCATGGAACATTGGGAGAGTTGGCCCAGCCAGAGGAAGCTTTCTTGAGAAAGTAATACGGAGTGCTGGATGAGGAAAGTGAGTGAAGATTGACCTTTATCCTGTCTCAGAATGGGAAAGTTCTTTTTAAAACATGAAAGAAAAAGATTAAGGTGTCTTATACTATACCAAGTTTTTTGAACCACCTGATTTTATTAAAATGTAACTGACCAACAGAAGGATGTTTTAAACAAATATGGCAGACAAAAGGTGGATGTATTTAATATATAAAGAGCTTTAATGAATCAATAAAAAAAATCACTTAATACCTAAATAGAAAAATTAATAAAAGGCATGACCAGACTGTTTCTACAGGAAAAAACAAAAAACAAAAATCAGTGTATATTTAATACCTTCTATCTTATTTTTACAAAATGTTCTGAGGCTCATCAAACTGCACCCTTGAAATGAGTGCATTTCATTGTATGTAAATTAGACCTCAATAAAGTTGATGCACAATCTTCTGATGAAAAGTTTGGTGGAGGAGTGTCAGAGAGCTCACTCTATAATTGCTGTGTTAACCTTTTGAGTGAAACTTTGAGAAACATCCTAGATGTTCACTTCATAATTAGGGACTGGTTAAATGAATTTTAGCAAATGAATTTAGTACATTATGATGACGACTTGAAGAAATAAAACCAGATTTCTATATCCTATGTGGAAAGATAGCTAGGATGGTGAGAAAAGCAGTCAAACAATAATAGTACAAGTACTAATAGTAAGGATAATTAACATTTATTGAGGGTTTATAGTGTGCCAGGCGCTTTCTTAATAATCACTTTCCATGTGTCAACACTCACAGTGACCTAATTAGTTAGGTATCATTATTATCCTCATTTCACAGGTAAGAAAACTGAGACACAGAGAGGTTGAGTAACTAGTCCACAGTCCACACAGCAGAAAGTGGCAGAACTGAAATCGGAACCCAGGCTGTTAGCTTACAGAGCCAACTCATGACCACCCCACATATTGTTTCTCGACATGGTGTGGTCAGTGTAATCCCATTTGATTGTTGTGAAGTGTTCACAGGTAGCAGTCAGCACTAATACTAAACTGTTGTATCAGAGTGACCCCTAAACACAACTGCCTTGAGCCAGTTCTGTCTCTGTCCTGCAGTAGTCCAGACAAGAGCACGTGGTCTAAGGAGAATACCAGCTTTTTCTCCATGAAGTTGTCCAGGAACCGAAGTTCCTTCTCTTATTGCCCCTCCATTCCATAGAGCAAGGGTTACCTAACATATCCAGAGAGAAGCATGAGGTGTGTGAATTTGGATGGAAAGGAAAGCTACATCTTTATTCCACTAACCTGTAAGTGAAGTTTAATGTGTCCTTCCATTGTGACTGGAGCTAGCAGGTCTCATAGTGTTAGCAGAAACCATGACTTCATAGCCAGTAGAAATGACAGATATTTTCGTTCATGTTTTTGTTGTTGCCGATGTCTCAAAAATATCACATAATATTTACCCTACTTTGAAATTTCAGTAATTTTATTCTTGACCATAATTTATTATGTAATGCATTAACAAAGAGGCACAGGCATTACTGTAACACATTTTTAAAAACATTTTGCTAACTGTGTTTCAATATAATTTATAATCCTTTGTGTTTTATTTAATGAATGTAGAAACATTTGTCTGGGAAGGAGTTCATAGCATCACCAGAGTGTCAAAGGGCTCTGTGGCATGCAAGAGTTTCAGACCCACGGCCAGAGTGGACTTTTCTTCCTTGTGCTCAGAGCTAGCTCGGAGCACCGTAGCCACATTGCAGCCCACAGGGAAGGGTGGAATGAGAAATGGAAGAGGGGAAGCACTTTCCTCTTAGGGGACATGAATCACCTCTGTTCATATTATGTGATCAGGAACTTGGTTGCATGGCCCTACTTAGCTGCAAGGGAGCCTGGAAGATATGTTGCTGGTAGGTTGGGCATGTGTCCAGTAAAAAACTCAGTTGATTCCTTAATTAAAAAGAAGAGGAAAAAGGATACTATGGGAACATTATATCTAGTTTTTATCTTGTGTATGTATAGAAGTTCTAAAAAGTTACACAGGATTTCAGTAACCTTATATGCCTCTGGGAAACAGGACTGGGAATTGTAGGTGAAGATGGTGACTGACTTTGCATTATGTCTATCTGTTATGTTTGATTTTTTTGTTTTAATTAATAAACTTTTTTTTTTTTGAGACGGCATCTCACTCTGTTGCCCAGGCTGGAATGCAATGGCACAATCATGGCTCGCTGGAGCCTCAACCTCCCAAGCTCAGGTGATCCTCCCATCTCAGCCTCCCAAGTAGCTGGGACTACAGGCATATGCCACAACACCTGGCTAATTTTTGTATTTTTTTGTACAGACAGGGTTTCATCATGTTGCCCAGGCTTATCTTGAACTCTCCTGGGCTCAAGCAGTTCAC
Source organism: Homo sapiens (assembly GCF_000001405.40). Classification (NCBI taxonomy): domain Eukaryota; kingdom Metazoa; phylum Chordata; class Mammalia; order Primates; family Hominidae; genus Homo; species Homo sapiens. Next base: position 20,172,565 of record NC_000020.11, read on the forward strand.
CCACCTTGGCCTCCCAGTGTTGCAATTACAGGTGTGAGGCACCACACCTGGCCAATAAACTTTTTTTCCAAAAAGTAGTTTTAGGTTTACAGCAAAATTGAGCAGAAAGTGCAGAGAGTTCTCACAAGCCCCTTCTCCACCACCATACACAGACTCTCGCATCATGAACATCCAGCACTAGATTGGAACATTTGTTGTAATCAGTGAACCACCACTGACATATCATTATCACCCAATGTCCATAGTTCACATTAGGGTTCGCTGTTGGTGTTGTACATCCTATGGCTTTGGACAAACGTATAATGACATGTATCCACTGTTATGATAGCACACAGAATAGTTTTACTCTGCTGAACATCCTCTGTGCTCTGTCTGTTCGTCCCTCGTTTCCCACAACACTGTCAACCACTGATCTTTTTACTGTCGCCATAATTTTACATTTACAGAATGTCACAAAGTTGGAATCCTGTTAGTAGCCTTTTCAAATTTGCTTTTTTTTCACGGATTAGTATGTTTTTCCATGTCTTTTCATGACTGGCTAGCTCATTTCTTTGTAGCCCTGGATAATATTCTGTTCTCTGGATGTACCACAGTGTGTCTACCCATTTACCTACTTGAAAAACCTCTTGTTTGCTTTCAAGTTTGAGCAGTTATGAATAAAGCTGCTATAAACATTCATGTGTAGGTTTTTATGTGGGTGAAAGTTTTCAGCTCATTTAGATAACTACCAAAGAGTGCAATTGCTGGATCCTATGACCAGAATATGTTTAGTTTTACAAGAAACTGTCAAACTATCTGACAGAGTGGCTGAGCCATTTTGCATTCCCACCAGCAGTGAATGAGAGTTCCCGCTGCTACACACCCTTGCCAGCATTTGGTGTCATCAGTGTTTTGGATTTTGGCCATTCTAATCAGTATGTTAGTGTTACCTCACTGTTTTAATGACATGTGGTGTTGAGCATGTCTTCATATGCTTATTTGCCAACTGTATATCTTCTTTGGTGAGGTGTCTGTTTAGGTCTTTTGCCTATTTTTAAATGGGTTATTTCTGTTGAATTTTTAAAAATCAGTGGGTGTGCAGTACTTTTGTGATAGAAAAATGTAGTTAATTTTTTCTACACTGAGATTTTAAATAGTATTATGATTCAAGTAGAATTTTTAAAAATGTACTTTATACTCCGCATTCCTAAATGCATTGGTGACTTTTTTTCTTGGAGTTTTCACTCTGAATAAATACAATTGAATAAAGACACTGGAGATGGAGAGCAATGAGATGATACGGATCTAGGAAGGAGACATCGATCTGACTGTAGTAGCGGCCTTGTTCTTAGTAGCTTTAATTACATAATTTACATTCATATTCTTTTCTTTCACACTCTTTTACTGTGTCCATGCACTACTTTTCTTAATAATAAAATCTAAATCTTTTAAATGATGAGTCTTTCCACACTTGTCTGGGAATTAGTTTGGTTGCAGTGGGGCCCTGGCTTTTCTTCGTAACCTTTTTCAGTGCCAGCTTCATTTTCTTGAATCACTTGCATTTAAAATTGGAGCACATGATGTATACCTGGGTTCTTTTCTGAAATATTAAAGACTCAGAAGCTGAACTAGTTTTTGTGTCTTTAACAAGTCATGTGTTGTCGCAGTTGCCACCTGAGCCCTCATCAGGAACCCTCCTTCACAGCCTCCTCCAGTTTGTCGCCAGCGCACCCGCCAGCCCACACCAGTTTCCCTGCCTGTGCACCTCTGTAGCTTCTCTGAGTGCCATGGTTGTGTCCATCGCCTTTTTCCATTCAAGAAGCCATGCACGGTCCCATAGGGGAAGACATCCCTCGAAACCCACATGCTTATCACCATTAGGGGTGCACATGCAGTGGGCAGTTGTTTTCAACAGAAAGCATAGATCTCCTCTTTAATTCTTTAAACCTTATTATAAGCATAAAAAGCTTTTTAGTGAAACCACACATTTAATGTTAAAAATGGTAGCTTTACCTGTCAATATTGCTCAGTTCCTGTAGGGAGGACAATATTGTTCTTCCCTTTGCTCTTTTAAAGTCCGCACTCCTGCACCCTCTTCAGGCAGCTGATCGTGGCTGCAGGAGTGGAGGAGAGAAAGGAGGGTGGCCAACCTGAAGAGGCTTCTACACAGATGAGAAGGGAGAGCAACCCCCACCCTTACACCCCAGCAATGTTTGTATTAAAAAAAAATGAGTGTGCTAACAAATGAATTTGATGGAATTTCATGTCACACAAAATGCAGTTCGGAAATGTGAGAGTGGGAGTGACCTTAAAGAAGACTCCATCACCTTGCTGGGTTCCTGGCATCAGTTAGCCCGAGGTGGCAGTGCCTGCACAGGGCCTTCCCTTTCTGTCCCCGCGTCCCCATGGCATTCTCTTTAAGTGCCGAGATGTTTCCAGTCAGTCCCCTGCACCTGCAAGTCAGCCAGGGGTGCAAGAGGAGTCCAGGTGCAACAGCCAGGGTCCTTTGTAAGTCAGGGCACTATCCAGTGATGCTCAGTGACATTGCACCCTTTGTATCTGTGAGGACTCACACCTGGCTTTTAGAAAGTGAGGCTTTACAAGAGCTTGTTTGTCCCTTAAAGAAGGCCATCAGGGTGGGCTGGATGTACGGCCACCATGGACCGTGGAATATTCCTCCTTCTTGCTCCTTAGCACCTGGCTTCCCTTCTCAAGTTTACCTCATTTTACTCAAGGACAGTTCTTTCTTCATATGCTCTTCAGTTCCACTGCAAGTGTGGTCCAGGGATCGGCAGCAGCAGCATCTGCTGAGACTTTGCTAAAATACAGAATCCAAGGCCCTGCCCCAGGTTTTCTGAATCTGTGTTGCTAACAAGTGCACCAGTTGACTTTCATGCACGTTAAAAGTTTAAGAAGCACTGTAGGGGCTTCTGGTTTTTTTTTTGTTTTTGTTTTGTTTTGTTTTGTTTTGTTTTGTTTTGTTTTGTTTTGTTTTGTTTTGAGACAGAGTCTCACTCTGTCACCCAGGCTGGAGTGCAGTGGTGCAGTCTTGGCTCACTGCAAGCTCTGACTCCCAGGTTTCACGCCATTCTCCTGCCTCAGCCTCCCGAGTAGCTGGGACTACAGGTGCCCACCATGACACCTGACTAAATTTTTTTTTTTTATTTTTAGTAGAGACAGGGTTTCACCGTGTTAGCCAGGATGGTCTCAATCTCCTGACCTCATGATCCACTCACCTCGGCCTCCCAAAATGCTGGGATTACAGGCGTGAGCCACTGCGCCTGGCTGGGGCTTCTGCTTTTTTAATGGGTACGTCATCTGGTAGAAAATAATTGTGATTTATTACAAAAGAAACTATCATCAGAGTGAGCAGACAACCTACAGAATGCGAGAAAATTTTTGCAATCTATCCATCTGACAAAGGTCTGATATCCAGAATCTATGAGGAACTTAAACAAATTTGCAAGAAAAAAACAACCCCATTAAAAAGTGGGCAAAGGACCATGAACAGACACTTCTCAAAAGAAGACATTCATGCAGCCAACAAACATGAAAAAAAGCTCAAAATCACTGATCATTAGTGAAATGCAAATCAAAAACCACAAAGAAATAGCATCTCATGCCAATCAGAATGGCGATTATTAAAAAGTCAAGCAACAACAGATGCTGGCGAGACTATGGAGAAATAGGAACAATTTTACACTGTTGGTGGGTGTGTAAATTAGTCCAACCATTGTGGAAGACAGTGTGCTGATTCCTCAAAAACCTAGAACCAGAGATACCATTTGACCCAGCAATTCCATTTCTGGGTATATACCCAAAGGAATATAAATCATTCTATTTTACATGCACGCATATGTTCATTGCGCACCGTTCATACTTGCAAAGACATGGAATTAACCCAAATGCCCATCACTGATAGACTGGATAAAGAAAATGTGATACCATAGAATACTATGATACCATGGAATACTATGTAGCCATAGAAAGAAATAAGATCATGTCCTTTGCAGGGACATGGATGGAGCTGGAAGCCATTATCCTCAGCAAACTAACACAGGAACAGAAAACCAAACACCGCACGTTCTCACTTATAAGTGGGAGCTGAATGATGAGAACACATGAACACATGCGGGGGCCGGGAGCGGGGAACAACACACATTGGGGCCTGTCAGTGGGGGTCCGAGGGGAGAGAGAGCATCAGGATAAGTAGCTAATGCATGCTGGGCTTAATACCTAGGTGATGGGTTGACAGGTGCAACAAACCACCGTGGCACACTATGTAACGTATATTTGTCCTGCACATGTATCCCAGAACTTAAAATAGAATTAAATTAATTTTTTAAAAAGAACTGTGATTATCTGTCTTCCAAATACAGATTTTCTATAAAACATATAAGCCATACCTACTTCACTTTTTATTATTTTATTTTATTTTATATTTATTTCTTTTTCTAGACAATTTTAGAAGTTTAAAGGCCACACCTACTTTAAACCTTTTATGATCTAGTAATTTTTTGGTACTGCTGAGTTATTCATTTCTTCTGTATATAAATATAACCTTTTGGTTAGATTTGTACGAATATGTGGACTATAACAGTTTTACATATTTTTTTTCTATTTATACCAAGTAATGCTTTAATTTCTCTTGCTTGTTTCTAGTTCCTGGCCCTTTCTTTTTTCATACACACTTTCCACCTGTGGTTTTCTAAAACCATTTTTTGCATTTCAAAATTTAGGTTAACGATGAGAATGCTTTCATTTGGAAAGGAAAGAAAAACCAACTCAGAATGGCTTCCACTGTAGGACATGTACTGGCTCACATAAGCAGGAGGTCTGGAGATAGGCAGGGCTTTAGGGTTTGTATCTCCAGGGTCTTGGTTTCTTTCCTTTCTTCCACCCTCCCTCCATCCTGAAATTGACGTCGATCACATTGACAAAATGGCCACTGGGTTCCGGGGTGCAGGAGGAGAGTGCTGGCTGATGTCTTGTTTTCCTTCCCAGAGACCCCAGCAAAGCCCCCTCATTCATCCAGTAAAATCCACAGCACTGACTGCATACATGTGCCAGCTTTATCCCAGGTGCTGGGGAAACAGAAATGATGCAAACAGATAGAAATTCTTGCCCTCACGGGGGGCCTGCATTCTAGATGGTGGAGAAAGATGTAAAGGAAAGAGATCAAATGCACAGTATATAGGCACTAAGGGCGAACGTGAAGAGTATAGCAGGTGTGGAGAGGGGATAGGAACTGCTGAGTGGGAGAGGGGCTGCCATTTATTGCCTAGGGTGACAGGAAGGGTGGCCATGAGTAAAGACCTGAAGGAGGTGAGGAGGAGCCACTTGGGCATGGTGAGGGCACAGGTCCTCCACACCTACTCTTTAAAAATGTATCATGTTCTTCTATTTTTTGCTTCACTTCTCTTTACATTTGGGATGAATTGTTTCTGCTCTTAAGTTTGGTTACTTTAAATTTCATGACCTTGTGTTCTGGTCCTCCACCTAATTTCATTCTTCTTCCCTTGGGAAATTATATTTGTGTCTGTCATCTGCCCTCTGGCTGTGCTGGTGAGCACTGGGACAAATTATTCATTCTGTCATTAGTGATGGCTACCTCTTCTGTCAACACATTCCACACCCAGGTTCCCTCTCCTTTTGTTTAGTGACTACAGGCCTTTGAGATGAGAACATTTCCTAATGTTTATGTTAACTTGCACTTTAATTGTGGATAAATTAAATGCTTCCTTTATGATACATTTTCTTCATATATTAACCTCTAAGACACTTCCAAACTTAATATGGGATGAGTGTGTGCTATAGATGATTCTTCTATTTCCGCTGCTTGCTCATTCTTGACCTACCCACTGGCTTTTCTGTCCTCTTGTTTATTCATTAGCAGAGAACATATTCAGGTGAACTGGTTGCCCACTCCATCTTGCCACCCTTTCACATGATGCTTTTCTGAAATTTGACATTTTAAATGTGGGGAAACGTTTCAGATGTATTTGGCTAACCAATATTTATTGTGCTAGGAATTATTTTTTATAAATAAATATTTACTGCTGAGTTAGATCATACAGCCATTAACTTGGCTCAGTAAATAAAATGCATTTAGCTAGTTGTCCTTTAATCGATTCTCCCCCCCACCATTTCTGTTTTCTTTGCTTTTCTGTGAGTGGCTCACACAGAAAATTACCATTGTTCCTATTTCAGGCCCGTGTTATTGTGGAGAGTGTTTTAACATCGTCAGTCCTTGGCCCCTTCTGCTTTTAATCAGCCTCCTTGAACAGAACCCGATAGAAACTTCATTTTTAATTTTGTGGGTTTTATTTTCTTTCTTTATTTATTTTTGATTTAAACTGAAATACTAATGGCTATCAAATTGTTTCATGATTCTATTACAAAGATCACTTCTTTGGAATCCAGAAAGACTCAGATCACTTTTTCTTCTCCCTGTTATTTCATTTTTATTTACTGGTATTAAAAAATTTCCCTATTTTCTGCAAGACATAAAGGGCATCCAGATAGGAAGAGAGGAAGTCAAACTATTCCTGTTTGCAGATGACATGATCCCATGTCTTGAAAATCTCATAGTCTCTGCCCCGAAGCTCCTTAAGCTGAGAAACAACTTCAGCAAAGTCTCAGGATACAAAATCAATGTGCAAAAATCACTAATATTCCTATACACCAACCACAGTCAAGCCTAGAGTCAAATCAAGAGTGCAATCCCATTCACAATTGCCACAAAAAATAAATAATATACCTAGGAATACACCTAACCAGTGAGAGATGAAAGATCTCTACAAGGAGAACTACAAAACACTGCTCAAAGAAATCAGAGATGACCCAGACAAATGAAAAACATTCCATGGTCATGGATAGAAAGAATCAATATCATTAAAATGACCATACTGCCCAAAGCAATTTATAGATTCAATACTATTCCTGTTAAACTACTATTGACATTCTTCACAGAACTAGAAAAAACTGTTTTGATATTCATATGGACCCGAGAAAGAGCCAGAATAGCCAAGGCAATCCTAAGCAAAAAGAACAAAGCTGGAGGCATCACCCTACCTGACTTCAAACTATACTGCAGTGCTACAGTAACCAAAACAGCATGGTACTGGTACAAAAACAGACACATAGACCAATGGAAGAGAATAGAGAACCCAGAAATAAGCCTGTACACCTACAACTATCTAATCTTCAGCAGACCTGATAAAGCAGTGGAAAAAGGATTCCCTATTCAATAAATCGTGCTGGGATAACTGGGTAGCCATGTGCAGAAGACTGAAACTGGACACCTTACTTACACCATATACAAAAATTAACTCAAGGATTAAAGACTTAAATGTAAAACACAAAACTATAAAAACCCTGGAAGACAACCTAGGCAGTACCATTCTGGACATAGGAATGGGCAAAGGTGTCATGATGAAGATGCCAAAAGCAATTACAACAAAAGAAAAAATTGACACATGGTATCTAATTAAAGAGCTTCTGCACAGCAAAGGAAACTGTCCACAGAGTGAACAGACAACCTATAGAATGGAAGAAAAGTTTTGCAAACTATGCATCTGACAAAGGTCTAATATCCAGCATCTATAGGGAACTTAAACAAATTTACAAGGGAAAAACAACCCCATTAAAAACTGGGCACCTGTAGTCCCAGCTACTGAGGAGGCTGAGGCAGGAGAATGGCGTGAACCCGCAAGGTGGAGCTTGCAGTGAGCCGAGATCACGCCACTGCACTCCAGCCTGGGCAACAGAGTGAGACTCTGTCTCAAAAAGAAAAAAAAAAAACTGGGCACAGAACGTGAATAGACACTTTTCAAAAGAAGACATACATGCAGCCAACAATCATAAGAAAAAAAGCTCTACCTCACTGATCATTAGAGAAATGCAGATCAAAACCACCAAGAGATACCATCTCACACCAGTCAGAATGGCTATTACAAAAAAGTCAATAACAGATGGAGAGGTTGCAGAAAAGCAGGAATGCTTATACTCTATTTGTGGGAGTGTAAATTAGTTCAACCATTGTGGAAGACAGTGTGACGACTCCTCAAAGACGTAAAAGCAGAAATAACATTCCACCCAGCAACCCCACTACTGAGTATATATCCAAAGGAATATAAATCATTCTAAGGACACATACACACACATGTTCATTGCAGCACTATTCACAATAGCAAAGACATGGAATCAATCTAAATGCCCGTCAGTGTTAAAGTGGATAAAGAAAATGTGGTACAGATACACCATGGAATACTATGCAGCCATAAAAAAGAATGAGATCTTGTCCTTTGCAGGAACATGGATGGAGCTGGAGGCCATTATCCTTAGCATACTAATGCAGGAACAGAAAACCAAATACCACACATTCTCACTTATAGGTGGGAGCTAAATTATGAGAACACATGGACACATAGAGGGGAAAAACAGACACTGGGGCAAATCAGAGGGTGGAGGGTGGGAGGAGGGAGAGGATCAGGAAACATAATTAATGGATACTAGGCTCAATACCTGGGTGATAAATAATCTCTACAACAAACCCCAATGACACAAGTTTGTCTATATAACCAACCTTCACGCGTACCCCTGAATTTAAAGTAAAAGTTATATATATACACATATATATGCATATATATGTATATATATGTATATATACATATGTGTATATATATAACTTTTATGTGTATATATATAACTTTTATATGTATGTGTATGTATACACACACACACACACACACACACATAACCTTGTGTCTAAAACAATTCATCCACTCAATTTGGGATTGAAAATCCCAATCTTTTTCCTTCCACTTTCATATATGATATTCTACTTTATTGTGTGTGTGACCTGATTAAATACTAGAAACCCTGATCCTTGAGGTCAAAGTCAGCCAAAAACAGGAAGAAGCAAACCTCTTGTGAAGCAGGTGACCCAGACTGCAAGACTCTGAGGACTCAAGAAGGGGCCACTTTGGGTGGGGCTTCATCACTTCTTCACCGAGAGGTGTCATTTCCTGAGGACTAATAGATTCGGGCATTCAAGTACATCAGAGAGAGAAAGCATAAGAGAGAGGTGACCTGGAGAGGTAAAGCCTTGGGAAGCCCTCCGGAGACCTTGCTTTTTCTGTGGATGGAAGAAGCCATGTGGATGGGTAATGAAAAACATAGCTAATCTCCCTCACTGATTCAAGGTAGCTTTAGAACTATGCTTGCACCCTTGGGAAAAGAACACTAAACCCTTCTGGTTACTGAGTACACATTCACTTCTGGGAAGATCAGGCAAGGTGATATGTGGAACAGGTAGAGGGAGGTGGGAATGTTCTCCTTCCTGGCTATAGGCCATGGGACTGAAAGATGGGAGCCACCATAATGGCTAAAATGAAAGAAGCAACTTCCTATTGAAAACTTGCAGAGAGATGAAAGTAGGGCCACGTTTAGGTGCATCCAATGAGCCACCATCTTCTGAAGTCCTGCCAGGCCTAAGTCGGTACATAATCATTGAAGCGGACTTTGTTTTATTGGATATTTATTTAGCAGATTTAAAGTTCATTCCACAGAAGGTCTTGGTATCATTTTATAAACCCTCAATGAATACTCTAAATCTCTATGATTTATCTGAGAATAGGGTAAGAAATAAAGATAGCTGCTTGATAATTTGACAACAGTATTCTGTTGGTACGGATGACATAATATATATTTTTAGATCCATGTCATTTTAATTAAGGATTTTAATTAGTGTTTTTTGTTGAGAATAAAATAGTATGCATCCTTACAACTTTGTCTTAAAGTCATTGTATTTTTCAAGGGGCTTTCTCTAGCAAAAACACAGATGAAGGTCTCCATAACAATTGGTCCGCTTCTAACCTCATGTGCCTTATTTAAAATTTTAAAGAATTGCAGAATTATTTCTCAAAATATGGTCTGGAGTCAATAGCAGTTCAGCTTCACGAGAGCAGAAATTGTGGACTGTCTGGTTCCCTGATGTATCCCCAGCACCCAAAACACGGGCACACAGCAGATGTTTAATAAATATTTGTGATGGAGTGAATGAATGATTCTTAATCCATTTTAATCATTGATTTTAAGGAAATATGTCTTAATTGAGAGTTTATTTCTTACATTTATTCATTTTTCACTTTTTCCTGCCAATTGCTATGTAGAAGCAATTAAAAGCAATTTCCTTTGTAAAGGAAATACCCTTGTAGCAACAAGTATGTGTCCCATTTTTGTTTGTTTGTTTGTTTGCTATGAGAATGCTTTATTAGGCAAAACCACATACTGTGAAAATGCTTTAAAATGCAACAGGAGGAGATGTGAAGACACAAAGAACAAGTGCATAGTGACACATGGCTATCAGAACACACTAAGTAAAGAATCCACACCTCTTCCACCCTTTATCCAGAAAAGGAAGGAGCTAGATCACCTCCTCCTCAGGTTCCCCACATCTCATTCTAGTTAAAGCGAAAACAAACAGGCTGCTGTTCTCAGCACCCAGTGTGGAAGGAATAGTATATATAGAGCCACCTTGCCTCAGAGTCTGCCAAAAAAAGGTCACATGTGGAATAAGACTTACCTTCTGATTTTTTTTTCTTTTCTTTTCTTTTTTTTTTTTTTTAGATAGAGTCTCACTGTTTTGCCCAGGCTGGAGTGCAGTGGCACGACTTCGACTCACTGCAACCTCTGCCTCCTGGGTTCTGGGTTCAAGTGATTCTAGTGCCTTGGCCAACCAAGTAGCTGGGATTACAGGCATGAGCCACCATGCACGGCTAATTTTTGTATTTTTAGTAGAGATGGAGTTTCACCATGTCAGCTGGGCTGGTCTTGAACTCCTGGTCTCAAGTGATCCTCCTGCCTTGGCCTCCCAAAGTGCTGGGATTACAGGTGTGAGCCACCTCACCCAGCCAGCCTACATTCTGCTTTTTGAGCTGAGTAAAAACCTTTTGGGAAATAGTTCTCAGAGGCAAATACAGACATAGAGAGCAGCCCCATTCAGTAGGAATACGCTGTGAGCCACATGTGTAATTTTAGATTTTTGAATAGCCACATTAATTTAAAAATCAAAAAGTAGGTGAAATTAATTGTAACATTTATTTCTTATTTAACCCATTATATCCAAAATATTATTGTTTCAGCGTGTAATCAATATTTAAAAAGCACGAATGAGATACTTTATGTTACTTTTTTGTACCAAGTCCACAATTCAGTGGATATTTTATTCTTACAGCACATCTCAATTCTGAGTACCACATTTCAAGTGTACAGGCTCTTGTACTGGACAGTGTCATTTTAGAGGAGGGCACAAACATACAGCCATAGCCCGTTCCTCCCCCTGAAATTCTAGGAACAAAGGAAAGCTCTGAAATATTCCTCTTTGGTGAATATGAATAGCAGAGATGAATGCAAAATGGTTGTGACCCCTGATCAACAGTAGATTTCCATGGACAGACTGGTGAAACGATGTTTGCAGTTTTGTGCTACTTTGCAGGAAGATAACCCCATGTCCTACTGAACATTTATTGGGCACCACTGTAGGCTACAAAAAGCCCTGGTCTTTTAGAGTGGACCATGATATGGTCTGAGCTTCAAGCCTTGCTGGGGGAAGATGTCCACTTATTCTCACTTTCCAGTCCAGTATCCAACAACACTCTTTATAACTCAGTTGTAGTATTTATTATATGTAAAAAAACATGTAATAAGCATGGGGAAGCTCTCTGGCTATCTCCATGCAAGCTTCATGATTAGTTCACTTGACAGCTGTTTATTGAGCATCTACCATGTGCCAGGCATTGCTCTAGCCATGAGGTGGCAGCAGTGAGCAAATAGACCAACACTGCCATCTTTGTCAAATTTTATTCTAGTGGGAGGAGACAAACAGTGAAAAACAAAATAAAGAGAAAGTAGGAAGTGCTGTGGAGAAAAATAGAACAGGGAATGAGGATGGAAGGTCAGGGTCCAAATTTTAAATAGGGGGTCAGGGTCAGGGAGGGCGTCACTGAGAGGGTGAAGTTTCAGCAAAGACTCAATGTTGAGGTGATGGAACAGGCTCATAGATTTGCTGGAGGAGAATTACAGGTAGGAACTTCTGATGAGGTAACTTCTGATGAGGTAGGAACTTCCTCAGGTAGGAACTTCTGATGAGGTAAGAACTTCTGATGAGGCAGGAACTTCTGATGAGGTAGGAACTTCCTCAGGTAGGGAATTCTGATAAGGTAGCACCTTCTGATGAGATAGGAACTTCTGATGACATAAGAACTTCTGATGAAGTAGGACCTTCTGATGAGGTAGGAACTTCCTCAAGTGGGAACCTCTGATGAGGGACTATGTCTGGCATGTTTGAGGAACAGCATAGTGGCCTGTGCAGCAGAGCAGGGAAACCAAGAAGCCAACTATTTGGAGATGAGTCAGAGCAAGCAGCAATCCCAGAGGGAGGGCACGGGGAAGGAGGCTGTGGTCATGGAGAGTTGGAGAGGGGGCTCTCAGCCACTGTAGAACTTTGGCTTTTACTGGGAGTGCAAGCTTATGCTCGTAAATGTAGCAAAATTATGGTAATTATTAGACTCCCTGCTGAATCATGTTTGTTTAATGAAGCTCGTATATTGTAATCTTATGTATCTTACTTTATGCATTTAAAAATATTCTGAGAGGGGCCATACACATAAAAGAGGTTAAGAACACCTCTATTACTGGGAATTTGAGTATAAGAGTCTTGTGATCTGACTTAACATTTGATAAGCATTGCTCTGGCAAATTGGTGGAGGATGGCTTGTCAGGAACAATGGCAGAAATGTGGAGAGACACTAGTATGCTGTTCCAGCAACCCAGGAGAGAGGTGGTGGAGGCTGGACTAGCACTGGAGGTCTTGAGAAGTCGTTCCATTCTTAGATGCATTTTGAAAGCAGAGCCAGCCCAAAGTTAGGCTGAAAGAGAGGTGTGCAAGAAAACAGATGAGGCCAAAGGTCTGGGCCTGAACCACTGGAAGGATGGAGTTGCCATTACCTAAGACAGGAAAGACAGCTGGGTGGAGGGCTTTGGAATGGAAACAGTGAGACGACTCTTAGATGGCCATGTCTTTTTCATTTGGGGGATGTAGTGTACTTTAGCTTAAGTTTATCCATATCTTCCACAGTATCTTAAATGTGTTGTCTGACACCAGTTTCTGAGAGAGGCATATTAAACTCTACCAATATGATGGTGAATTTCAAACTCTTCTCATAACCCTGTCCATTTTTACTTCAGTATCCTGGAGCTTTATTGTTAGACACCTATACATATGGTATTGTTATATCTTCCTAGTGAACTTTTATTATCAAATAAAGACCTTTTTCTCATGATTTTTGCCTTAAGATCTGGTTTAGCTGATATTTATATAGCTATGCCAGCTTATTTTTTTGCTATTAGTTGCCATTCCCTTTTCCTTTCAATTATTTTGGCATTACATATATTTTTGTAACAGCTTTATTGAGATGTAATTCACATGCCATACAATTTGTCCACTTCAAGTGTACAATTCAATGGTTTGTAGTAGAGTTACAGCATTGTGCAGTTACCACGTCTATCTGGTTCTAAAACATTTGCATCACCCAGAGGACACCCTGTACCTGTCAAGCTGTCACTCCCATTCTCTTCTCCCCTCAGCCCCCAACAATCACTAACCCACTTTCTATCATTGTAAATTTGCCTATTCTGGACATTTCATATAAATGGAATTACACAACACGTGGCCTTTTGTATATGGTTTCTCTCACTTCGCACAATGTTTTTAAAGTTCATGCATGTTGGAGTATGCATCAGTACTTTATTTTCTTTTATGGCTGAATAGTGTTCTGTTGTATGTATCAATCATACTCTGTTTATCCATTCATCAATTGATGGGCATTTGGGTTGTTTTTTCTTGGGCTATTGTGAATAATGCTGCTATGAAAATTCATGTACAGGTTTTGTGTGGACATATGTTTTTAATTCGCTTGAGTATTTTTCTAGTGCTTTTGTGGTCTTGTTTGTTACATTTACATCTGTAATCCACTGAACTAGATTTTGGTGTAAGGTGGTCATATAACAACCAAGTTCTTATCTTTCACTTAAAATTGCTCATAAACATTAAGATGGTATTAATTGTTCATCTTTTTATTAGTTAATTATAGATACAGATATTGTTCTTTGCAAATATGATACTTTGTTCATAATATGGAAGCATGTATTAAAATTTAAGCACAGATGTTCCCTACAGTTAAAAGTTAAATAGATTAGGATATTTTATTGTATCAGCACGAGGAGGAATGGCATTGTCCCATTGAGTAATAATACCCTAGTAACTGCAGAGAATTCACTGCAAGGCTAGCTACATAATATACAGGACCCATTACAAAATGAAAATGTGAGGCTCTGGCCTGGTGTGGGGCAGTCAGTCTCTCCTTCCCATGGGCTCCAACCCATGGCAAACAGGCATCCAACTAAGGGCTTGCAACCTCTGCACCAGGATGCACTGAACACCTGGGTGGGGGATGGGTAGGAGGTCCACACTGAGTTGCTAGCCGAACACGCCATGGCACTGCCTGCCCAAGGTGGGGACAGCCACCCCCTTGGTCTGACCAGAGACTCCATGTGTCATGTAGCTGACTCATGAGCCTCTCTATACCCTTGTCCAGGAACCCCACTGGGTGTTGGCTGAACACGGGCTTCCCCCAACCAAAGCAACCAATGTCGCTCCTGGCAGAAGGAGGAGGCAGCTGTCATGAGGCAGGAATGGGGAGGCTGTCTAGGGCCCAGGGTGCCAGGGGCAGGGAGCAGGTAGGAGAAAACCATCATGGAGAGACTGTGGGGATCACACGTGAGCAGAGGCTCCAAGGCCCCTGACGTGCTCCATTGTGTCACTTAACTTCACTTAAAAGCATGAAGTCAAAGATAAAATTATTAAGAATTTTTGAACGGTGGCCTCAGAGCAATAAACTCTGAGTGTGAGGCTCTAAAAAGCACACAGCACTGTGCTGCTCCCTGGGTCCCACACTCATGAAGCCAGCCCTGGTGCAATGTGACTTCTTTGTAACATAATTTAAAAATTGGAAGGATTTTGACTCTGTTTATGAAATAAATCATAGTGCTATTTTAAATTAAATGTATTTAAAGTATCTCTGTGTTGTCTTTGGTTAATGGCATTATCAGTGATATTTACCTTATTCTTCACACTTTTT
Organism: Homo sapiens; assembly: GCF_000001405.40. Taxonomy (NCBI): domain Eukaryota; kingdom Metazoa; phylum Chordata; class Mammalia; order Primates; family Hominidae; genus Homo; species Homo sapiens. The sequence goes on from NC_000020.11 coordinate 20,187,747, forward strand.
TGTGTTTCAGGTTTTCTATAATGAAATGAGTTACTTTTATAATTACTCAAACCCCAGTGTTATATAAACATACTTTACTGGATATTATTTTATATAAGTGTGATATATTACAATTCTGTCTCCATTTGGGGGGAATACATATTTAGTACTTTAACTTAAAAATATATTCCTCTCCTTACCCAGGTCCATTAATATAAGATTTGCCACTCTCTTGGATACTCCTGGTGTGGAAAATCTTGTCAGCACCCTCATGTTGAATAAAAGCATATTGGAGGACTTAGACCGTTACAACAAGGCTCGCAAAGACCCTGTAAGTACCTGTTGTGACCAGACCTCAGGATATGGGACCATTATGATGACCCATGTAGATTCAGCCCTGAAACTTCCTTGGATCTGAGTTGGAAAATCATATGGCAGGGGGCAGTGGAGGTAGAGTTAGAAGATGGGAGCAAGAAGAGAAAACTGTGGAGACTGGGGCTTGAGGAAGTGAGACCATTCTCAGTGGGGATCCCCCAGAGGGATCAGATACCCAAAATCCTTCTCAGGAAGATAGAAAATTTGGACTTGATCCAAACAATCATATCAAAATGAGATGGATCCTAGTCTTTGGGATAGGTAGATACAGTATGACCATGGTTAGGGAAGGGTAGCTTAGGAATCCATGGGTATCTGGTGCCCACCTCAGCAGCACTGGGTACCAGATTGAGGGTAGTGGGACCCTGTTTGAGCCTATGAGATGATGAGTCTGACCAGACCCTTTTGTTGAGCTGGCTGCATCCCCCAGGATTACATGGGCTGGGAAAGATCCTGCATGATAAATGTTGGGTTCTCTTTCTAGTGTAGTAATGCATGTATGTGCTATGGCAAAAGTCAGGCTTGTGGCAGTCTGTAAATTAATACTGCTGTCTTAGGGCCATGACAGTTAATCTGACTACACATGGAAAGATGAAAGAATATTGTGCATAGTCACTTTTTTGATACATTTTATTTTGAAAAAAAATTTATTGAGGTATAACCAATAAACAGTGTGATGGATTTCACAATTTGCATACACCATGTAACCAGCACATGTTTTAAGAAACAGACTTAACCACAGCCTGCTGGAAGTCCCCTGATGCCTCTACTCAGGCCTTTCCCTAAGTTAATACCACCTTGCTTCTAAGATCAGAGATTGGCTATGCCTGTTTTTGAACTCTACATAAATGGAATCACACCGTTTGTTTTCTGATATCAAGTTTCTTTTGCTCAGCAATGTTTGTAAGAGTCATCCATATTATAGCATGAGGTATTTCATGGCATGAATATACCACCATTTATTTCTTCATTCTACTGTTGAGGTCTTTCAGGGAGTTCCAGTTATTTGCTCTTTTGGAAAAAAACCTTTTAGTTAATTTTTAAGTCATCAGGAGGGAGACGCCAAACACCTAAACATAATGTCATATACACAAATGTTTACTATTTATAAAGGCATCAGAGTAAATTGAAATAAAACTTCCCTTCAGCACATGGTTTGCTTTGGTTTGTCTTGCACTCTTTTAGTTCTTCATTTTTTGCTCCTTCCCTCCTGGCCCTCTAAGTGGTATGAGGTCAAGTCCTGGTTCTCAAAGTATGGTCTAAGGAACCTTGGGGGTCTCTGAAACATGAATTTTCTGGGAGTCTGCAAGGTAAAAACTGTTTTATTCCTTTTCCACTGTGTTGAGATCTGTACTTACGACGCATAAGTACATATGTACTTATGATCTGTACTTATGTACTTATGGCATTGGGTGAAACCAATGCCACCTCAGAGTAGGTCACGGAAGTGTCAGCAAACGTCCTAGTGGTCCTGGTGTTCTTCACCGTCATCCCAGTAACTGCAGAAAGAGCAAACCACAGTGGAATATCCCTGCACACCTATCAGAATGACTAAAACAAAATAGCGATGCCACTAGCCGCTAAATGCTGGCAAGGATGTGGGGAAACTGGATCTCTAGTGTTGCTGGTGGGAAAGTAGAATGGTGTGGCCACTCTGGAAAATATTTTGGCTGTTTATTTTTTTATTTTTATTTATTTATTTGTTTATTTTGAGACAGAGTCTCACTCTTGTTGCCCAGGCTGGAGTGCGATGGCGCGACCTTGGCTCACTGCAACCTCCGCCTCCCGGGTTCAAGGGATTCTCCTGCCTCAGCCTCCTGAGTAGCTGGGATTACACGTGCCTGCCTGTAATTTTTGAATTTTTAGTAGAGATGGGGTTTCACCATATTGGCCAGGCTGGTCTCGAACTCCTGGCCTCAGGTGATCTGCCTGCCTCAGCCTCTCAAAGTGCTGGGATTACAGGCGTGAGCCACCGTGCCCAGCATTGACTGTTTATTTAAAAACTAAAACTGCAACTATCTTATGGCCTAACATTTGCACTTGTGGGCATTTGATCCAGAGAAATGAAGAGTTTACACTAATGTTCATAGCAGCTATTGTCAGCAAAGATATCCTTCAACAGATGAATGGTTAAACACACTGTGGCACATCATGTCATGGAATACTACTCAGCAGTGAAAGGAATGAACTCTTGATACATGCCTTGGCTTGGATAAATCTCCAGAGTATTATACTGAGTGGGGAAAAAAGCCAACCCCTACAGGTTGTATCCTCTAGCGTTCCATTTGTATGATACTTTGAAGTGACAAGATTTTAGAAATGGAGAACAGGTTATCTGATGCCAGAGGTTAAGGATGCGGGGAGGGTGGGGACAGAGGGGGCAACTCAAGGGATGTTGTGGTATTAGAACTGTTCAATATTCTGACTATAGTGGTGGATACATAAACCTATAGAGGTGATGAAATCATGTGAAACTTCATACACCACACACACACACACCCCCACAATTGTATCAATGTTGGTTTCCTGCTTGTAGTATTAGACTATGGTTTTGCAAAATGTTATTATTAAGGGATACTGAACAAAGTGTACAAGAAATTTCTGTTTTATTTCTTACACTGCATGTAAATCTACAAGTATGTCAATTAAAGAGAAAGAAAAGGAAAAGCCAGTTTCACTAAGGAATATCCTTGATGAAGCAGTAAAATTATTAAGTTTATTAAGTCTCAACCCTGAGGCCAGGTATGGTGGCTCACGCGTGCAATCCTAGCACTCTGGGAGCCCAAGGCAGGTGGATTCCTTGAGGCCAGGAGTTCAAGACCATCCTGGGCAACATGGTGTAACCTCATCTCTACTAAAAATACAAAAATTAGCTGAGCATGATGGGGCACGCCTGTAGTCCCAGTTGCTTGGGAGGCTGAGGCGCAAGAATTCCTTGAACCCAGGAGGCTGCAGTGAGCCGAGATCATGCCATTGCACTCCAGCCTGGGCAACAAGAGCAAAACTCCATCTCAAAAAAAATAATAATAATAACAATAATAATAATAATATCTCATAGGGTTGGTGTGAGGATCCGGTGGACATAGGGAAGGCGTTTAACTTACTACCTGGCCAAAAGTAGGTGTTGATAGATGTTTGTTCTGTTGTTATGTGAACGTGGTTAAGACCCACTGTTGCCTGCTTACAAAAACATTCATAGCCATATTTTTAAGGGTCTTAAAATATATGCTTATCTTTTCAGGATGGAACACTGCTGCAGGCATTTGTAGCTGAAGTTGCAGAACAAATAGTTGGTATTGCAGTGATCAGAAATGAAATGGTAAATTGTGAAGTGGATATAAATTTCTTTGATTGTGCCTTGCTATATCATGAATTAGCCCACAGTGCCCCTTTTGGAGTTGTACTTTTACTTATTTAATGTGAATGCCTCCTTTTTCTGATGGATATCATCATCATCTGCCTCTATCCCACTTGAAGGACTTGCAATTCTCCATTTTTTTGCAGTTCAGAATATTTAATATATTACAAAGACCACATGAAAACATTCTCACCCTAAAAACTCAGATAGCTTTCCACCACCTATACATATATTAATATATTCCATATATTAATATGTTCTAAGTATTACTACTGTAGTGATGCATTTATACCTTCCAGCATTCTTCTTTGCACTTTATTACATATATCGTGTGTGTGTGTGTGTCAAATGGAAATGCCATTTTATTTTTTCCCAGTGCACAGCCAGCTATTTCAAAGCATTTATTACTGAATAATCCATTCGTTCCCTTTTGATTTTAAAATGCTGCTTTTACATTTATTAAGTTTCTATATGCCTATGTCTATTTTTAAACTCTGTTCTGTTCCGTGGATTTATCTGTTGATACCTATTGCATTATCATGTGCTTTTATATCTAATAGGGGAGTGTTCTCTCATTTGGTGTCTTCTAAATTTTCTTGTTTTTTGTTCTTGGTTATTTCCTCTCCCAAACCTTGTAATATTTATTATTAATATAATTGTACCTACGTGGATTCTATAGAACAATTTAGGGAGAATTGACATTAAAATATAGAGACTTCCCTATTAGGATCATGGATCATGGCTTTCTATGTTGTTGTTGTTGTTGAACTTTTTGGGTTCTTCAAAAACGTCTTGTGGCTTCTTTCATGTGGTTTTCTTTGCATCGTATTTTGTGCCATATGAGTTTTTGTTTGTCCTGTGGGTCCACTCTCCACCTTTCTCCACCCTGTTCTGTCTCAGGGAGCCTGACTGATGGGCACAGCATTATGGGTACCTTTGCCTTTTGGCTGCCCGTTGGGTTTGGTGGATGGAGAGCCCTGACAGAAGGAGGAGGGGTCAGTGATGTCAGGTGCCTCAGCAGGCTGATTGCCACTGAGTTCCCTGACATTTCAAGGCAGCCTCTTCATGATACTCTTTTGGATTCCTGTAACCAGCCCTCCTCCCGCGCCACCCTCTTAGAGTGGGAGTAGCTTGTAGTTGCTGCTGCACAGTCCCTACTTATCTCCTTACACCTGCCCCATCCTTGTAAATATTACCTTTGTTAAACCGCCCTCCAATTATCCTAATCTGATCATACTGTTTCCTGATGAGACCCTGACCTGACACAGTTCTAGACGTTGATCACTTATTTCTACGTGTTTTGTGATTTCTCTTGGTATTCTGAGTATACACTTTTTCTCATATTTTCTAAATGTTTGTCTTGTGTATGGAAAAGCTACTAGTGTTTGTATTTTGATCTTGTATTCAATCACCTTTATGAAATATCTTTGAGCTTGGAGAGTTTTTCAGCTGATTCTCTTTTCTGCCACAGCCATCACCTCCACCCTATTCTACTGGTCAGACCAGTTAGAGGGCACGCTCAGACACAAGGGGTGGAGGCAGACTTCTCTCGATGGGGGTGTGGCAGAGTCACTTTGCAGAAGAGCATGAGGGATGTGGGATGACAGGTACTGTCCTGGTGGTCATCTTAGGATTCTTTGGATAAGAGAACCTGCTACACCTTCCTTTTCACTATTTATACCTTTAGTCTTTTTCCAGTTTTAGTGTATGGATAGAACAACATTGAGTAGTAGTGTTAATAATAGCTGGCTTTCTGGTGTTCCTGATTTTAATGGAATGATTCTACACTTTCCTTCATTTAGTGTAATCGTGGCTGTAGGTTTCTGATAGATATCCCTTATCAAGTAAGGGAAATTTTCTTCTCTTTCTATCTTATTAAAAGTTTTTATTATGAATGAGTGTTGAATTTTATCAAATGTGTTTTTGACATCGAGATGTTCACATGGCTTTATTTCTTTAATATATTACACACTTTTCTCTTTCTTAGATTTATTGCACTTTTTGATCCAATATTTCTTGGAGTTAGTTAATCTTTTAGAGATGGTGTTGGGTAGTAAGGTCCCTGAGTCTACACAAATATGATAAGTTTTCATTGGTCCTCATACTTGTATACTCATTTGGCTGTGTGTAGAATTCTATTCAAATTATTATAATAATTATTATTATTATTTTGGAAATGGAGTCTTGCTCTATCCCCTAGGCTGGAGTTCAGTGATGTGATCTTGGCTCACTGCAGCCTCTGCCTCCCGGGTTCAAGCGATTCTCCTGCCTCAGCCTCCTGAGTAGCTGGAATTACAGGTGTGCACCACCACGCACGGCTAATTTTTGTATTTTTAGTAGAGATGGGGTTTCACCATGTTGGCCAGTCTGGTCTTGAACTCCTGACTTCAGATGATCTGCCCCCCTCAACCTCCCAAAGTGCTGGGATTACAGGCATCAGCCCCCTGCGCCAGCCTCATTCTAATTATTTCTCATCAGAATGTTGTCTTCCAGTATCCAATGTCATTGATAAAATATAATCTGATACCAACCTGATTCTTGATCCTTTATGAATAAATGTGTGTTTCTTTGCTCTCCTTCTTGAGAATTAAATTTTCTTTTTGTATCTGGAATTCTGAAATTTTGCCAAGAAATATCATGTCTCTTTTGGCAGTTTGTCTTCTATGATTTCATTAATTATTTCTTCTCCTCCATTTTCTCCATTCTTCTTTTCTTAAATTCTTTTTTAGATGGATATTAGATCTTTTGAATTGATTCTTCAGTGTCTCTAAACATATATATGTTACATTTTACTCATCATTTTAGATTTCCTCAATTTTGTCTTCCAAATCTCTAATTCTTCAGTTGTGTTTATTCTATTACCCAAGTATTCTATTGGAATCTTTATTTCAGAGTTCACCTATTTAACTTCCGAGTCTCTTTCTTGTTCTCTTATTGTTCCTTTTTGGTATCAGCTTGTTTATTACATGTAAGATCCTTTTTGATCTCTCTGAGTATACTCTGTAGAATTTTTTTAAAAATTCTCTGCTATTTCCTTAATAATTTGTCTTCTCTGCAGTAAGTTGTATGTTTCTCTATGCTGGTCTTTTTTTATTTGTCAGTTTTCCTCAAAAGTCTGTCCATGTCATGAGTGAAAGATTAAATGATCAATTTGGGTGGCTGGCATGGGTATCCTTGACAGTTGTGCTTGTATGTTTCTCCATGGCATCTCCCCTGTCACTGGTAATGCCACCGCCCCTCTTTTTGATTGGGAGGGATGGCAGTATCTGGCTTCCCCTTGTGTGCTTGAATGGAGTACCAGCCGGCAGGCAGGGACTCCAGGTGACCCAAGGTAAGAAGGTTTCACCTAGTGGTAGGGTTTCCTTCCAGTGTAAAACTGCCTTACTTTTTTGTCCTCCATTATGCTCTCATTACACCAAAAATAATTTTTGTTGTTGTTATTTTAAGGGATTTGGGATGGGAAGAAAATTAGATGCACATGGCCCATCTGCTGTTTTGAGCTAATAACCTCTGTTGGCTCTTTGCTTTTTGTTTTTCAGTGATTTCTCAGCCCTATACTTATCACTCATTTTATTTTATAATGAGAGATGCCTCCTTGGTAATTAAAGAAAAGTCTTATAGTATAAAGGCCATTACAGGGTCAATGCAGATTGAAAGGTTGCCAGAACTGCCCTAGGGTTCCGCCACTGGCCCGGTTACCCTGAGCTCTGTTTCCTCTGTGCTTTGTGACAGAAGCTGGAAAGGCAGGGGACCTCGAGGAGCTTGGCCACAGATGCCACAGTTTTCATGGATTTGCTGGTGCCAGCCTTGCTGATCACAGAACACATCAGGGGCCTTGCATTCTCCAATTTCTGTTCTTGAAAGTAGGCTTTTAAAACAATTTTACTGTGGAAAACAAGGAGAAATATAAGTTGGTGTTTTGCAACCTGCATATATGATTTGATTTTTCCTGCATTTTGGGTGCGTTTACTGCTGCTGTCATCAGAGAGTCACACTCACCTTGGAGTGCTCCCCTCCCCCCACGCTCCTGACAGCATACACTGCTGGGAGGTGACACAGGACAGGCTGGCCCAGGGCACAGTTAGCATGGAGACCTGGGATCCCAGTGCAGTGTGGGGACAGAGGGGGGACCAGAACTGGGCCTGTGGAAACGAGCAGTGTGCCTGATATTTCCTTTACATGGGAAGACACTCATCAGTCCTTTAAATTACCTTCCTCTGTAAAAATATTACACATCAAGGGGGATAGAAGGTTTAAGAAGTGCACAGGGATAAGGCCCAATTACGCAGTTTTATAGCAGGCCAGCCAGCCATACATGTAATCAAAATGTATGATATGGGGCCAGGCATGGTGGCTCACACCTGTAATTCCATCATTTGGGAGGCCGAGACAGGCAGATCACTTGAGGCCAGGAGTTCAAGACCTGCCTGGCCAACATGGTGAAACCCTATCTCTACTAGAATTACAAAAAAATTAGCCAGGCGTGATGGTGGGCGCCTGAAATCCCAGCTACTTGGGAGGCTGAGGTGGGAGGATCTCTTGAACCCAGGAGGTGAAGGTTGCAGTGAGCGAAGATCGCGCCAGTGTATTCCAGCCTGGGTGACAGAGTGATACTGTCTCAAACTAAACAAAACAAAACAAAGTGTGTAACTTGGGGGTGACACATTTCCACACTAACAGGTGAATAGTAATGCATCAGAGAACACCAGTGGCTCTGTTTGCCCGACTCCTGAATTTCCCACAGGCTCCGTCTCTTGTGCTGACTGGCTTGTGCTCACATCGCCTGGCAGTGTCACGGAGCTGCTGTCCTGCCGCTTGGCCAATGGCACAGACTCGGGGCTCTCTGAGTTGATAGCAGCCATGGGTATGGAAGGAGCACATTACAAGCTGTGCTGCCATCCCCCAAAGACAATCCATCAGAACAACTAGCACTCAGGAAACGTAATTTCTAATTTAAAGAATTTACCATGGAGATGAGGTGGCAAATATGGAAGAGAAAAATACGTTTCTTACTATCATACCTAAAGTAATTTTTAAAAGATATTTATCACAAAATGCATGCCGTTTGTTTAAAATGCTTGTAGAAACCATCCCTTCTGTCTCTTCTGTAGGACATTGAGTACATACGGTCCCATTACAACATTGAAGATTTCATCTACTTCAGTCACCACCAGCGCGAAGAACACGGGCACATGCATCACTTTGCCCTCAACCCCATTTTCCGGCACTACACCAAGTTCTTTCTGAAGGAGATCCTGCGTTTAGGCTTTAAATCCTGTCTCTACTACCGTGTTTACCCAAAATCCAGAGAAGGCAAGGTAAGAGAATGGTGCAATTCACTTTCCCAGCAGGTCAACGTTCACAGTGTTGTTGGTGTTGTACGCCGCATTCTATTCATTCCTCTCATGATGGGTTTTGATGATAACATGGGTCTGAATTTCCAATGGCCATATTTAGTTTGGCCTTTTTCATAAACTACAGTGACATTCTGTAGGCTTCGAATTTCTGACACAATCACAACTAATATAATTGGTAGTACAATATGTTGGCTTTTCTATATTGACAAAATAGAGACTGAAAACTGTGCAGAAATGCTCTAAGAGCATGAAGATCTAATAATTTCTTATGATACGTGAGTACAATGCCAACATGATCCTATTCTGTTCCTTCAAGCCAAGAACATTTCAGTGATGAATCCATAGAATAAATTAATTCTATTTTAGAAGACTGGCATGCTATCCCAGCATTCCAAATAAGCACTATACACACCCCTACTAGGTGATGGAGAGAAAGTGCGGAGATGCCTGATGCCGATGTAACCCCATGTAACACTTGCCACATTTGCATGGAGTAATACTGTGGTAATAGACGCGAATCTGATGTGTATACATGGTGTGTATGTGCATGCACAGATAGCAAGTCCTCCATCTTACTTGCATACCTCCCATCCCACTTTAGTGTTCCTCATAGCACTCACCACCAACTGAAGTTATCTATTTTACCATGAACGCAGCCATGCTTTTATCTGTCTTGTTCAAAGCTGTATCCCCATTGCCTAGAAGAGTCACAAACACACACACACACAGAGACACCCCACACACTCTCATGCATTCATGCACATATACCACACTCTCACACACACTCATGAGTTCACACATATACTCACCCCCCTCCCCCACACGCACACACTCACACACTCATATAAGGTGTCTGGTTGTTCCACAGGAAAAGGCCTATTCAAGATAGATTCCCAAGGGTTTTTTTTCCTGAAAATTGGTCTCTCAGTCACTGACAACATTGGTCCTCAACTTGATGTAGACTTGGGGGTGAAGGGATTCAACCACTAGAACAGGTAGAAGTTGTCCCGTAAGATTCCACTCATGAACTCAAACTTTCCCATGTTCTGCCTAGAGTCTTTGACATTGTCTCATCAGCACAAGGGAGCTAAGGGATCTTAAAATGCCTTATTATTAATATGTCTATTTATTAAACAATCTAAAGTGTGTTAGTACATATACACATAACAATAATTTTGCCAGTGTATTTTATTTAACGAAAACCTTTTGGAGAAGTCCAGAAAACCTTTTGGAGAAGTCCAGAGGGAATGGGGAAGAAAGAAGAAAAACAGAAAAGGTTTTGAGTGAGATGTAGACTCTGCTCTAGTTTTTTTTAGTTTTTGTTTTTTCCTGTCAAAATGCAGCACCATGGCAATGAAATGGCCCAGCTTTGAACTCACTGAGATGGGAAGGTAACAGTTCTGCTGGAAAATCCTGGTCCTGCACAGTTTTCTTTTACTTTGCACTTGGCCAAATGCCAGTTTTGTGACCTTCAGGATGTGATATTAAATTCTTGTTTTTATTCATGAAGTTGCCTGGATGTTCTGGGTTAGAGAAAGTCCATTTGCATCCATAATAAAAATAATACCTTGGGCATTTCATTAAATGTTTATACATTTACCTCAATAGTATGAAATTAGGAATATGTTCCACACTGTTGTATGTAGCCTCTAAAAACATGCTTGGAAACAGATTTCTTCTCAGTCTGCCCTTCCAGTTGATTTCACATATTCATTTAAAACAAGTGTATGAAGCAGTTCCAAATAATTTGGGTAAGAATTCCCAAATTCTGCTATAAATCTCCAGTTGACTACAGTAAAGTTGAGCTTTTTGGCTCACATTATGGGGATGGTTTTCTCTGTATCCCTCTGGTCAGGGCATGTATTAAGAGCTCTTCCAGGCATAAAAACAGGGTGCTGGCTAGGGTTCTGTTTTTCAGTTTGCGAAGTCACGGTCTGAAGTCCAGTGGTGAAGGATTTTAGAAAACCATTTTAGAAGCTCTTAGAAGGGCCGGGGCTATTTTTAGAACTGCAAAAAAGTCATAGGTAAACCATCTATTTATTAAAATGCATCTACAGTTGTTTTTCTGTCTTTGCTTTCCAGTCTAAATTCAATAAATGTATCATTAAAAGTTTTGATTTTACAGTCTAACTCTTCAGATTTAAATGGTTACGATGTCCTTAGTTCATTTCACCAAAACCCCTAAGATTTCATAAATGTGACAGAAATAAAGATCACCATGTTTGGTTTTCTCTGCTAAGTTTTTAAAACTGGATAAAATCAATATTTAAAGCATTCCCCTAAGACATGATTTATCATAGTTCATTTCAATAAGTATAAATCCAACTCATAATTTAGTATTAGTCTAGATGTAAATAATATGATCTACTTCTCCCACACCCACCCCCACTTCCTAGTTTTATCTTTTTGTTCTAAAACAGTTTTTGTTGTTGTTGTTGTTGTTGTTGTTGTTGAACAAAGGTCTGGTTGAAGTCACTGTGAGTGACTTACAAACAGGAGGATTTTCACATCCCTGCTAAGTTACCCCTTGGATGACATTTTTATCTATGTGTCTTCTTAAAGCAGCTTGTGCCAAACATGCAAAGGTTAACAGGATGCAGATAACACAGCTTAATGGGGTCAGATCAAGCTGATGCATGATCACTATGGAGAAGAATATCCTCCCGGGGAAAATACTTGTACTGAAAAATCCCATAAACCAAACCACTTGTTTATCTGTCATTCCCACAGAGATAGTAATGTAATTACTCTCGTAATTATCTTCATTAGTGTCAGGCATTATCTACAATTCATTCCTCTGCTCGAAGAGTATGTTTGTTTATTTGCTGATTTTTTTTTTTCCTCTCTGACTTGGCCGAGTTAAGAGTTTTGTATTTGTAAAGCTGTACGCAGACATCTGTGCTGAGCCTCTCTGACATTCTCTCCCCTAAAATATAGATTGCTGTCTTTCAGTTCCAGAACCCCTACGCCCACTCCCTGACATCTGCCCTTCATTACTTGGTTCCCGTGCGACCACGACGACAGATTGTCTATCCTCTGGAAAAGCTTGGCATAAACGCTCCATCAAAGGCGGTCTCCAAGGATCCGGTGGGTAGCAGGGCGGCAGGCAGGGCGGCGCGGTGCCAGCTCCCGCGGGCCTGGCAGATGGGGTGGCAGTGCTGTCTTCACAGGAGCAGGCTGCTTCTTAATTACAGGGAACCTGGTGCTCATACCCTTACAGGCGGAGCCCCGCGAAGGCTCCCCTGCAGCCCTTTCCCTCAAGTCGTTATTTCCCGGGAAGCCTAAAGCAGTAGCCACAGGACCCTGCAGGGTCATGCCATGAGGATACCTCTCAGGCTGCTGTGTCCCAGGACAAAAGGCCTAGAGTCATCCTCCAGCATATTTTCATTTTCTTTCCCTGTCCTCAAAAGCAGATTCCCCCTTTCAATGATGTTTTGCTTTCAATGCATTAAGTGGTCATTCGCTGTTAGGACAAAGCTGACAGAGAAAACAGAGCTGGCTGCATTCGAGATGTTTGGGCCCCGGGTCCTAAGCTGGTTTGTTTAACTCCCTCCTCCATTTGAATCAAGATGATTAACAGAAGCATATGAGCTGCCCTGGGGCAGCAGGAGTTTCTGACCTTAAAATGAATGGCCAGGGGCCACTTTTATTGGGAGAACAGGAAAAAGGACTGAAATCAAACCTAGATATTCTTTATAAATGGAAATGTACCTGTATACATACACACAGTTTTTTCAATAACTTAATTGGAAAACATAATTTTCTCATGTTGACTGATATGGGCTTGTAGTGTTTGTATACTCTTTCACTTAAGTAAGTAAAAAAAAAAAAAATCCCTCAGTGGGCTAACATTTGTCCTTTGTGAGACAGGAAAAAAGGAAAGTGTAAGTTTAAACTCTCCAAACACTTACCCAAGGAGCTGCCCCTCAGAGCTGGAGACGATGCTGAAATAAACACCTCGCAATACGCTCGGCGCTGCAGGAAGGACATCACCCGACCCAGAGCCTGTCTTACTTGTGCGTGCACTGAGGGATGGGGCGTACCTCCATCAGACCAACTCAGAGGCAGCTTTGCGGGTGCACTGAGGGATGGGGAGGGCACCTCCATCAGACCAACTCAGAGGCAGCTTTGTGTCTTACATTCATCTTTATATTTGTAAAATAACAAAAAATTTATATCATTGTAAATTTATATGTGAGTAGAGACTGTTCATATAAAGCAGGACTTCTCAATCTATCTGTCCTTTTTTTAATTAATGTGCAATTAGTCATGGACTGATAGTTTTGTAAAAAGTGAATTCCTGGGAAAACAAGATTAGAAAGCAAAGACAGACAAAATTCTTTTATTATTAGATTTAACAGACATAGCATTACTCTGCTGGTTTGCTATAAAAGCTTCTGAATGCTTCTCTCGGTCTCTCTTACTCATATCTTCATAGACTTGTAATAGTTTGCACATGGGCACCTGTTCCAGAACACAGATTGAGTGGCACTGGAATGCCCACGCACTCAGCACCCAGCTGCAATGATTTGCAACTCCTTAGCTAATTTTGGATGATCTGTGCCCCCACCACTTCCCCTTTCTCCTATATCATTTTGAAGCAAACTCCAGATTCATATCATTTTATCTGAAGGTCACAGGCATATTCTTAAGTAGCAGGGTCCACAGCACTGGAGATGAGACGTGCCTAGCCCACCTGGAAGACATTTGGGATGGGCCACCATGTGGTCTGTTTGCATGTGAAGATCCTGGGAACAGACTGCTTTGGAAAGAGAGCCAACACCCAGAAGTTTGGTGCAAAGACAGTGTCTTGGGGTCAGAGACAGTGGCTACATGCTGTCTCCACCACTGAAACACAGTTTCCACAGAGGCAAACTGATCTCTGGAGAAGGCGCTGGGCATAGAAGTACATGGATGTGCCAGGCGTACAACCTTGCAGCTTCCGTATCAGATCAGGGTCAGGATGAGAGATGCTGACCTTCTGCAGTCAGTGCTGACACTTATACTTCAGTGGCAGCCCACGGCTCCTGCACCTTCAGCCAGCCCTCTGGCAGCGTGGGTGGCCTGGCTGGAGCTGGAGGGAGGAGTCCAGAGCTGCTGCGTGGATATCAGGAAGCATCGTTTTTATGAATATGAAGCAGTTCCACACCTGCCCCCTCCCTCCCACCCTACTGTGAGAATTTTCAGTTAGGTGACTTTGAGGTGAGTTGGAGCTCTAGGTGGGGAGAAAGCCAGAGAGAACATTTTATTTCATTTAAAATTATCTTATTACTGCTTCCCAGGTTGCTATGATCCGAAACCATTGCTTACATTGAGTAACCTTTTCCATGTTTATCTCAGTATGCTGTGCCCCTCACCCCTGAGCCCTGGTGTATTTCAGCACAAAGCCAAGATGTATTGTTGAAACCCAGGGTCCAGGAAGACAGCCACTTAGCAAATGGGTGGGAGGATTCTAACACAGATGCCTGCTACCTGCTGCTCGTGCTATTGTGCTTATTTCACAGGTGAATTCTGACTGTTTAAGAAGCACTTTTATTGCTACTCATTGTACTCAAGCTTCAGAAAATTGTAATGGAGATTTAGATTTAGTAAACAAGATTCAGTGAAAAATTTTAGACATATTAAAAGTTTAATCACAGGATTATTTATCGAGACCATAATCCCCATGGAATGGGCCTCGGTATTAAAAAGTTAAAATGCTAAATTATATTATTAAAATTATTTTTCTCTTTTTAACATTTTAGACAGTTTTAATGTTTTAGAGTGATTATCTGACACAAGTTGAGCCAAGTAGAATATTTTTAGGAGGAATCTCAGTATAGCCCTCAAGACATTGTTTTCTTAGTAGAGCAATAGCATTGCAGTAGCAAACTGTGCAAGGCTGAGCAACTGTCATTACCAAATGAATGAATTTTCCCTTTAGGTTTCACATCTCCCACCGCCCCCCCGCCACAACCCCTCCCAGTGCATCAAGCTTTATATGAGACCCTCAGCTCCCTCACCATGTCCATATCATTTCTCTTGCTGGCCACTCGTCTTTCATACCTTTTATCCTATTTAAAGCATCTTAGAGTGACCATCCAGTCCCTACCTTTCACCTAGGAAGCCAATCTTCAAGGGAACAGATCACTCCAGGCATGAGTAATGGGATAGAAAGCATTTCATCTCGGTAGGTTGCCAATTTGAATCTGGCACAAGGAAGCAGTGATTGAAATTCATCACTGCATGGCAGGGAAATATGCCCTCGCTCCCACCCCAAGGCCTTCCTAATTCCTGCCTGGTTTGGACGATCAGTGTCCCGGCCACAACACCTTCCCCGTCGTTTCTATTAATTGACAGCCTACCCCGCAGCAGGTCATAAAAAAGAGCCTAGAAAACATAAATGATTTTCATCACACATTTCAGAATCAGGCCTCAAAGATTCATAGTAATGTCTCCACAGTCAACCAGTGTGAATGCATGGGTAAGAGAGAGGGCTTTTTCCTGACCAAGACCGTAATTGACATCATAGACCTGAAAGATTCTTTTCTGAGCTTGAATGAGCCATCTTGGCCTGTGCTTTTACATTAGGAGAGTTACTCTCATGGAAGTTTTTATTAGATGACTCGTCAGGGCCTGCCTGCATAAGAATTATTATTTTTTACAAAATTATTTTATTTCTTTAATTTTTAGTTTTTGTTGGTACACAGTAGGTATCGATGTTTATAGGGTACATGAGATATTTTGATACAGGCATGCAATGAGTAATAATCACATCATGTAAAATGGGGTATCCATCCATCCCCTCAAGTATTTATCCTGAATGAGTATTATGATCAGGAAAACACTCAAAATTGGGCTGAATTAATTTAGTGGTTATATTGATTAAAGACAGCCGAACAAGCTGCCTTACACTTATTTTGAGGGTGGGTCTACATACAAACCTGTTTTCTTTCCTTTCTGCCTTTTATAGGGATTCAGATATGACTGTGTCACCATCCATGCCTGCATGGAGCTTCCAGTCTAGTTTCAGTATTAAATGGGGGTAGATGAGGGCTTGTACTGGCCTCCTAGGTGACACGAGCCCAAACTCAGGAGAAATAGCCACACTGGGCTCAGACCTGTTTCTGCAGAATTCCTGGAGAGGGAATGTGTTTGAGAAAAAGGCACTGCTTCCTTTCCAGGAATGGGAGTTTACACAACTGTTATTTGTCATATTACACTCCAGAAAACCTGCTTTGAACTTAAAGAGCCCCTCCCATTGCCTCAATGTCAATAGTTGCTCCCCATCATCCACTTCAGTCACTTCAGCTCTTCATCTTGGTTTATTGTGTTCATAGAATTGTAGCGTGAACTCACCTCTCTCTCAGTTATTTTCAGAACTAAATCAACCCTTCATCCTTCCTGAGCAATCATACTTTCAGAGTGATCTTGTTTTTTTCTGGTTGCTTATTAATGATGGTCTGATTAAATCTCAACTAATGAATTCTTTGGAGGCCTCCATTTGGATTCTGTGCATTCATTTCTCCACATTTTTTCTTTGTCCTTCTACAAAGAAAAATGACGGCTTATGGAGCCCCTCCCCCTCAGAGCTAAGTGATGGCCCTGCTTTTTCCTGGTATGTGATCTCTCAGGAAGATGTCACTCACTGGCATTCAGTTACCCTTTGAATTGCCCCTTTTCATCTGGCTGTTCTTCCCAGTCCAGCTATAATTACCATCTGATGGACTGTTACTGGATACTGTTTCACTTGTGCATCTGCTGCCCTAGGAAATTGCATTATTCTCCCAGCACCTGCTAGATTTTCCCCAGCTTTATTGTTTCCCAGCCCCTTCCTTAAACTTGGTAACTTTCACCGCCAGTGGTTAGACTTCCCTTGGTTATATTTGTGGTCGGGGTATGTGGTGTGTTTTTAGCTCTTTGGCCATCACCTTGGTAGAGGTTTCTAAAAAGGCAGACCTGTATTTTTTCAGCATCATATATGCTCTAATCATTATTAATGTGACGATGGGAGGCATATTTTCTTGAAATGAAATTAACCCACTTTAAATCATCGCCATGAGTCCAGTTTGCTGCTTCAAGCCACTTCCCAGCCAGTTCCTATGTGTTTACACTATCTATGAGAAGTGCATTTCCTTCTACTTATAGTGAACTCTTTTCTCTCAGATTCTTGGGATCATTTACATAAGTTCCTTTATGGGCTTTCTTCTTTCTACAATACAAGTTCTGTGGCCATTTCTTTCCAATTCTCTGAACATTGTCTAGTTTAATATAATATGTTATATATTATATAAGTGTCTATTATATGAATAGTATATAAATATTCACCAGAAGGACTTATAAACCAGTGTTTATTCTCATTACTGTCCTAATTTTTCGCTCTTAGAAAGGTTACAAGGTAATAAAAACAACTACTGTTGCATTACTGTTACTTCCTGAGCTCTTGCTTAAAGAATTCCCATGGAGTTTCTCATCTAGTCCTCTCATCAGCACATGTAAACAGTTACTGCAATTACCATCCTCAGTGTACCTAAAGCAAACAGGCTTGCCAGGAGAGCAGGTAAATAACTTGTCCAAAGGCAAATTAATTGACAGAGTTTCAAACCCAGGCAGTTGGTTGCCAAAACTCCTGTCTTTAACTACTACAGATATACTTTCCTACCTAAAGGCTGAAGTACTAATATGACTCATGATAGGAAAACCAAACTACAGAAAAGGAATATGGCTTGATACAGATCTTGTTGAACCTCACAAGTCCTTGGCACCAGGTACTTAACAAAAAGGTGACCCACAGACGATTGCATTTCTCCCAGTGCAGTTTGAATTTTCCTCTTGGCTGAATCATCCACTCTTGGGTTTGATCTGGTACCAGCCTGACCCTGTCTGACCTGGGCTAGGAAGGAACAGACATGGGTCCAGGTTGGTGTGCTGGCAGGTTTTGGACACCTGCTGATTCAGGCTGTCTGCAGTTAGCTCTCTGCTGTATGGGTTTGTTGTTGCAAACCTTTGTAATTTTTGTTGTTACAAAAAACCTTTGTTGTTACAAAATTATGGTGGCAGCTGCTGGGAAAGGAAGAAAAAAATTATGATCCCATATGGAGGCTACATTATACATTTCCCAAGATTCAGTTCCATGTTGGATGTGGTTTCAGAACCCAAGTAAGTGCCCATCAGATGAGTAACTACAGGTTTATTTTTTGGGGTGGGGGTTGGGTGGAGGGAAGAGACAGGATGTGAATTACTGGCATGATCAACAAGCTGTGGAAATTGTTGAGTAACTGGGCAGTGGTCAGGTGGCAAGATGAGGCTGTAAGGATATGATAGAGAAGAAACTGGGAAGAGTAACTTCTTAACATCTTAGTGTTGTCAGGAATCGATGCTACATCTTATCCTCATTTTCTAGGACAGATATTTATAGGACAGTCTCTCTCTTCCCACAGCCATGTCTTTAACAGCTTCACATTGAGATATAAATCATACATATACACCATACAATTCACCCACTTAAACCATACAATTCAAAGGTTTTTAGTATATTCTCAGAGTTGAACAACCATCACCACTATCTAATTTTAGAACATTTTCATCACCTGCAAAAGGAACCTGTACCCATTGGCAGTCACTTCCTCTCTTTCCCAGCCCTCTGCTCTCAGCCCTAGACAACCAGTAGTCTACTTAATCTCTCTATGAACTTACCTACTCTGGACATTTCATACAAGTTGCAACATATACTATGCGGTATTTTGTAATTGGCTTCTTAGCATGTTTCATCCACGTTGTAGCGTGTGTATCTGTACTTTATCTCTTTTTTATTGTTGACTATCCTATTGTGTGGATAATACTATATTTTATTTTTTCATGCATGAGTTGATGACATTTGAGTTATTTCCACTATTTGGCTATGATGGAAATGTTGCTATGAAAATTTGCACACAGGTTTTTGGGTATATATATATACCATATATATATATATGTTTTCATTTGGGGGGCGGTGTCTATACCTACAAGTGGGACTGCTGGGTCACATGGTAACTCTATGTTTAATATTTTGAGGAACTGCCAAACTATTTTCCAAAGTGACTGCATTATTTTGCATTCTTTCATTCTTAGATCAGATTCGGCATTCTGGCTAATAATTGATGAAGTGCTGGTCAAATCAAGGCCATTGAAGGGCAATGTCTCAACTGTTCTTTCAGTTTCAGAAGTAGAGTTTCCACCACTCCAAGAGAGCTTCATACACACATTTGAGACTACACTGGTAATACTGTTTCAGTTCTTTTGAAAGCAGAGATTTTTCTAAAATAAAACC
Organism: Homo sapiens; assembly: GCF_000001405.40. Lineage (NCBI taxonomy): Eukaryota > Metazoa > Chordata > Mammalia > Primates > Hominidae > Homo > Homo sapiens. The sequence goes on from NC_000020.11 coordinate 20,207,104, forward strand.
TCTGTTAGCTTTCCTGCTTCACCCTCTCTAACTCAGCAGCCTCTTGTGGTCCTGTGTGGACATCTAAGAGAGCTCAGGTAGCAAACAAGATGCCCATCCAAATGCAGGAGGAAAATGGGGGACTTTCTGTTTTTTTAAAGCCACCAGCAGGTTCTTTGTTTGACCCACCTTTAGTAATATTATTGCTGTTAAAAAGAGCTGCCACTGCTTCCAACAGAAAAGAAAAAATTCTAAGGATTTCCTGGATGCTGATCGGGTTCTTGCCACAACCCAGTAGGGGGAAAAAAAATGCATTCTCCTCCCTGCAGAGCCAGGGTAATGAATGCCACAGAGGTCCAGAAGTGCCTCCGGACGCATCAGCTGCCTGCTGCAGAGCTCTGGAAGCCTGCAGCCTAGCAAGGCTCCGGGTGGAGCTGAGCTCCCAGGCAGAAACTGGCCGTGGCAGCTAAGTGGCTTCTTCAGAATCTGCCTTTAGGGAAGAAAGGAATGGCAGCTCCAACGTGAGGCTTTGCTTTGTGTATTTTAAAGTAGCTGGGGATATAAAATGACAAAGAGGACAATTAGAGCTGCAGATACTGACTAGAGAAGTGACATCTTTTCCCCTTGATTAAAAATAAATATGTTATTACAAAAGCAATCTATGTTTTTGGTAGAAATTTTAGGAAAAAACAATAGAGAAAATCAGTAAAACCTTCACTCCTCCTATCTTTTGATTACCTTTGTTAATATTCTGGGGTTTCAACTTCTGGATTATTTTCTGTGAAAAAGACTGCATATATGCTATTAGATATGGGGTTATAGTGTTTGAAACATGCCTCTTCACTTAATATGTTATGACTGTATTTACTTGTTACTAAGTATTGTAAAGTGTGATTTTCGTGGCCACACAGTTTTCTGTTAAGCTGCAAGCCCCGCTGCTCAGTGAGTCCTTTCCTCCTGCCCGGCCCTGCATTACATCCTGTCCCGGATGATCTCCTTTCATTCTCACAGATGTTTCAGAGTCATCGTCTCCATTTTGCAGTGGGGAAAACTGAGGTTAGTAGAGGTTTGGTAATGCAAATGAGCGTTAAGCCAGTAGGACTTGTGTGAAGTCATAAAGCCACTTGAGTTCTGTATCTCATCGTCCTGTAAATATGTTCTATGTGGCTGAGTTTTCTCCTGCACCCAGATGGAAAGTGAGCAAGTTCTGGGACCTTCTGGTCAATTCTAGGTCATTAAAGCTGTATGGGTCACTTCCAATCACAATATATGATCTTAATTCCATAAAATGTCCAATTTCATTTTATGTAATAATCAAAATTCAATTTTCCTCCAAGGGTTAGACTCCCCTGACCCGCTGCTGAAGCCTGCAGCACATAGGAAGCCTGTGGCTGGAGAAGGCAGGATGGGGAGGGCCTCTTGTCTCTTCCTAACTCTCGTGCCCCTTCCACTTAGCATCTATATAGCTTTTCAGTATTTAGTGTTTTCTCTTTCTTTAGCCTATTAGTGTCTTCTTATTATTGAGTTGAATTTCTAGTCTTTCTGAAATTGGGGTCAGGGCAGGGAGGAACAGTTGGAGGAGGAGGCAACTCCATGATGCAGGAGATGCCATCCTCTAGCTTTGACACTGAGTCTCATTTGCCCCTGGAGGTGCCCCATAGGAAGGACCTGCGAGAAGAGCTCTTGCCTCTGTGGGTCAGCAGGTTCTGCCCGTGCAGGCCACCTGCCCTTCAGCTCACCCAGCACATCCATCCACTGTGTCTAGGGGACTCACATGAAGCTCTTGGAGGGCTCCCAAACCCTTTCTGTGACTTAAAGCAAAGGACAAGGCACCCCCTCCATCTGTCCTCTTTGGGGTGGGGGGGCATGGGACTCACAGCACGTCAACAGTTCTCCTGGAAGAAATCTTCAAAAAAGCCCCTTCTGCATGTACTCATCTAACCCTTTCATGTCTTCATTATAAGTTAGGAGTTAAAAGGCATTTAATCGGTGCTTGCCACTGACTTTGGCATTTTTATAAGGGGGCTCCTTTGGAATGTAGCATCTATTTTCTTCATGCCGAGGCCACACAGCTGCTAAGTCACGGTTTGGGGACTAAACAGTGTGATGTCAGAGCCCACGATTCACCATTGCTGTGTGTAGGCCAGTTCCCTCATGTTGGTTAAGTTTTTATCCCAATTTTTATCACGATGAACAGTGCTACCATATCTGCCCTTATTATTTTTCAGCACATTTGTTTTGATTTCCTTTGAACAAATTCCTGGAAATGGTATTGCTCAGTCAAAGGTAAAGTTACTATCTCTTTAATCAAAAAGCATAAAGTTTTAGAATTTGAAAATGAAAACTTGTGATTCCTGAATTGAAAAAGATGATTTCTCTTGGCAATATGTTGCTTTATCTAAGCAACATACAGAGTACAGAGATATACAACAAACCCTCTTTTTTATGTCAGATACAGATTTTTAAGACAAGTAACCAGGTGTGCAAAAGGATACATCTTTTATTTTCCTATTTTTTTCTAATTGAGCTGAGTCTCTGCTTTGAGCCTTTATTCCACCTGATGGGAGTAAAAGTAACCTCCATCAATTCTGGGTAAATTTAATCATTTAATGTTTACATTGAGTCCATTTGGGAGATTTCTTCTTTCATGTTTTTAGGCAGGTAGGAAAGACATCCAAGTTCTCAGGAGCTCATGGACATGGAATGTCATGGCATCGTGGCAGGCGGGGAGGAGGCTGGGAGGGGAGGTACCTGCTGCTTGGGTAGTGCCTGTCCTCACAGGAATCCTGAGTTCAGAACATCAGCTTTTGTCCTCAGGCAAAGTCACCCCTTGTCCTGGCATCCAGGCCCCCGCAGCCCTCACTGCTTGCTGCAGAAGAATCCCATCCTCACAGCCTTGAGGCCAGTCTGAGTGTGGCCTTGTGTTCCCTGGAGCTACGTGCTCTCTTCCTCTCCGCTTTCCTTGCTTTGGGCTTTCAGAAGCTCATTGCTGCCTCATTTCCTTCCTCATCCAGGAAGTTCCCTCAGCCATCTCCACTGGACTCTTCCCAGGACAAGGTGGCAGTAGAGTCTCCCTTGTGAGGCAGTCTCCTTCCTGTATTCTCCAAAATCTTTGTAGGGATCCTGCCCCCTTCCTTCCACTTTCCTGGCCTTAGCCAGAGGAAGGAGAGGGCTGCGCTGCACTGATTTCTCCTTCTTCCCCTCTGGCTTTCCTCCTCCTGGTCCTCAGACAGTGGGCTCGCTGTCCCCATGTGTTCTTCTGCATCTGTCATTGGAAGCATCAACTTTGACTTTTGATGCATAACAGTCAGGCTTTTCAGACTCAAAAAACCTTCTTGCAACCCGTTATCTGCCTGGAAACAAAACAGCACAGAATTGACGCATTTGTTCTCTGGGGCTGGGTCTGCCCAAAGGCCTGGTGTCCCCTGGCTGTTGCCTGCAGCATCAGGAGGGGTCATGAGTCAGCAGGGATTGGCAGAAATGAAACACATCTGCTAGTACAAAAACAACACCCCACTAGGATGACAGCAGCGACAGACACATGAAACACAGACCACGAATGCCCCTCTGGGGCTGGCCGACTCCCTCTGGCTCATGGAAGAATTATAAAAATGTGATTCCATTCATTATGAAGTGATTGGAGGTCAGTAGATGCATATAGAATAAAGTACAGTGTCATAAGCCTAACTTTCAGGCCTTTTTATTAAAACTTTCACTTGTTACATCCCGTTAATAAATTCTAGTTTTACAAATGGGATATGGGCCAGGCACAGTGGCTCATACCTGTCATCCCACACTTTGGGAGGCTGAAATAGGAGGATCACTTGAAGCCAGGAGTTTGAGACCAGCCTAGTAACACAGTGAGACCCCTACCTCTACAAAAAATAAACTATTTAAAAAATGGGTTTTGCCTTCCTGGAAGATGTGAAAGATCAGGAAAAACAACCGAGAACCTAGAGAGGTTTTACATTCAAATTAAACTGAGATGGATTAAAAGCCTTCCACAGTTTAGTAATTTTCCTAAAGCAATTTGAGTTTGGTTATCTTTATTTGCACACTCATCAAATCCAGAGGGAAAATGGCATTTGAGTTCATCAGAGGCAGAGGATTAAATGGGCCTTGGAAAGTGCAGTACCTGGTTAGCCGGGGGCGCGGTCCTCCCAAAGGGCTGCCCCACGTGGCCTTGGTCGAGTGGGCAGGGACTGCCTTTCACCTCTGTGTTCCATTAGAGAAGCAGCTTGAAGCCCACAGTCCTCAGTTCTCAATCTGCTCTCATTCTCCAGGGTTGAGCCACTTTAAGTATCAAAACTTTTAGTCTGAATGTTGCCTCAAGACCATTAAGCTTAGTCAAGATGACTGATGTCATGATCTCCATAGTAACCAACTTAATAAGCAAGAAGAAAATACAAAAGATGACTTAAAAACAGGGGAAAAAAACAGAATAAATAAGGTATGAAAATAGCATGGGAGCCATAAAGATTTTTTTTACTGCCACTTTGAGATATCAAACATGACTCAGCTACAGTGCAGGCAGGCATGAGCCATTTGGTCCGTCGAAACCCATGGCAATAAACATAAATTACAGACTGTGCCACATTCCTACTTCTTGTGCTGTTCAATTGTGTCCCAGGTTTTGTTTGTTTTATTTTTTCATATAATTCAGTGCATTGAAATTATCACCATGGTAGTCACTGTAATTGTGGTTTTTATGGTAGTTTATGTATTTAACCAAAAAGAGCTGTGCTTCCAGGGAACAGGTCTCAGGCAGCACTTTCCAGTCACCTTAGCAGAGCTCCTCTCTCATGCAAACCACCCCTCCCACCGCCCTTCACGGATCTGTGGGGACAGCACTTTTCATGAAACTGGAGTTGACGGTTGATTTAAAAAATGGATTTGAGTATTATCTGTCACAAATCACAGTTGAGCAGGTCCCAAAGATGGGCTGACAATGTCCCATAGAATTATATATCACAAGTCTTTTGATTTGTTTGCAGACAACATCGATCCCCACACACTGGGTCTTTGGTCACCGTGTGTTGGTAGGACCGAGGCTGGCAGGCCCCTTTCAGACCATGTGACTTCTAACAGCTCAGTACTTCCACCACCCCATTCAAGAGCGGAAGGCGGCCATAGTTCACAGAGCCCAAATTCCAAAACGATCTCCAGGCCCCTGAGGACTCAGATGCTTCTCATGACTCTCTCTCTCTGTCCCTCTCTCCCTCCAGCCATCTCTCTCACACACACACCAGGCATACGTAAATACATACACACAGAGTACACACAATCCTCATCCAAGTTTGGCCCCGGGGAAGTGCTTAAACTTCCAATTCCAAGCACGTCTACATGTCGTCACTTCCTGGTGCGGTGGGAGACAACAGCCTGATTCTGGAGTTCTGTGACCCACCCCTGCCTCACCAAGAGCCAGGTGTGCACCAGAAGCCAGGTGGGTTTGTCTCTCCCTGAGCCTGTTTCTCTACCCCCACCAAACCATGTTTCTAGGTGTCCTGCTTTTTGTCCATGAGCCCGATAAACACCATGGCTTTTGTACCTGCTTTTCAACTGAGAGAGGAACCCCTGCTATCCTCCACCCCCACCTGCCACTGAGAAGTCCCCTTGTTGGTCACTCCCTGCTCCTGCCTGGATAGGCTTTTCTGTTGAAACCGCAAGCACAGGGCCTGTTCTGCTTCGCTGGTTAGGAGGCTTGGTGGTGGAGAGTTAATTGATGTCATTCATTCAGTCAGTATTGTTGTGTACTGATCATGTGGTGGGCCCAGCTCTGTGCTCTGTGGGGACAGCCATAAATAGGCACATCCCTGCCACATAGCACTTGTGTTCTAGTTGGAGCAGCAGACAGTACACAAACAGACCAGGAGGCACCGTGTCCGGTGGCAGCAAGTGCCATCAGGAGGAGAGCCCGGGAGGGGAGGGTGGGAACAGGGCAGGTACAACTCCTCTGATCAGGATCATTTAAGCAGAGCCCTGACTCCATAGAACACAGAGGTGGCATGTGGGCCACAAGGAAGCAGCTAATGCCACTTCTTCCCTCAGACCCTCCAGAAGGCTCTGCTGCCTGTGAGCCCCTCCTCTGAAAGACACGCCTCCACACACACTCAGCCCGTGCAGCTTTGGTGCTTTTGACTTAGTTTCATAATTATTTTGAAAGAATTTCATGCAAGAAGCCCATCAGATGCAATTAAAACATGTCAAATATGTTCTCAAGGCAAACCCTCCCATTTTTAACCTTGTCCAGCTTGTGAAAGTATAACCAGTGCTACATGTGATTGTAACTCCCCTTGAAACCACCGTTGCTATTTCTCAAAACGGGAGGGGAAAAGCAAGCCAGTGGGCTCAGAACATGAATTTAGAATTTCAGGAATCCAAATTTTGGAAAAGGTGAAATATTTTACCTCCATGGCAGTTGGCCTCCCAGGAATTCCCAGGGAGGACACTGTATCTGTTTAAGAAAAAAAAAAAAATGACAAAGTAACCCATTTTGAAGGCTCTACTCAACAGATGTGTAGAGTATAGAAATCTATGTATTATTAAATAATTCTTTTTAATATGCTCAAGAATAAGCAATTTGTAAGCCTGTTTACGTTCTCACCATCTGGGTGCATTCTGTCACCCATCTGTTTCATGTAATTATGTAATTATCAATATAAGGAAAGAATAGGTGATATAATTAACAAGAAAAACTGATCCACACTGAAGAGTAAAAATGACATGCATCTGTTGAATAGCTTTTTGTTTCTCTCCCCTTCGTTGTTAACTGTTTTTTCACACCCTTCAGGAGAGCTGTTTTCGCCATGGTGTGCAATCTCTCTCTCTCTCTCTCTCCACCCCCTCCCCGCCCCCTCATATGAAGGCAGAGTGTTTCATCAGGTATTATGGAAGCGACACAACTTTGAAAGAAATGAGCAAAGGCTTCTTGGAGTTATTCATTGATTCTTTACCTCTGTGAGGGCCCTGATAGTCACTTCCAGAAGATGTAAGGTAGCAGCTAGAACCCTAGGAAATATTTGAATTAATTAGTGACAGATGGAAGGACAGGGCAGTGTGGGGCCCTCTCAGGATACTGGACAGAGAAGCTGTTTGAGAAAAATTCCCATACTCGGTGCTTTTGTTTTGATATCCAGGCTCAGGCAATCTGTGTTGTTCCATAACAGTACCACCATCCCAGTGGATTGTGTTCGTTTCCACATAATCCCACTTAAGTTAGTCGCTGGAGTAGCTCCTTTGTGTAACAGAGCTTTGTGTATGTGGGCACACAGATGGAATTCAGGCAACTTCCTCACCCTGCAAACAGAAATGGCAGGAGAATGGTCACCCCCTCCTCAGTCTGACCAGGCCAGGCTCCAAAATTCTCCCTCCATGACTTGGAACGAGCAATACGTATGTATTCAGGGAGGGGCATCGCAGTGATCTCTTAGTTTCTGTGACCCCCCACCCCAAGCCCTTCTGTTGAGTCCTAAATTCAGTTCTCCAAAGATGAACACTGTCCACAGGGATTCTCCCCAACAATGGAGGAAGCCATCCCTGAAGATGCATGGTCTTGACAAAACCTTGAATTTCAACCCCAAGTCACACAAAGAAGACTCACAGCCCCCTGGACCGCTGTAAACAGCAGTCACTATTAGAGATGAAGGCCTAAAATCTCAACACTTCTTTCCACTGATGGAAAATTTGGGAGCAGGGCTCCCCTCCTGGCCTCCTCAGTATTCTGCAGACATCCTGCCCTCTGTCCCAACAGGGATCTTGCCTGCAGAGCGCTGCACCTGCTTCCTGTTTAGGGCGCAGGGCAGGCAGAAGGAGAGTGGAGAGAGAGAAGCATCCACAGGGAGCAGACTCATAAAACTACAGGGGCTTTCTAAGCAATAGCTCTCACCAAGGAATTAAACCCCACTCAGACACTGACAGAGAAATCTCTTATTCAGTCACTTCTTAACTTTTTTTTCTTCAAACAGTGCCACTCACTTACTCTAGGGCTCACTCTGTTTCCTCTTGCTTGGTGATCATTTTGCATGTTGAGATTGTGTTGTTTTGGAGACGCGTGCTCATCTTGGCATCTCGTGACAGAGCCTCTTGATGGCACAGTCTCCGTCCAGGCTTGGCTTCTGGTTCACCTCCCACACGGGAAGCCTCATGTCAAAGCAGCCACTGGCTTCTCTGCCTTCATTGTTCCATGTCCAGCAAGCAAATAAATAATTAGTTCCCACGCAGGTTTCTCTTTGTTTCTTTGAGTCAAAAATTATTCTTTGATAAGTCCTCCATAAAGCCTTCCTCTAATCCTCCACGAAACCTTCCTCTAATCTATCTGTATTTTGAATTGTTATTGCTAAGGATTTTGTTCTTAAAACAACGGATACCCATAGAACAAGCATATTGGAGAAATCACTGGCATGCCATGGGGAGAGTATTTGGAAGGAATAAGTAGTAGGGACAAACATGGCTGGGATACTCAGGGGATTTTGTTGGTTTTGACTTTATGTTTCCTTAAATCCAAAGTTAAAATAGTTTAATTGCAATCATCACTGACTAATCCATTAAGGATTTTAAAGAAAATAATACCACGTGACTCCTAAAGACCCTTTTGTTTGCCATTTCTAGTTTTGAAAGGTTTTAACCATGATTTCTTTTTCAAGAAACATTTCAATTGTATTTTTTAGTATTTAACCAAAGAACATAGAGTGATTCTTCCTCAAGAGGAAATTATTATAGAAGACCTATTTATATATATATATATCATATTCAACTAAAAATAAAAATAAAAAAACTTCATATTCTGTACTGAACCACATTAAAAATCATTAAGGCTTAGACTATATGGTTTTCATTTAACCCTCAAAAGTGGCATTAATTTTTCAAGTGGTAACTGTTGCTTAAGATGCTATTGTGCCTGTTTGATAAATGTTTAATGATTTGGTAGTACATGCATGGCTTAAAATCCATTATTTATTGCACCTTTGCTTGCCTGGCAAAGGTGACGATTTTATAGCCCCAGCAGTCATGCAAACACATTTATACCAAACCGATGACTGATAATAAATTTCCTTACTGTAAATGTCAGTGGGTTTCATGTGTTGCTGCCATTACATCTTGTTTGGAAGCTGAATGCTACACAGTTATGGGAGGCGCCAGATGGTGTCATTAACACGAACACTGGGACTGTTTACCGCTGACGTGCGTGTGAGAAATTAAAAGTACGTGACCTATCTTTACACTGACGTGTGATGTCAGTGGTGAACGGGTGTTAATTACAGTGCAATATGCTTGCCTAGTCCCTTCCATCCCACTCAGAGGGGTTTTAGGGAATTTTTTGAAAATAGTTTGTGTTTGAATATACACAGAGTGAGCAAAAGGGAGAATTTCCCGAGGACTCCTGTTTGGTTTTGTATTTGGAGTCTCAGACACCCTGCAAGTCACAGCTGTCATCACATAGGTGTCACTCTCATGAGCAGCAACCCACATCCCTGCCAGGACTTCTGGGCATGGGGAAGCCTTTTGTGCTGATTAATTACAGCAGTATTGTTATTGCTGTTTGCTTGGTTGGGGGTTTTATTTTTATTTTCGTAACTACTTCAGATATTTTGAATACTGTTTTGGAAAAGTTTCCATTGAGAGCATGGAATTAACATTTTTTTAAACTGCTGTCAAAATCATCAGGAATTGATTCAAAGAATGAGAAGAAAAACAGTGGAAATTTTCTATACCAATTTTTTTTTTTTCATGGGATGGGATCTTCATTTCCTAAGAATTAGCGGTAAAGACTTAGATCTTTATTTTCCCTGATCTGATGTGAAGTATCTGAGTGACTGAAATTAGCCTTGTGTGTTTTATTAAAATGTTTCTCTAACTTGTGTTCAGCAGTGGCCACTCCCATTTATTGTATTTCAGCTTCCTTCCTGTTGACGTTTCTGCTTAGCTCTCTTTTCATTTCTATTTAAAAAGAAGGTGGATTTGTTTTATTCCTCCCTCCAAGTCCTTCACTTGAACCAAGAGGCTATTCCATTGAATCTGACCAAATTCCTTTGAACTTTGTAGCCTTAGCATACTCTGTAGGAATTTTCAGAAAGGCTTATTCTTTCAAAACAATCATTGTGCATTGCTTTTACAAAAGCCCAGCGAGCCTTTTGGTGTACAGAATTTTCAAGTCATGTGAAAGAGAATACAAACCATTGTTTGCATTGAGATGAAAGAGATATGCTTAATTTCTTCAGACTAAGTCAGAGATACAATTGGATGTCAACAGAAATAGTGAGCCTAGCTGAAAGACTAAAATTGTGCATGGAGGCACACATTAGAAATTTAAAATAGAGTCGCGCATGTTAGCTTGCTCACAGGACACATGTGTGTTGAAAATATCCAGGAGTGAAAATAAATATGAAATAAATATCCAGGAGTGAAAATGGTGGCAAGATAGCAAGATTGAAAAGTTGTATCTGTGGAACAGCACTCACTTGGACCAAACTTCTCAGAAAAATGAGTTTTCTGCCACTGCTATCGTTGTTCTAGCAAATGAACCAGAGGCCTAAGCCAGCAGAGCAAATAGCCACTTAAGTTACTGGGCCTGAGCAAACAGCATATTCCCTGGGGGAACAGAAGTTCTCATCTTATTCTGTGTGCAGAGATTTACCAAATAATGTTGCCTGAAGGGAGGTCGTGGTGTGGACACAATTGGCCATCAGCTTTCCCTCCCAGCCTTTTGTCCCAACTCCTTCTCCTCCCTTTGTGTCTCCCTCTGTGTCTGCTTCTTGTATTGCCTCTGCATGACCATGCAGCCTTCTCCTTTCAAAGGTTGCTCTCAGAACATAATCTGCAAATCCATTCATGTAGACTGACCTATGGGTCAGTGGGTGTGTCATCCTTCCAAATCCTTGCCCTGGCTTTTCCCTCTCATCCAGAAACTTGTTCCCTCTTGTTCACCTGGAAATATCCCATTGATTCTGCTAAATTTAGCTCCACTGTCACTTTCTCCAAGCTGCCTTATGTGACTTTTCCTGCTGTCCTAGAACAGTTAAACTTCAGCTGATTCCATGGCTTCCCAGCTGATATGGTTTGGCTGTGTCCCCACCCAAATCTCAACTTGAATTATGTCTCCCAGAATTCCCACATCTTGTGGGAGGGACCCAGGGAGAGGTAATTGAATCATGGGGACTGGTCTTTCCTGTGCTATTCTCGTGGTAATGAATAAGTCTCACGAGATCTCATGAGCTTATCAGGGGTTTCTACTTTTGCTTCTTCCTCATTTTGTCTTGCCACCACCATGTAAGAAGTGCCTTTCACCCTCCACCATGATTGTGAGACCTTCCCCAGCCACGTGGAACTGTAAGTCCAATTAAACCTCTTTCTTTTATAAGTTACCCAGTCTCGGGTATGTCTTTATCAGCAGCATGAAAACAGATTAATACACCAGCTGAGTCCAGAAAAACTTCCTAGGTGAGCACAGCCTAAACTACTGACCTACAGAACCATGAGCCAAATGAATACGTACTCTTTTAACCCACTGTATTTTGGCTTGGTTTGTTACACAACAGTAGCTTCCTGATACACTACCATTGTCACATGTACTGCATTTTATTTGTTTACTTGTCTGTCCCCCAACCTAATGAGAATTCCTTAAAGACAAGAACCATGCCTCATTCACACCTCAGCATTTAGACCAATTGTTGGCATCTGGTAGATCCTTGATATGTATCTGTCAAATTGAAATTGTTGAATTAAGCTCTGCTAAAGTTTTGGTGGTAGAATTTCAGACATCAGGATACTGAATAGGTTATCTCAATGCCCTCAGAATTGCTTCACACATTCAGTTGCCTTCCCCACTAACAAGTTAGACTGTCCTTGTTGCTAGTGTTAAAGATAGTGGGCCCCAGATGGAGTCACTTGTGCTAAAGTTCCACTTTACCAATCTGAAACTAGGTTATTTGCTTGAAATATCTGACCTTCTGAGAAACCAGGAGAGAGGTGATATTCAAATCCCATTAAGCCAACAAGATTTTGCTTACATCTCTCTAAGGAAAGTAATATCGAAATGACCAATCCACTACTTGTTCATTGTTCCTGTATTCCTTCACTTTTTTACTGCCGATAAAACTTACCCACTCTGTCTAGCTCATCAGAGCTCCTTTCTGTTTTGTAGGTTGGATGCTGCCCAGTTCATGAATTGCTAATAAAAGTCAATCAGATCTGTGAAACTCAATTTGTTGAAATTTTGTTCTTTGACTCTAGAATATTGATTTTATCCCAAAATTTTTTTTCCAGAGTTGCTTTTCTAGTTGGAGAAATGACTCTTTGGCATAGTAACTCTTTGCTGTATAGTTTAAGTTGTTTCTATAGGAATAAGGGCAGATTCCAGCCTACTTCCAGGATAGTAAGTACAAAATATTTTAAAGTCTATGGCTAAATAGCAACTGTTAATGCATCTCTGATATATCATATGTCCCACCATTTATGATATGGATTGGAAAGAGAAAAATGACCTGAAATTCTCTTTCCTTTAAGCAAATAGTACTTAGATGATGCCCCATACATTCTCCAAAAACCTTCCCCTTACTGTTTTTAGGATGGGAAAACAACCAACAATATAAATTTTTTTCATTTCACAAAAATCTGAGAATAAATTTACCACAGATTAGTTCATATATTTCTTTGATTTCTTAACTCATTATTAAGACATTCATAATCAAAATGTGTATTATAAACTTATATATGCTATGATATTGTGATAAAATAAATATACATTTGGTCTCTGTCCCCAGCTCCTGGTCAGAGCTCCTGAAACACTTGTACCTTCCTAAATGATAAAAGCAACAGAAACATCTTTTGTTACCATATTTTGTTTTCATTCCCCACCCCTGACAAAACTCTGGTGCAATAAAGGTGAGAGGAGCATCTTTTGTTATTGATTACAAGCTCCTTACAACAACACCTGAGTCTGTATATTGACAAAATGATTTTTGGAAAGTCTCTAAGGAAGGGGGCTGGTTGCCAGGAGAACCAACCATGTCATTAGAGGGTTGGAACTTTCAGGCCTACCCCCCAGCCTCCGCGGAGAGGAGAGGAGCCAGAAGTTGAGTTCAACCACCAGTGGCCAATGATTTCATCAACCATGCCTACACGATGAAGCCTCCATAAAACCCTAACCAAAGCGGTTAGGAGAACTTCTGGGTGGTAAACACTGGAGGTGCTGGGAGGGTGGCATGTCTGGAAAGCACATGGAAGCTCTGTGCTTTTCCCCCTGCCATGCCCTGTGCAGCTGGCTATTTCTGAGCCCCACCCTTTTATAATGGCCAGTAATACAGTTAGCAAACTGTTTCTCCAAGTTCTGTGAGCCATCCTAGCAAATTATCGAACCTAAGCAGGGGTCATGGGAACCTCCAGTTGATAGCCAGCCGGTCAGAAGTACAGGTGGCAACATGGACTTGCGATTGGCATGTGAAGTGGGGGTACAGGGAGCAGCCTTGTGGGACTAAGCCTAGGTAGACAGTGTCAGAATGGAATTGAATCATAGGACAGACACCCTGCTGGTGTCAGAGAATTGGTCAGTGTGGGAAAAAAACTCACACATTTGGCATCACAAGTGTTCTGAGAGAATGTAAAAGAAGTAAGGGTTTGTTTGGTTTTCCTTTTAATGTAGTTTAATACATGGAAGACAATTTTTGTTCTCTAAGAACTATCCATCATTTCAGAAGGGTACTGTTTAATAGGAAGAATGCCTTCCATCACTTTTGAATGTGTTTCCCGAACCTTTCAGCTCATGTCCTCATTTTATTCCAGTACAAGTAGTTCTTTCATGGGGATATAGAGCTTGAGAATGATTAGGTAGCTGGATGTTAAGTAGTTTGTTAAAGACATATATCTGTAAGGTAGTACTAATTATTACTTGTAGAACAATGCAAGTCAGGTAATTGGTTCTGTACATCATTTTTCTGCCATGGATTTACTTTATTCCTGCCTTTCCTTGTGTGTTCACCCCCAGAGAAGTCATTTCTCCAGTTTGTGGCTGACCCTGTATTGAGAATGATACCTGGAGTGCCAGCTAGCTGACACATGTCAGATAGGATTCGAGTAGAATGTTGCAGAAACCCGGAGGCCATTTCTGAACACTTTACACTACTCAAGGTGGCAAAGGAGAGACATGGAGCCATTTGAGGTTATCTTGGTTCATGTGCTAATGTGCCTTATATTAAGAATTAATGAATTTCAGTGTCTCAGAGAAGCCAACAGTGGATCTCCCTTGCCGATGTTTGTGTATTGCATAAAGGCAATCATATTTTAATGATCATATGAGCTACTTGTTTGGGGGCTATTATTTAATTGGAAACAAGTGAATTAACCACCTAATTCATCAAATCTAAGTTGCTATCAATTATAAGATGTACCTTTATTTTATGTACTATTAAGAAAAAAAATGCAGCCAATTAAATTGTAACACAACGTCTAAATGAGAGTCCTGAACAGCATGTGAATCAGTCATATAAGTCTTAGTGCTTTGAAATTTCTTTCATCTATTCAGAGAGGGGAGGCAATTTACGTGCCCTTCAATTGCATTATTTGCTGGGTGATGTGGAAAAATTTTTTTGCATGTGTCTCAGTAACAAAATGTAACACAGCTTCATCTCCTTGTCATCTTTTATTTGCTCCTGAAAGGCACTCAATCGTTGCATTGCAAGAAAACATGGAATTACATCCATTCCTCCAATGACTAATATTTGCTTCACTAATATCAAATTTGCACCTTGCTGCTCAGTTTCTGGGCCTTTATGGGAACACAACAATAAGCATTCATTTCAATGCCAAATCATGCTGTAATCTTTTTGAAGACATTGTCAGAAGCACTTAAACTCAACACATATTGTGCGTATAATGCACATGACTCTCTTGAAGTGATGACAATGAACAGCCATGGCCAAGCACCCATGCACAGGTAAGGACAACTATGCCACTGCTACTGCCTGGCTGACTGCTACTGTTGAAATGCTGTTGACTGTAAGGCTGATTTCAGGAATACCAGCTTAAAAAAATGTGCACACTAGAATTGATGAAATCCGGTAAAATCCCTCAACTTAGCTTCCAAATCATTTTTCTAATATAAATGTTTAAGAATGGCCACAAGTGAATGTCATAGGGTGGCAATAATTTTAGCTTTTAAAAACATGCAAAATAATGATAATGCCCAAATAGGGAATATGGGTATATGAGGGATTGAGACAGATGGAGTTGAAAAGAGAAATATAAGAAAAATGGAAGTGAAAGAAATTTACTCATTGAATCATAGAGGCTACCATGGCCCACTCTTTGACCCCTGCTACATGATTTTGAGTATGCTCTATCCAGTGTTAAGAAAAAAGCCAGTGTCCTAGAATCACCGTTACCCTCAGTGGATACCACAGACACAACAGTTTACACTTTTTCCGAAGTGCTGGAGCTACCAAATTGTTCTGAGCTTCCCAGTACCCCCAACCGAGAGGAAAGTTAAGTGAATCCTTCATAAAGCAAGTCTCAAAACCACAGCATGACCTCAACAGACTTATGCTCTGCGGGACAGAGGTGTTGGTATTCATATCATACTTTTGAAACTTTTTAATTATTTTAGTAGAAAGGCTTTTTGAATTGCATTTTATGCCTGTGGAAGAGATTCCAACTGATTGGTTCTATTTAAAATGTCTATACCCCCCTACCCTTTATTTATTTGTAATATTGCAATACTTTGCCTCAAAGAGGTCAACTTGAACTTTGAGCCGCACCACTGTAAATCTGTCATAATTTGTTTTGCTCAAATTGGGAAAACGAGAGTTTCTCAAGGAGAAAAGAGAGATAGAGAAGCATCAGAAAAATTACATTTATAAAGCAAAAGTAGGCTTATTACGGATTTCAGAAATTTTATTCCTAATGGGTTTGAATCTTTCCATCTTTCATTTCCTTGTATGGACAGAGCTCCCTTTGAAGTGTTTGGAAGCTTTCTGTAAGAAAAGATATATATACACATGGGTGTGAGCTGAAAATTGAGCTCATTGTTTTGCCCTTTTCAAACGTGTTTTTCAAAGATTTGCCTTTCATATTGCAGATGGGAGAGAGGATCTGCAATTTTACCTTGTGTAACATCTTTGCCTGAAAAGCTCAAAGTATTTGCAGACATTTTTAAAAGACTGGTTCCCATGTTTGCCTGCTGAGGAAAGCAGAGGTTCATGTAATTTACTACCATTTTATACCCGAGGAAACTGATATTTAGGAAAAAGAGGCTCAGAATTTCAACCAGTGGCAAAATTAAGAAAACAAGCCTAAACCTTGCCACCAAGCTAATGACACCCAGGCTAATGATCCCAAAGGTTGAATGTAACCTCCAAAAGAAATGCTATAATAAGAAAAAATTCACCATAGATAGACAGCATCATGATCCATTTTAGTATGAACCTTGTATGTATTATGTAGGATCATTTGTATTTATTTTTATTGCTCTCTAGTGTATCAGCCTATTTATTGTTTTAGTAACTCCCGATTTTGAATCTAACATTGAAATTGAGTTTCAGTAATGCTTTTGTAGTCATTCTAATTCATTCTAAGTGCAGAAGAGAAACCAAACCACATGCGGAAACACGGAACTTGGGTCTATGTATATCCAATGAAATTATATTTTGACCAATTTTTTTCTATACACACAGAACAGTTAACAAATGTGCCTAAAACTCAAAACTGTGTATTTCAGTTCTCTTGACAAATGTATCTGAATCATGACATAAACTCAACTGAGTGTGCACATCAACATCATCTTTACTAAAAAGATCAAATTTAATCCTAAGTAGTTATAATTACATCCAGATTATTCATTTGGCCATTTAAGCAAATGGAAATGAACCAACTAAAATAATTTGCAATACAGAAATTATGTCAACACCCTTTAAAAAGGGTCCATGAAACACAAAGTTGATGTATCTATTCTTTTACCACTTACCAAGTGCCCCAAAATGCATGGCAGAAATTGTTCAGCTAAAATACAGCAAATGCTCAAAACGCAAAGACATAGTTCCTGACCTCTAGGAGTTAATAGTCTAGTTGTAGGGTGGCAGGCAACCAAATAAATGGATAAAAGCAACCACAAACTCCTCCAGTAGTGACTCAGCTACTCACATGTACAGTCTTATTTCAGAAGCTCATAGGGAATTATAGGTAAAGAGGTTAAAACATTAACATTTGCTCATTTCTCTTCCCTATTTTCTCATCTCAGCCGGTCTCCCCTCCCATCTGACCTCCGAATCTTCCACATTCCTCCCCGCCCCGCAACCCCCAAGCTCAACTCTAGAATTTCCTAACAGGAGTATCAAATACTATCATTCCTTCCTTTCCTACCTAAGCAATGGAATCTATGGTTTGTATTTTAAAGTCATTATGAGAGTTGACATCAACTTTAAGGAATTTTTTTTTAGCCTTAAAAGGTTAGCTTATACACCATGCTGTATGGTTTGTTTTATCTTGCTGGGTTACTGTTGATCTCTACACTTAAAATCATCCCTTTGTCAAGAATCACTTGAAACCGGGAGGCGGAGGTTGCAGTAGCTGAGATCGCGCCATTGCACTCCAGCCTGGGCAACAAGAGTAAAACTCCATCTCGAAAAACAAATAATAATAATAATCTCTTTGTCTAAAATGCTAACCTAATGCCATTAGAAAAATAGAAATGTCTTGAAAGGATGTGGAGGTAAGAATTGGATTTCCCATCCATATTATTCTTGGTATGGTAGGTAGGTAAATAGCTTACAATTCGCCCTGTTTAATCTTTGAAATAATTTTCCATTATGAGGATCATTTAATTCTGTCTATAAAATGTGAGTCAAGAACTAGGGCTTTTATTTTTACTTTCTATGAAGGAAATAAGACCCAAAACAGAATCTCCAATGCATGGGACATTTTTTGGCAGATGTTCAGAGGGAGAAAAGGAAAAGCTGGCTTGACTCATAGGATCTTGCATGTCTGTTTTTCTTTCCCATGAAAACTTGTAGTTTGAAGGAACATAAAGGAAGAAAATATTCTGCTTTCATTAAAAAATAACCTGTGCTTCCTGCTTCTGTGCAAAATAAACCCTTCATAAAGCAGCAGAAGCCATCTTCATTTACAGTTGTCACTGAAGGATGTTTCCAGGCTGGGAAGAATTTTTTTCAAGGCATTTAAAAACCGTCTGTACTAATAAAAGAAAAACACGATTTTTTCAGGTCAGAAGACTTCATCATACCTGGCGATGGATATGTTTTTAATTAAAACCTGGGCACAAAATTGGGTTGACTGTGAATCATTGTGATGCCTGATCACTCTCCTGAGACACCCACCATCATTGGTACTGGTTGCCTGCTCTTGACACCGGAGGCCACTTTGTGTACTTAGCAGTTAGAAAGGTGATGTGTGAGGCCCGGCAGCTGTTGGTGTTACAGCTATTGTGTGGGAAACAAAAGCCATTCTGTTCTGTTCCCCAGCCTGCCTTTGTATCACGGATAGAGGAGCTGTTTCATAAATGAGGTATAATTCTTTACTGGAGAATTTCATTACTGCCCATGTTTCAATGTTAGCTTACACTTCCAACAGCAGAGGGGAATGTCTGAACATATCTCCTTTTGAAAAGAATCTTGGCTTCTGACCTCTGTCAAGATGCTTGCATTTTAAATCTGTTAACTAGACCTGCGATTAGATGCCATCATTACAACACATATGCTTCCCACCTTCCTTGCTCTAGACCACCCAACCTAAGGCTGGCTAGAGTGTATTTGCTGTCAGCCTGCCTGTCTTGGAAATTAAGCAGAGTACAGTACACACTGGCACCCAGGTGAACCAGTAGGAACTAGATTTCTCGCACAATTCCTCATGGATCTGTGCTAGGAAATTCTCATAGAGCAAATCAGAACTGACGTTTATTTGAAGAACATGCACTTTTTCACCCAAATGGTATATTTATTATTTTCATTTAGAAACTATATCAATCTAGGAAGTTTTCAGTAGCATATAAAAAACAAACTGGCCTAAACAATCAAGGAAGTGCAGTGGGCTGTGTGGTTCTTCCCAGCCTTCATCCCTCCCTGGGCTGTGTCATTTGCTGTGTGATTTTGAGGTTCCTCCTTCTAAAGGTGAGTATATTTCCCTAACTCATGGATGTTAGGCTCAGCTACATGACTTGCTTTGGCCAGATTTTAAAAGTATTCCTATTTTCACTTACCTTTCACTTTTCTGCCATTGCCGTGAGAAGAACATGCTCTGGCTCTCTTGCATCAAATAAGAGAAATGTGAGGCAGGTTTGGAATCTGCAAATTGGAGCCAGACCCACCTGAGTCCAACCTAGATCAGCCTACTTCCAGCTGACCTAGAATTGCATGAGCCAGAATAAGTGACAGTTGTTTTAAGCCAATGCATTTTGAAGTGGTTTCACAGCCCTATTGTGGCAATATCTGACTGATATGTATTGCTTATATAACTGAAGAGTCCAAAGGTAGTATGGGTTTCGGGTAGGGTTTGAAAAGAATTCCTGTTCTATTTCTGTGTGATTCTCTTGGGGCTTCAACCTGGGATGGTTTCCCTCTTGGCATGATGACCATAGCCATTTCAGGTTTCACGTTTACACCACGTGCCATCTAGAAAACAAGAAGGCTTCTCTTCTTCAACTATCATGCAAAAGTCCTGGGCTTCACTCTGATGAGGTCAACTTAGGTCACATGTGTATCCTGACCCAGTCACTGAGGAAAGAGAGTGGGAGTATGCCACGTGGTTTACGTGAATCAGAGTCCCTCTTGAAAATGGGAGTGAGTCCAATCTCTTCCGAAATCTGTGTTGTGCCAAATTAAAGGTGGGAGTTGTAGGGTGGAACAGATGTTGAGAGGTACAAGCAATGTTAATTATGGAGTCTGAATCTCCCACTTTTGTTTTAAATTTCTATCAATATATTGTTTGGCTCAAGCCATTTTCCTTCCTCCATGTTGCTAGGCTATCTAGAGACAGAGAAATGGGATTTAAGCTCTAGATCTGAGATGTTACCTTTAAATGGCAAAGCGCATGGCCACACCCATACCCCTACAGTACTGGAAAGTGGGTGGGAACCCAAATAAGACTTTACCATTATTCTGTCAGACTTCCAACTCCTGGTATCCCAGGGTTTTAAGAAAATCCAAAGCAGGTTTGACCTATCAGAATGCGGAGATTTCTGATGTAGAGGATGAAGTTAATGCTGATGTAATTAACAGCATGGGATGAGGTGATAAGAATATCTTTCCACTGACTTCTGGTCACCATTGTTTCCAATGAGAAGTCAGCTGTAATCTTTGTCACTGTCCAGACACATAGTAAGCACCAAAAAATGTGTGTTGAATCAATGGATTAAAAATAGAACCAAGATCTTTTGGCACATATCCCAATGTTCTTCCAAGACTACTCTATCACTTCTTTGTAAAACTTTACTTTGCACATTTAATGTACCCCTTGCAGCTTCTGCAGGGAAGTAAATGAAATCAATGACTAATTCAGGTAATTTTTGTAAACATGGACATTAACATGATCACCAGTTACTTTCTGTGCTTCTGAGAGGCCTCCTGACTCTGAAGTATCTGAAAGGTTGAACAACCCTAATAATTGAATGCATTTTTGCCATTTAATAAATGTTTGCCATTTTACAAATATTATTGAGCATCTACTGTCCACAAGACACCGCGTTAAGTAACGTGAGGGACAGAGAATTGAACATGAGCTAAAACTTGTCTTCAAGTACCCAACTAATATAATTTGTCACTCAAGGTTTCAGGGAAACTGTGGACAGAAGAAAAGACTTGGGACCTTTCATGGAACTACAGATTCTCAGGGAGTAGCTTGCCTGTCTCCTTGTAGTGTTACTTACTAGTTGTCTCTAATCATTAAGGATCTCAGTTCTGTATGAAACATCTGTCAGCATTAAGACAACATCTTGAAAACCAGCATTTTGATGTGACCTAGCTGGGATGTCAGGCATATCCACATGTTCTTACATTAATTTCTTAAAAACATCTTCCCATGCATTTTATGGTGGCTGTACATGGGCACTATTAGGTTTGTTTTGGTGGTAATGTCCTGGTTAGATAATTCTACATAGTTGCAAATTTGAGGGTATGAACACTGCTACGTTTTCTTTGACTCCTTCTTTGTCTTCGTATTTTTTTTCCAGATGAGTTATGCTTTAAACCATACAAACAGAAAACTAACATTGGAACCTAAAATTACTGTCAATGCCAAGATCATTGTGGTTGGTGCATCCAGTGTTGGAATTTCCTTCCTAGAGACATTGGTATTTTGGTGAGTTGTTTCACTCTATTGATTGATTGGTTTTTAAATAATAAAAATTATCTTCCTACATCTGAAGAGAACACCATCAGAGAACAGACCTGAGATTGTTTGGTACTCCACACACCCTGCCTATGTGGATGGATGAATCAGTAGAAGAATATTCTAGATCAGGGGTTAGCAAACTATAGCCCTGAGGCCAGGCCTGGCTTGCCAACTGCTTTTGTAAATAAAGCTTTATTGGAACACAGCCACACTCATTTATGTGTTGTCTGTGGCCATTTTTGTGCTACAATAGCAGATTAGATGGCAGACTCCTCTGCTGAGTAGTTGGAACAGAGACCATATGGCCTTCAGTGCCTAAAATATGTACAGTCTCACCCTTCCCAGAAACAGCCTACTGACCCCTTTTCTAAAGGAATGTTTTCCTTACTGGCCCGATCACAAAAACCACCTGCAGCATTTGTTAAAGATGTAGATTCCAAGATCCTGCACCCAACTTACAGAATCTGGACTCCTGGGGAATGGTCTAGGAATCTGTATGTCAATAGACACTCCACATAATCAGGCAGGTTTGGCAATGAGTTTTGACTTCATACATTACAAATACACTTTCAGAAATGGCATGTGGGCCAGGACCTTTCTTCCAGCCCTTGAATTTTGGATCCCCTGGAACAGGTAAAACCCTTCAGGGAATATGGAGGCCTGTGCATCTCTTCTGATGCTGTTTTCTCATCCCCCTCAAAGCACTAAACAAGGTTTCCTTTCAGAGCCCATTTTTCTGATGGGTGATGCTCAGGGATTTCCAGCATCCCCAGTCTCTCTCTCCATGTGCTCACTTGAGCACCTCTTTAATAGAAAACACCCTGGATTAGGGTCTGAGAGCTCGGGATCATGGCCTGGCATCATCAGCACCTAACATGGAGCCCTCAGTGTATTGTCTAGCTTCTCTCAAACTCGCTATCTTCATTTATTTTTTAAAAAGTTTCATAGATGTTTTAAAACCCTGACTTTGGGAACCACAGAACCCTGAATTAAGAGTCCAGTTTTTCCAAATCTTTTGCTCAGGATCACATGAAAAACTTTAGCTACCATTCAAAACTACAGGTGCTGAGAGGTAAGCAGGAGATGGGAAAATGCAGCCTACCATCACTCTTCTGGAAGCCAGCAGAGTTCTTAGCTCAGGACAGGTGGGGCCTTGTGAAGGGCTGGGTAAGCAAATGGATGGAGGAAATGACCCTCAAAAGGTGTATGTGCCTGGTTAACGTGGAGACGAGCTAATCCCAAGTGGTTATTTTGCTCATTTAACATCACATTAACCAGATAAAAAAAGAATTGATTTTTTCACTTTCTAGCCAGTTTGTTCAGTTCTCCAGAACATACTCTTAGGTAACTAGAAATAAATTATGAGTCATTACTGAAGTTAGTAACAGAGTTCATGTGCTTTGAATAATGTGGTCAGTCTGCAGCAATATTTCACTGCAAGCATGAAATGATGAGAAGCACCTAGGAATATTCCATTCCCAGGGTATGCCACGTTATAGTCTGAGTGCTTTACTTGTTCTGATGGGTCTCTTCCTCGAAAACTTTTGAACAGCAAGTTTTATGCAACCATTTTCGAATGATGAATTATTAAGGTGGAGCTGTGAAATTATAGCAGTTAAGAAGTTATAAACAGGTCTTAAATCTTAATTCAGCTATATACTTAGTCATAATGTTTTATTTAAATGATTACATTGAGACATATACAAGTAATTTTCTTTTTGTGGAGTCAACTTAGATCTAATAAAGACAAGTATAAATTTTGATGTAAGTATTGGGTCGATTAAATTTCCCAATCAAACAGAGCTTTTTAAAGCATTCTAAAATACTCATAATTCTCTATCATCATTACACAGATTACGTACACTAAAAATAGACTGGTATCAGTTTACAGATCTCTAATCCTTAAGAGAGGAAATAGTTTTCTCATTATTTTCTCTAATTATTTTAAGTCAGCAATCACCATGGTAACCTACTGCGTATTTTACTTTCCCAGTTTAACTGCCATTTGAACTTAATTTTATACATGATTTGAGCTGAAATGAAGAAATACAGTTTTCACCCAACACTGACCACCAATGAGGATTGAATCTACATTTTGGAAGCAAAATTTAGGAGAATCAGCCTCCTTGTAGTCTTTTTTGGTTTGTTTTTGTTTTTGTTTTGAGACAGAGTCTCACTCTGTTGCCCAGGCTGGAGTGTATGGAGCAATCTCGGTTCACTACAACCTCCGCCTCCCCCCAGGTTCAAGCGATTCTCTTGCCTCAGCCTCCCAAGTAGCTGGTACTACAGGTGCAAGCCACCATGCCCGACTCATTTTTGTATTTTCAGTAGAGATTGGGTTTCACCATGTTGGCCGGGCTGGTCTCGAACTCCTGGCCTCAAGTGACCTGCCCGCCTTGGCCTCCCAAAGTGCTAGGATTACGGGCAGGGGCCACAGCGCCCTGCTGCCTCCTTGTAGTCTTGAGCTGCATTGTCAGACTCAGCAGGGGCATCATCATTCCTGGAAAATCCACTCGAGGCTCAGGACAGTAACCTCTTTCTCCAGAAAATCTGGTAATTCTGTCATCTGACAACAAAACAAACACAACTTTGTTCTTGTATTATTTCCATGCAAGAAATTATAAAACACATTTGGTCTCCTCTTCAAAGGACACCAAAAGCAGTTTGTGTAAATTCCTATCCTTTCTTCCCCAAGTGCTGAGGTGCTACTGGGAGAGCTGAAGTGCTTTGCCCAAACTCACTCCCTGATATTCCCTAGGATGTAAGCTCCATGTGATGAGGCAATACTGTGGTGGTGTTCTGACTTTTTATTTTTTTAAGTATGCTATTTTATCTGCTAGCTGTGTGCAGTTAATCTGCACAGACACATCTCCTTGTCTGTGGTTGTCAGGCCTGAGTCCTGCGTCTTGTCCTTCCTAGGAGGAGCCTGTTGGGCCCTCCAGCACCGGGAGACATGCATGGCAGGCATTTTCCTGGGGTGTCCCAGGATCCCAGTCTTTTACTTCCCCTGCTGTCCTCCGTGCCCTCCTGCTCCTGGCCCTGGTGATCCCCAGCAGAGCCGAGGAGCCAGTGGCCCTGCTCTCAGAGGCTTCTACAGTCTCCCTCAGCCCTGCGGGAGACCTCCAGGGGTGGAGATGGGCAGGGGCGTAGCGTCATCCAGGGTGGGGTGGGCTCAGCTAATTGGTTCCCTCCCCCCTTGTCTGGTGCACTTGGCCTCTGAGGGGAGCCCAGGAGGAAAGGACCCAGCCTTCTTTCCTGTCACCTGCCCAGCCAGCGCAGGAGCATGCGTGTTTGTGGCAAGGATCAGGAGCTGGGCAGGGCAAGGCTAGGGCTGTGGGGTGGTGCTCTTGCATTGCAGGGCATTGAGGAAGAAAACACCAGCTTGTACTATGGGGTAGAGGGCCGTGAATTGGAGGGGAAAGAACAGATCTTAAGACTGTGTGTTCTTCATAATGCCCAAGACATTTAAGTGATAGATTTGGATTATTTTTAAATGACTGTTCTTGTGATTGGTGGGTTGTGTTCATTTGGCCACCCCGTTCTTTGGGACTGAAAGTTCCTGGCTCGGACACTATGATGTCACATGTGCATTTTCCTTCTCGGTGCTTCCATTAATAAGACTATTTAAAACCTCCAACCACTGGAGAAAGCAGAAAGAGCTTGGCCTCAGCCGTTAGCCCACCTCTGCTGCCAAGCAGTGTTGCAGCCCTGAGGGAGGAACTGTCCTCATCTGTGCTGAAGGAGAGTCCCAGCAGGGGCCCCCAGGTCCTGCCAGCCTGAAGGCGCCACCACGGTAGAAACTCCACAAACCCTCTCAGGGTGAGATCTGTAAAGTGAACTCACTATAAAGTGAACTCCCACCAAGTCTAGCATTGCTGAACTCCTCAACTGCAGTGCTTTGACTCTTTCAGGTTTCCACAAAGATATTCCAGAATCCTTTTTTTTTAATTATATAAATGCTATAGCAAAATAGAAAAAAAAAAGAAGAAGAAGAAGAAGAGAAGGAGCCGGAACCAGGTGTATGCACCTCTCTTCTGTTTCTGCATCCTTTCACTCCTGGTGTGGCGCGTGGACCAGCAGCATTGATATCACCTGTGAGTTCGTTAGAAATGCACAACCTCAGGCCCTGCCCCAGTGTCCCAAACAGGTTTTTTTCCAGAATTATGCAGAACAGCATCTTGACTGTCTCCTGGGCCTGCGTTCATAGAGCTGAGGCAGTTGCTGTCCCCTTCTGTTTCAGCACGAGTCTCTATGCTTCAGTGTTTTATAGTATTTACTCCTAATTATGGGAAAGTTCCTTTTTAATCCATTATTTTTAACTCTTTCCTAATTTAATCCCGACGTAAAGAATCTTTTGAAGAGCCTGTAATGGCACTAGAAAAATGCTTACTGGAGTCATGGATGACAGTGACTGAAAGCAGCCCAGCTGGTGTCCCCGCGACCCTCCGTGTGACTAGAGAGAAACACTGATTCATAGGAAGCACCGGTGGGCACTGGAAAGCCCGGGTTCCCCTTGTCTTCCACTTCCACCACTCAGAAGAGTTTTCTCGAAAACTGACCAAATCATCCAGCAAAAGATGCAGCCTCAGACTTTCAGCCTAGACACTGATCCCCTCATCTGGTTGAATGTGTCGAGGTAACTAAGAATAGCTTGGACCAAGCAGGGCATGTTTCTAAAGCTGCAATTGTGGCAATGACCACAACTCCTGTTATCGGGCCGTGCAGTTCCGCACAATATCCGGCACAGCTGTGGGCTCTGGCAGCAGCCAGCCTAGCGCTGGCGGCTTAATTAGGCTTTTTATCTTTACATTTGTCTGAGGACATCTGAAACCTTCAGTGTGGCCTGTCACTAATTAGGTGACTAATTAAATAGTCAGTGCTTCCTTGCTGATCTCAGAGCTCAACCGCAATGGACAGGTTTGTGATTGTGACTCCCCGTCCTGTCGGTCTCTGCACGTGTGCGCCTCGCAATTGCCCTGTTCATTGCGCTGTGCAAAAACGGCATGGGAGCGAGGCCCAGGGCATGTGCAGGGCCGTCCTCCGATGTGCCCAAGCAGCAGGCAGCACGGACATCCACAGGGGGGCATATGGGAGATGGACATCCACAGGGCATACGGGACATCAGTTCTGGTGCAGAGGCTGGTCTGGTGGCCAGAGCAGAGGGGACGGTGGAAGGAGCTTTACCTGCCAGGCTCAGAGTCTCAGTCTCCCCAGGCAGCAAGAGTTGACATTCTGCCACCAGAGAATAAGGATCCAGAACTCACCCTGGTGTCACTAATCACAATGGGGTTTCCTATTCGACTCCAATATTTAAATGTAATTAATGTTAAATAAAAGCACCTTCATTTACTGAAATTATTCACCCCTGCTCGTTTCAGTATAACTTATCTCCTCATACCCACATTAGAGACTCCCAGAACAAAAGCAAAGCAATCCACTTTGAGCAACATTAGGCCTTTTCGACGGGGGAAGATCAGCTTATTGTCCTTTTTTTGTGGGTGCTTTGTGATTCTTTGGCATTAAAGGTAAGTAGGAAATGCATTTTTCATGATCACACAAAGCACAAACCATGTACCCGGATCTGAGTCGTACACCCGCCTCCTCAGTCTTCATCATTTGTTATTGGATGATTTTCAAATAATGACATTGGTACCTGTCTTGGTTTGCATTCTTTCAAACCAAGCTGAAAACAAAGCATTTGGATACAAGTAGTTTATTTGGGAGTGATCCTAGGGAACTGCCTGAGAGCAGGGCCGTGTGACAGGGAAGTGAGGATAGCCACAAAGCCAAAAGACACCCTTGTCAGTGGGTCCCCACTGTGGACATCTGAGGTCAGAGAATGGCCGTGGGCAGAGAGAGGCAGACAGGAGACCCCTTGCAGGTGAGCAGGTGGGTCAGGGTGAGGTGAGTAGGCCCCAGCACTATCTCTGGAGTGCCCTTATGGTCCCTTAGTTTGCTTAGTTTGTTCTGTTCTTCCTTGTTAATATTCTTGAAGTTGCCTTTTACTGAAACTTTGGCATAGACGATGATGGAGAAGAAGCAAGGGTTAGGTAAGAAGGCTGTGGGGAGAGGATTTTGTGGGTTTCTTGCAGTTCTGAAGAGGACACAGGTGTACTATCAGAAAGTTTTGCTGGAAAAGAGATGGCATTTAAGGACCTTGTCTTAGCAAATACTTTATTTCTACTTTGGGATGGAGATAAGGTTAGAATCAGTAGTTTTCGAAACATAGTCTGTGGCCCAGCACCATCAGCATTACCTGGGAAGCTGTCAGAGGTGGGGATACTTAGGCCCCACTCTCCAGGGACTGAATCTGAAACCTGGGGGTAGGGCCAGGCTCTGCTTTCCCAGCCCTCCAGGGAAGGCGGCAGGTCAAGGAAGTCAGAAGCGACGGTGGAGTGGAGAGGGCCCAGGAGAGTGATTCCAAAACGCAGAACTTCAGTCTCCTCACCTGTGCTGCAGGGAAGGCACCCAGAATCCCTCCTCACACACCAGCCTGAGCATACAGTCAGGTAGCAAATGTCAAGCATCTGTCCAAAGGCCTAGTGCTGACACTTGTTAGACGGACACCTCCCCACTAATTAAATTTGCATGTCTAGATCCCCATGGAAGCCTGCATTGACTTTCAAAGGCGGGAAGTGGCTGGGGAGCTGGAGTCTCCTCCACGTGGAGGATGCCCTCTTCCCCGAGGACTGGGGGAGCCGGAGGTGCTTCCCACCCGCAGCTGCATCTGACTCCTGGTGAGACGTTCCCTGGAGTCTGCAGAACATCCTCCTAAGAGACTCATGTCTCTCAGATATTTAATGGGATCATAAACTTCCTTCATAGAAACTTACATTAAACTCTCCCCTCCTTTCTTGAGACTCCCAAACTCTCAGGAGCCTCTCAGTTTTCTCTCCTCCTTGAACAGAGGCTCTCAAAGTGCCGTCCCTGGCCCAGCAGTATGGACATCACTTGGGAACTGTTAGAAATGCAGATTTTCAGGCCCCACCCAGACCTCCTGCATCAGAAACACTCTGGGAATCAGGCCCAGCAATGTGTGTCTTCACGAGACCTGCAGGGACACACTCGGCCAATGCCACCAGGCCGATGTGGTGTTTACCCTTCCTGCACCATCCTCCCATCCCCACTTTTCTCATGGGCAGCCTCACTCCCAAAAAAGCAAAGGCATCATACACCCTCAGCTGTGCACCCTTTCCCACTTCCTCAGCTCTGCACCTGCCAGCCACTTTATTTCCTCCCTGCGGAGGGAGGATTAGGGCCATAATTCTTTTATCTTGGCGCACATAAAATGATGCACAAGAGGATTGAGGGAATAAGGACATATCAAACTGCCCCCCAACTTACAGCATTTGATGTTGGGTGGAAATTTGGAAGGGAAGCCCAGAAACAGCCCCGCCTGAAAACACAGGCATGAGGGCCCTCCAGTAGAGGTGACAGGTGGTCCTCGTTGCTGGGGAGTGGGAAGACCGTGAGCCTCTGTGTGAGACCCAGAGCAGGCAAAGCCATCTATGCAGCAGATGGCTTCTGGAGACCAGGTTTCTCTCTAAGTGTACTTCTCTGAAGATAATGCCTTTCAAACAGATAATCCAACACTTACCAGTATAGTAAGACATAGGCTTGAAAAAAATGGTTTGAATTCTCCTTTTTATTTTAAGAACTTGTGGTGGAGGAAAATGTTGTGAATCACCTTTTGAGATTTTAGGGTTAATATTAAGTAACTGTTTCTATAAGCAACAGATTGCAAAAGTTCCAGGCTCTACAATTCTGCACATCACAGCCACTTGGATAGGGATGGGGAGGGTTGTACAAATACAGTGTCCTGGGACCCTGTTCCTGGAGTTACAATTCAGTAGGCCTGGGGTGGGTTTCAGGAATATGTACAGTATTTTTAATAGAATCCCCAGGTAATTCCAACATGCAGGTGGGTTTAGGAGCCATTTTTATAGACATTTGCTCAAAATTGGCAGTCTCATCTATAAGGAAACCTATTTCCCCCTGTAATTGCTCATTGTAACTAACTCATTTTTATGGGCTTGTTTTCCAAACCACATTTTCTAATTCTTAGTGAATCATATAACTTCTAAGTCACATCATTACTTTGGGGCTTACCAGGCCTAATTTTTAAGTTATTATTAACATTATATAGCTGAACCCATATTCATAGTATTAACATGCTAAATTGGACCTAGCAGAAAGCATTTCACGAAGTCTCATGCTTAAACTATCACCATTAAGAAGGAAGGCCCAAGAAAAAACCTGCCCATGTGGTGTTATTAAAGCCTTGCTAATAGCCAGCATTTGCCCAAAACACAAAGCTCTTCTTCATCCTCCCCAACCAGAAGTGATCCCACTGGATTTTGAATTCCCATAATGTTCCATGATTCCATCCTTAAGGAACAAATTGATTTGTGTCTTGTATTTTGCCATCTCTCATGTGCAAGGGCTTTCTGGCTTGTCTTTGATAGCTACCATCTTGGTATTTACATCTGGTATGTGCTCAGTATATATAAACATATGCTTAAAGTATAAATGTATAATGTTTTTACTTCCTAGACATAGATAAAAACATCATTAATCATTTCCCCTAAATTATAAAGGAAAGCTCAATTTCATTTTCATCTGTTTTGCCAGAACTCCCAAATTTTATTCTTATCTTTTCAATTGACATTTCAAGAATGGCATGCATTTTCATTTTTTCAGTAAGGATTTATGTGTTTATTTTGTGATACATAAGTTTTTTATCTGAGATCCTGAACTTCTACCTAGCCCCTTATCCTGGCCACCATGCCCCTCCCCTGCCAGGTCCCCGAGGACTCCAGAGAGCACCCAGGGCCCTCCAGGCAGACACTTCTACCTTAGTGTCGGGTCCAGGGTTGAGTCACACCCAGACTCAGGGTACCTTACGAGACTTGCTCCTTGCCCCGTTTCTCCAGGTCGCATCCTCATTCCTACAGGAGCTCCAGGACCAGGGAGCTCTGAGCCACCCAAGGTGGAGCTGGGCAAGATGGCACCCAAGAGAAGAGAGAAGTAGGGTCAGGGAGAGAGCTTGTAACCTCTGTCTCACCCCACGAACTGCCCACTCCCTTCTAGATGTGTTCAGAATCCTCCATCCCACACCTCCTCTGTGGATCTCTCTCTTCGGTCTCCCCCTGGAGGTCAGAGTGTGTCATGACCAACAACTTTGTGGCCATGGATGCAGCTGCCGTTTAATTTTTACTAACAACAAAAATGGATTGAGTACTATTAACACACTCGAACAAATACCCCATAACTCCTTAATATCATCTAATACCAGTCCGTGCTCAGTTTTCCCAGTGGTCTTAAAATTGTTCTTTTACAGTTAGTTGGTTTGGATAAGGATGCAAACCAGGTCCAACTACTGCATTTGGTTAATGTGCCCCTGAAATCTCTTTAATACTTAACAGTTTCCTGCACCTTCCCCGTTTTCTGAAATTCATTTTCTTGTTAGGTTCTTGCATGTTAGAGAATTTAAGATGAAATAATACAATGTGTGGTGTTTACTCCAACCACTACAGTGTTGGTGAGTATTTTCAAAGCAGCACAATATTAGTCATTGCTAAGCTTTTTTCACCTCGTGTATATTTAAAATCCTCCAAAATAAAAATTTTTTTAAAATAAACAAATTAAATTAATGGCTCAGGACCTTGTCCAAAAGTCTCTTATGATTTAAACAGAAAAAAATATTGCTAAAGAAAGTTAAATTTTTTTCAGGGAAAAACTGGTAGATTCTCTTACTCTGCTGTGTACTTAACAATAAATATTTTGTGTGGATTTGTTTTGCCTCTGATATTGGAAGTTCACAGAGCTCCCAACTTCTAAACTCCACCTATAGTATTTTATGGCATGTGTTGTTGTTAAGACTGAATTAAATCTGAGTTATTTTTTAACTAGTAGAATATGTAGATAGGTTAAATATCTATCACGAGCTAGGATTTATTTTCATTGGCAAATATTTTTGTCACTGTTTTGAACCATTCAGAAAGCAGAGGTTTTAGTAAATTAAATTGAAACATTTAGATCGATGTGGGATAATAATTTTTTCTCTACATTATCTATTTGTTCAAATAACAGCATTAATTAAAGCAGTTAATTAAATCACTTGCTTTGGTTGCGTTTGCTATGCCTGCACCCTGCAGACACGCACAGCACACACAAAATCAGCTAGAAAATAACTAGCGATCGCCTAGCAGGCCGACATGTATCTACTGCCCAGAAGGGTAAGCACCATGAAAAGTTTTATGTTTCTTTTATCATGTTCACAATAAATGGGCAATGTGACCCTCTTTATTTGAAGGATAAGGATGTTTAGACCTAATTTTGTAGCTGTCCTCCTGAAGCATGGAATGAAACACAATACCTTTTACTTATTTCCCTGGATACCCTAATCCCTCCCTGCTTTACAAGTATCTTTGAGCTGTTCCTCCCTTTGTATCCACAGCAACGTGAAATCCCCACTGGAATTATTTGCTGTGAAAATGCAGGTGCCCTTGTTTAATGTTTCATTGGCTTGAGCACTTAACTTGAAACTTTTTTTTTTTTTCATGATATGGTGACCTTTGATTTTGGAGCTGAGGGCTCACGGTGATGTTAGATATTGTTTATATACATTAAGCCAACACCATTAGATCTGAGCTTTATCTGTGGTTCTGCTGTTCCTGCCATTTCATCAAATGCATGCCCAAATGCAAGCTGTACTCCGTGACCCACTGTTCTATTTGAAGGAACTTTTTGAATATTCATAGGCAATCAAATTAAAAATCAGTCTATTAGACTTATGTATTATAAACTTCATGACTTTAGACCAATACTCTTACATAGTTATAGATTTAAGAAATTAAATATTTAGACACTGCTAAATCGGATTATAGAGAGAACCATCACAGCAAAAATATGAGGTTGGAGAAAGAAATGAAAATGCTGGTGATATTTTCATATAAAGTCATGAAAGGGCAGGGAACCTTCTCTGAATAGCAAGGAGGTTGATGTTACAAAGAATGTCGGGGAAGTTTGCTTAGGCCCAGCCAGAAGGACCTTTATGCCACACTAGGGAATTTGGGCTGAACAGTTTGGTAATAAAAACACTTACCATTTATTGAAAATGTACTATGCAGAGGCGATATTTTAAGCATTTTACAGACAATGATGCATTTAATCTTCACAGAACTCCTAAGAAGCATTAGGTTCTAGAGCCACAGAGAGGTCAAATAACTTGCAAAGGTCAAAAAGCTAGAAGTGCTAGAGCTGGGAGTGGCACTGAGGCAGTCCGACTTCTGAGACCGGGATCTTAATGAGTCTGATCTGCAGCTACCTTGGTAAAATCTCTACCAAGAACAAAGGTAGGGATTTTAAAACCGGAAACCGTTGAGATTTTATTTAATTTAAAAAGAGGTTTCCAGTAGCTGTGTGGAAGATGGGCAGAAGAGAGAGACTCAAGCCAGAGAGACAAACCCTCTAGACAAGATGGTGAACTAAGGCAGTGTGTTATAGGAGGGGAGGGTTGTGGGGGCATTCAAGAGATGTGGACAAGGTCAAAGTGATTGGACATGGTGGCCAAAGTGTGTAGTGGGAAGGAGCCTGAGACTGGCTGCCAAATTCCTAGCTCTAGAGGTGGTTAGTTGGCCAAAGCTTTGATGGAGATAGAGGAGGAGTGGGATGAGGCGACCAAGAGCTTTGTTTGGGCACATATTAAATTTGACACCCCCCTGGAGCATGCCAGTTAGGGCTGATAGGCATTTAGAAATTAGATTTAGAGCTCAGAAGAATCACTGTAGTATAGTACATTGTAGTAAATGTGCAAGAGGAAGTCCTGGTGGTGGATAACATCACCCAGGGAAATAGGCATGCAGCTTGGGAAGCTTGGCTAGGGAGAAATGGACAAAGGAGGAGGAGCTGGTAAAACAGTCATGAAAGACAGCCTCAAGACAGTGTTGTCCCAGACAGGAGGTTCTGTGGCAACAGCTCCTGGGGGAGGCCTCCTGCATGGCCCCAGCTCTCAGTGTTTCCTCCACCCCTGCTCCTTTAGGCCCAGGATCAGTGATGGCACCCACTGCTGCTAGACCCTGGGTACTCTCCT
Organism: Homo sapiens; assembly: GCF_000001405.40. Taxonomy (NCBI): domain Eukaryota; kingdom Metazoa; phylum Chordata; class Mammalia; order Primates; family Hominidae; genus Homo; species Homo sapiens. The sequence goes on from NC_000020.11 coordinate 20,240,504, forward strand.
TCCCTCTTTGTCCCTGTAACCCTGCATACACAGCTGCCTTCATTCAGTAAGACCTTGTGGAGTCCGCCATCTTTTTTTTTTTTGCCTGGATCCTGATTAATAAGGATCTTCTCATATCCCCAGCTCATCCTTCCTCCATGAGTCAATGAAAATAGAGACTTCTAATTGCCTCCCAGTATTCATTCTGCACTTGGTGACAAAACCCTGGGGACTGTGGTTCTTTGAAACATCACTGTGTTTTCTTTGAAAAACTACATTTTCCAGACTCCCTGCTTCTCCCTGGCCATGTCACTGAGTTCTGGCTAGGTAAGCAGAAATGTGGGACTTTCAGGAAGTCTCCTTAATAGGCAGCACTCTCTGCCCATTTCTCCTTCCTCTGCCTGTAATGTGGCTGTGATGGCTGGAGCTCCAGGAGCTACCTTGAACCTGAGGTGACCCTGAAAATGGAAATCACACATGGAGAAGCAGAGAAGCAGGTCATGGGCCCAGCTGCCTAGCTGACTCTGTGGATCCGTCCTATCAGCACGAAACTGGTGATGTCCAGGTGTCTTAAGTATAGTTTTAAGAGAAATTTGCTCTCAGAGGGATTGAGAGAGATCAAAGAGGAACTTGAAGAGAAGATAGGTTTAATGGGGAGACATGTCTCTTCTGACTCAGGGGAATGGAAGAACGCTCTAGACATGGTAAGAAGGAAACATAAAAATGCCTGGTGACCAGTCCCCATTTTCTTTATGACATAGGAGATGTGCTCACCCGAGTATGAGGAAGGGGGATAGTAAGGATAACAAGAGGGGTTACAGTAGAGAACTTGAAGGTTGGAGAAAGGCCCAGAACAGCAACAATGAAGAATGTAAAAAGATTTCAACTTGGGCTAAAGAAAAAGAGTGGAAACCTGTTTTTTAATGTATTAAAATTCAAAAAATGCCTCTATCCCCCAAAAAATCTTTGTACTATATCATTATAGGTTAGGTTTTTTAAAAAACTACTTTGTTGTTTTGGGGAAATTTTAAATTGTACAACAGCATAATTTAGGATAATGCAATGTGGTAGTTTGGTAATTTATAAATCATCTGATCCATGTTGTTCGATAATTCAAATGATTCAAAACCAAATGGACAGTCTTTGTAGTGAAAGATGTAGCTGGATAATTATTAAGCCTTCTACTTACATAGAGATGTAAAAAAGGCCTATATATAACTATTATTGGTGTAACATAAACCACATATCTATCATATAGCACCCAAAGCTGGGGTAAATTTTAACTGCTTGTGAGTATAAACACATTATTATTATTATTATTAGCATTTTTCATTAAATGGTAATAAATAAGAGACAAGTAATCAGTGTGTACTTGCAGACTGTCAGCCATAAGTAGCTGGGTTAATTGTGACCTTTATGTTATTTGAAGATATTAAAATTTTTTATTCTTATTATTAGAGGATAAGATGTGCTCAGTTTTCTTCTTATCAAATAAGAATATTCATTCTTAAATGACACTCATCCTTAGAGACTTTAGAGCAAAACCTCTCATAATATTGAGCTATTTTTAAATGTCAGGTTCAGTTGAGTTTATTGCATTTCTGGCCTGCGCCATCACCAAAAGTCTCCTGCTTTTAGTGCTACTCAACAGATTGTCAGTAAATTGATAGCAGTTCCACATTTGGAACATTTCCAATCTTCTCATGGGAAAGGAGGGCAGGTGTTTCTCTCTGACTTGGTGAAGGCTTCTTTTTTGGCATTTGGTTGATTGAAGGGGAGGTGTGAACTAAGAAGAGATTTTAGAAAAAAAAATCTCATCAGCATGAACCCTATGAAAAGATCAGCTCACCCATGAAATTTTACTGACTTTAACCAGGGGGTGGATTTGCAGCAAGAGCATCTTAAATCCTGATGGGCAAACACGGAGTGAGCCTTGAGCATGTGAGTTCTTCAGAAGTCTCTACTTAGGTGCACTTTACCTGTAGGACTAGTTAGAGGGAGTATTGTGGGTGCCTGGAGCAGGGCGCTGCCTAGGGCCAGCAGGCCTGGCTTTCTTTCATAGCTGGCACTGCTTATGAGCTTTGTAACCTTGAACAAATTACTTACCATTTCCAACCTTGATTTTCTTACCTATGAAATGTGGATCAGAAAAACCGGTCTCTTCCCTATCCCTAGCATAAATTGTGTAGAAGATTAATCTCTATGTGAATGCCTATGAATGTGCCTTGGGCTCTGGAAAGCCTGATGCAAATATAAAGCAGTTTTGCTCTTAAAAAGGAATCCTCTAGAATTTCCTCGCAGATGACACTTTTTGGTATCCTGATTTGAGTAACTGTGTGTATCTGAATGTAATAAAGCTAATGTCAGCCAATGGGAATTAGATGACCTTTGGATCCCTCTGAACAATTTGAGATCTACAGGACAGTACAGGCAGAGGTAAGGTGAGAGGATGCTGGAGCCAGGCATCCTGGGTTCAAACCCTGCCTCCAGACTTACTAGCTATATGGTTGTATTAGTCTGTTCTCACGCTGCTGATAAAGACATACCTGAGACTGGGCCATTTACAAAAGAAAGAGGTTTAATGGACTTACAGTTCCACATGGCTGGGGAGGCCTCACAATCATGGTGGAAGGCAAGGAGGAACAACTCATGTCTTACATGGACGGCAGCAGGCAAAGAGAGAGCTCGTGCAGGGAAATTCCTATTTTTAAAACCATCAGATCTCGTGAGACTAATTCACTATCACAAGAACAGCATGGGAAAGACCTGCTCCCATGATTCAATTACCTCCCAACAGGTCCCTCCCACAACACATGGGAATTATGGGAGCTACAAGATGAGATTTGGGTGGAGACACAGAGCCAAACCATATCATTCTGCCCCTGGCCCCTCCCAAATCTTATGCCTTCACATTTCAAAACCCATCATGCCTTCTCAACAGTCCCCCAAGTCTTTTTTTTTTTCTTTTTTTTGAGATGGAGTTTCACTCTTGTTGCCCAGGCTGGAGTGCAATGGTGTGATCTTGACTCACTGCAACCTCCACCTCCCCAGTTCAAGTGATTCTTCTGCCTCAGCCTGCCAAGTAGCTGGGATTACAGGCATGTGCCACCACACCTGGCTAATTTTGTATTTTTAGTGGAGACAGGGTTTCACCATGTTGGTCAGGCTGGTCTCAAACTCCTGACCTCACGTGATCCACCTGCCTCGGCCTCCCAAAGTGCTGGGATTACAGGTATGAGCCACCATGCCTGGCCCCCCAAAGTCTTAAATCATTATAGCATTAACTCAAAAGTCCACAGCCTAAAGTCTCATCTGAGACAGGGCAAGTCCCTTCTGCCTATGACCATGTAAAATCAAAAGCAAGTTAGCTACCTCCTAGATACAGTGGGGGTACAGGCATTGGGTAAATACAGCCATTCCAAATTGGAGAAATTGGCCAAAACAAAGGGGTTACAGGCTCCATGCAAGTCCGAAATCCAGTGGGGCAGTCAAATCCTAAAGCTTCAAAATGATCTCCTTTGGCTCCATGTCTCATATCCAGGTCATGCTGATGCAAGAGGTGGGTTCCTATGGTCTTGGGCAGCTCCACCCCTGTGGCTTTGCAGGGTACAGCCTCCCTCCTGGCTGTTTTCATGGGCTGGCATTGAGTGACTGTGGCTTTTCCAGACATACAGTGCAAGCTGCTGGTAGATCTACCATTCTGGGGTCTGGAGGAGGGTGGCCCTCTTCTCACAGCTCCACTAGAAGTGCCCCAGTAGGGACTCTGTGTGGGCGCCCTGACTCCACATTTCCCTTCCACACTGCCCTAGCAGAAGTTTTCCATGAGAGCCCTGCCCCTGCGGCAAACTTCTGCCTGGACATCCAGGCATATCCATACATCCTCCGACATCTAAGTGGAGGTTCTCAAACCTCAATTCTTGACTTCTGTGTACTCACAGGTTCAACACCACATGGAGGCTGCCAAGGTTTGAGGCTTGTATCCACTGAAGCCATAGCCTGAGCTCTACATTAGCCTCTTTCAGCCATGGCTGGAGTGTCTGGAATGCAGGGCACCAAGTCCCTACACTGCACCCAGCATGGGGACCCTGGGCTCAACCCACAAAACCACTTTTTCCTCCTGGGCCTCCAGGCCTATGATGGGAGGGGCTGCTGTCTCTGACATGCCCTGGAGACATTTTTTCCATTGTCTTGGGGATTAACATTCGGCTCCTTGTTACTTATGCACATTTCTGCAGCTGGCTTGAACTTCTCCTCAGAAAATGGGATTTTCTTTTCTATTGCATTGTCAAGCTGCAAATTTTCCAAACTTTTATGCTCTGCTTCCCTTATAAAACTGAATGCCTTTAACAGCACACACATCACCTCTTGAATGCTTTGCTGCTTAGAAATTTCTTCTGCCAGATACCCTAAATTATCTCTCTCAAGTTCAAAGTTCCACAAATCTCTAGGGCAGGGGCAAAATGCCACCAATCTCTTTGCTAAAACATAACAAGTGCCACCTTTACTCCAGTTCCCAACAAGTTCCTCATTTCCATCTGAGACCACCTCAGCCTGGACTTTATTGTCCATATCGCTATCAGCATTTTGGCCAAAGCCATTCAACAAGTCTCTAGGGAGTTCCAAACTTTCCCACATTTTCTCATCTTCTTCTGAGCCCTCCAAACTGTTCCAACCTCTGCCTGTTACCCAGTTCCAAAGTCGCTTCTGCATTTTTGGGTATCTTTTCAGCAGCGCCCCACTCTACTGGTACCAATTTACTGTATTAGTCCATTCTCATGCTGCTGATAAACATAAGCATACCCAAGACTGGGCAATTTACAAAAGAAAGACGTTTAATGGACTTTCAGTTCCACGTGGCTGGGGAGGCCTCACAATCATGGTGGAAGGCAAAGAGGAACAAGTCACGTCTTATATGGATGGCAGCAGGCAAAGAGAGAGCTTGTGCAGGGAAACTCCTATTTTTAAAACCATCAGATCTGGTGAGACTTACTCACTATCATGAGAACAGCATAGGAAAGACCTGTTCCCATGATTCGGTTACCTCTCACCAGGTCCCTCCCACAACACGTGGGAATTATGGGAGCTACACGATGAGATTTGAGTGGGGACACAGAGCCAAACTATATCAATGGTCTTCGCAAATTACTTGCTTCAGTTCCACCTAAAAAAAATAGGGATAATAGTATTACTGACCTGACTGGATTCCTGTAAGGACTAGATGGGGTAATGAGCCATGCAAAAGGCTTGACTGGAAGCAGTCATCAGGGTTAAGCTGCGATTGTTATGCTTCCAAGCAGTTTATTATTAATAGAAGTAGTCTAAAATTTAAACTTCATACTAAATTTACCTCCCTCCCAATTTGTTTTAGTTTTACTTTGAAAAGCACATTTTAAAAACCTGTCTCATTACTAATGTGTAGCTTTTTGGAAGATTCTATAGTTAGCAGCTCCAGCGCCATCTTCCTTTTTTCCTTGAAATGGTTGGTTCTATCTGAAGGTTCGTGCAAAGAATTAGTAGCTCCAAAAGCAATTCAACAGTTGGATGACACGTGATATAAAGTTAAATTGAATTATGATAAACTTTTGCTAAATTGCACTTAACTGCTTGTTCTTTTTCATTTTTCTTTTTCTTTAGCTCTCACATGAAGTTTAATAATCTTACCCTGATTTCAACTCATGGACTCCCAGGAAAAAAACTTCTGGACACTGAACAAAGGAAATTTTTAGCCAGCGAGTATGAATTGTATTTGCTTTTTCATTCTGAGGCCTAAATGTCCTACTCTGTGTGCAGTCTATTTAATGCTAAATAGTAGATTTCAGATTGGAAAAGGAGAAGTGGTGGGGCTTTTCTACTGGAGTTCAGACATCACTTAGGAGATACAAGTACCAGTGTGTTCACAAGCCAGTGGCCAAGAGTGGCAGGCCAGGGCCACCAGTTTCTATCCGTGGGAAGACATCTGCCCTGTTCCAAACAATTGGGGTGGAGCCTACGGACCCAGCCAGCCCTGCCTTTGGGCTCTGAGTGACACTACAGGGCAATGAAGGTTGGTGACTACATTTGCATCTGACAGGGCGCCTGGCTGGGATATGGGTCCCACAGCTACCCTGGCCATTTGTACTCAGCAGCTGATCAGGCAAAGAACTTCCATGCCAGTCTGGGTGAGCTTTATTGTCTTCATCCCAGTAGAATCACTATTTGACAACATCTGTTCTGGAAAATACCATGTCTTTATCACATAGCTTTCATTCATTTTAATTTCCTGTAGCAAAACATGGCTACAAGAAATATTAGTTTCTCTGCCTCTAGAAACAAGCTCCTAATTTTTCCAATAAGGAGGAAGGAAATTGTTCCCTCCCAGGGGATTCATTTTAGATTCCATGATGAAGGGACCCTCTTTCCTCTGTGAAAAAGACTCATTTTGCCTTCGAACAATGAGAAAAAACACAACTTCCTTGCCAGCAGAACGGGTTCGTTTCCACTTTATAATTTTATCAGACTATAAACTTTTTTTTGAAGGATGTCCTTATGATACAAAAAAGGGCATGGGTTTGAGCCAGGAGGATGTGGATTCAGATCCTGCCCCTGCCACGAAGGGCCTGGGCAAGGAATTTCATTTCTCTGAGCTTTGCTTTTTTTGATCACGAGCAGTACACGAGAAGCCAAGCTTGCTGGATTTTTTGTTAAAATTAACATAACACCAACTTCTGGCCAAGAACACATTCTCTCCATTTCCCTCTTTCTAAATTACACGATTCCCAGGAAATGCTGGTTTTATTGGCAAATGTCTTAAGAGGAACTTAATTCCATCAGCGTAGTGAAAGTTTCCCTCAATCCCATGTTGCGTGTGTTTCAGGAGAAAACAGCTACCGAGGGGGCTTTCTGCAGGTGTGACGCTGCGTGGGCAGACTGAGTGGGTGGAAGCCACTGGCGTCCCTGCTGCTGTCCCTGCCTCCACAGTCTCAGCACAGCAGCCAGAGCAAGGCTGCGGAAAGCTGGCTCAGATCACATCGCCTCCTCACCGCCCAGAACTGCACTATCCAATATGGTGGCCACTAGCCACGTGTATTTACATTTAAATTATTAAATGAGATGAAAAAGTCGGCTCCTCACATTAGCCACATGTAGCCAGTGGCTACCACATTGGATAGAACAGATAAGAACATTTTCATCATCGTAGAACGTGCTGTGATGCTCCAGCCTAAACTCTGTCTCCATCTACTTAATTCTCCAGCCTCACCTTTTATTATTTTTGCCCTTTTTCTCCCCATTTGAGCCACACCAGCCTCCTCGATGTTCCTCAGATGCAACGGGCAAGTCCCCACCTTGAGGTCTCTGCTTTTTGCTCTTGAATGTTACCTTTTCTATGAGGTCTATCCTGACCACACCATTCATTTGAAGCCAACACCCCAACACACTCCAGTCCCTCATACTCTGCTCTGTTTTTTTCTTGCTACTTAAATCCTCCTAAATATTGTATTATTTGCCTTTTGAAATAATGTTTATTCTTCATATTTATATCCAGAATCCTTCAACTATAATATAAACACCACAAGGGCGGAAATTTTTGCCTTTTTATTCATTGATTCATTGATGTATACTCAATACCTGGGTCAGTCCTTGGCACATAGCAGATGCCCAGTAAATAATGTGGAACAGAGGAAAGTTACCTCCAGAAATACCTGCAAAACTCCTCTCAAGCAAGTGTTAGGGTCTAAATAACACAGCCAGACCCCTTTGCATGGGTAACTGCATGTCATCACATTTCTTAGAAACCACATATTTCAGTAAGATTGAACCATAAATAGGAGATGTCTTTCAAATGGTCCTCATAACCCCAATAAAGGAAATTATCTCTGATCATGGGGTTTCAAAATAACAGGTGCAAATGACATTCATAAATTTAGTAATTTAAATCCCTGATTCCAAATACTAATTTTGAACTTGTCGTTAACCATTGTTTTAATTTATTATTGTTAGAATTTTTGAACCATTTCTGTCTTCTTTCCCACCGCCCCCATCCAGCCTCTTGTGGAGGTGCTAATGGCATGTCTGGGATGCAGCCGAAAGGAAGGCAGTGGGAGAGGAGAAGGAACAGGAGGCAGGAGAAATCCACTAATTGGACAATCAGCACTGATTAATTGAAAGTTAATTGTGATAGTCCTTTTTCTAGGAGTGTCACAATTAATCTTTTATGAGAATTTCTAAGGTTCTTTCCAGCTCGGAAGAGTCATGATTCCACGAGGTGCAGGTCTCCACTGACTCATCTGTGGCCCCCAGAGCTTGCTTCTAACTGCACACCTGGAGCTTTGGACTAGGCTTTTGACCACAAGGTTGGGGGCACTATAACCTAGAGCAAGCTGCTACTCATCTATGCCCTCTTCCAGGAATTTCCCCGTCCTCCATTTTTGCTTTTTGTTTTTCTCCTCCTTATTATCTGTCTTCAGAACTTTCTATGAAGACAGTCTTTCACATTAGTTTTGAGTCACGGTCAAGCTCACTTGAGGAACAGGAAGTTTCACTGATGTGCCTCCTTTGGTTCCTTCTCTGTTTTCGGATGAAGCCTAGTGGAGGTATTTCTCTCACCACCAGGCCATGAGTCAGGCCCTGCTATGTTAGAATATTAAAGCTTATTCATTCTACTTAAAAAATAATTTTGGAAAAATATCACTTACAGTCTTCGATATATAGTTTCACTCAACTGGTGAGGAAATTAAGGAAGGTCCAGAATGGATAGTAATATCCAGAATGGGTAGCAATCACTTATACAATGATATTTTAAACTGAGAAATGGCCAGGTAATCCCAGCACTTTGGGAGGCCAAGGTGAGAAGATTGCTTGTGCCCAGGAGTTGAAGACCAGCCTGGGCAACGTAGGGAGAGTCCCATTTCTACAAAAAAAAAAATTAAATTAGCCAGGTATGGTAGCTTGCACCTATGGTCCCAGCTGCTCGAGAGTCTGAGCGGGGAGGATAGCTTGGGCCCAGGAGGTCAAGGCTACAGTGAGCCATGATTGTACCACTGTGCTCTAGGCTGGGTGACAGAGTGAGATCTTGTCTCAAGTAAATAAAATCATTCAATGTAGTAACATATTGTAACAGCAATCACCCCACATTCTTCAACACTTCCTTTTGTGACTTAGTAAAGTTTCCTAAAAATCAGTGGTCCCCAGTGCCATTCCCACTGGACAGAGCTTCACATTTTAACTCTCAAATATGCATTCTGATGTGATCAATGCTACTGTCCTGCTGTCATTAAAAATATCATTGTCTTTGCCTTCCACAAATTTCCCCTGAGAGCCTTTATCTTTGGGCACAGCCTCATAAAATGAATCCCTGTGCACTAACTGTATTTAACTTTTCCTCATCGTGGATGGCTTAGAGTAGGGATCTGGAGCAGATAAAAAACAATCTTTCATGGGTCTCTCACAAATGTGGGAAGCCATGACATTTCCTGTATTCCTATAAAGCTAATGAAATGGTTTTTACAAGAGAATTTCCTCTCACTATCCATTATTTTCCTGTGATAGGCCAGTCCCCGATTTTCTTTTCTTATTAAGAAGAAATTTTCTTGTTTTTAAGTTGTTTCACAGAGCCCTTTCACAGGTCCTGTAACAAGGTCTAATATGCCCCCATGACTAGAATTCTCTTTGTGTGGTAAGACCAGGCTTATGCGCAGATCAAAAGGAAGAAATGTTCCCTCATTACCACTTCAGAATCTTGTTTGCCTCCAAAGAGAGTAAACAGGGTTCTGTCTCATTAATATTATTTAGAATAATACTCTTCACATACGCATCCTGCCTAACAAAGCAGCCTGTCTTACATTCTCACGGTCACTCCTTATAGCGGTCAGCAGTGGAGGAACGTAGGGAGAGCTCATTACCCTGTGTTAAGAGGTGAGGAAACTGAAGACAGCAGGAGGATGCAGAGTCCAGGCTTGTCAGCAGCACAGACCATGGCAGGGTTCTTTTTGAAGAGGACTGTGCTGCCAAGCATAGAAGTGGCGCGTGCCTCCAGTCCCAGCTACTCAGGAGGCTGAGGCAGGAGGATCACTTGAGCTCAGGAGTTTGAGACCAGCTTGGGCAACATAGTGAGATCCTGTTTCTAAAAATAAATAATAAATAGATGAATAAATAAAAATGTTAGTGTTTTTATGTTAAGAGAAAAAAGGAAGAAAAGAATCATACAGCCTAAATTAAAAGAAGCACTTAATGTCCTATTACCTTAGACTCTCAGTATTCAGAACAGAATCACTAAAAGGTGGTTTACCTGAGGTCAATCCTTTCAGAAAATTCTGGAAACAACCCTCACAAAACTGTTTAAATAAACCCAAAGCCACAAGAAACCCACTCTTATCATACTACGTGAAAGCGCTCAAACTCCAAGAGAGCCCAGAAAATGGAAGCCAGTGCAGCCACAGCACGCTGAAGCCATGGCATGAATGGCCGCCCTGGGCCTGCTGGCGGTCGAAGTCTCCGTTCCTAGAAAATCACCTCTGCCCTGAAGGGTGAATCCCAAAGTCTCCAGGGAGTGTACTTGCTGCGAACCTAACTCCCTAATTGCTATATTCTTGAAGTAAAATGGGTTTTGTTGTTTTGGCAGGAAGCCATACGCTAATTCTCAGAATGAGTGATTACTGAAAAGTATTAGCGAATAGGAAGGGTTCTCGGTATTCAAAGATTCTGACCCCTGGCTTTGGGAATCCTCAACAATGTCACTTTCTTCCTTCTCATTCCCATTGAGGCTGTGGTCAATACACCAATTTAACAGCTAAAGTAAATTTACAACCACTCTGAAGTAGAAGCAGAAGAAAGGTATAGTATGAGTGATTTCACACACACACACATACAGATAAACACACACACACACACACACCCCTCCCACCCTCCCAGTTGTGGGCTGACCTAAGCCAGGTGGAACAATTTAGCTTTAATGGGAAGATGTCAATTTGTAACTAAGTGTTTCATAACGAAAAATCTCCTAGTATCAGTCCTGGTAAACTCACAGCAAGAGCACGGACTCAGCCCACTAGGGGACTTGAACCAGCTCACCAGATGTCTAATTAATGCCCGCTGTCAGCTGCTCAGATGTCACTTACGGAGCTTCTCTCTTTGCAGCCACTGTTTTAATGATAAAGATTATGCACTGATGTCACTGTGCTCCTGGGTTAATGTCGTGGTGGGTAGAATGACCGGCATAGACCGAGCAGCCAAGCACGTTGTGCTTTCCACGGACGAGATCGTGCCCTACGACCACCTCATCCTCTGCACCGGGCAGCAGTACCAGGTAAGGCCGGGCACAGGGGGCGCAAGCCACGTGTCTGGAGAGCTCCATGAAAGCCATTCATATGTTTACTGGGGCACACACACTCTGGGTAAAGAGCATCCCTCTGCCTGGACAGCTGCTGCTCTAAATTCATAAAAGCACCCTTCAGGGCCCGCACACATAACCAGAATTATGTCCGCAAACCCTCCCAGAAACCCATTCCAAGAAAAACATTCTGCTCGAGGATAAAAATCACAGCAAGTTGGAGAAATGTCATTCTTTAAGCTGTTGTCCAAAAGTCTAACACATACTGCTCGCCCTAGCAGAATCCAGACGCAACCAGGCATGCATTTGTGGTAAATTAATTTATGCCTCAAGAGGCTAACATTTGGCTGTGGCAATGGGCTCTCGCAAAAGTATTGCAAACACGTGCACCTTCTGTCGACCCTTATTTTATTTTGTCTCTCAGTTATGAAAATAGGAAATCTGATTGATTGGTTTCCCAGTGTCCATGCTTTCCTTTTAGTTAAACTCTCCATCCACATTTGAGTAAAGCATTGCTGGATAACACTGAAGCTGTTCAATGTCTTAGGGCAGCAGATTTTAATATTCCACTTTGTAATATGCATGAGTGTTTCATGTAGTTTACAGCAGTAAGGTATTTCTCCAGTGACAAGAGGCTTACTCTAACTCAAGGATGAAGTCTTAGACCAAGTTTGTGAAACCCATGGCCCATGGGCCCAAGGTGGCTTTGAATGTGGCTCAACACAAATTTGTAAACTTTCTTAAAACATTATGACTTTTTTTTTTGCAGTTTTTTTTCTTCAGCTTATCAGCTATCTTTAGTGTTTGTATATTTTATGTGTGGTCCAAGATGATTCTTCTTGTTTCAGTGTGGCTCAGGGAAGCCAAAAGATTAGACACCCCACTTAGACCATCTTGTGAATAGTTGTGGGATTCGATGCGAGCCTGTGTATGACAGTTTTCCTTCACGTCGCCAAGCGCAGAGGAGGCAGCGCATGAAGGAGACAGGGTCTCCACCTGGGTGTTGCCACAGAATGTGCTCAGCAGCTCTAAGCATCACTTACCCTATATTTTCTGCCTTGGCCGCACATTGAGATGACCTGGGTGCTTTGAAAACACATCCATGCCTAGGCTCCGCCCCCAGAGGTTGTTTTAATTATTCTAGGGTGGGACCCAGTCATCAGTATTTTTCAGGTGCCCCACATGCTTCTAAGCTAAAGCTGAGAACCACAAGCTTGCACTTTCTTGACTAAGAATTCCTCATCTATACCTTAGAATAGCACCTCTCAAACTGCTGTGCACATGAATCCCCTGAGCTTCTTGTTAAAATGCAGATTAGGAGCAGGAGGCCATGGGATGGGGAGCCTGAGATGCTACATTTTCTTTTCTTTTCTTTTCTTTCCTTTTCTTCCTTCCTTCTTTTTTCCTTCCTTCCTTCCGTCCTTTCTTCCTTCCTTCTTTCTGTCCTTCCTTCCTTCCTTCTTTCTTTCCTTCCTTCCTTCCTGTACTTTTAATTCCATTTATTGTTGGATGAGTCTATTCCTGTGCCGTAAGTTTCCATTTCTTCAGTTTCTTCTGGGCTATCTTTTTCTTCTGCGCAGCCTCTTCTGGTTTAGGAACAATTTGTTCCTTTTCAATAAGGCTCATCTCACTGTGGCAGGCAGAGCTCACACATGGGTTAACCTGACCCTGAGCTCTGTGAGTCTGGCCACACATCTTGGGTACTTTGTTCACCTGGCTATGCTCAATGACCAGAGAATCTACATGTAAACCCTTACGTTCAGCATGACTCTGCATTTTTAAGCATGTGCAGCAAACATTCAGCACTCTTTTTGGGCCACTGACCCTGTGTCCAGTCCCACTGTTTGGCCTGGACGCACCTACCAACTCCACCTTTGTAACGTCAGAATGGTACACACTGTCTCTGTCAAGTGACATCTTTCAGATACTGGGTGGCTCTTGATATATGCATACCCTGACGGCCTGAGCAGTTTCACAGGTGTTCTTCAATGAACACGAAGATTTGAACCTCTCGATTTGCCTGAGTTCACATTTCCACAGATTGTCAGGCCACTTAGGGGAACAGGAAGATGTTACATTTCTAACAAGCTCCCGGGTGAGGCCAGTGCTGCCAGTGAATGAACAACCCTTTCAGTAGCTTGGATCAACCTCTGAAGAATCTCTCTCCTCCCCTCCCCTCCCCTCCCCTCCCCTCCCCTCCTCTCCTCTCCATTCCTCTCCCCTTCCCTCCTCTCCCCTTTCCTCCCCTCCACTCCCCTCCCCTCCTCTCCCCTTTCCTCCCCTCCACTCCCCTCCCCTCCTCTCCCCTTTCCTCCCCTCCACTCCCCTCCCCTCCCCTCTTCTATCCCCTCCCCTCCTCTCCATTCTTCTCCCCTCCCCTCCCCTCCCCTCCCCTCCTCTCCTCTCCTCTCCTCTCCTCTCAATTCTCAAAGGGTATAAAAGGATATTTTTATGGTTAAAGGATAAATATTTACTGCAGGGATACTTCGTTTTGATATTTAAGTATTCCTCTGACTTGTTAAAACATTAAACCCGACAGAAATGCCATATGCACCCCCTTAGCTTGTCTTCCTGTCACCTGCCTGCCAGGTTCCAGCTGCTGCCACGACTGCGTACTTTGGAAACTGAGTGGAAGACCCAGCCAGCTGCCCAGAGCCTCGGGCATCTGCCCATGTGTGCCCAGCTGCCCCTGCAGCTTTACTCTGTGGCACATTAAGCTCTTGCCCTTTTTACAACGGAAAAAAAATGAAATGAAGAAGTGATAAAGGGAGTTCCAATTTAATTTTTCCAGAAGGACATAAAATCAAAGTACATAGAGTGGTACAGAAAGGGCAGCTGAATTCACTGGGGAGCTTTTCTCCCCCTTCCCCCATTGTCTTCAACTCTCTCCTGGTTTTGTCCCAATTTTGTGATTTTCTAAAAAACAAATTAAAATAATGAAAACAGAGCTTAAACCCAAAGCAAGAAGACAACCCTCTATAAAATGTAATGACAAACCGCAACCTCTAATCAGACCTTTTAAATGGCACGCCTCACTCTAAATTGTTGTGTAATGTTTTTAATATCCAAATGCACATCGCTATTTCTTATTACAAAATCCATGCACAAGGTAAAATACTACATTGCACTGCACGGCTAAGCATGAGGAGAGCTGGTCTCTCCCAGCCCACTCTTCCTCCCAGCTCTCTTTCCAGAGGCAACCAGTTTGAAGCATTTCTGTTCTTAGTTTTTCAGTGGCTACCTGCATAACTCCAAATACAGTAATATGTTTATAGAATGTCCTTCCTTGCTCTGTCAACTTCAGACATTATCTACAACCTCTCCATTTTCGAAGATGAAGATTTAGCTGGCTCACTTTCCAGACTCTATAACTCCTTCTCCAGCCCTCCAATCAATGTTGATCATTTTTGTTGGCAAACACACTCTGGTTTTGAAAACCCCTCTGAGATCACAGGGCCACTCTCCATGACTCATGGACGGTCATGGAGCAGCAGAGAGATGCCTTCCCCAGGCCTGGATTTGAGGAACCTCATAAAGAGGAAGAACAAAAATGTACCAACTGAAATCAAATGAGCTTGGTGTTGAGCATGAGAAGACTGTGGTATGGACTGTTCATGGGTCGGGGGTCACTAGCAGCTGACAGGTAGGGCAGGTACTTCCAAGCAAGCAAGAAGAAGAGCTGAGACTGTAGTATACAGTGAGCTTGATGTGGGTCGGCAATGTTACATTGTCTCCAAAGGGGTTAATCATGTCTTAGACTGGGTCAGTAATAGTGTGGCATCCAGAATGGTGCAGCCCAGGTGACAGCCTTCTACACACAGCAGGGAGGAAAGACCCATCTACACCAGTGCTGTACCTCCCAGTAAGAGACCTGAGAAAGACACTCCCCCGTGTCATTTGACAGCACCTACTATATAGAGATCTCACTCTGAGAATGATTACAGGGGAAAATAAAAGCATGCAGTCAAAGAAAACTGGCTGTTTTAAAAATGGCTGCAAATTCTTTGATGCCTCTTCCATCTAAGAGGTAGAGTCTATGTCTCCTCTCCTTGAATCTGGGCAGCCTTGTGACTGCCTCGGCCAACAAAGTGCAAAGGTTGTGACATGGTGTGACTTCTGAGGCCAAGTCACAGAGGCCATACAGTGCCTCCTGGATTGTGGCAGCAGTCGCTCCTGGAGTCCTGAGGTGCCACGTGAGAAGTTCTGATGCCCTGGGGTTGCCACGCTGGAGACGCTGTAGGTGAGCTCTCTGCCTCCCAGGCCCCACTGATCCCAGCCCTTCAGCCAGCCTTGCAAGGCACTGGGCATGTGAGTGAAACAATCTCAGATCCTCCAGATCAGTCCATCCACCAGCTGAAAGTTGCCAAGTGACTCCTGTCCACAGCACACAGAATAAAAGAATTGCTCATCCAAATGCTACCCAAATTTCTGACCAACAAAATCATGGAAAGTTAAGAAAGTAGGTATTTAAGCTACTAAGTTTTAGTGTGAGTTTGCTGAACAGCAAAGGACAACTAGAATAAAAAGATAACACAGTAAGAGAAAGAGAACAATACAATATTTGGAAAAATCAGAGGAAGAACATAGTTGTGAAAATGTTGAAAAATTTAGGCCACACACACACACACACACACACACACACACACATTGTAGGCAACTATTTATCATCCTTTATACAATTTGATCACCTGGCCTCTGAAATGGGAGCTGAAGCCATTGAAAGAGCAGAGGCAAAGCTGAGAAGGCCACACATAAAAAAGGAGATGGGTGAATAAGAAAAAATTAAAATGAAATCTCCATCAGAGACAGAACTGCTGCTAAACAGTTAGTGATGCTGAAGACAAAGCACTCCTGGAGGGCAGAAGCAGAGGACAAAGGGATATGCTTGGTTCAGGAGAAAACAGGGTCTGATAGGCATGGAGGCAGCATAGAAATAATTGGTTTTCCTGAAGAAGAGACTCAAGGGACAATAATTGAAGATATTCTAGAAGAAAACTTTTTTACCCGAAAAACATATTGTCCAGCTGACCACATTCTAGGCAAAATCAAAGAAAAATTTTCTCAGTTATGTTCTGACAGAATTTCAATTCTTTCTTAGTCACCCATCTCCCTTTTTGTCTAACCCTGTGGCCTTCTTAGCTTAGCCTCTGCTCTTCCGATGCTTCAGCTGCCATTTCAGGGGCTGGGTGATCAAATTGCATTGAGGATGATAAATAGTTTCTCATAGAATGGCAGGAAAAAATTGAACAAACTTCAAAAGAAAAATAACAGATTACAACCTTTCTCCCTAAAAAAGAATAAAAATAAAACAGATATCAAAATTTTTATCTCCAGCATTAAATAGCAAAAGAAAATGAAACTAATCCCACAGAATTTTGACGAAAAGTGGTGATTCAGTAATTATGTGTCCACCTAAATCTCTCATATTTGAAAATAGCAGGTAGCCATTCTTTTATATACAAGGCCTCAGAAAAAATTATCTTCCGTGTTCTTTGCTTAATGTGCACTCAAAATAATTGAGATAGAAAAGAAAAATTAGAACTTCAGCCAGGCGTGGTGGCTCACATCTGTAATCCCAGCATTTTGGGAGGCCAAGGCAGGTGGATCACTTGAGGTCAGGAGTTCGAGACCAGCCTGACCAACATGGTGAAACCCCATCTCTACTAAAAATACAAAAATTAGCCAGGTGTGGTGGCAGGGTCTTGTAATCCCAGCTACTTGGAAGGCTGAGGCAAAAGAATCACTTGAACCAGGAGGCAGAGGTTGCAGTGAGCCGAGATTGTGCCACTGCACTCCAGCCTGGGCAACAGAGCAAGACTGTCTCAAAAAAAACAAAAAAACAAAAAAAAAAAAGAAAAAGAAAGAAAGAAAATATAGAATTTCATAGTAGTACAAAAGGACAGGTGGCAAGCACCACAAACAATTTAAAAATGTAATCTAAATAATTGTTGTAAATCTGAGAATAAATGCAAAATAGAAAATGACTCTTAAGCTAAATTAATCTAATAAAGACCAAGAAGTTGTTGAAAATTGGGAGGGAGGTGGCAAGGGAGGAATATGCATTGTCTTAAGGGGAGAAACCCAAGAGTACTATTTCAGTGTTGACTCTTATATTTAGAAGAAATAAGATTAAAGAATCCTTTGAAACAGCATGAAGGAATTCACCTTCCCAACACTGCAGAAGATAAAAGGGAGAAAACAAAGGAAAACAGACACAATGGTTAAAAGTGAAGGTGTAAACCAGAATGACATAAGGAGAAAAATTCAGTGAGTGTCATGGGTGGATTAGGGTTAGGGCTTCAAACCACCCTGTTATAAGAACCAAGACTCTGTTTTTACACTTAATTCAAAATATAAGAGAAATACCCAATCAAAGGGCAACAAAAGCTTAAAAATAAGAAGATGGTTCAAAGTGCACCAGCAAAAGACTGTCAGGCAAATTTCACACAGCTATTAGAAACAGCAATAATATTAGTGCCCAAGAAAGTGAATTGGAGAAAGAAAAGCATTAATCTTGATCAAGGGTAAAATCCATGATGAGAATATAGAGGTCATGAACTTTTTACCTGCCGAACATGGTTGTATCAGAGGATGGCCACAAAAACAGAAGTGTACTTGCAATATGACCTTCGTTCCTTGGAGTCCCACTGAAGAAGGGAAGGAACAAGCTGAAGCACAGCGAGGGAGGGGCTCCGTCACTCCAGATGCGCAGCCAGAGGAGTGAAGATTCAGGGTGTGCAGGATGGCCAGCCAGTCTTCAAATACTTGAAGACTTTTCATATGGAGAGCGAAATTAGTCTTGCACATGATGGCTCTGGGAAACAGATCTAGACAGGCCCCAAAAGTGATGGGAATGCAGTGTTTATTCATCCCGAGGAACAGCTTTCCGATAGAGTGAAAGTCTACTCCAAAGAAAACGGTCAACCCTAGGAGACAGGAGCCTGCTGCCAGGCAGCCTCAAAGCGGGAGAGCACCTGACTGCCGTTGAATGTTTACCGCGAGACAGACACATGGTAACAGATGGAACTCTCACCATACACTGAGGTCACTGCCATTGGCATCCCCATGTTGTAGGTTAGAGAACCGAGGGTGCTGTGAAGCTTAGGTAGTTTGCCCAGGGTCAGTTAGTAGGGAGGTGATAGACTAGGGTCCAAACTCAGGTGGTCTGGCCCTGGATCAAGCACTGTCTCTGTTTCGTTCTCTTTCCCTCTCCTTTCCCTTTCTTGTTGCTTCCCTTTATCTCTCATTGACATGGTGCAGGGCTTATACTTGATGGCTTTTAAAAGTCATTACCACAGAGATTCTAGAGCTTTGTATTTACAGCTACAGTCAAATAAGCAGTTCAAAAAGAAAAAGTTTATTTCCTTCTCTCATTAAAAATAAAAATATCTGGAGAAAAGCAACCCAGGCCCGGTAAGGTGGCTCCCTGATGTCAACAGGAACCCAGGCCCTTCCATCTTTTTTTTTTTTTTTTTTTTTTTTTTTGACAAGTTCTGACTCCTGTCACCCAGGCTGGAGTGCAGTGGTGCAATCACAGCTCACTGCAACCTTGACCTCCCCGGCTCAGGTGATTCTCCTACTTCAGCCTCCCGAGTAGCTGGGACTATACAGGTACATGCCGCCAAACCCAGCTAATTTTTTTTTTTTTTTTTGTATTTGTATTTGTAGTAGAGATGAGATCTCCCATGTTTCCCAGGCTGGTCTCAAACTTCTAGGCTCAAGGGATCCGCCTGCCTCAGCCTCCCAAAGTGCTGGGACTACAGGTGTGAGTCACCATGCCTGGCCCTCTTTCTATTTTTAATGTGTGGTTTCCATTCTCAGCATCTCAAGATGGCTGCTGTGTTCCAGTCATTCCATTTGCAAGAGGCAAGAAAGAGGAAGGACTAGAGCATGATGACTTTTCTCATTACCTCATCCAAGGACTCCTGCTTGTATCTCCTGACCACCTCTTAGGTCTTGAGTTGGGAAATGCAGTTTTTCAGCCGAGCATATTTCCCAAGAGTCTGTTACTAAGAAAGGAAGGAAGACAGAATATTGGGTTAGGCAGCCAGCAGTCCTAGCCACCGTGAGTTATTGCTGAGTGATGGTGGCACTGTGCTATGGCAAATCAGTGTGGTTGAAAAGTTATCTGCTGCTCTCCACTCAGAAGTTAGTGGCACTTTAGTTAGTGGCAGAGAACCCTCAGTTTGGATAACCAGTCCTTGTGGCACTTCATTAAATATAACCAAGCCCTTATATTAAAGACTGTTCTCTCCCTTGCCTCTTTTACCTTTTCAGGGCTAGTGACCTCTCTTGACCAACAGGAATGTATGGGTGTAAGAAACTTCTGCTAGCTTCTTCTAAATGTCTGCCTACAAACTCCTCTTAGTGTTTAAATCTGCTGTTCAATGAAAGAAAACAGTATGTGATGAACCATTCAGAAAGGAAGCTTCTTTTTACTTTTCAGGCTGGATAGCTCTGTGTCCCCATAAGCACACATGGAAGAAGGAAATTTCTTGTACTGGCTTCTTCTCAATGTCTCCATACAAATTCTTTTTCTGCTAGAAGCTTCCATTCAATGAAAGAACACAGTAAATGATGAACTGATCACAAAGCAAGCTTCTTTTTCCATAGATCGTTTTCTAATTAATTGATGTCTCCTAAACTCTGTGCAGACAAATTTATTTGGCTTTGGAATTTATAATTCTAGCTTCAGTTTTGCCTGCTTTGTGAAAATGCCATAATCCCATTAGTTTTTCTTTAATTGCTCTTATTCTTTATAGTAGAGAAGTATGCAAAACAACTCTACACATTTAAGTGCACACAAGAATTATGTGGATTATCAGAATGCAATTACATTTCAAGATTGTAGTGAGCTAATTTTCAATTTGGACCTTATTCTTTTTTCTCCTCTTCCTTTTTATTTTTGCCTAAACACCACTACTTGAAATGATAACTCATTGAAACTTTTATAAATGAAGTAGCTCTCAATTTGTTCTTTAGCACTGCCACTTTCCGCCAAGGCTTTTTCACTTGTTAAATCATGACTTATTAAACTGATGTAATGTTACCCAGATTTTATTTTCTTTTATGCTACAATGCTCCTTGTAGTTCCAGTGAGGTTTCAAAAGCCCGAAGCACAGTATTCAGTATTGTGCACGTCAGACTTTTCGCCAAAGCCTTCAGTGGGCTGCTTTATAATAACTATGAATATAATGCTATCAACATTTTAGTGGGGTATTACTAAACGAGCTATATTACTAATAAGAAAACTTTACCTCTGCAATTTTGGTTACAGTAAATGACCATTATTTATTTAGTTGTTCCCTTTTGCTAAATACAATTTCACTGCAGCCTCTTAATGGAGAGAGAATATCCAGCTTTAAACATTGGTTCTGTTTTGCTGTTTCATTTTAATTTAATCTAGTTTGAAATTGCATTAAATACATCACGGCAATGTACTAAGGCTTTACAATTTCTATTGAGGAAGTGTATAACCAAAAGTTTCCTGTCAGCTGGAGGTTAGTCAAGCCCCATGAGTTTAAGCACCAGCCAGCATTTGCCTGCTTGTCAAAGGAGAAAGAACTTCCTCTGCCCCAACATCCCTCTTGACTGCAAGTAAACTTATTGCCTGTCATAACTCTAGGAGTATTCTTGCCTCACAGCCCTGAGGTCTTAGACCCTGAGTGCAGCAAGCCAGTGGGTATCTGCCAAAGGCCTCAGGCTCCCTCTAGGCTGCCCCTCTGCTTGCCCCCTTTTTCTCCTCATAACTGCCACCTGGCAGCCAATTAAAAGTCAGAGGGACCAAGTGGTGGCCCATTTGGGGAACCTCAGGTCACTATGCTGTTTTATTTGGTTTTTGCAATGACACTTCTTTGTCTGATTTTAATTTGAACGAATATAATAAAAAATCAGGAGTCTACATGAAAACCCAAGGGCCTGGCATTTCTTGGGAAGTCAGATCTGGCCATACTGGATCCATACTCTACACTGGCAGCAACTAGATGGAACTCAGTCATGGCTGAAATCTCTGGCCCAAGCACAAACCCTCCAGTTTGCCACAGTATCCTTGACAAAGAAGACGAGTATCAGCTATCATCCGTTATTGTGTTTTTACTGTTACTTTCCTTACAGTAGAGGAAAGTTTCTGTTCCCACACACATCTGCATCAAAAATGAGAGAAAGATGGAGGGGAATAAAGAGAAGGAGAATATTTCTCTGACAAGACAAGGAATAATCCTATACTTTTCAAAAGTAAATAATAATCTGTTTCTTTCCTTTTCTTTTCTGCCTAGCCCCTCTATATCCTTAAATTTCAACCCCAGATACAATTTCTGTGGCAGATTATTTTTGCCAAAAATGGCCACCACATCCAATGCATTCCCATGTCCTCTTCCAGAGCCTTGCCCCTCCTACATGAAGAGGTGGAGTCTAGGTTCCCTCCCCTGGTCCTGGGCAGGCCTTTATGGCTATCTCCATGAATCGAATATGGTGGAAGAGGCACTGCTCAACTTCCAAGACTAGGTTGGAAAAGAATATGGACCTCTCTCTATTGGCTCTCTCTTTCTCAGAACACTTTCCCTTGGAACCCAGCCACCACGTTATGAGGAAGCCCAAGCTACATGGAGAGGCCACATGTAGGTGTTCTGGCCAACAACCCCAGCTCAGATCCAGCCCTTAGCCAACATCAACTGCAAGGCAAATCATGACAATTTGTTGTCACATTTGAATACCCAGCATATTTTCCAGGGGAAAGAAAAAGGATTGAGATAGTTTAATTATCTTCAGATGATTTCAGCCCCCAGCCCCTGAGTCACCCCTAGCCTTTGAGTCTTCCTAGCTGAGGCCCCAGACATGGTGGAACAGAGACAAGTCATTCCCCACCTTGCCCTGTCTGAATTACTGTCCTGCATAAGCTGGGAGCCTAATGGTTGATTTTTACCACTGAGTTTTGAAACAATTTGTTACACAGCATTACATAACTAGAGCAACTCCCTCTGAGAATTGTTTCTAGGTGCTCTTTCCACCTGTTTTTGTGTTTTTTTTTTTTTTCAATTAAAATCTGATTGATTGTATCTCGGGACAGAAAAAGACATACTGAATATTGCTATGTCTACTTTTTTTTTTTTAACCACTGTCACCACTTTATCTATTATCACTGAAATAAGCATTTCTCTAACATGCTTCAGGTCCCATGCCCTACAGAGGCTGATATTAGTCAACACCTGACAAACAGGGAGGTTCCCAACAGCAGTCAGCGGCGGTACACGGGGAAAGTTCCTTGCAACCATTTCACTCTCAACGAGGAAGAGGATTGCTTTAAGGCACTGATTTGGATAAGGAATAACTCCATCACCACAGAAGGTAAGGATGTCGGTAACTGTGCATCTCTTCAGAATAGCGTTTTATTTTTATAATGAGTCTCATTCTTCATCTAGTTCCAGTATATAATTAGTGCCTAATTAATTCCAACCAAATCATTCATCTGTCATGCTTTGTTTTCCAGATTAATTTACAACTTGTTGTCATTTTTGGATACCCAGCATGTTTGCTGGGGGAAAGAAAAAAGCTTGAGATAGTTTAATTATCTATAATTATTTTATTATACAAAATGAATATCCGAAGAGCAAAGCATGGCTAAAATCATTAACTAGTTAAAGAATAATTTAATAAGCAAACATGTTTAGCAATTATATGGAAAATATGTCTTCTTTTGTGAAACTGAAAAGACCTAGGAAGAAAAAGGCCTGTATTGGAAGGGCCTTTTCTTCTTTTCACAACCCATTGTTCTCTTTCTTGGTGTTGCCTGAACAGTTCTTCCCACAAATACACAGACTCGAGTTGCATGCCACTTTTTAAATCGAAATGAAAAAGGGAAACATTTGTGCAAATGCCTCTGCCACTCAAAAGTGTATTCTCAAGCATCTTTCTATTGCTTGAATTTCATTGAAATCATTCAGCTAGTGAAACAACCAGAAGAGAGCCTGGCTACCTTTGTGTCTTTAATTGAAACCTAGGAGTCAAGGTTTGGAGATAACTTAGAGCAGCCCCTTTCTTTTGCCTAAAAGTGAGAAGATGGTTAGTGACCTGGTTGAGTTCCACAGCCACCTGTGGTTTAGAGTTCAGTCCAGGGATGTAAAACCACTAAGTGCCCAGAAAGTGAGCATCACTGTGTAAAATTAAACATGCTAATTTATTTAATACATGTATATAAATATAATCTAATTATATTTGTTAATACATTAAAATTAAATATAATTTATTCTGATTTTTGGTGGACCATTTAGGTATTAACTTTTGCCAAGTTATAACATTTACTGCATTAAGAAGTTACTAATTTACTACATTCAACATTTTAAAATGAGTATCAAAGGGCATTCAGTGCGTTGCTGGATTCAATTTGCTGATACTATTTATAGGCTATTTGCCTCTAAATTCATAAATGAGATTGACCTGTAGTTCTCTCTTTTATGCATTGCTTGTCAGGTTTTTGGAATCAAGGGTATGCTAGTCTCACAAAGCATTTTTGGAAGCTCCCCATATTCTTTGGGGATCTGAAATACAAAGTAACTTAAGGGTTGCACAGAAATTACCCATAAAACCAACTGAGTCTGGAACCTTTGGGTAGAGGTGGGATATATAGATAGATTATACCGGCAACCCAGATTTTTTAAATGTCATAAAGTATTTCATACTTTCATCCAAGCTTGGAATTATTTTCAGTTTTGCATCTATGTATGTTTAAACCTGTTTTAGCCTTTTAGTCATTCTGTAGTAATCACCCCATGATCTATGTAGACTCAGAGTATTTTCTTATCAGGGAAAATTCTCTAATCCATGGGTTGGTGAATTTTTACTGTAAAATACCAGTAAATATCACTCTGGGGGGCCAAGGTGAGAGGATCACTTGAGCCCAGGAGTTTGAGACCAGCCTGGGAAACACGGGAAAACCCCACCTCTACAAAAAATACAAAAATTAGCTGGGCATGGTGGTGTACACCTGTAGTCCCAGCTACCTGGGAGGCTGAGGTGGGAGGATCAATTGAGCTTGGGAGGTCAAGGCTGCAGAGAGGCATGATTATGCCACTGCACTCCAGCCTGGGTGACAGAGCAAGACCTTATCTTAAAAATTTTTTTTCTTTTAGACTTTGCAGGCCATATGGTCTCTGTTGCAACTCTTCAACTCTGCTCATTTAGTGAGCAAGCAACTATAGACAATATGTAAATGAATGGGCAGGTTTGTGTTCTGATAAAATTTATTTATTAAACCAGACATGAGCTGTAGTTTGTAGTAACCAGCTTTTAGCCATAACATTTTTGACAAATCATTACCATTTCATGAAGTCCAGACCTCCAAATGTACCATAAGTTCCCCAAAAGCAGAAAAGCCAGTGGTTCAAGACAAAATGCACAGTTCATCTTTAAGACTGCACCCAATCCTGTCAGCCTGCAGTGCTGTGCTTTAACTTTGAACCTTTGTGTGTTTTGGTTGTTTGGGCTAGGGAGCATTTGACCAAGAAAAGAGCCTTCGAAAGTGGCACTGCAAGGTCTTAAGGTGGAATATTGATAGCAGAGAATTTAGAAACCCCAAAGCAAGAAGCGCTGTAGTCTCTTTCATGTGCCTTTGTATTGTCCTCTTGGTTCTCAGATGGAGGAAGAGCATCAGTGTTATTCTGCTGACTTGCCCAGTTGTCAGGGATGGTGATGCTGTGGTGCCCCCTTAAAGGGAAATGTTTTTTCAAGATTTAAGACTGACTCCCAGCAGCCAGTGCATAAAGCCATTTGGAGTGCCTGCTTTTGTCCACCAAATAGCCAGGATAAGAAGTATGTGGAAATTAGTTTCCTGTCTTACATGTAGGTGATTTTCTCCAGGTCTGGTGCTTAATGACTCCCCCAGGCACCTCTCAGGTAGGTGCTCTTAACACTGAAATGCTAGGACCAAGCTCTGGGAGCCTTCAGGGAAACCTGACCTGGCCAAGTTCATTTAACTCTGTGTAGAGGCCCTTTTCAAGTAAATTCTCAAGTAAAAAAAGTTAAGAAAAAATGTTAACATCTTGCCTTAAAAAAACTTTCTCCTCTTTGTATCTTTTCTGTAATCCAGGTCATACTCAGACATAACTTTAGTCCCATTCAGACCTTATTCTTGCCATTATTATTCTTGCAGCATCACTGGATCACAGTCCAAATCTCAGAGCAGAGGAGGCCTAGGACAGAAAGCCCGTCCCCACCTGAGCCAAGAACCAACAACCACAGACAGAATTATACCCACAGAGGCTCCCAGGAAATGCAGCAAAGAGTAGGATCCAGTGTGAGAGGAGGCCTCGAGGTAGAGCCTCCTAAATAAACCATTGGCTTCTCTGGCAGGCTGAAATACATTTAGCTGGGAGGGCATTCCATATAGAAATACAAATTCATGCCAAATCACTTCAGTCACCTTGTGACCTCTATTTCTTAACTGAGACTTTGGGTATATGATACTTGAGTTTCATTGCTGGGCTTTCAAATCCCTTTTCATACTGCAGAAAGCCTAGTGATCTTTCCAGAACTGCATTTTGAAAAGAATATAGCTGTTGCAGCATTGCTTCTGAGACATCTACAGTACCATACTTGGCTGAAGCTCCAAGCCATTTCTTTGATAATTTCAGCTCTACTCTATCTCAGTGTCACTTGTATCCAGCATAGTGCCTGGCACATAGTAAATGCAAAATAAATGTTTTACTGAATGTAAGTGAAGACAGTTCAGGATGTAACTCTTTTCCTTACCTCCCACATGGTGAGTTTTATCAAAACTTTTTGCATTCGGCCTACCTGGAAATAGATGGTCAATTGAGATGAAGACAAGAGAACCCTTGAATGAAATTGAAGCTATTCTTTAAAAATTCATCCTTAGTAATGAGAGTAATAACATGCTGGCTACACAGGATGAGTTAAGCTCCTCCTCACGAATAACAGACATTTATAAAGTCAGTCTAGCTCAGGTTCTGGAGTCACGTGACTTGGGTTCAAATCTTGGGTCTGCCGTTTCCCTGGGCAAGTTACTTAACTGCTTTGTGTCTCAGATTCTAGATAATATCTACCTCACATGGGTTGCTGAGAGGGTGAAAAGAGATAAATGAGATTACATGCCATACTCAGGACAGTCTCTCATACATAGAAAGAGTTTCATAGAGGCTGCCATTAGCATTGCTCTTACTTCTATGTGTGATGGAATTAAAGGTACCCTAGAGTAGAAGTCTCAGCCCTTGCCACCAGGGCCCTGATGAAGTTGAGGATATCAGTCTCTATTTAAAGACAGGGATCCGTGTACACCAGGTGCCAGTCAGCTATAGAGGCACTGTGGCCTTCAGGAGAGCCCTGGAGGCTGTGAAGTTTGGAGAAGGCCTCCCCGAGAAAGGAGGATTTGAGCTCAGTCTTGAAGAGGGACAGGATAAGAAGAGAGAGAGGCTGGGGGAGTTTGGATTGTGTCCAAAAGACACTGGGCCAACAACGTGGGCTGGGCAGAGTCTGTGAAGGGCAGCAGCAGGAGATGAAGCCAGAGGCATGGGCAGGGACAGACACTGGCGGGCCGCAAGCACCCAGCCACGTCCAAGTTTAACTGGTTACCTTTTAGGGATGGGAGCTGACCAGGCGGGTGCCGCTGTACACACATAGCACTTTGGGAAAATGGCCTTTCCATCTGTAGTACCCATGCCAGCAGAGAGAAGGTGACCACGGGAGAATGGCTTACCATGGATGGCAGTAGCCAATAGGGGCGAGGCAGCTGTGGATGCAGGAGCTAGCTGGAAGTGGCCACCCTTGCTGCATGTGGTGGTCTTGCTGACACAGCCACTGCTAGCTTATTTCCAAGTCAGCGATGAGATGGTGGTGTTGCAGGGCTTTTCCGTAGTTCAGCTAAAGATGGGGTCCTTGTCCGTCCCGTGGCCACGAAAACGTAGCCTCGCAGACGGTTTGAAGGGTGAGTTAAACAGGGTTTTACTGGGTGAAAGGAAAAAAATGGGGTGGAGGAGGGGGAAGCAGGATCCTCCGCAAGGCAAGCCGGCTACTTGATTCCCAGGTTCCACACAGGAAGAGGAGGGGCCAGGCTCCTCCCCACTGCAGATGGCATGCATTTCCGGAGGCTCCACCCCAATGTGCAGGCTGGTTGGAGTTTTTCTAGGGACTCCCTCCCACCTGCCTGTCTCATTGGCATTTGAAGCCAGAAGCTAGAAGTCTGGCACATGATGGAAAGCAAGGAGCAGGGCTGTGCTTATGCACGTTTGAAAAGTCGCATGGAGCCATCCGTGACCGTCCTGGACATTTCAGTCCTTGCTTTTTCTTCATGTCACCCTAATAACACCAGGAGGAATGTGGACAGTTTTCATCATAGTTTATTTTTACTCCCTCAGTGCTAATTTCCCCTTTTTTAAATACTTTAGCATGTGAGTTGGGGCAAGGGAGCCAAGGACAGTGAAAAATAGTTTCATCGTGTCCCACTGGCTGTGGTTGGGTGACATGTCCCTCCGGGAACCACACCCTGAATCCTAACAAACACCAGTGCTGATGTTACTGAAGCCCAGGGATGTGAGGGGAGAATGGTGGATGGATTGTTCTAGAACAGTGGATATTGGGCATCAAGAACAAGAGATACTCCCAGGAGGAAGTCGGCTCTCCTTTGAACTTCTACCCATTGCAGACGCACACAGATACCACCCCAGAGAGTAGCTCCTTCCCACAGTCACTGTTGTATTTCACATCTTCTGCTTCCAAAGGAGAACACAGTGGTTCTGTGATGGAATTAGTCCATCCAGAGGACATGGTTTTCCGGGCTCTAGAGTTGGATGGATTTATAGAAGTAAATTACCCTAAACTATTAGAACTGCTCTAGTGCCATGGAGAAGAGCTGACATCACAGGCTCAAATGCTGCTTTCAACTGCAAACAAAACCTGGAGTGTTCTGCTGGGGGGTTTCTGATAGAACCCAGCAACCCGATACATTATAACAATTTATGGCACTAATTGAAACTAATTGAAATTCATCTGCTATTACCTCTGTACTTTCCATGAAAATGAAAAGTAGGATGAAAGTAAAGTAAAAAAAATAAACTACCTTAATGGCTCAAAATGGATCAATTATTTTCATCTTTAGCTAAATACAGTTTACTGCCTTATTAAAAGCATGTTTGTAGGAAAAGTATAACATTAAAATTCCACTGCATGCATCATCGAACAGAGGCTTTGTTATGTTATATCTAATATATTCTTCCCTTTTTATTCAGCAGAGCAGAACGGGACAGGTCACGTTTTGGGCATAGAAATCTTATGCTTTGGCTTCTAAAAAGTAAAAAGCGCATTGTCTGGTTCTATTCGTGGGCTATATATATATATATATATATATATATATACACACACACACACACACATACATATATGTATATACACACACATATATACATATATGTATATATACACATATATACATATATGTATATATATACACGTATATGTGCATATATACATATATATTTCATTAAAATACAAAAGAATAGGTAAATATGCATAGACATAATTTAAAATATATAAACTATAAAATGTAACATACACATATATGTATATGTGTACATATATATATATACACACACATATATAGACAGAATCTTGCTCTGCCATCCAGGCTGGAGTGCAGTGGTGCAATCTAGGCTCACTGCAACCTCTGCCTCTCAGGCTCAAGTGATTCTCCTGCCTCAGCCTCCTGAGAAGCTCAGATTACAGGCATGCACCACCATACCCGGCTAATTTTTGTATTTTTAGTAGAGATGGGGTTTCACCATGTTGGCCAGGCTGGACTCAAACTCCTAACCTCAAGTGATCCTCCCGCCTTCGCCTCCCGAAGTGCTGGGATTACAGGCATGAGCCACCACTCCTGGCCTGTTTTTTAATGAGTGTTTATTTCACAATTTATTAATAATCTGTGATTGCTACTTAAAAATATTTCATTATCTAGTTATTTGCTGAAGATATTTACCCATATAAAATGCCAGTTGGAGTATATTTTAGTAACGTGTTACATATCCATCTGCAAGTGTACTGCAGTGCTATGAGACCTGATTTTGAAATAGACTCACAGGGTTTGAGTCCTGGTGACCCACCTGCTTGCCATGTGACCTGACCTTGAGCTCAAGATTTAACCTCTCTGTACCTTATTTTCTGGATAAAATGATAAACCCTGTCTCACAGGCCTGTTGTGAGGATGAATGAGTCATATGTAACCACTGTATGTCTGTTTTGAAGCAGAAAAAGGAAACATAATTATTCATTAAAATACAAAAGAATAGGTAAATATGCATAGACATAATTTAAAATATATAAACTATAAAATGTAACATATAATTCTTGTTTCTCTGGCCTTAAAAATATAATAACTATGAAGAAAACTTCATGTTAATATTGTGTGCATAAATCCTGAATTTATTTCTTATACTCTTGAGATCTAACTTCATGGCCAGACCACCAGACCAGCAAATCTTTCCCTCCAAGTCCCGATTCTCTCCATGGAGAAGCTTCATCTTTATAGCATTGAGCGTGACCATGAAATGACAGCAGAGCACAATTTCCAGATGTTTTAAAGTCAAGCACTCAGTTCAAAAGAATAAAATGACTTTTTAGCATCTACTAAAAATAATTTCTTTAAAAGTTGTCCCATTACTTTTAGGGTACATCTATGACTAAAAGAATTAGCACTTTATTTTACTTCTTGAACTTAATAGGGAAATCAACTTAGTTTTCCTTTCCTGCGAAGTCATTTTACCTTTAATTACTTGTTTTCTAACTCCTGAAACTCTTACATACTGCCTTTAGGAACCAGGATGATGAAACTGGCATTTTTCCCCCTTGATTAACATAAATTGAAGAACTTCTTGCATCTTGGTGCATTATTCTTTTTTTTTTTTTTTTTAAGACAGAGCCTGTCTCTGTCACCCCCCAGTGGCACAATTGTGGCTCATGCAACCTCTGTGCCCTGGGTTCAAATGATCCTCCTACCTCAGCCTCCCGAGTAGCTGGGACTACAGGCATGATCCACTATGCCCAACTAATTTTTGTGTGTTTTTAGTAGAGATGGGGTTTCACCATTTTGGTCAGGCTGGTTTCAAACTCCTGACCTCAAGTGATCTGCCAGCCTCAACCTTTCGAATTGCTGGGATTAGAGGCGTGAGCCACCGCACCCAGCCCCAGGTTGAAACTTTAAAATGTGATCGCTTTATGTGCATGGTCACTGTCAAAGTTGCTGATTTGTTCATTTACACCTTGAGAGGCCAAGGTGAGAGGATCACTTGAAGCCAGGATTTTGGAACCAGCCTGGTCAACATAGCAAGACCCCATCTCTACAAAAGTTTTTTTTAAAAACTAGCCAGGCATAGTGGCACGTGGCTGTAGTCCCAACTACTCAAGAGGCTGAGGCAGGAGGATTGCTGGAGCCCAGGAGTTTGAGACTGCAGTGAGCTATGGTTGTGCACTACACTCCAGCCTGAGTGACAGCAAGACCCCATCTTAAAACAAAACAAAAACAAAAACAAAAAGGTCATCTCTACATTTCTACCAACATTTTAATTGGCAAGTGCTAGTTCCCTTCAGTCTGAAGTGGGGAATTGACAGCTCACTCAGATATTGACTGCATCATCACTTTCCGTCTCTCTCTCCCCTGTTGGGCTGTTGACGCTGACACCCTCCTTCCTCTAGGAAGCACCCTTGCACATTCTGTTTCAAAGGCTGCCACTGGTTAGCAGTGCGAGAATGACTTCGGGCTCCTTCTTGCTTGCCAGCTTTAATTTTCGGAGCTTCCACACAGTCGCCTTTTTACGGGTGCTCTGCCTGGACCCTACTGCCCGTCTCAGATCTGCAATCAGAGTAATGCACGATTTATTCGCTAAAAGGAGCAACAAAGATTGGTCTTCCATGAAAACTGCCATGGTTATATTCCCTTATCCTTTATGGGGAATCCACCCAGAGTGTTCTTATCATTTGTTATTTGCCATTTGAAAGTGGGGCAGCCCATCCTTTACCTCTGTCACCTGTTAAATCGAGAGCAAAAGCTGGTCATTTCTCATCTGTTAGGTAAGCTGATCTGGGAAGGAAACAGTGACTAAATCTTTTAGCATAAAACTGATATCCAGGGGAAATCATCAGTTTTTCCACTCTACTTCTTTTATATGTGTCTAGAAACTTCAAAAACAGTGTATGTGATATTCCGGTAATGTGAAGGAAGGTTCCATGAGTTATAAAGTACACAATGGTAGGTATACATGAATTAAATTCATCTTTAATATGGACATACTATATATCCAGAAAATTAAAATTTAAATAAATAAATTCATATTTAATTAACTGAAGTTTTCCGGCTTATTAAAAGCATGCTGTAGGCCAGTGTGGTGGCTCATGCCTATAATCTTAGCACTTTGGGAGGCCAAGATAGGCAGATCACTTGAGGCCCAGAGTTCACTACCAGCCTGGCCAACATGGTGAAACCCCATCTCTATTAAAAATATAAAAATTAGCCGTGTGTGGTGGTGGGTGCCTGTAGTTCCAGCTACTCAGGAGGCTGAAGCATGCCAGGAGGCAGAAGTTGCAGTGAGCCGAGATGGTGCCACTGCACTCCAGCCTGGGCTACAGAGTGAGACTCTGTCTTGAAATAAATAAATTAATTAATTATAAAATAAAAGCATGCTATCAAAGAACATATGTCATAGGCCCCCCATAACTGGGGCTATCTTACCTGTCTATACAGCTATCACGCTGTTCTGTGCCAGTGGAGGCCCAGACACCCCCTGCACATACTGGGACACATAACTGTCAGCCCCAACACCTCCCTCAGGCACAGCCAACAGAGTGTCCCCCGGCTCCGGTCATTATTCACTTGCCCTCGGTTTGTCCCGCCCAGCAGCTGCTTTCTCTCACATACTTTTAAACACTTTCTTCCTTCCAGCTCTTACCCAGGGATTCAGGAAGATCTGTTTCTCTGAGGCACCTACTGTTTGACTGTGTCTCTGCCCCCCTTTCTTTCTCTCTCCATTTCCTTCCTTCCCCATATCTCCTTCTTGATTCAGCCCAAAATTGACTTAACCGTTGCAAAATGAGTTACCCAACTGCTACTTCCATATAAAATATAAGAAAGCCTGGTCATCCAACGTCACGTTTACATCTAAAAGAAAACCAGGGGTGGAAATCTCTCAAACTTCTACAAATTCCCAGAAGTTATATCAGCCTCCTGAGTAACTAGGACTAGAGGTGCGTGCCATGCTTAATTTTTTTTTTTTTTTTTTTTGTAGAGACAGGGCTATGATGTGTTTCCCAGGCTGGCCTCGAACTCCTGGCCTCAAGCAGTCCTCCTGTCTTGGCCTCCCAAAGTGCTTGGATTACAGGCATGAGCCACTACATTCAGCCCTGTCTTTCTTTAAATAGCACATTAAAGACGTAATTTCTTGTTTCCCTGAGCTTAAATGCCACCAATATGACAGGAGTATTATTTTATATCTATCATTTGTTGTAGGCACACACAATTTTGGTTACATTAGGGACTATGTGGGATTTTATGAGCCTACACTGGAAACCTAATAACCAGATCTAACATCGTTAAGGGGAACATATTTCTATCTTACATATCTCAGGTGTATAGCCCATTCTGTGACTGGATAGTTCTTATAGTGCCAACTTAGTAGTGAATACCAAGCAGAAATATGTGCTGGGAAAATCTGGCTACAGTGAGTCATTTTGTGCTAAATATTTACAGGATCCAAAAGTATGATCCAGCTAGCAGGAAGAAAGTCTTAGGATCAGCAATCTAATAAATATCTGACATATATCCATGTATCTGGTCAGGAAATAGTACTGTGGTGATAATTACAGTCACATCTAGTGTAGGCCACAGGCACTGTGCTAGGCTCCAGGGATAACATGATGGGTAGGGCAAACATGGACCTTACAGTCCAAACAAGTCATCTCGCTGCGAAGCCTGGCTGTAGCCTGGCTGCGTAGGCCATGGTGAGTGCTGGGAAGGAAAGGTGGAGACCGCCCACAGGCCTGCTGGGGCCTCACCTGCCTGGAGGCTGGACAGTCTGTGGGGCCCAGATATAGCTGTGGGCAGCCTGAGGCCTTGACATGGGCTCTTCAGAAGCACTGGTTCCAGCTCATCCATATTAGTAAATTACTCTGATAAATGTAAGTAATCATATTTTTAAACCAGTTTGATTTGTCCCAAAATGAATAATCAAAGTTTTTGTCTACTAGGCTTTTTTCTGGAGGGGGCCCCAAAATATAAGACTTTGGTTATTCTAAGAGTTAGCACCATGCTTATATTTTGCTGTATGACAACATTATATATGGGCATTTGAGTGAAACCCATGTTATTGTTCACAGTTCTAAATGCTATTGTTATCAATAATGATAACAATATGAGGGATTATGTATAAAAGTACCTAACTTTGTGCCTGGCATAGAGGAGTACAGAGATAAACATGAACTGGATCTAAAAATCCTTTACAAAGTAAATGTGAGCAGTGTTGCAGAAAGAACTCACAACTGCACAAAGATTATGAAAAGAATAACCTCCCACAGAATGGAGACATTTAAAGGCAAGAAATTGGGCCAGATGCAGAGGCTCACGTCTATAATCCCAGCACTTTGGGAAGCCAAGGTGGGGAGATCACTTGAGGTCAAGAGTTCAAGACCAGCTTGGTGAACATGTCAAAACTTCGTCTCTACTAAAAATACAAAAATTAGCCTGGCATAGTGGTGCGGGCCTGTAATTCCAGCTACTCAGGAGGCTGAGGTGGGAGAATGGCTTGAACCTGAAAGGTGGAGGTTTCACTGAGCTGAGATCGCGCCACTGCACTCCAGCCTGGGCAACAGGCGAGACTCTGTCTCGAAAAATAAAAATGAAAATAAAAAAAAGGCAAGAGGTGGACCTGGTCAAGAATAGTAGGCCATCTTACATATTAATAACTAGTTTTTATCATGTTTTATTCTATTTGTGGAAGGATGTGATTTGACCTGTAACATGTTTTATTTATTTAATATAACATTATATTATCACGGCATTCTACTATATTTTATGGGAAATGAAAGAACTATAACTAGTCTTAGAAAGCCTGTTTAAATGAAAAGTTTGAGATGAAATCACTCAGGCAGTCATCTCCCATATGACCATGCTGGTTTGCACTGCTGGTCAGTAAATATTCATCCTTCTCTCCCTCCTGTGTGGGCAGAGTGGACGTCCTCACTCCCGTGCTCATGGGCATGACCATGACACTTGCTTTGGTCAATGGGATGTTAGTGGATATGATGTGGGCAGAGGCTTGACATGTGCCTGGGCCCTTGTGCTTGCCTTTCTGTGCACCTGCATTTCCCCATAGATAGCAAATGCCTCAGGTAGCTGTCAATCCAAGCAGGATGAAACACACATGGTGCAAACAAACCCAGCCACAACCTAGAGCCAGATCAGCTGACATCAGTCCACCCACAGGTGTGTAGACCACCCACAACGTGCTTCTTGTTTGACATTGAGTTTTGACGTGGTTTGCTATGCAGCATTATTATGATGATAACTGACTCTTAAGATAACCGAAGTCTCATATTTTTGTTAAACATAAAGGTAGCCAAAACTGTTTAGAAGTCACATTATCTAGAAATAAACCTGTAATTTTGAAATCAGATATTTTACAAAATGTATTACCTTTGGAATTGAAAAGTATCGTCCTCTCCAGCTGCCTGCAGTCCGTGGACCACCCTTGCTGGATCAGACACCTCTCCAAACCCCAGCAGCACCACAGGCCCAGTTTTCCATGAGCCTGTGAAGAATAAGCCCAGCTCACAGTAGAGCTGCTAACAGCCATCATGAAAGAGACCAGAAAATACAAAATCCTTAGCTGTGTGAGACCTAAACACACTTAAATTCGTTCAACTGAAAATGAATATTGTTTTGGCTTGCCTATTTCAAAAGGACAGAAGACCTAAAACCTTTTATAGTTTTCGGTTCAAGTTTTGCCTTTCCTTGCAGGCTGATTCTTTGTTGTGCCAGACAGCCAAGATTCATGTTTCGTAGCAGCTGGGAGCCTCAATAATTTAAGCAAAATGTTGCCTCTTTCAGCCAAGGAAAATGCAGCTCACCAAGGAATGTTGCATTGTAGCATCTGAACAGAGTGGGGGTCATAGCCATAAAACTCTCCTAGCGTCCTAGCGAGGGCAGGAATGGAGAGACCCCACTCCCTCACTTCAGTGCCTTCTTGGCTTTCCATAGATGAAGAGCAGGGAGTATGGGAGAATTTTCTAGATGCTGTTAGCTTCCAAGAAGCCATCTGAAAGTTACTGTAGTTTATTTTTCCTAAGCAAACAAGACAAGCCATCACACTTCCTTTCAACTTTGGATTGAAAACAATTTGGGCATGATTTCCTCAACCAAATCAAATTAATACACTTGCCATTTATTTTGGCTTGTAAAATTCCTTTTCATATTATTTCATGAACAGGAGAAAAACAGAGAGACATTCAATGAAGTGTACATTTTGTGGTAAAATTGGTATATCTTACCTGGAAAATGAGTCTACAGCAGTTTATTTGTGAAAATGTGAAAATGCCAATTCAATGTCAAAAATAGCATATACTACATTTCATTAATTTAATAGTGTCATTGACCTTAAAACTGCTAAAATAGTAGAATAGCATATGTAATTGCTTCTGTAGTCTTTTTGAGAAATGTAAATAGTATAGACTATTTATCATCAAAATGCTCTTACACAAGGGAAATCTGTCAAGATTATTTTGTGATTTTATTTTTGCTAACAAAAATACTGTCTTTCAGTCCCTCTAGCTAGGTCTTGACACATTATATTCTAAAAATCAGGGTTGAATCTTTGTAAAATTATCTGGTGAAAAGCAGAATGTTCTGGCCTTTAATTCTCAAAAAAGGGAAAACTTCCTTGAAATCAATCCAGTTCAACATTTAAATATTAAAATATCAGTAACATCATGAGCATGAATATTTTTTACCATTGCCTTTTTGTCTGTAAGGAAGAACTAGTATACATTGCCAACATTAGTAATTTGGTTTCCTTAATAAGTATAGCAAATTGGGAACAAAAGCAAGATAAAAGGTTTTTTTCTAGACAGTTTCTTTCAGCCTAATTTCAACTTCAAATTAGAGGAACATAAATGAATGTCCTACTTCTGCATTAAAAGTACTTGACTACTTTGTGGGATGTTTTGTGCTGATTCTTTACTAAATGATCTTGGTCGCCGTTGCTAGGTAACACCGCTGGCTTCCTGCAGCTGAAAAATGAGAGGGTTATACGGAGCAATTCGGCATTATTAGCATTTGACTAAGGTTTTTTGGTTTTCTGAACTGTATATCTTAGCGTTTTCCCTTCTTTCCTAGGGAATATCATTGTCTATGGGAATACAATTGATACTTACACCACCGTGGAGACGCTCTTAAACCTTGGCGTGAGCGGCAGCCGCATCCACCTCGTGCAGCCCCCGCCCGCCTCCACCATCACCTGCATCAACAACTACTCGGTGGAGAGCGCCGTGGCGGACGCGCTAGGAGCCGCCGGAGTCACTATGTACCGGGATGCGATCCTGGCCCAGTGGAATGACGGCCTGCACCCAGACCCCATCTACAGCGCCTCCTTCACCACACCCACCAAGCCTTTCAGACTCCAGTGCTCTGTAAGTGGGTCCCTGCAAACCTCACTCACCAGCCAGGGACAGAGGACATCTCCAAGGGATTTGGGGGTCTGGAAGATTGCGGGCAGTGAATTTGTAGTACCAGATGTTGGATTTTGTTTTCTGTGTGTTCAGATTACCTCTTGCTGGGTAACAACCCACCCCAGACTCAGTGGCATAAAGCAACAACAACCGTTTATTATTCTTATCTCTCCTGGTTTTTTATTATTATTTTATTATCCTTATCTCTTCTGGCTTTGGCCAGACTCAGCTGGGAAGTTCTCACTTGAGGTCGCTCATGCGGCTGAAGTCAGCAGTGGGTGGGCTGGAATTGTCTCAAAAGCATAGTCACTCACATGTCTGGCTGTTGATCCTGAATCAACTTTAGTTGAGATTTTCACCAGAACACTTAGAAGTGGCCCCTTCATGGGACTGGCTTCCTCACAACATGGTGGTTTGGGTCTGAGGGTAGAGTGGAGAGAGAGGCAGTGTCAGCTGTGTCACCCTGGATGACCTGGCCTCTGAAATCAAGCAGCATTCCTCCCACCACATTCTATTTGCT
Source organism: Homo sapiens (assembly GCF_000001405.40). NCBI lineage: Eukaryota > Metazoa > Chordata > Mammalia > Primates > Hominidae > Homo > Homo sapiens. The sequence continues at coordinate 20,278,018 of NC_000020.11, forward strand.
AGAGGCAAGTTGCCAGGACCAGCCCATATTCAAGGAGTGGGAAATTAAACCCTGCCTGTTCATGGAGGTCAAAGATTTGAATGGAGAGCGCTTCTCTTTACGGAGAGCTTGCCATGCCCCAGGACATTCTGTCAACTCATCAGGACAGCTCTGTAAAGGGAAGTATCCCCAGTTTACAGAGAACGCTGTGGCTCTAAGTCAGTGGCACTGCTGGTTCCCTGCCCAGCCCAAGGTCTATGCTGCCATTAACCTCTTAAGATTCTGGCAACAGCAGTGGTGAGTCTTTCCCCATGACACACAACTTCTGGCAATGTGTATAGAGAGAGCACTTTCCTTTCCAGGTGGGTGACACCCCACCTTCCAGCCTGCACCCTCAGAGTTTACAGCTTAGGAGGTTAGTAGAAGCCCTCAGGGAGGGAAGGAGGGAAGGGGCCGGTCCATCTCACTGAGAAGCAGGGGAACCTTGCTCGAAAGGGAAGCTGAGGTCGGTATGAGGATAATGGTTGTGTAGGTCAAGGGTGTGTGTTAACGGTTGTGATAAAGAATGCCTGCTAACATCCAGTGGGCAAGCCATTTAGGGGCAGGCATTCACAGCAGGCCCTTACCTAGGAGTGGGGGGTGATCAGCCTAAGTCAGGGCTTCTCACTCAGGTGCTGCTAAGGATTGAGAATGGTGGCTCTCACCCCCACCCCAACCCAGAACTCAAAGGACAGGGGCTCAAAGCAGACCACTGAAAAAGACTAAAAAGGAAGATTTTTTTTAGAATCTCTCATTTTATCCTGAGATCCATGGAAATTGTGTATTCTACTCTGTAGTTCATTCATTTATTCATTCATTCCATAAATATTTATTGAACACCTGCTAGGTCCCAGGCTCTGTCCTCGATGTTAGGGATGTAACAGTGAAAAAGACAGGACAAGTCCACTTTATTTTAAAAAGTGATACTGTCTATACATGTATGTCATGACACCTATTTAAGACAGGAAATATCAAAATATTTTTGCACAAATTTTCCCTCAAAAATGGCAAACCTGGAAGATTGCCACGTTTATTCTGGAGCACCTCTAGAGGTGAGTGTGTGCCTTGTTCAGGAAGCAGAGGCCTGAGAAAACCTCCCCAAACATCCCATTGGATAGCAGCTCTTCTGACCTTCACTTTCCTATTCAGATTAGAATCAAACTCCTGACAAAAACATCTGGCAAATTAAATTGACCCTTGAACACATGAGGAGTAAGGGCAGCAACCCTCCTCACAAAGTTGAAAACCCACATAGAGCTTTTGACTCTCCAAAAACTTAGCTACTAAAAGCCTACTGTTGACCAGAAGCCTAACTGGTCACATAAACAGTTGATTATATGAAAATGTATTTTGTATTTTATATGTATTGTATACTCTATCCTCACCATAAAGTAAACTAGAGAAAAGAAAATGTTATTAAGACAATCATAAGGAAGAGAAAATATATTTATTCTTCATTAGGTGGAAGTGGATCATCATAAAGATCTTCGTCCTCATTGTCTTCACGTTGAGTAGGCTGAGGAAGAGAAGGAAGAGGAGGGGTGGGTCTTGCTGTCTCAGGGATGGCAGAGGCAGAAAAAAAATCTATGCATAAGTGACACACAGTTCAAATCCATGTTGCCCAAGGGTCAGCTGTAACCTCAACTGTCTTGATCCAAGGCACCTTCCTGCTACATTTTCATCCTAACACCGTCTGAGTCAGACATTGGCTTGTTTGCTGTTATATTCTTTCTCCTACCTTCCCTGGTCTGCTTGGTCTCACAAAGAATGGCCCCTGCAGATGACATTTCCCAGGTTCCATTATTCTCTGATTTTCATCTCTATTTGAACAATAGTTTGTACCTGTGGGAGATTAAACATGGGAAGCGGGGAGTCAGGGTAGGTATCTCTCATACTGTCTGCTTTGGGCAGCATCTGTCAGGGCATTAAGCACTTTTTGGTGGGGATGAATATGTCCATCCTCTTCACTATGGTCTTGGTGTCATGAGTTGAATTACATCCCCTAGAAAGATATGTTGATGTCCTGACCCCCAGTACCAGTGAACATGACCTTATTTGGAAATAAAGCCTTTGTCGATGTAAGCAAGTAAAGAGAAAGTCATCCTGGATCAAGGTTGGCCCTAAATCCAATGGCTGGTGTCCTTAAATAGAGAGATTTGATGGCATACAGGGACACGCAATGAAGAAAACCTCACGACAGTGGAGGCAGAGGTTGGTGTGATGGCAGCTGCAAGTCATGGAATGGCAGGAATTGCTAGCAACCGTCAGGAAGTAGGAAGAGGCAGGGAAGCCTTCTTCCCTAGAGCCTCTGGAGGGAGCATGTTCCTGACAATACTTGGATTCTCCAGAACTGTGAGAGAATAAATTTCTCTTGTCTTGAGCTACCCAGTTTGTGGTACTTCATTACAGCAGCCCTAGGAAACGAAAGCAGATGATGTCACAGTGTATGTACCTACTAAAACTATGATGTTGATAACCAGAATCATACATTATATACTATTTTTCTATTTGGCTTCATTTACTCAGCATGGTGATTTTGAGATTCCATATAGTTCCATGTATCAATAGTTCATTCTTTTTTATGGCTAAGTAGTATTCCATTGTATGGATATATCTCATTTTGTTTATTTATTTGCCTGCTATGCACATTCTGGTACATGCCTTTGTGTGGATAATATTTTTATTTCTCTTAGCTATAAACCTAGAGATTGTCTAAGTCATATGGTAGGTGAATGTTGACCTTTTTAAGAAGTTGCCATGTTGCTCTCCAAAGTAGCTATACCATTTTACATTTCCATCAGCAATGTATGAGAGTTCCAGATACTCCACGTTCTTGTCAGCACTTGGTGTTGTCAAATTTTAGTCACTCTTGTGGGTGTGGCATGGTGTGTCATTGTGTTTTTTTTAATTTGTGCTTTCCTGACAATTAATTATGTTTGGTATCTTTTCGTTTTTTTAGTAGCCATTAGTATTTCTCCTTTTTGTGAAATGTTCAAGCTATTATAAATGTATTTAAAATTTTGAAATTTCCAGTTGATCACTGCAGGTTTACAAAATGCAATTTATTTTCTGTATAAACATTGTAACTTGAAAATGCTAAATTCTCTTATTAGCTTTTGTAGTTGTTTTTTAGGTCCATAAACATGTCATGCAAATAGAGGCAGTTTTACTACTTCTTTTCTGATATTTAGGTCTTTTATTTCAGTTACTTGCTTTATTCTACTCACTAGGACCTACAGTGCAATGTTTAATAAAAGTGGGGGAAATAGACATCCTTGCCTTGTTCCATATCCCAGAGAGAACTTTCAGGCTTTCACTGTTAAATATGAGATAATTTGGCTGTGGATTTTTCTTTGGTGCTTTTTATCAGACTGAAGAAGTAACCTTCCATTCCTAGTTTGTTTAGAGGTTTTTATCATGAACGGCTGTTGAATTTTGTTAAGTGAATTTTCCATATTTCTTAAAAAGAAATATGGAAATTTTCTTCTTAATTCTTTAATACAGTGAATTACGTTGATCGATTTTTGAAAATGTTCAGCCAGCCTTATATCTCTGGAATGAAACCTAATTGGTCATAATGCGTTATCTTTCTATATATTCCTAAATTTTATTTGCCAATATGTTTTAAGAATTTTTGAAACTATTTTGCAACTATATTCATGAGGGATGTTGATATAGAATTTTCTGTTTCAGTAATGTCCTTGTAAGGTTTTGGTGTTCGAGCTGTGTTGGCCTTATAAAAAAATTCGGGCAATGTTCCCTCCTTGTTTATTTTCTGAAAAAGTTTGTGCAAGATTGGTATTTTTTCTTTCTTGGACGTTTGACAGAATTAACCAGTGAAACAATCTGGGCATGGAGTTTATATTGTTGAAAGGCTTTTGATAACAAATTCATTTTTTTAACTAGATATAAGGCTACTCAAATTTTCTGCTTCTTCTATAAATTTTTGTAAGTTGTAATTTTTAAGAAATTTGTCCATTTCATTTACATTTGTCAAATTTGTTGGCATTAAGTTTTTCACATATTATTTTGTTATCTATTTGATGTCTAGGATCTGTAGTAATAACCCCTCATTTATTTCTGATATTGGTGAATTGTGTTCAGTCTCTCTGACCCTCTCTCTGTTTGCTGCCAGTCTCTCTGTCTCTGACTCTCTCTCTTTCTCTCTCTCTCCCAGTGTAGATAGGGGTTTGTCAATTTTATTGATCTTTTTCAATTAACCAGCTTTTGAGTTTGTTAATTTTCTCTATTATCTGTCAGTTTTCTCCTCTATTGATTTCTGCTCTTAATTATTTTCTTCCTTCTTCTTGCTTTGGATTTACTTTACCCTTCTTTTTTCTAGTTCCTTAAGGTAGAGCCTTAAGTCGTTGATTTATATAAGCATTTCAGCATAAGTTTTCCATTATGTTTGAGCTGCATCCCATAAACTCATATGTTAACTTTTAATTATCACTTAATTCAAAATATTTTCTAATCTCCCTGTGATTTTTTATTCAACCTTGGATTATTTAGAACTGGATTCTCTAATATTCAAATATTTAAGGTTTTCCTAAATATTATATTTTTAATTGATTTCTAGTGTAATGCTGTTGTGATCAGAGAACAGTGTTTTAAGATTTAGAGCCAGGGACGGTAACTCACACCTGTAATCCCAGCACATTGGGAGACCTAAGTGGGCAGATCACTTGAGGTCAGGAGTTCAAGACCAACCTGCCCAACATGGTGAAACCCTGTCTCCACTAAACATATGAAAATTAGCCAGGCATGGTGGTACATGCCTGAAATCCCAGTTACTCGGGAGGCTGAAGCAGGAGAATCTCTTGAACCTAGGAGGTGGAGGTTGCAGTGAGCCCAGATGGCGCCATTGCACTCTAGCCTGGGCGACAGAGCAAGACCCTGTCTCAAAAAAAAAAAAAAAAAATTATTGAGACTTGTTTTATGTCCAAGCATATGGACTAACTTTGTGAACATATAAGGAATATGTATTACGTATTATGTGCTTGTTGAGTTTAATGTTAGTTCAATATGGTTGACGGTGATGTTCGACGCTCATAAGTCTTTACTGATATTTTTATCTCATTCTATTAATTGCTGAGAGAAGGGTATTAAAATCTGTTACTATTATTGTGGAAGTCTCTGTTTTTCCTTTTAATTCTTTTGATTTTTGCTTTATCTTTTTGGGGGCTCTGTTATTAAGCCCATGAGCATTTATAGTTGTTATATCTGCCTTGTGAATTGTGCCTTTTATCATTATGAAATGTTCCTCTTTATCTCTGATATTTAATAATATCCCTTATCTTAAGGTCCAGATTATCTGATACTAATATGACCATTCCATTCTTCTTATGCTTACTGTTTACATGATATATTTCCCATCCATTTACTTTCTACTTATCTGTGTCTTTGTGTCTAAAGTGTGTCTCTTGTAGGCATCATAAAGATTATATTAATGTTTTTAGTGCTGCATGACAAACTGCCACAAATTTAGCAGCTTAAAATAACATCCATTTACTAGTTTATAGCTCTAGTCAGAAATGCAGGCAAGGTGTGGCTGGCTTCTCTGCTTAGGGACTCTTAAGGCTAAAATCAAGGTGCCAATCAGGCTGCATTCTATCTGGAGCTTGAAGTCCTCTTCCAGACTTGTGTGATAGTAATAGAAGTTAATTCCTTGCAGCTGAGGACAGAGGTCCCCACTTCCTTGCTGGCCCAGCCAGGGGCTACTCTCAGCTCCTAGAAGCCATTCATATTTCTTGCCTCATGGCCCCTTCCATCTTAAATCCAGCAACAGAGAATCTTACTCATGTCAAATTCCCTTCATATTTCAAATCCTTCTTCAGAAAAAGCCTGGTCCCTTTTAAGGTTTACCTGATCAGGTCAGACCCACTGAGCATGATCTCCCTGTCTTAAAGTCACATGTGCCATATAACATCACCTTACACATTCACAGTTCATGCTTGTACTTAAGGAAGAGGTGGAATCTTGGGAACCACCTTAGACTTCTGCCTACCACATGCTTTTTATCCTTTCTATCTCTGCATTTTATTTAAAGTACTTAGACCATTAATATTTAATGTAATTACTGATATGGTTAGATTTAGGTCTACCATTTTATTATTTGTTTACTGTTTGTTCCCTCTTCTTTCTTTTCTGTTCCCCCTTGCCTGCTTTCTTTAGGATTATTAGAGTATTTTTTAGTAGTCTATTTCAATTGGCTCTTTATTTTATTTTATTTTATTTTATTTTATTTTATTTTATTTTATTTTATTTTGAGATGGAGTCTCGCTTTGTTGCCCAGGCTGGAGTACAGTGGCTCGATCTCAGCTCACTGCAAACTCCTCCTCCCAGGTTCACGCCATTCTCCTGCCTCAGCTTCCCGAGTAGCTGGGACTACAGGCGGCTGCCACCACACCCGGCTATTTTTTTGTATTTTTAGTAGAGACGGGGTTTCACCGTGTTATCCAGGATGGTCTCGATCTCCTGACTTCGTGATCCGCCTGCCTCAGCCTCCCAAAGTGTTGGGATTACAGGCATGAGCCACCGCGCCCGGCCTTCAATTGGCTTTTTAACTATATCTTATCTTTTAGTAATTGCTCTATGGATTATAATACACATCAGCAATCTTTCATGTTCAATAGAGTTAATATTGTACCATTTCACATAAAATGTAAAAACCTTGCAGCTATGCAGTTCCTTCTCCCCATATTCTGGATGTCTATTTTGTTAACAGCCATCCTATATCTTACATCTACAAACACTGCAAAATCAGTAAGGCAATATTGTAATCTTTGTTTTAAGGTCATATGTATTTTGAAGAATTAAAAAGAATAGTCTTTTATAGATACTCAGATATTTACTAATTTTCTTGTTCTATCTTCCTTTTTGAAAATCCAAGTCTTCCTTCAGCCTAAATGAGCTTCAGAGCATTTATTGTATTGTAGGTCTGCTAAAAAGTAATTCTTTAGTTTTGCTCCATCTGAAAATATATGTTGCTTTCATTCTTAACGCTTATTTTCACTGAATATAGAATTCTGGGCTTATAGGTTATTTTTTCCCAGCACTTTGAAGATGCTTTTCCACCATCTTCCAACATCCATGCATTTTTGTTTAAAAATCTACAATCATTTAAAACATTCCTCTATATGTCATTTTCCATTGGCTGCTTTCAAGGTTTGCTCTTTATCCTTGGTTTTTAGCAATTTGATGCTGTGGGTATTCTGTGTTTATTATGTCTCTAAGCATGGTTTGTTTTTTTTGTTTTTAATTTGTCTTGTTTGGCGTTCACTGAACTTCTCGAATCCATAAATTTATGATTTTCACTAAATTTTAACAAGTTATTGGCCATTCTTTCTTACCCTATTCTTCTCTCTTCTCTTCCTGGGATTCCAATTACATATCTGTTAAGAGTTTTTTATATTGTTCCCTGGGGCTCTAAGGCTCTGTTTTTTCAGTCTCTTTTTTCTCTTTCTCACTATTCTTCAAATTGGACAGTTTCTATTCATATAACTTCAAGTTCACTGACTCTTTCCTCTATCATCTCTATTTTTCTATTAGGGCATAAGATGACTGCAGCTCACCCTTTTATAAAAAACCTCTAAATTGAGGCCAGACACAGTGGCTCACGCCTATAAACCTAGCACTTTGGGAGGCCAAGGTAGGTGGATGGCTTGAGCTCAGGAATTCAAGACCAGCCTGGGCAACATGGTGAAGGCCATCTCTACAAAAAAATACCAAAAAATTAGCCGGGTATGGTGGCAAGCACCTGTAGTTCCAGCTACATGGGGGGGCTGAGGCAGAAGGATTCCTTGAACCCGGGAGGTCAAGGCTGCAGTAAGCTGAGATCTTGCCACTGCCCTCCAGCCTGGGTGACAAAGTGAGACCCTGTCTCAAAAAAAAAAAAAAACAAAAACAAACAAACAAAAAGACTCTAAATTGAATACCTGTATGTGGAAATGGAGAGAAAAGGTAATTGAAAAAGCAAACTTAAAAAAAAAAAAAACACCTCTAAAATAAGGGAAATTATCCCCATCCTGGTCATTTCTCCAAGTTTTTACTGTAATACACAAGCTACCCAAACTTTTAAATACTAATAAGAATCCTCTTATATCAGAGTTTATAGTTATTATCAGTGGGATTCATCTCAGGAGGTTATACCACCAAGGCAGAAGCAGAACTCTCTTGAAATTGATGTTTTGTCCCCACATCAAAGCCTCTCCACATCCTGCCTGATAGTGGCGCCTCCTGGGCTCTTAGCAGGTGGTCCAGCCTCCAGCCAGGTTAGGATGCAGTGACACTGGCTCTCAAGGCAGACTTTCCCATCTTGTTGGCATTCATCTTTCCAATTAGATCATGCGCTCCATGCTTATGTTTTTCACCAAGATGTTCTGGAGACCTTGCACAGTGCCTGGGACAAGAAGTGTTTGTCTGAATGCATGAATGAATGAAGTTTATCAGACTACTGACTCCCACCCTTCTCCCTAGCTAACCAAGGAGTTTTGCTCTCCTTAATCAGAATTATCAATATAAGTAGTCTTGAAATATGTACTCAGAACATCAGTGTGGCCAGCCATTACCTCTTCCTATTTGTACCCAATATGTAGTATTCCACTGGCGTTACAGAAGCACATAGGTTGTATTTGCAAGGTCTGTAACTTGTAACACATGTTCTTATTAACAATGTTGGATTTGCTTATTCAGTTTTCACTCCAGTCTACAAACTCCTATGAAACCCCAAATGTAGCCAAAATTGTGAATGCCTACACCAAAAGTGTATAAGTAAACATTACTGCAATACTGGTAACCTTTAAAACCCAGAAAAACAAGAACTAGTATATTTAATGTACTACTTAACAAAAAGTAGGCTTAATTAGAGAAAGAAAATTGGGTAGGTAGAAGAACTTCTGTGAGGATGCTGAAGGAGACTTCTAAACATTTTCAAGGGCTCAAGAGGTTGATAGCACTGTTTTTATTTATAATTTAAATTCAAATCAGATATCTTTCTATATATTTATCTGGGTAGGAAATCTATTTTTTATAGAGATGGGGAAAGAGAATGAGAAAGCAAAAAAGGAGTGTAGGGAGACAGAAAGATTCAGAATCAGAGAGAGACTCAGAGAAATATATTTTCCTGTGGCCACTGGGTAAGAGTTATAAGACAGAAAAAAAAAGAAAAAGACTTGAAAGAAAGAAGCATCCTGGGATGGGATTAGACAACTAGGTGAATAAAGACAGGACAAGGGCACAGAGTGTATCTCCCTGAGGGAGGACCAAGGACATCATAGAGATGATGGATCTGAGTGCTGCTGTCCAATAGAACCTTCTTCAAGATGGAAATAGGCTGTATCTGCACTGCCCAATATGGCAGCCAGTAGCCACCTATAGCTAACTGAGCACTTAAAATGGGCTATTGCAACTGAGGAACCGAATTTTTCATTGTATTTAATTTAAATTAATTTAGATGTAAATATTTATAGCCTTGTATGACTAGTGGCTACCACAGAATCAGAAAGCTCCCTGAACCATTCATGGGTGTGGGGCAGGAATACTGAAGGGGCTGGCTACCTCTTGCCCAAGGACAGCTGATGTCTATACAGAATGAAACAGTTGAGGGGGGTAAAGCAGGAATGTGATGGAAGTGGGGAGATGACCATCAGTATGGTTGGGACCCATGTCTTATGTTCATTTTTTAGCATGCTTTTAATAAAGTGGCAGACTATTTTAGGGAAAGATAAAATCAATTGAGCGTGTTTCAATTGGTCCAACAACTAAAGACAAAAACAACTAACTTGCACTGCTTCAGTGACTTTCAACATCAGTGTGGAAGACGATGTCCAGATGAGCATGAGAAAGCATTGAAATTTGAGCACAGAATGGAGAGGGCATACAAATAATTTCTAAGGAGCATGCAAAGGGGTTGGTGGCCCCTCTGCTTATGGCACCCTCACACAGTGCCTGGCATATGGTAGGTATGCCATCAGTATTTCTTGAATGACTCTGTGTCGTATGAGAGCAGGAAGCAACAAGGCAGGAACCCAGACCTAGTAGATACAGAGACTGATGAAGCATCCATCTTCTCTGGAGCATCATATAGGGACAAGCTTACTGAGTTTTAAAAGCTAGCAATGGGCAGTCTGAAAACTGAAGACTGGATGAGATCAACCCAAGAAGGAACCTGCAGAGACCCGAGTGTCAGACACAGGAAGGGGAAGAGGATGGAGGCTGCGCTAGAGCTGTTCAAAATGTAGGAGCATGAGGGGAAGGCAGGGTCTGTACAAATGTAAACCCTCTTCCGCCGAAAACCACTCACACTTTTGTGGGAGATATTTCATCACCTGGCATCCTTCTCTCCACTGGATGAGTGAATTGAGTGAATAAGAGTGACATTTGGGGATCTTAATGGGTTCTTCATGCCCAAGGCAATCTATCTCTCATACGCACACAAACAACATGATAGCAAACTTTTAGTATGTGTATTTTTGTGCCCCGAATAATAAAATGCCCTGGAGACTAGTCACACTTTTGGGAAGGTAAAATGAAGAGTGATAACTGAATATTGCTGTAATTGTTCACTTCGTAGATGTTCTTCAGCTTCTGTGAGAAGAATGTGGATTATGAAACGTTTAAAGCCCTCAATGATGCATGTCTTGTGTATGACAGTCGACTTGTGATTGATACCAACTTCCACACCAACGACATAGCCATCAGAGCTGCTGGCTCCCTCACCAAATTCTCCAATAGATACTACTCAAATGAGTGGACTCACAGCAACTTCAGTTCCAAAGAAATTGGCTTTCAGCTGGCAGCAGCTATGCTACATCTCTTTGATCCAACCCTTGAGCCTGTGACCGAGCCACCAGCTAATCTTGACCGGCTCATCCCCATGTACAAGGGAGCCAAGATTCAAGGTATACGAGTAGGCTTCCTTCTCCTTGATGAAGCCACAGATTAGGTATGGCTCAGCAGTCAGGCCAGTCCTCCAGGTTTCTCTTAGGCTTGGGGAAAAGGCTCCTCCGTACCTCAATGGGTTGCCACAGAGACAGAGAAAGGGTCTATAATTTCTGAAGCATTTATTACAAACCTGGAATTATTGTTATTACGGTTCTTTGCATTTGAGCATTTACTATGGACCACATCCTAAATGGGGTTCCCACTTTACAGATAAGAAAACAGACAAGGGAATGATTATTAACTTGTCTGGATGTCTCACAGCTGGAAAATGATGGTTTGCCCTGACATCTTACCCAAAACTTCCATTCTCTCTGTAAGTTCAGAGATAAGGAGACCCTTCCAGGCAGCCAGGCCTCAGCCTGCTCTGGGGATGGATAAGCTTAACCATTTGCAGCTGTAAAGCAGTGCACTTTTATCCCATAAACCCTTCTGACCCCTAAGGAGGAGATGATTTCATGAGTAATGCAGGGTTCCTTCACGTTTAGGGTATGAGAAATACCTTTGAAAATGGTGTTTCTGAATGTTGTGGACCTTTTACCAGAAAAATGCACATATTTACAAAATTACGTGTTCCCTTCCTGGAGGTTTATAGATGAACCCACAAAGCTGTACATAGACCCCCAGGGTGTCCATGAAGCCCAGTCCAGTCAATGGAATGTCAGATTACAGAGACGAAAGCCCCACATTCCATCCTTGTCTTCCTCTTCCTAACTAGGCAGCCCCACAAGGTCTTGCTCTGCTTCTCACTCTGGGTGAGACCTGAGGAAAGGTGGTGGCCGTAGGCAGGCAAGAGAAGGGAGGGCTGTCAGAAGCCAGAGCTGGCACAGGCCCAGACCTCAGGAACAAACCAAAATATTAAGAATTCGATAATGACAGTTTCTAAAACATTGAACAAAGAACTTTGTTGATAGTCCTAATTAAATTCAATTTTTTAATATTTTGGCTACATTTTGGAGAAGTGATGAGGAATAGGAATGCTGTTTGCAACATTTAAGGCTTCTAAAGGTCTTGATCTGGTTTTGGCAGATACAGGTTAAAGGGCGGGGAGCTCCGGATAATCACAGGATACACAAGATCGGCTTGGCACATCCTGGAGCAATGGCGGCTACATTATGGGATATCATATCACATTCACATCAATTTGGTTAAATAAACGTCAACCACCCCAGGGAGTTCCTTGTTGTTAGTGGTACTTTAGTGTGAAAGTTTGAGGAGCATACGCCACTGCAGGCATCTGTTTGTCCTGTGATGAAAATATGAGCTCTGTTACTCACCTCATTAACAATTAATTTTAAATGGAAAACTTGCCATCTCTTCTAGGGGGCATTCTTCCTGGGTCTTACCATTATCTGCATATTGCCAAGCCTGCCATTCCAACTCCCTTGGAGGTACAAATGGCACAGCCTAATTATGTAAGTATTATTTCTGAATTTCATTTTACTTTCAAATACAAAACTTTGTTTATAAGAGGATGAAATTCTTTACTTGGAGTCTTTACTGTAATGTGTTGGTTCACACATCAGAAGCCCACTGGAGTAATCGTCCCCCAAGATGGCCCTTAGTGACTCTCGCACCTTGGTCTTCATGCCCTTGTGTGGCTCCTCCCACACTGAGTAGGGCTGACCTGTGTAGCCAACAGGATATTGGGGAAATGACTGTGTGACTTCCAAGGTCAGGTCAGGTCAAGAAAGATACGACAGCTTCCAGCTTGCACACTTCTAGATGACTTGCTGCCATGCTGTAGGGACGCCTTTAGAGAGGTCCATGTGGCAAGGAATTGAGGACTCCTGCACCAGTCATGATCAGTTTGCCAGGCAGACGAGTGTGCCACCTTGAAGTGGATCCTGCAGCCTCCTTCATGCCTTCAGGTGACTGCAGCCCCAGCCAACATCTTGACTGAAAACTTATGAAAGGCCTTGAGCCAGAACTCCCTAGCTAAGCCATTTTCAGCTTCTGACTCCCAGAGACCGTGAGATAATAAAAATTTATTATTGTTTTATGCCATTACTTTTTTCAATAGACTTTATTTTTTAGAGCTGTTTTGGTTTCATAACAAAATTGAGCAGAGGTACAAAGATTTCCCATGTAACCCCAACCCTTCAAAAGACATATAGCCTCCCCCACTATCAACATCCCCCACCAGTGATATATTTCTTACAATTAATAAACCTACACTGACACATTATTATCAACTAAAGCCCATAGTTGACATTAGCGTTCATTCTTGGTTGTGTACATTCTGTGGGTTTGGACAAATGTATAATGACACATATCCACCATTACAGGATTATACAGAGCAGCTTCACTGCCCTAAGAACCCTCTGTGCACTGCCTGTTTGTCCCTCCCTCTGTCCTAAGGCCTAGCAACTACTGATCTTCATACTGTCTCAGTCACTTTGCCTTTTCCAGAATGTGATATAGTTGCAGTCATACAGCCTATCGTCTTTTCAGGTTGGCTTCTTTCACTTAGTAATATCCATTTAAGCTTCCTCTATATCTCTTCATGGCTTGATAGCTCATTTCTTTTTGGCACTGAATGATCCTCTATTGTCTGGTTGTATCGGTTTATTTATCCATTCACCTACTGAAGGACATTAAGCCTCTACATTTTGAGGCAACCTGTGATGCATCGATAGATAACTGAAATATCCACTTTCATGTCAATGGAGCAAGTAGATTGCTTAGCATCTGGAATGGCCATGGAGACCCCACTGTTTTCCTCCCCTCCAGGAAAAGCAGAAGCTGTGCAGTTGGGAATTCTGCTGTTTAAAGGACACAGGTGGTTGGTCAGTTGAAGAGCTCCTCTAATAAGATTCTCTGACCCATAGTCCCAGCCCGGTGTGTGTTGTCATCTGGGGGCTTCCTTTTGGATATGTCACGTTTGATTTTTAATCAATGAGGCAGATTGGAAGCTGTCTACTTAACTTCCATTCCCATTTTCTTCTCTTGAATATTTTTGAGGGTAAACAATATGACCAACCTAAAATAAACACATTTCCCAGATTTCCTCAAGGACAGGGTCAGCCATGTGGCAGGTTCTGGCCAATGAGATGTAAGCAGAAGCTCTTGGAAAAATCCTTAAATGGGGGCCTACTCAAATGGCACAGGCTATGGGTTCTTCACCCTTCAGGAAATCTCAATCCTATTCCATTTCCTTCCCATGGACCTTGAACAAGTTCTTCAGCATCTGCATTTCTGGGATTGCTGGGGAGCATACATAAAGTAACATTGTCAGGAACAAAACAGGTAGCCAGTAAGTGGTGAAGATGGCTGTTTTAATCATTATTCCAGATAAATAATGAAACCCAGTTCTTCCAGGAAAAGGGTAGATGCTGTATGTTTAAAACTTATTTCCCTTAGCCCTTTCCCAGATTCTTTTAGTTGCCCTGTACACATGATCTGATGCAACATTTTCTTATAATAAAGGAAACCATAAGATCATCATAGTGTTCCAGTTTCTATTGCTGTATAAAAAACACCTAGTGGCATAAAACAGCCATTTGATCCTGCTTACAGATCCTGTGAGTCAGGAATTTGGACAGGGCACAGTGGGCACAGATTGTCTCTGCTCCACACTATTCACAGCCTTAGATGGGAAGACTAGAGGGTTAGATCAATGGTCCAGATCATCTGAAGGCTTGTTTACTAAATCCGAAAGCTTGTTACTCAGCTGGGCTGGGATGACTCAAGGACCGGAAGTGTTCACCACAGCCTCCCCACCTGGGCTGTCCTCAAGTGCCTGGGCTTCCTCACAGTATGGTGGCCTCAGAGTAGCCAGACTGCTCACGCAGTGGCTCTGGGCTCCAAGTGCAAGTGTTGTTACTAGCAAGCTGGAAGCTGCGTTGCCTTTTATGACCCACCCTCAAAAGTCCCACAGCATCACTTCTCCCACTCTCTCTGTTGGAGCAGTCACAGCAACCACCGAGATTCAAGGGGTGGGGAATAGAGAATCCATCTCTCAAGGCAGAGAGTGTCAGGGTCATATTGCGGGACGGTGTGTGGGATAGGGACACTGTCGTGGCCATCTTTAGAAAGTAAATCTGCCACCAGTGAGGTGGGGCATGAGGTAAATAGGATAAAGCCCAGAGTATTCACAGGCTAAGCACTTTGATCATCACAGATAAATAACTCGAGTCTAATATGCACAAGAGCTAGAACATATTGGACTTGGTTTCAGCCAGAACCAGATTCTTCAAGGACAGTGCATGATTTCCTACATGCGGCATCGTTTATTTATGAGCCACCGACTCTCTCTAAATAAAGTCAGAGGAGGAGCCAAAAGGGGTTTTTAGATAATGAGAGTTTTAATAAGAGTGCAACTTAAATAGATTCTTTGGCTGGTGCTATGACAGTATGTGAACAGGACCCCTGACTTTAATTAACCATTTTGCCAGGTGGGCCTCCTTTTTAATTAGTACAGAAGATCTAAACAGATTTTTTTTCCATTTTATTATCCAAGAAAGAAAAATGTAGGATGGCTCCATGGCAATCTTTTGGGGTTGGAATTAATTTGATTAAGTGAAATCGTTGCCAAAATGGTCAGGCAGTCACCTAAATATAGCCAATTGATCAAGAATGGAGCCCATTGAACAATATTTCGCCAGAGAAATTGAATTACTATTCATACACTAGATATAGCACAGACAAATCTTATCAGACTTTTATAGTGCTCACTAATTGGAATATTTAAGTCGGAAGATACTGTAGTAATTCATGAGCTCTTTGAGAGGTAACCTGACAAAAGGAAGAAAGGGGACCCCAAGTCGTCTACATAATAAACTAATTTACAGATTCCAGTCCACATGCTTTGTTGGCGTATATACCATGGAAGAAAGAAATTTGTCACAACAAATTCTGCCTTGGATACCATCAAATTTAAAATTGTGTGTTCATCATGAGAGCTGGGAACTTGATTTCTTGAACACCAAGTCTGATGAATCCTGTGTCTTCCATTTGGCATGAATTCCAGAACCATTTTCCAACCTTTGTCAAAATCATAAAGGACCTCAAAAGGATAATTATATTCAGGGAAAAAAAGAAGAAGAAAAACCACATCAGAATCAGTGACTCCATCAAAATCTTAAATTTAATATCCAAATTTTTAAACAATTTGCTCGTATACTTAAAATAGGGGAAGACACCAGATATACCCTACCAAACCGGAAGGTTGCAAAATAATCGTCCTGACCCCAGAACCCTGCACCATGTGGGCAGGGCTGGGAGGTGCCCTACGGCATCACTTAGTGGAGCAGCTTTCTATGAGCAATTGCAGCAAGAGTTCTGGGCTTCACTGGGTTATCCTGTTCTGTCAGCGACTGTGAATAGGAGTGGCCTGCACTACAAGGGTAATTTGTGTCTGAGAAACCCCTGTTTGAGTGAATTGTATTTAACATGAATACAACATATTTTGATGCACTCTCAGTTCCCAGATGGACCCCTCCAGTGATGCTAATGTGGTGCCAAATCTCCTTCAAATGGACACTGCTCCTTCCAAAGTTAAGATCAGCCATCAGTGCAACCTCCTCATCGCTTTCTCTAGTGTAGCTGCTTCTGGACTCTAAGCCCTCATTTCTGTAAGGCCCTGTATGCCAGGATTATGCGGACAAAACTTACAGAGGAGGCCAAAATATGATAATGCAGTCTTTACGTTTAAAAATAATACCAAAAGGTCGGGCGCGGTGGCTCACGCCTGTAATCCCAGCACTTTGGGAGGCCGAGGCGGGTGGATCATGAGGTCAGGAGATCGAGACCATCCTGGCTAACAAGGTGAAACCCCGTCTCTACTAAAAATACAAAAAATTAGCCGGGCGCGGTGGCTGGCGCCTGTAGTCCCAGCTACTCGGGAGGCTGAGGCAGGAGAATGGCGTGAACCCGGGAAGCGGAGCTTGCAGTGAGCCGAGATTGCGCCACTGCAGTCCGCAGTCCGGCCTGGGCGACAGAGCGAGACTCCGTCTCAAAAATAATAATAATAATAATAATAATAATAATAATAATAATACCAAAAAATGCAACAAGTCCATAACAAAAAAAATCACTAAAAGTGATGCTGATGACAGACTCTCAAGGAACAGGATGACATTTAAGGCCACAAAACGCTCAGACTCTCACTGCTCTCAGCCTGCAGCCTGCAGGGCTCCTCAAGGACTTGACAAGTCACCACCAACTAAGTGACTGTGACCCTCGTCTTGAGGTGCACAGCCTCGGCCACGTACATGGAATCCAAGTCAGCCCTCCTAAACACAAAGAAGTCCTTGTAAGCTGAAGGTGGGGGATTTAGTGAGACTCTTGGCAAAGTCAAGATTTGTTAACCACATGGGTGGATCTCAAGGTGTGCCCCCTTGACACCTGGGCTCCCTTTCTTAATCACTTCCAACAATGAAACCTAAAAGGAGGAGGAGGCCTGGGGAAGCCTGGCAGATAAAACTGTGCCAGAGTCTGTGGTGCGTCCTCTCCCAGACAGCAGCCTTACTGCCGTGGTGCAGGAGCCACCCCTCCTCAGAACTCGCCTGCAGTTTTCCAGCTTTTTCACCAATCATCCCTTACTGTGACGGGGACATGTACCCCTGGGTTCAGAAGCCAAACCTAAAGCTGCTGTTTCCAAACTCAAATGGTCTTTCAAGTCTTGTGTTTAATTTAGAAATACACATGGCGGTCACATTCTTCACTGTGTATATATCTACATATATTTTAATTCTGAAATACTGCTGAATATCCTGGGCCATCAGGTAAAGTTGACACCAGGGGTTATTCTGTGAGGTCATGCGCCCCCACCCCCACCCCATGCAATGGTGTGAGTCATTGCTCAGACCACGAAGTCAGGACTTGAGGAAACACACGGGAATGAGCAAAGCCCATGTGGCATCCAGGCCTAGAGAGATGCCTGTGGCAGGAGCTGAGGGCAAGGGATGAGCAGAGGAGACCAGGCCCCTGCAGCCAGAGGCTCAGTCCTGGCTTTTTCCAAACTCTTCTCCAGAGGAGCCCGCCCTTGCACACCAACGCCTGCATGCTTCCCTCCTTCCTTCCTTCCTTCCCTCCTTTCCTTCCTTCTTTCTTTTCTTCCTCCCTCCCTTCCTTCCCTTCCTTCCCTTCCTTCCCTCCTTTTCTTCCTTCTTTCCTTCCTTCCTTCCCTCCCTCCTTCCCTTCCTTCCTTCCTTCCTCCCTCCCTCCCTCCTTCCCTCCTTCATTCCTTCCTTCCCTCCTTTCCTTCCTTCACCTCCTTCCCTTCTCTCCTCCCTTCATCCCTTCCTTCCTTTCTTCCTTCCCTCCCTCTTCCTTCCTTTCTTCACCCCTCCCCCTTCCCTCATCCCTTCCCTCCTTCCCTTCCTTCCTTCCTTCCCTCCTTCCTTCCCTTCCTTCCTTCCTTGCTTCCTTCCTTCTTTCCTTTCTTCATCCCTCCTTCCCTCCCTCCCTCCTTCCTGCCTTCCTTCTTTCTTTCTTTTCTTTCTTCCTCCCTCCCTCCTTCCTTCCCTCCTTCCTGCCTTCCTTCCTTCCTTTCTTTTTCCTCCCTCCCTCCTTCCTTCTTTACTCCCTTCCTTCCTTCCTTCCTCCCCTCACTCAATTTGTTCATCAAAAAATCTAGTTCCTTGCCATGCCACAGCCTGAGTATTTAAAAATAACTTTTCCTCATTTTAGAAGTAATGATCATTTTTTAAAAATTAGAAGCTGCAGATAGTCAAATAACTGTAAGGATAAACAATAAAAATGACCCAGTCTCCCAACCACAGAAAGTGACCGTTAACATTTTGTGAAAATGTTGATACAAAACAAATGAAATGATACTGTGCATTTTTGTAAACTACTTCTAAAGCATAAAATGTACTGTGAATATATCTCCCTGTTATGAAATATATTTTAACACTAATTTTTTTGAATACATTGTCCCCCATTGTCGGTGGGCCATTGTTTTTTGGATAACATCTTAATAAGTTTGGATTTTTTAAGCACTTTGTTATGGTGGTAGATTTCCCGTCTATCCATCCATTTCTATAAACAAAGGACCATTTCCTCTCCCTTGAAGCACCATCCCCCAACCCCACTTGCTCCTCCCTCACCCCCAAATGCCCAATCTCTCACACACGCACCTGGGGGTGGCCCAGGACTCACCTGTCATGCCTCCTGTATATCTCACCTTGTAACTTTACAGTTGGCTGAGTCCCCCCAGAGGGCTTTGCCATGTGATACCCCAACACCCACCAGTTGCCTGTATTGATGTAAAAGTTAAACCGTGTGTCCTTTTGTTTAGACAAAATCCCCAGGTGATGTCCAGGACTAAGTAAATGTTTGGGATCCAGGCAGTTCAAATTGCCTTGGATTTCTAAATGCCACATTCAAGCTCAGAAGAGAAGCTTAAATCTATATGCACTCAAAGAACATTTATTGAGCGTTGCTGTGTACTAAGGTCAGAGTCTAAGGCCAAAGTGAAGGTTCAGTCACCCCCCACAAAACTCATGTTTGTCTACAGAAGCTTCCCACTGCCTGAGCCAGTGGGGAGCCATCCACGGCTGAAATAGAAGAAGTCACTGTGGCATGGAATTGGAGCAGCATCTACCCTTGTCACTTGGGCTGATGTGGCAATTGGAGGTGGTTTCTACAGGGCAGAAAGTCACAAATCCACACTTTTAACAATTTGTAAACCAGAAAACCACCTGCAGAATGTGTATGTGCATCTCCCATAGCCTTGAACCTTCTTCCTGGGAACAGACCTTTTCAAATGACTGACCTTGCCCAATCCCCGCCATCAGGCCTGGCCTTTTACTTCTTTCTTTTGTTCAAGTAATCTTGAAAATAACTGAAATTATTTCTGATCAGTTTTGACTAGGAGGTTTTTCTCAAAACGATGCTGTGAAAGCAAAGAAATTTAACAGTGTTAAAACACCTCAGAGGAGAGAATAAACCCAGTTCCACTTATTAGCTGGGTGTGCAGTATTAATAAAGGGTTGGTTGTAACCTAGCAACTAGTTTAGAAACACAGAACAAGGCAATCACAGTTTTAAATATCCTTGTAGTCCCTGAGTCCAAGTATGTGGTTTCTGACACACTGTCACCTTCTGCCGAGTTTAGTCAATATCTATTACTGTTATTTGCAAAGAGGGATAAGATATAACCTGTCTGTTATATTTGAAAAATAAATTGCTATGATAAAGTTCCCAAAATCCAGGAATGTTTCTAATGTTGTTTTTCTTGTCCACATCCCTCCTCCAGGGTTTAGAACTAGTAACCGGCAGTGCGAAAAATGGGACTTACTTCCGAATTCATATTAACAAGTATAAAATGGTGGAAACCATCACGTGCCTTTCTAGGGAGCCCTTCCCCGCCTCCAACTACATCCGCTTGTTTGGCCAGCACGAGCAACTCCTCAACAACCTGTGTGCTCGGTACGATGAAAACCTGATCACAGATCTCTATAGGTGAGTTGGACATTGCATTTGACTACAGGGAAATACAAATATATATATAATGTCTGTGAATGAGGGACATGTGTTGTGATGCACCCGAGAGCAAAACGGGAATCCCAGAGAGAGGCTGTGTGGCAGAGATTTCGTTCTAATGAAGAACACCTGACGCTAATGTGGGCTGGGGAGCAGAGAGTCACAGGATGTGTCCACACCTGGCCCCCATGGCCACACCAGGGCCTGGACCCCAGGTGCAACCAAGCCTACCATGGACGGGCTTGGAGGAGATGATATTCAAGTCCCTTTCCACACGGGGCTGCTAAGAGCAGTGGTCAGAAATGTAGGAGGTCAATTTGGGAACAGCATGAGGAAGGGTCTGATCCTGATGGGACTCCGCGATCATGGGACGGGGTGTTTGTGACCCCAGCCTTCCTCCTCATGGCATGTGTTCAGGCAGGCCCAGGGTGGTCATTTGTCCAGCGTTTTGGTAAGGGAATTCCCACACTGACAGGTCGGTTAGACTTGAAACCTTTGTCTTTTCAAACTCTTAAGACACACTTCATCCTATCCATTAGGAAGGCATAGAATTTCCAAGTGGAAAGTTACTTCTGAATGTAGCTTGCTGCTTAGCAAAGTTAGGAGACTTTCCCTATTCACAAAGCAAGGTGATGCAGACCCAGCACCAGAGACAGATGTGGAATGAAAACCATGCAGTTCCAGTGTTCTCGACACCCACAGAAGCAACTGCCAGGATTGCCATCAATCTCTCTTGCCTCTTAAAAATTTTTTAAATTGTAGAATGCATCATACAAACAAAAAAGTATGTGAAATATGTATGGACACTTAAAAGTACTGGAAATCTATGGGCCCACTGCCTATGTTAAGAAATAATTCCTTAACTTAGCAGTCAGGAAGTCCCTCTCTGATCACAGCCCTCCCTCATCTTCGTGGAGGTAGCCACTGTCCTGAAGTTTGAGTTTGTCATTCTGTTGCCTATAAAGCAAGGATCAGTGAACTTCTTCTATAAGGGGCAGATATAGCCTCAGTTGCAAGTACTCATCCCAGCCCTTGCAGTGAGAAAGAAGCCGTAGATGATGTGTAAACAAAAAGACACAGCTATATCCCAAGAAAGCCTCATTCACCAAAATGGGCATTGGGCTGGATTTGCCCCCAGTCATAGTTTGTCAGTCCTTGTTTTAAAGATGTGTACTTAGACACATGTGATTTCCTAAATAATATATTAATTTGCCTTGCCTACTTCTGACTCAGGTTTATGGCTTACCAAAGAAAGCGAGCATTCTGTTTAGCACGGTGTTTGTGAGAACCATCCAGGATGATGTCTGTAGCTGTGGTTCGTTTGTTCTCCCTGCTGTGTGGTATTCCATCATATAATGGTCATGATTCAGTCATGGCTTTTCCTGTTGACTGTATTTACACTGGTTCCAGTTCAGGGCCATTACAATCGGACGTTGTGAACACTGTGGACGTACTTCATGTGCAGAATCTCTCTAAGATATCCTAGCCCTAGAACCGCTGGGTCACGGAACATGCACGTCTTCAACTTTACTAGTTGATGCCCAAATGTTTCCCAAGTATGGTCACGTGCCACATAAACACGTTCCAGTCAACAATGGGTCACACATATAATCGGAGTCCCATAAGATATTAATGAAGCTGAAAAATTTCCATCTCCAAGGGCCACATTCCTGTCACCTAGCACAACACATGACTCACGTGTTTGTGGTGATGCTGGGTCAACAAACCTACTGTGCTGCCCAGTTGGTATAAAAGCATAGCACACAGTTATGTCCAGTGCAGAACACTTGCTGATGATAATAAATGACCATGTTACTGTCTTATGTATTTACTATACTATACATTTTATCATTATTTTCGAGTGTATGCCTTCTACTTATGAAAAAAAAGTTAACTCTAAAACAGTCTCAGATAGGTCCTTTGGGGGTATTCAGAAGGCATTATTATCACAGGAGATGGCAGCTCCACGTGTGTTATTGCCTCTGAAGCCCTTCCAGTGGGACAAGATGCAGAGGTGGAAGACAGTGATATTGATGATCCTGACCCTGCAGGCCTAGGCTAATGTGTGTGTTTGTGCCTCGGTTTGTAACAGAAAGTTTAAACAGTAAAAAGTAAAATAAAATAATTTGTAAATAAGGACATAGATGAATATTTGTGTATAGCTATACAATGTGCTTATGGGGTTCTTTTGTTTTTTTTGTTTTTTTTTTTTTTTGAGATGGAGTCTCACTCTGTTGCCCAGGCTGGAGTATAGTGGCATGAGCTCGGCTCACTGAAGCCTCTGCCTCCCTGGGTTCAAGCAATTCTCCTACCTTAGCCTCCCAAGTAGGTGGGATTACAGGCACGTGCTACCACACCCAGCTTATTTTTGCATTTTTAGTAGAGACGGGGTTTCACCATGTTGGCCAGGCTGGTCTCGAATTACCAACCTCAGGTGATCCACCCGCCTCCGCCTCCCAAAATGCTGGGATTACAGGCATGAGCCACCGTGCCTGGCCTTGTGCTTGTGTTTTAAGCTAAATGTTATTATTACAAAAGAGTCAAAAAGTTGAAACAAAATAAGATTATAAAGTAAAAAGAGTAAGCACAGGTTAACTTATTATTAAAGAATAATAAAGATTGAGAAACATGTTTTTATAAATTTAGTGTAGACTAAGTATACTGTTTATAATATCTTCGGTATTGTATGATAATGTCCGAGGCCTTCGCACCCACTCACCACTAGCTCACTAACTGCCCTAGAGCAACTTCCAGTCCTGTAAGCTCCATTCACGGTAAGTACCCTATACAGGTATACCCTTTTTAAATCTTTTATGCCATATTTTTACTGTACCTTTTCTATGTTTAGATACACCAACACTTAGTATGGAGTTACAATTGCCTACAGTATTCAGTATAGAAACCTGTACAAGTTTGTAACCTAGGAGCAACAGGGGCATATAGGCCAGGTGTGTAGTAGTAGACTAGACTATCTAGGTTTGTGTAAGTGCACTCTAGGATGGTTGCCAACAACGTGTTTCTCAGGACCTATTCCCATCGTTAAGTGACACATGACTGTCGTTATTTATTTAAATTTCCCCCAGCAGTGAATGAGAGAGCTCCTCTTGCTCCACAGACCTGCCAAGCCTTGGTACTGTTAGACTTTTAAATTTGGCCAGTCTAGTGGCATACAAAGGTATCCTCCTAGGGCTTTAATGTGCTTTTCCCCACTTAATGATGCCTTTTCATTTGTTCATGGGCCATTTGTGGCAGTTTCTGTGAAATGCCAATTCATGATATTTGTCCACGGAGCAGGGCTGTCTTCTCATTACTAATTCACAGAAGTTATTTATAAACAAACTGGACACAAACTTGTGTTGGTTATATATTTTTAACCAACTTTGAGGCTTATCTTTTTACTTTCTTTATGATGTCAACAATATTCTTAATTTAATAGAATGTTTGTCTTCTTCAAGAGGGTCTTGGGTATTTTTGTCCTTTCATTCTTCTAATAGTTTTATAATCAACTTGTCAAGATCCATGAAAACCCCATTGGATTTGATAGGAAATGCATTAAATCTTAGATCAATTAGGCAAGAATTGACATATTTGATATTGAGTCCAATATCATAACATAGTATAGCTCTCAATTTAGGTATTCTTTAATGTCTTTCAATAAAGGTTTATCATTTTATCCATGAATGGCTTGCACAACTTTTGTTTGATATGATCCAAGATGCTTTATATTATTTTTTCTGTTTTAAATGTCATTTTTTATGAATTGATGCTTGTGTATACAGATGAACTAATTTTAGTATGGTTCTGTATTCTGAAAGTTTTGAATAATTTACCTGTAGATTTTTAGATTTTCCGAGTAGAAAAATTATATCATCTGCAAATAGTGACAGCTTTGTTTCTTCTTTTCCAACTTTTATACTGTTTATTTCCTTTTCTTGCCTTACTGCACTGGCTAAGATTTGTAATAAAAAGATTGGCTGGGTGAGGTGGCTCACCCATGTAATCCCAGCACTTTGGGAGGCCGAGGCGGGCAGATCACCTAAAATTGGGAGTTCAGGACCAGCCTGGCCAACATGGGGAAAACGCATCTCTACTAAAAATACGAAAATTAACTGGGTGTGGTGGCTCACACTTGTAATCCTGGCTCTTTGAAAGGCTGAGGCACGAGAATCACTTGAACCTGAGAGGCGGAGGTTGCAGTGAGCTGAGATGGCTCCACTGCACTCCAGCCTGGGCGACAGAGTGAGACTGTGTCTCAAAAATAAAAATAAAAAGTTAAGTAGGGGTAGTGAGGGGTAGTGCCCTTGCCCCATTCTTAATTTGAAAGGGAAAGTGTTCAAAATTAAGTGTGTAATAGTTGCCATATGTATATTTTTATAGATGTCCTTTATCAGATTAAGAAAGTTCCTTTTGATTACTGGTTTTCTAAGCATTCTTACCATGAATGGATTTTTATTTTTATTTTTCGGAAAGAGTACTTAGTCCCTGAAACCTTTTATGTGTAAGGATGTCTTCCTAATGCTTTCAAATATAAACTACGTTTTGGTAAGTGTCAAAATTTAAAATCATGAGCTTTCCCTCCTCAAATCTTTGTAGGCTTGGCTCCAATACTTATTTTAAATAATGAAAACTGCAAGTATTTAAAAAATGAATTCATTTGCTCCTTCACTTATATATAGGATTTTCTTGGTCAACCTTACCCAAAATATTTGAGTTAAGGGAGAATTAGCTGTTTGTTACAGAAAGATTTTGGTTGGTGGGGAATGATATGCTAAGACTTTCCGGAAAAAAAATGTTTTCACATTTGACCATATTCAGGGCCCTACCTGGTTTGTTTCTCCCTAAATAGAAGGTGATTCTGAAACAGACTCGGTGAGTTTGAGACTACTACAGGGAGTGCCGCTGTTAACTGATGAGAGTAATAATTTCAAAAGTTAATTTGATTTGTGATGAGTGTTTGGGATGGCAAGACGGGGTGACACTGGCTATCAGGAGGTGCCGATGGACATCTGTCAGAAAGGAGCAGGGACAGGAAGATGGCCGCCAGTCATTTCTAAGTGAGGTCCTGAGAGCACCGCTGTGCCTTGTCAGTTACTCCAGGCGTGTGTTAGTGGGTACATGCAGCTGCGACCACATTCTTTTCAAGTGCCACGAAATGCTGCCAGGTCCTAGTGCTAATTTTTGCGCCAGCACTCCTGCCCTGTCTGTTGTCAGACTGGCTGGCGAGGCTCTTTCCAAGCAGGGTGAATGGTTGAGCTGATTTTGGCCGCGATATGATTACCGATTGATTTCCTGACCTTGGCAGCATCAGCAACGTCCCTCGTTCAGACCAGGCACGTTTCATTTGCGCACTTCCATCCACCACGTCTGGGGCACCTACCTCAGTGCCCGCTGCTGCCGGGAGGGCTGACAGTTAACCAGCTGCATTGTTGTTCTGCAAGTCAGGCATGACTTCAGTATCAGTTCCTCTCCGCATTCAGAGAAATCCTTTGGATCCTTCCTCTCCACTTCCCCCTATCTATTCTCACTCCATCGAGGGCCAAAACAGCGCAGGCACTAGCTGTGCCAATGGGAACGGTGGCAGCCCTGCGGGTCAGATGTTGCTGTGGTAGCCGAGGCCTCCCAGGCAGACCCTGGCTGCCTGCAAGGGGCTCACTTGGAACCATATGGGGACACGAGGTGGCGGCCGAGCTGTCAGCCGCCATGATGCACAGGCAGACAGCTGTCACGGGACCACAGTAAGCGAAGTGTCTGCGGCCCAGGCTGGCTTGGATTCCACCTATATTTTATTCTCTGTTTTTACCTCTGAGTACCAGTACAAACCATTGGCACTGAAGAGAGAGACAGAACTAATCCACCATCGGTGACTGTGTGTGTGTGTGTGTGTGTGTGTGTGTGTGAGAGAGAGAGAGAGAGAGAGAGAGAATTTGATCAATGGATTGATTTACTACTTTGGAAAAAGAATAGAGCCAATTTTATATCGTTTGTTGCTTTCTGAACCAACCAGCATTTAAAGTCACACAAATATGTTACTAAAAATCTTCCTTTCCCCAATCTTCCCCTTAAAAGCATTTGTGCCCCCACAGGCCTCGCTCATGCACACCTCACTCACACGTGTGCACACACTCATGCACACTCACACGGCACTCACAATGTACACTCACTCACACGCCCAGTCACACGCTCACACACACCTGCACCCGCCTCTCCAAAACCTCACAGTGCCCCCGCCTGCCAACTCCCTTGGCAGTATTTAGAATGGCAGCACCTTCTGCCCTGCTGAAAATGCTCCTCCCTTCAGGACACCGGGCGCGAAAGGACCTTCAGTGAGGGTGTGGAGAAGTGGGGAAATGGGAGCTGTGGGTGGAGAGGAGAGGGGAGGCTGAGGCGGCTTCTTGAGATGCCGCCTGTCAGGTACCCGAACACCCCTGTCCCGTGTCTTCTCGGCTTTCCTGACTCCACTCCATCGTCTTTCACCCCCACTTATCGATGACCCTGCAAAAGAGAGGTCTCGCCTACAGAATCTCTCCCTTCTTCACCTTAATTAGCAGTCTGTGCATCCTTTATCCTCGTGGTGTAAATAGGTCTTGCCCTAGCTTCTTTGTATGAGCCCATCAGATACTCATAAACCTTGATTAAACCTCTTTTCACATCTTAACATGCTCAGCTCTCAAAGACTGCCCTCAGACAGCCCGGCCCTCGCGCCCGCGCCACCACCGCCTCCACACTTCCCCGCACACGCCGGTGGCCTACATTTACTGGCTGAGTGTTGCTGTGCACAGTGTTCTAAATGGGATTTGAGCAGCCCTTTACAAGGCTGCCATTACCATTTTGAACTGTGAGGCTCCAGAAGTTCTTCCCTCAGGAAAGCCACCTTGTGTTATCTGTCTTTGGAACTGCAAAGCAGGATGCTGCCAGCCCACGTGGCCCCCTAATTTATTGATTTGACTCCCGTTGGAATAATTTAATCATGACTTTAAAATGTTTTTCTGCGCCTCTGTAGTCAGCAGCCTTTTGCTGTGTTCAGTGGTAAATTGCATACTACATTCCAGGTGCCTGTTTTTCCGGATTTATCAAAATCTTCTTGAATGATGACTGCCCACTCCAGCTTCTCAATTTTTTGGTCCATACCTAAAAGGTGGTGGATGGTAATTCTCCCAATATCCGCCTCATCCCTCACACGCTTCCCTGCGGCCGTGTGCCAGGCCACTGACCTGCTCTCTGTAGACTCTGTAAGGGTTCCTGCTCCTCTGTTTCACTTCAGATCGTGCCAGTCCTGTGCGACCAGCCTCGCAAAGAATCCTTTCCCAAATGATTTGCTAAAAATCAAAATCCATTCTCTTCCTTTTGCTTCCCACTCATTCAATTACAGGCTATTTATCTGCCCTCATAAAAGGCAATCGAGGTCAGTTTGCTCACGTACTCTGGGGATTCCTCATTGACCATGCCTTGGCCTTCTTACTCCAACAGGCAGATCCTTACCTAGAGATGTTTCTGCTACTATTCCAGAGGCCACGAGGCCAAACTCAAATTTTTGAACCTTACTTGTTCCCAAGATGGTCAACTTTAGATCTGGAAGTGTAGACCAAGGAGGAGGCGAAAGTCCACTGGACACAATATGTGTCTGTTCTTATTGGCGATCCTATTCTGATGAAAACTAGGGGTCTTTTTTAGCATATGTCACCTCCCACCTCTTTCCACTATGGCATTTGTGTGGAAGTAACCTTTCCTGGGGTAAAAGGTGAGACCATGTTTGAACTGCCCTGAAATTACAGCCAGCACATGTCTGTTTTCAGATATTCATGCCAAAGATGATAGTGTGGAAGAAAAACAGACTCACCCATTTGCATAGTCCAAAATGAATGTTCAGAGAAATGAACACATGGAGTTCTGCAAGAAGTATGAACTTTGAAACATTTACCTCATTTACCATGAAAATATCACTTGGCATATCATGTTAGTTAGGACTTACTAGAAAGGCTCGGATTGAGATTTTTTATGGTTTTGAGGTATCAGGAATGTATAAATTCTGATTTCAAGTGCCTCAGTCTCACTAGTGTTAGTAAGAATCTTTGCCTGAAGGATAGTGCCCGTCAATGAATGAAAGAAACATGAGTATCCCCCTCTAACAGGCAAGATTTTGTTTTATGTTTAAGGCTTTTATTAATGAGAATGTAAGAAATGAGGGAGGAAATTGAGCCCCAGTTAACATCAATCTGAAGTTGGGGTGAGGGTGGGAGCCCATGTCTATTAACAGGTAACTCTCCACCAGGATTCCCCCCACCCACTGAGTCAACGTGCACTCCCACAGTCCTTACGTTGCCCTTTCCAGGCAGGCAGAGGAAGGCGCTGGCATTCTCCCTGGCTATACAAGAAAACTAGTGCTTTCATTATTTGAAAGGAAATGTGTATATTTAAATCACATATTAATACTAAGGGGAGACAATTTCAGCACAGGGATGGCCCTGCATCCCAGAAGACCGTGCTGAAATGTGAACCGTACATGAAACAAATCATATAGTGTGAGACACAATTTGCACACGTCTGTTGACTCATATCTGCAATATTACGAATAAAAACTGAACTCTTCACCAAGCTTTACAAAAACAAAGAAATACCTTATGGTGAGCCCACCACTGCCACCTCTCAGTTATCCATAGCCCCCGCCCTTGTCTTCTTAGCTGCCACCCCGACCACCCTCTTTGTCCTGTGCCCCTGTGCACACTTGGTATATATCCTAAGAGAATTTAGTTTGAAACTCCTACAGTCTGTAAAAGCAAATCATCACTTCCCTTTCCTTAACATGGAAAGGACACTAGACTAAGACCAACAGAGGGGTCAAATTCCTGCGTTCTTGCTTATCAGCTTTGTGAACTTGAAGAAGCCATTTAATCTCATTGAGCATCAGTTTCCTCACCCATAAAATGGAGATGTAATCCATGATAAATCTTCCCACATCATGGGATAGAAGTATATGTTGATGGACAGTAAAGTACAAGTGCAAAAAGTTTTTTAAAAGTATGTAAAGTACTATACAAGGGCAGAGCTTTGTAATGACTTTAGCTCGTGTGTTCCTGTTCGCTACACATCAATATTATCCTTTATGGAGAGACAGAAACACTTCCAGCCTTCTATACAGTATTCCCTCCCCCTCCCAAATTAATACAAATTTAAGAAAATGCAGTGCTTCTTTTAATAATTTAAATGAGCAGATGTTTTAAAATTGCATTCGTGTATGTGCTTGCTATATCTTATTTTTAAAATTGTATGGGATTACATATGATATTGAATATGCTTGTTTTCAGAGTCATGCTCTAAGAAAAAAATTTATTTAGAGAGAGGTCATTATCAATAATTAAATAAGTGAGAAATCTGGTGCTTTACTTAGAATAAATGTACTAAGATGAGAGTCGATAATGTACCTCCCAGGGCACTTTATAGAAAAGGGATGGATCAGATGCTTCCATATAAGTTTCACTTAAAAATGATTTCATTTCCAACCACTGGGCACCCAAAGCAGCCAAATACATTCTTAATATCATTTAAAATGTAAAATTATGAGCTGTTTGAGTTGTAAAGTGTGTCTAGAATCTAATGTCATATAGTTTTAAAAGTTGCTTTGGAACATTGTTTCATGCATTGTCGATAATCACTAATACTCTAGACCTGCACTGTCCACTATGAGAGTCAACTGCCCCACGTGACAAGTGGCGACCATATCAGACAGCGGAGAATAGAGCATTTCCATTGTTGTGGAAAGCTGTGTTGGACAGTGCTGCTGTAGGCCAGTTGCATCCATGGAATTTGGAGTGGGCGTGTTGGATGTAGCATCTATGAACAGTCGTTCCCTAAAATGCTAATTGCCAGCCCCATTTGGATCCGACATTCTGACCTGCCGATGTAGCTATCAGATGCGTGCTCAGTGAAGGCCCAGTGGAGACAGAGGAAGTGATTTCTCTCTGTGCCTGTTTTGGTGGGGTCAATTAGAAAACATTCTCTCCAGATCATGTGCCAAAGGTGTACAGATGGGGAAGGGGGCTGGTGTGGGGGAAGGGGGCTGGTGTGGGGGAAGGGGCGGAGCAGGTAAGCTTTCTGGGGCACTTGGTCACTCTGCAGGCCTTGCAAGGGACACTCGGCCTTGCTGGGTGAGATAAAAATTCTGTCTTGCCCTATGCTTATACTTGTTTCAAGCTCAGCTGGCCAACCCCAGGCAGCCTGGCACTTCCCTGCCAGAGTTATGAAGACAACCTTGATTACTAACATACTGTCTTGTTGTCAGAGCCCAAGTCTTGATTTGGGGTTTAGGAATGCTGACTGGTAGGTTCAGAACTGACTTCCATCCCTCTGCACATCTTCGTAAAATCGCTGTTCTTTTCAAACTTGTACAGCAGGAGTTAAAGTCCTTTATAGATTTTCTTCCTCCATTTCATTACATACCCATCTGGCAGCATGTGGTTGAAGGTTATTACTTATGAGTTTAAAATAATAGCTGATGAGCCGTGGTTATCTTTAAGGCTACTAAGCTGCTTTAATATAAATACCTCTTTGCCGAACTCCAAGAAACAACGGAGTTGTTTTACTGTTGTTGGAACTGTGAAAATAAATGCATTTCAGAAATCATGTTCTCATTCTACTGAGCCACGAGAAGGAACTGGCCTGCCTGCCTAAATTTTTTATGGCAAACTAACAATTGCAAAGAGACGCTTTGAAGCCACCTGGGCAGTAGGGATTCACAGGTGCAGCATTCTCCTTCTTTCCCTCCTACACCTGAGTCTTTATAGGTTTCTTTTTGAGGGTTATTTAAGCATATTTGTTTAATTTTTAAAAATTTCCACTCCAAAAGCAATATGTGTTTATTACAGAAAATGCAGAAAAATATTTCAAAAGCCGAGTAGAATATAAAATCTATACCTAATCCCACCACCCAGAACCTATTTTAGATGATTGCACTATGAAATGAAAAGAATTGAAGGGGAACTGCGATTTCCTCCTAGAAATAAGACCTGCAGCAAGCTTGCAGACAGCACAGCTCTCCTTCCTGGGTGCCAGGCAGACCCTAACTGCAGCCCCGCACACCTGTCTCGTACAGGTGAGGCAAGGGAGAACCAGAGTGGCCGGGCTTTCCACGTGCCACAACCAAGACAGTGGCACCAATAGGACCAGAACCAGAGTTTCCTGACTTTCTGTCAAGTTTCCTTCATACAGGACAAATAGGAGTAGGTTTGCCATCATGCAATGACCATTCTTTAGTAAAAGCAGTTGTTGTGTTTGACTCATCATTTACCTATTATAAGAAGATTGGCCAAAAAAAAAATTATGTTTGGGACAGGAGAATAATTTTGCTCTCTGATAAAATACCTCAGAAGATGCCCAGGATAATTCATGTGTGGAGGAAGAAAATATTAGAACTTCTGTTTATAATTTTATCTTTAAAAAAAAAACAGAAATCATGTTTTATTAGTATTCAAAGCACACGCATGGGTGCCCTCTTGGGTCAGATGGAAGACAGCTGTGCATTCTACATGGCCTCAACACACCATAATGGGACAGTGTCACAGCTTGGAGGGGTCAACCTTATTAATTAACTTTGTTTTTGTTTTTGTTTTTTGAGATGGAGTCTCGCTCTGTCACCCAGGCTGGAGCACAATGACACAATCTCAGCTCACTGCAACCTCCACCTCCCTGGTTCAAGTGATTCTCCTGCCTCAGTCTCCTGAGTAGCTGGGTAGCAGGCATGTGCTACCACACCCTGCTAATTTTTGTATTTTTAGTAGAGACGGGGTTTCACCATGTTGCCCAGACTGGTCTCAAACTCCTGATCTCAGATGATCCACCTGCCTCAGCCTCCCAGAGTGCTGGGACTACCACCACACCCAGCCCTTATTAGTTAACTTTGGAACCTACTGCAGCTTTTGTGTATCTGGTTCTGGTTTTAACTAAACTAACCCTCCACAAAATTGACATGAGCATTTAACGGATTGTTCAAAAGAAACTACAGAATGCAAAGCCTGGCAAAGCAGACACACATGAACCAGGAAAGGGCAGGGCCAGATCATCTCCTCTTCCTCAGCCACACTGTAAGTACCATGGTTCGTCTCTCAGCTAAGGTTCCACTGCAGACAGCAGAATCCTCTCTAGCTGGTTTAAACAGAAAGCAATATACTGCCAGTTATGGGTGCTTTATACAATTCCTTCAATGGGCTGGAGGAGCAGGCTTTAGACTGCCTTCCACGAAAAATTCAGAAAATGGCTCCGCAGACCTAGCCAATCTCTGCCACAGTGAGGAATTTGTGGAACTGAGAAACTGCCACAAAAGTTGCCAGCTCCATGACCAATCCTCTCTGGCAAAATCCACACCAGCAAAATGGGTACACTAAGCCCTGATTTCTGCCCCCTTCTGCTACAGCTGACACCAAATACTGCCACAGCCAGGCTTGCCAGCAAAAGCAAGAAATGCAGTGGAAGCACCTCCTCAGGGTGTTCCATGGAGTGAGGGAGAGTCCCTCCTCAGGGTGTTTTATAGAGTGGAGGCAGAATCTCCACCTCATGGTGTTCATGTCCATCGTCCACGTCCTGCACAGGGCTGTCTCTTTGGATGAAACTCAGTCCCATGTAGAACCTACACTGGACATGAGTCTGGAAATTGTAGTCTTTCCCTTCCCGGCCTGTGATATTTTGGCTAAATCATGCTACACAGTATCTTGAGTGTGGCTGGCTGAAACAGTCTACAGTATCTCTCATAGCTAACTAATCAACCTTGACCAGAAGTCAGCCCCCACAAAATGCAAAACTATCAAGAAGACTCTGGAGTTTGTATTTATATCTACTACCAGTGAGGATGATGGTTCTAATAATATACAGGTCCACAAAACCCTTATCCAAAATCCTAGGAGCAGATGTTGTGGAATTCTATAACTTTTTTCAAATTTTGGGAGGAACCAGACTTACCCTCCCACATGAAACAACTAAATAGCTGCCAAAATGTAAGAAACAAATTTTTAAAAAAGATATTAGACATCAGGCAATGAAGGACTGTGATCTTTGAGAGATGGGAAACAAAGAAGGTGAACCCTGTGGTTGATCCAGCTGACGGCCTTGAGAGAGTTCCCAGGCCACAGCAAGGGGAAGCAGAGCCCATGCAGAGTCCTGAGTGGAGGAGAGGGAGCCGAGAGTCCGGGGAGACCAAGGCAGGTGGAGTTGTCAGGACAGAGGGAGAGGGAGCTGAGGGTCCGGGGAGACCAAGGCAGGTGGAGTTGTCAGGACAGAGTACTGGAGAGGAGAAGGTTGCACAGAGAGAGAAGCTTGGAGATGTGCAGAAGCCTCCCCTGGGAGCATTCAGTTGAGTACTGGTCAGTCCATGTGGGCAAGGAAACTGCCCAAGACAGGGGAAAGAACCACTCTAAAGGATTAGAAAAAGCATGACAGTGTCTAATACTCACACAAGGCTGGGAACGCTGCCTGTTCCCACCAGCCAGACTTGAGAACTTTAAGATTAATGAGGCAATAGGTAGGGTACACAAAAGGGACTCATCTCAGTAGCAGGGAATAATTAGTCCTAAACCAAACATTGCTGCAGTCCGACTTAATAAATCTTGAAAGCAAGACATGAATGTATCAAATGCTTTCCAAGTAACTTATCTACATCTGAAAACAAGTTTAAGAGTGTTTATAGGAATACTGAAAATTTCCACACCTAACAAAATGATACAATTTCTGATACCTAATCAAAAAATTACTGAGAAGGCAAAGAAACAAGAAAATACAACCCATAATGAGGAGAAAAATCAATCAACAAAACCAACCCAGAACTGACTCAGATGTTAGAATTAGCAGACAAGTATGTTGAAACAGCTATTATAACTGTTACTATAACTGCATTCCATGTGATTAAAAAGTTAAGATGTGGAAAACACATAAAAGACCCAAATCAAACTTTTAGAGATGAAAACTACAATGTCTGAGACAAGAACTACCCTGGATGGGCTTAGTTGCAGATTAGACCTCGCTGGGAAAAGGGTAAGTGAACTTGAAGACATAACAATTGAAACTGCCCAAAATAAAACACACAGAGGAAAAAGAATATAAAACCATGAACAGGGTATCAGTGAGGAATGGGACAACTTCAAGTGGCCTAAAGAAATAACGACCAAAATTTTTCCAAATTTGATGAAAACTCACAAATCTGAGAAGCTCAGTGAATCTCAAGCATAAAAAAAAATGAAGAAAACTATGCCAAGGCATATCATAATCAAACTACTCAAAACCCACAATAAAGAGAAAGTCTTAAAAGCAACAAAAGACACGGGCACATTCTTTACAGACGAATAAGATGAAAATGACAACAGATTTCTCATCAGAAGCAATGCAAGCCAGAAAACAGTGGAGCAACATTGTTAAAGTACCATTATTTTTTCAAATTTTAGAATGCATTGATTATATATTATGTAACAGCTCCGGACTAATAAACATGGCATACCCCCCCATATTACATACACCATCCTACCCATGCCAACCAACATTTCTTGAGTTATTCTGTATCTCATTATTTAACTATTTAATTTCTCTATTGCCTTACTGTCTTCCAACTGATAGCCTTGCGTATAGCCCCAATGCTGTGGACTGAATTATGTCCTCTCACCAAATGTATATGTTGAAGCTCTAACCCCCTATGTGACTGTATCTGGACATACAGTCTTTAGAAGGTAATTAAGATTTAATGAGATCATAAGGATGGGACTCTTAGGAGAGAAAGAGACAGATGTCACTCTCTCTCTGTCTCTGATTCTCTCTCTATCTCTCTCTCTGTCATGTGAGGACACAGCAGGAAGGTGGCCATCTACAAACTAGAAAGAGAGCCCTCACCAGAACCTAACTATGTTATCACCTTGATCTTGGACTTTCAGCCTCCAGAAGAGTGAGAAATACATTTCTGTTGTTTAAGCCACCCAATCTATAGCATTTTGTTATGTCAGCCTGAGCAGGCTAAGAGATTTACACCCCAAGTTTGTTGCTTCTTTATATCCCCGCAATTCAGTAGGCTGCGGTGTAGGCAAACAGAGGGTGTTTTGCTCTTTCCAATGGCAGATGGTCATTCTGTCCAAGGCCCATGGTACCCACTGGACACGTCTGTGTAGCAGTGATGGGAATGGCATCCATGTCAGAACCTGGATCCAGTCCCGGGTTCTAACATTATACCAGCCTTAAGTTCATTCTCTAGGCATAAAGGTAGTGTCCTCATTCTCACCAAACCGAGTAACATGAGTGAAAATGAGAGAGCACCTCGTGGGTGTCTTAGTCTGTTTTGTGTTGCTGTAGTAGAATACCTGAGACTGGGGAATTTGTAAAGACGAGGTTTATTGAGCTCACAGTTCTGCAAGCTGGGGAGTTCAACAGTGGCATGACCCTGGCTTCTGGTGAGAGCTTCTCTGCTACGTCATAACATGGTGGGGAAGGTCAAAGGGGAAATGGAGACCTGCAAAGACAGTGCCAAGGGGCACTCTGGCTTTAAAACAAACTGATCCTGAGGGAATGAATCCACTCCCGTGAGAACCAATTCAGTTTCTCCAGAGCAAGTACTCACTCACTACCATGAGAATGGCACCAGCTATTCATGAGGCATCTGCCCCCACTACCCAAATACTTCCCACTGGGCCCCACCTCCCAACACTGCCACATTAGGGATCAAATTTCAACATGAGAGCGAGTGCAGTGGCTCGTGCCTATAATTCCAGCACTTTGGGAGACTCAGCAGGGAGGATCACTTGAGCCCAGGCATTCAAGAGGAGCCTGGGCAACATAGTGAGACCCCATCTCTACAAAAAAAAAAAAAAAAAAAATTAGCAGGGTGTCTTGGTGCATGCATGTACTCCTAGCTACTTTAGTGGCTGAGGTGAGAGGATCACTCAAACCTGGGAGGCAGAGGCTGCATTGAGCCAAGATTGCACCACTGCACTCCCCAGCCTGGGTGACAGAGTGAGACCCCATCTCAAAAAAAAAAAAAAAAAATCAACATGAGTTTTGTTGGGGAAAAAGAAACCATAAACCATAGCAGTGGGGGTCCTTCAAACCTTGCTGAGTGATGCTTTCTTATACAAGCCTTGGTTTTTGTTTTTTTTTATTATTATTATTTATTTTTTTTATTATTATTATACTTTAAGTTTTAGGGTACATGTGCACAATGTGCAGGTTAGTTACATATGTATACATGTGCCATGCTGGTGGGCTGCACCCACTAACTCGTCATCTAGCATTAGGTATATCTCCCAATGCTATCCCTCCCCCACCCCCCCACCCCACAACAGTCCCCAGAGTGTGATGTTCCCCTTCCTGTGTCCATGTGTTCTCATTGTTCAATTCCCACCTATGAGTGAGAATATGCGGTGTTTGGTTTTTTGTTCTTGCGATAGTTTACTGAGAATGATGATTTCCAATTTCATCCATGTCCCTACAAAGGACATGAACTCATCGTTTTTTATGGCTGCATAGTATTCCATGGTGTATATGTGCCACATTTTCTTAATCCAGTCTATCATTGTTGGACATTTGGGTTGGTTCCAAGTCTTTGCTATTGTGAATAATGCTGCAATAAACATATGTGTGCATGTGTCCTTATAGCAGCATGATTTATAGTCCTTTGGGTATATACCCAGTAATGGGATGGCTGGGTCAAATGGTATTTCTAGTTCTAGATCCCTGAGGAATCACCACACTGACTTCCACAAGGATTGAACTAGTTTACAGTCCCACCAACAGTGTAAAAGTGTTCCTATTTCTCCACATCCTCTCCAGCACCTGTTATTTCCTGACTTTTTAATGACTGCCATTCTAACTGGTGTGAGATGGTATCTCATTGTGGTTTTGATTTGCATTTCTCTGATGGCCAGTGATGGTGAGCATTTTTTCATGTGTTTTTTGGCTGCATAAATGTCTTCTTTTGAGAAGTGTCTGTTCATATCCTTCGCCCACTTTTTGATGGGGTTGTTTGTTTTTTTCTTGTAAATTTGTTTGAGTTCATTGTAGATGCTGGATATTAGCCCTTTGTCAGATGAGTAGGTTGCGAAAATTTTCTCGCATTGTGTAGGTTGCCTGTTCACTCTGATGGTAGTTTCTTTTGCTGTGCAGAAGCTCTTGAGTTTAATTAGATCCCATTTGTCAATTTTGGCTTTTGTTGCCATTGCTTTTGGTGTTTTAGACATGAAGTCCTTGCCCATGCCTATGTCCTGAATGGTAATGCCTAGGTTTTCTTCTAGGGTTTTTATGGTTTTAGGTCTAACGTTTAAGTCTTTAATCCATCTTGAATTAATGTTTGTATAAGGTGTAAGGAAGGGATCCAGTTTCAGCTTTCTACATATGGCTAGCCAGTTTTCCCAGCACCATTTATTAAATAGGGAATCCTTTCCCCATTGCTTGTTTTTCTCAGGTTTGTGAAAGATCAGATAGTTGTAGATACATGGCGTTATTTCTGAGGGCTCTGTTCTGTTCCATTGATCTGGATCTCTGTTTTGGTACCAGTACCATGCTGTTTTGGTTACTGTAGCCTTGTAGTATAGTTTGAAGTCAGGTAGTGTGATTCCTCCAGCTTTGTTCTTTTGGCTCAGGATTGACTTGGCGATGCGGGCTCTTTTTTTGGTTCCATATGAACTTTAAAGTAGTTTTTTCCAATTCTGTGAAGAAAGTCATTGGTAGCTTGATGGGGATGGCATTGAATCTGTAAATTACCTTGGGCAGTATGGCCATTTTCACGATATTGATTCTTCCTACCCATGAGCATGGAATGTTCTTCCATTTGTTTGTATCCTCATTTATTTCCTTGAGCAGTGGTTTGTAGTTCTCCTTGAAGAGGTCTTTCACATCCCTTGTAAGTTGGATTCCTAGGTATTTTATTCTCTTTGAAGCAATTGTGAATGGGAGTTCACTCATGATTTGGCTCTCTGTTTGTCTGTTGTTGGTATATAAGAATGCTTGTGATTTTTGTACATTGATTTTGTATCCTGAGACTTTGCTGAAGTTGCTTATCAGCTTAAGGAGATTTTGGGCTGAGACAATGGGGTTTTCTAGATATACAGTCATGTCATCTGCAAACAGGGACAATTTGACTTCCTCTTTTCCTAATTGAATACCCTTTATTTCCTTCCCCTGCCTAATTGCCCTGGCCAGAACTTCCAACACTATGTTGAATAGGAGTGGTGAGAGAGGGCATCCCTGTCTTGTGCCAGTTTTCAAAGGGAATGCTTCCAGTTTTTTCCCATTCAGTATGATATTGGCTATGGGTTTGTCATAGATAGCTCTTATTATTTTGAAATACGTCCCATCAATACCTAATTTATTGAGAGTTTTTAGCATGAAGGGTTGCCTGTAATCCCAGCTACTCGGGAGGCTGAGGCATGATAATCGCTTGAACCCAGGAGGCAGAGTTTGCAGTGAGCCAAGATCGTGCCACTGCACTCCAGCCTGGATGACAGAGTGAGACTCTGTCTGAAAAAAACCAAGGCAGACAGAGTCTCACTCTGTCATCCAGGCTGGAGTGCAGTGGCACGATCTTGGCTCACTGCAACCTCTGCCTCCTGGGTTCAAGCGATTATCATGCCTCAGCTTCCCGAGTAGCTGGGATTACAGGCTTGAGCCAGCATGCCCGGCTAATTTTTGTATTTTTAGTAGAGATGGGGTTTCACTATGTTGGTCGGACTAGTCTTGAACTCCTGACCTCAAGTGATCTGCCTGCCTCCTCCCAAAGTGCTGGGATTACAGGCATGAGCCACTGTGCCTGGCCTCTTATGCAAGTCTCTTGATTCCTCTAAGCCTTGTTTCCCTTATCTGTAAAAGGGGCCTTATAATTATTCCCTGGGGTGTCTTTGAAAACTAAAGGAGGTGCTGTACAGGAAGCTTTCAGATCTGAATCACCCCTGGAGGGACTGTTCCACAGTCCCTGGGCTGCACAGCTCCTCTCTCTGCCCTGGGATTGCACTGCTGCAGGCCCCAAACGTCTTCAACCTGGCACTGTGCGTGCTGCTCAGCGGTGTCCCCAGCACACACCCAGACAGCTGTGCACAGTGACAGATGGCAGAGCCCCAGCATGGCCTCAGCCATTTTCACTTCTCTTTTAAAGATACTTTTTGTCACCTTCTTCGCAAACCTTAAGTTGTGTTTTGTGACTTATTGTTCACTCTATCTAGTAATTTGGGGAGAAGAGGGCACCAAATGCCACCAACGATGCCCCTGCAGCTGCTAATAGGTGCCACTCTTTGGATCCCACGGTACCCTCTTGGCCCCAGCGGCTCTGACAGCTGCTGGGGCACTGTCTGCCAGGCCAGGATACGTGCTGAAGGCTCTGAGGGCAGAATAGAACCCAGCGCAGTCACGCTGGGATCCCAGAGTTTCACGGCATTAATAATCTATAGTTCAATCATTAGGAGCAAATCCAAGTGAAATAGGAAAGTGTACACCACGCTGGAGGCCGTGAGGCTGCTGGGAGAAAGGCTTCTCTGCTCCTTGGCAGGCTTAATGATTAGTTCCCAGCCACTAGCAGCCCCAGCTGACAAACGGCGCCTGCAAGCTGTAGGCTTTCTGCATGTGATAATTGACAAATGCTGGAAGTCATTCAGGATATTCACATGGACTGGCTACCAGGGATCTGCTGGGCTTTTCAGGCCCCCAACTCAAACCCTCTCTTGTACCAGGAAGGACGTCCCTTCTTGGGTCAATCGTTGCCCTCAGGACAGATCTGCAAGTGGATCTTATGCAGGGTGCCTCCAAGGCTGCTGGAGTCCTGGGGAGGATTTGACACATGAACGAATGTGACCCCACTCTCTTTTTCCAATTATGTGTTGGATTGAAGTGCCAACTTAGGCCTGTATTGCAACAGCTCAATCTGCAGCACACTAAGTAGGAAGAGATCTGAAGCAGAGAAGCATTTTTAATTTCAGAGTTTTTAAAAAAATCATTCATTTCAAGAGGTTATTGGATAAAGCATTTTTAAAAGGTTTTATTTATATTCTTCTTGGTCATAAGCATTAGTCAGGAATCTTGTCTGCAAGTGACAGAAGCCCAGCTGAAACCAGCGGACACTGGGAGGAGACTTTCGTGTCTCCCACAGCTAAACCGAGGAGTGCAGGGCTGGCACCGGAGGCATGATTTGAAACGCCGTTGGCCCTTTGTCCCTGCTTCCTTCTCTGGGATTGGCCTCCCCTGATGGTGGAAATCATGGGGAGTCCCAGGCTTATGCATCTTACAGCTTGCTATTTAGAGGATAGAGCACCCTCTCTTGCCTAGTGCCACCTTGAAAAGTTCCTGGGGAAGGACTCCAAACAGCCTGGCTCCCATGATGTGTCTGCCCACTTAGACCATCAGCATGGCCATGTCCCAGCCCTGAGGCCAGGGGGCAAGGCTGCTTGGGGGTCAGGAGGGATCCTGGGCAGACAAAAAGCTTTCCTTAAACATCAGTTACTTACTGGATGTATTCACAGACTTTCAGCCTCTCTGGGTTCCCTGAGTGGTTTTGGCTCCTCCTTCCACTTCTGGTATTGCATAAAATCCTCCACCACAGTTCATAACATCTGGCTCCCAAGAGGCCACATGATGCAGGGCAGAAATGCAGGGTGTAATTCTCTGTGGATAGGAAGGAGCCGGAGAAGACAAAACCCTTGTCTCCGCCTCCCATTGGCTGTCCCAAGACCCTGATTCTCTATACAGCCTGTCCTAAGTTATCCCTCATGGCTGAGTGAGTTCTCCTAGCGTGAAGCAGTGGCCTGCCCATAATACATAGTTCTGCATTGCTCCCCATCTTCCAGGAATAATGAGAAGCTCCTAAAAGCTTCCAGTGAGTAAAGCAGGTCACTTAGAAAGGAACTAGAATCAAACTGGTGTCAGATTTTTGAATAGCAACCTCAGAACCTAAGAGATAATGAGGCAATGTCTTCAAAAGTCTGAAAGGAAATAATTCCAAACAATAATTCTATTACTGATATGGTTTGGATTTGTGTCCCCACCCAAATCTCATGTTGAATTGCAATCCCCATTGTTGGAAGAGGGGCCTGGTGGGAGGTGATTGTTTCATGGGGGCGGATTTTCCCCTTGCTGTTCTTGTAATAGTGAGTTCTCATGAGATGTGGTTGTTTAAAAGTGCGTAGCACCTCCCCTTCTCTCTTCCTCCTGCTCTGGCCATGTAAGACATGCCTGCTTCCCTTCAACCATGACTGAAAGTTTCCTGAGGCCTCCCTAGATATGCTTCCTGTATAGCCTGTGCAACTGTGAGCCAATTAAACCTCTTTTCTTTGTAAATTACCCAGTTTCTGGTCTTTCTTTATAGCAGTGCAAGAATGGACTAATACAATTACCATCCATCAAGTAAGAACCAATGGGATAGGACTATTAGTGCTCATAAATGAAGGAGAAATAGTATGACTAGAATATCATCATTTTCCAGAACCCCCTAGGGAATCATGGACATGGGTATGGAGCATCAGTGGCTGCTGATATAGAAAAGGAGGCAGCCAGACCTCATGCAGTCCTTGGTGGGAAAACACACCACCTGCGAAAAACAAGCCAAATTGAACCTGAGTCTGACTAGGACTGTTGATCTACCACCAATATGTAGGAAACCGAGAGGATAGAGGAACATGTAAAACATGTAAAACACAGAGCTGAAGTATATTAAATACAGAGTGGGAAACTATGTGACAAACAGCCTGATTCCCTCAACAAATAAATTGCAAGAAATAAAACTTGCAATGGAGGGGGGCCTATGAATTAGCATAGTTTTTAAAAACATATCACCCTATTTGGATCCTGATTCAGATAAACTGTTAAACAAAAATCTGTGCCATTTATGAGGTGATTGGAAATTTGAAACCTGGAGAGTTAATGATGATAAGCAATTATGATTAATTTTTTTAGCAGTAAAGATGGTATTTCAGATATATAGATATATATATATTATATATATGTAATATATATAATATATGTAATATATATTATATATATGTAATATATATAATATATGTAATATATGTAATATATATTATATATGTAATATAATATATGTAATATATATTATATATGTAATATATAATATATGTAATATATAATATATGTAATATATATTATATATGTAATATATAATATATATTATATATGTAATATATATATATTTAAAAACAGAACCATTATCTTTTAGAGATACATACTGAAGTGTCTGGAGACATGCTTCAAGATAACCCAGGAGGGAGAATGGTAGAAGGAACTAGAGATGACCCAAGACTGCCCTTGAGCTAATAACTGTTTTAATTGGGTAATGGATGATGGGAGCTCATTATAGGTATATTTCTAACTTAAACATAATTTAAAATTCTCATAATAAGGAGTTATTTTTGAGAAGCAACCAAAGTTGTAAACTAAGAAGGAGTAAGGAAGGGGCTGTGGCACTGAGGGGCAATGTAGAGAAGTCCCAGCTGCCAAGAGGACAGCCAGGTGGGCCAAAGAGGAGAGGAGGGAGGGGTCCTGGACACAATTAATTACTTGGATTATTTGAAATGTTTACATGGAAAATAATTTTGAAGGGTGCTTTACAGAGCTGCTGGAACAGTTTGAAAAAAATTATACTAGATACATTAAAAACTAACAAAAATAGGGCAGTTATTAATTCTAAGAAAAGTTAAAAGTTATACAAGAAAGGCCTGTGATTAATATTGCATTGTTAAAATAATGTAATCACAGAATTCAAATTTAACCAAAAAACTGTGATACAAACTATTTGGGAAATTGGGAGAGAGAGAAGTGAGGGTTTGTGTTTTAAAAAGATAAAACTTCATTTATCATAACAAGGTGTCAATAGTTATGCCTAAAGTTAATAAATGAGAGTGTCTGGTGATTCTCTTCAAAATAACCTAGGAGGGAGAAGAGTAGGAGGAGCTAGCAATGACACAACATGGGCCATGAGTCGTTAACTGTTGAAACTGGGTGATAGGTGATGGTAACTTATATAAGTAATCATATTTATGTCAACAATCATTCAAAAAGTATCTGATAATCTCTGAATTACTTAACACTCTGGTTGCAAGAAACAGAAATCAACCAAAGCTATAGATTTAAGGTAAAAAGGAGAATCCATTGTGAAGTTTCATGGTTGTATCTAACAGGACAAAGGGCAGAGATAAGACTAGGTTTTGGGAAGGAACCACAGCAGGACAGACAAGGTAGGGAGAGATCATGCAGTGGCTGCTTCTTTCTCTTGCAGACTGGCTTTCTCTGCTTCCCCCACAGCTCCCATGTTTACGTTGCAAGCCCCAAAACCCATAGAAATTATCCAGATGTACGTTGGTCCCAACTCCAGTTTCCTTGGAGAGTGATTGATAGGTATGGCTTGGTGAGACAGTTTCAAACTATGACTGCAAACCATTTGGCCCTCCTCCCAGAAAGAGTGTAAGGTGTATGTCCCCTGCCCTTGAACCTGGGCAAGCTTGTGATTGCTTGCTTTTACCAATAGAGTTTGGCAGAAGTGAGACCATGTGACTTCTAGGACTGGCTTATAGAAGGCCATGCAGTGTCCAACTTGTTTGCTAGAATATTCCCTCTGAATTTCCTGGCCTGACATATAAGAAGTCTAACTATCCTCAGACCACCATGCTGTGAGGAAGCCCAAGCCACATGGACAGGCCATACAGGCACTCTAGCAAGTGTCCCAGCTGAGCCAAGCCTTCAAGTCATCCCAACCCAGGTGCTAGACATGTGAGTGAAGAAGCTTCCAGATGGTTTCAGCCACAGTCATCTGAGTGGCCCCCAGTCACTCATTGTT
Source organism: Homo sapiens (assembly GCF_000001405.40). NCBI lineage: Eukaryota > Metazoa > Chordata > Mammalia > Primates > Hominidae > Homo > Homo sapiens. The sequence continues at coordinate 20,322,193 of NC_000020.11, forward strand.
CCATCTGATACCCCTGTCATCATGGAGCAGAGCCAAGTGATCGTAAGCATAATAAAATGGCTGTTGCTCTATGCTACTGAGTTTTGGAGTGGTTGTTGCACATTAATACATAACTGAAATGCTCGGATCAAATGACGTTCCCTGTTTCCTGACATGAAGTCCCAACATGACTGTTGGGGGCCTACCCCCACAAAGAGAGAGGGATGGCAGGGGGTTGAGCGGATTCCAACAAACCTCAAGGCCTTCACTCCATTTCTGAGCCTGATTTCACAGCAGCCTGTTGCCTATCTGGGTGCAGGAAAGGAGGTATGGACTGAGAACTCTTGACCTCCTGTATCTAAGCCCCCTTCTCAATTCTTGTTCTCCCACATAGTAAGCCAGTGTAAAGGAGGAAAGAGGGAAGTGGTATATATTTGCCGTGGTAAATGGTATCATTAACTCCCTTCCCTTCCAGTCCCATGGTGGTCTTCCAGCAGAAACAGTTACCAAGAAATGGGAACTACCCTCAGAGTTCTGGCATCTTCCTTCTGTGGCCTCTCGAGAACAGAAGAGATCATTAGAGGGTCCTCGTGTTGCCTAGCAACCTGTGAATGCTGTTTGCTATCATGTTATTAATATGGTAGGAAAGTGTTTCATAGAAGACATTCATCTTGCATTAATGAAAATCAAATTTACTAATATGACACAAAATCTGTTCTTCCTTGTGACTTTCTATACTTAAGTAGCTTATTTATTGAATTAGACTGTGAGTGGTTTCCAGGGTTGAGACTGTTAAAGTTATCATAATAATGACTTTGTTTTCAATAATGTCAGATGGCCCTTCATGATGAGATTATGCAGCTCTGACTTTGTGATCACTGTTCTTAGACAAAGCACTGCTGCCCTGGGGCCTAGCCCCATACCTGTGAGCTACTCTGCCACTCGACTTCAACTTCTTCCCGCCAAGGCTCAGCTAGGCGAGGATTCTAGTTTGAGCCAGTATACCTTTAAAGAGGGCCCCATGGAATAAACGGATCTCATTCAGCATGGGCATGAAAGGCACTGGAGAAGTTATTCAGCCTTCGTCTTCGATTTTTCTAAAAAAGGACAACAAACAACCCTAAATTTTCAGGCCTTCAAAAGAGAGTAAGAAATACAGACAGTCCCCTACTTTCAAACACAATTTGTTCCTAAAAGCAAGTATGGAATTCAAATGCCCAGAAACCAAATAATAGACCCATCTCTTAAAAAAGAGAATTCTCTTCCCAAGAGTTAACATATGATTGCTGAAAATGTTCTTTATTATTTTTAGCACGTGAAAGTCTCAGTTCAGCAGATAGACAGAAGTTGAAGAGTATTGATGGCTAAGATGTAAACAGACAAGTTGTATTAATAACGAATGGAATGCACAGAGCCAGTATCCAAAAGCCAAGGGCTGCACCTAGAGGCACCTAGAAAGAAGCCATGTAAAAACCTAAACTGCAGAGCTAAATTTCTAGAGGTTTTTTTAAATAAAGTCTTGTTTTCTATTTATAAAAGTAGTACATGATCATTGCAGAGCCCAACATGGGGGTTGTGGCGGGGGTATGAAATAAAGAATTGCAAAGAAACCAATTGTTAATTTTTTTGGTGTGTGTCCTTTCATATTTTTCTCTAAATATACAATGTATATATAAACAATATTTCACGTGCTGATTTGCAGCTTGCTATTTTAGCTTCTCAGCATATTCTGAACATGTTCCCATTTCTTGAGATTCTATTTTAATGGCGTTATTTTTTAACGACTGGATAGAGTTCTACCATACCAACGTGCCTTACTTAATTAACTGGGCTGCTCTTAACTTTTTGTTTTCATAATTAACCCTGCAATAAACATTCTTGATGATACATCTTTTTGGCGTATCCTTGATTATTTCCATTAAAATTGTTTTAATATTCTCAATTCTTATGCATTCAATGTATTTTTATTGAACAATAGTGTGCTGCTTACTTGAAACACAGCCATTGAGACGTGCCCTCTTCCTTCACAGAGCTTAAGATTAAGTAGGAAAGATAGAAAATTGTACATGGCTGTTAAAAAAAAATTACCACCACCCAACTGAACTTTTCTCCCTCCGCTCAGTCCCACTCCTCTGGCCAACACTGACCGCAGTCTCAGTTTGTGAATATGTGTTTCTCAAATGGGATTATACTGTACCTATTTCCTTCTAGTTTTTTCACTTAAGAATCTGTATAAATATTGAAGTTCTTTCCATGTCAGTACACATAGTTCTCACTCTTTTTAATGGCTTTTTTATCTTTCATGGAATAGCTAAATCCCAATTTACTTAATGATTTTTCTACTAATGAACATTTAGGTTATTTTCAAGTTTGTCCTGGCATTGTATATAATGTTACCACTGAACATATATCTCTGTGTGCATGAATGGGATTTCTGGATCAGTGGGTATATACATTTACATTTTGATCAAGATATTATTTTAAATTATCTTCAAAAAAGGTTATTCCCACTAACAGGACAGAAGAGAGCTTTTTTCTCCCCATGCTCATGAACACTGGATATATTCTGCAGGAGGAAGAAAGAGTGGGAAGTGTATCTCTCATTGTACTTTCAACTTGCCTCTCTTCAGTGTCCACTGAATCTTTTCATAGGTTTATTAGTCATTTGTATTTATTCTTCTGTGAATTGCGTGTCATTCTTTGCCCATTTTTAATTAGGTTGCCTGTTTCTTTTTCATTTATGAGAATTTATTATATTTAAAGACTAGTAATCCTTATTATGTACATTGCAAATATTTTACAGCCTGTCTTTAAAATTAATAGACATTTTTAGGGCAGTTCTAGGTTTACAGAAGAAAATGATCAGAAAGTACAGAGTTCCTTTAAGGCCAGGAGTTTGAGACCAGCCTGGGCAACAAAGCAAGACCTCCTCTCTGTAAGAAGAAAGTACAGAGCTCCCACATACCCTCCTCCACCCCCAGCCACTTACACAGTTTCTACTATTATTTACATCTTTAGTGTGGTCTATTTGATACAACTGATGAAACAATATTGATACATTATTATTAACTAAAGTTCATAGTTTACATTAGGGTTCATTCTTGATGTTGCACATTCTGTTAGTGTTGACAAATGTATACTGACATGTACCCACCTTACAGTGTGAAACAGAACGCCTTTCCATGCCTGGAAATCCTCTGTGCTGTGCCTACTCGTGCCTTCCTCCTGCCTCCCCCACAAGCTTCTGGCAACCGCTCATTTTATTACTGTCTCCGTAGTTTTACCTTTTCCAGAATATCATATGTTGGAATCATTCAGTATGTATGTAGTCCTTTCGGACTGGCTTTTTTCACTTAGTAATATGCTTTTAAGGTTCCTCCATGTCTTTTTAGCACTGAATAATATTCCATTGTCTGGATATACCACAGTTTGTTTATCTGTTCACCTACTAAAATATATATTGGTGGTTCCAAGTTTTGGCAATTATGAATAAAACTGCTGTAACATGTACAAGTTTTTGTATGGGCATAAGTTTTCAACTCTTTTGGGACTATACCAAGGAACACAATTTTGGATGATGTGGTAAGAGTGTTTAGTTTTTGTAAGAAACCACCGAACTGTCTTCCAAAGTAGCTATACACCATTTTGTATTTCCACCAGCAATGAATGAGAGCTCCTGTTGTTCCACATCCATGTCAGCATTTGGTGTTGTTAATGTTTTAGATTTTAGCCATACCCATTGTTGTTTTTAATTTGAAATTCCCTAGTGACTTACCATATTGACCATTTTGGGATCAATAAATTTAAAATGTATATATATTTTTAACAGGTCTCACTAAGTTGTCCATGCTGGTCTCAAATTCCTGGGCTCAAACCATCCTCCTGTGTGGCTGGGATTACAGGGACATGCTGTCATGCCCAACTCAAATGCTTGCTTGCTATCTCTATGTCTTCTTTGGTGACGTGTCCAGCTCTTTTGCCCATTTTTAAATTTGGATGTCTGTTTTCCTACTGTTGAATTTTAAGAGCTCTTTGTGTATTTGGTTTACTATTCCTTTATTGGATATGTGTTTTGCAAAGATTTTCTCCCAGTTTGTGGCTTGTCTTTTTATTCACTTTTATTATTTGTTTTTGATATCTTTTTTTATAAAGGTTGGAATTTTTACATAATCAAACCGTCTCTAACAAAGAAGAATAACAAAATTCTTCTTTTTGAATTCTGTCTCCTACTTAGGAAATTTTCTCCACCTGGAAATTGTAAAATATGCTCCTATTTTCTTCTATCACTTTCGTAGCTTTGTTTTACATTGACATCTTTAATTCATCTGGAAAACTGTGTGTGTGATTGTGTGTGGTGTAATATAAGAATTTAATTTTACTGTTTCCAAGTGTAGAGATAATTTTCCCAACAACTCTTTCTAAATAATTCATGTTTTTTCCTATGTAATTGAAATACTACCATTATCATACACTGAGCCAAAATCTTTTTCTACAGAGAATTCAGTTTCTGAATTTCCTACCCTGTTTCTTTGCTCCATTTTGTCTGTTTCTGTACTCTTCCATGCTGTTGTAATGATTGAGACATTATAAGTTGGCTTGATATCTTTAATGTGTAGTCTTCTTAGCTATTCTTTCCGAATGTATTATCATGTCCAACTTTATAAAAATTATTTTTGGAATTTTAACTGAGTCTGAATTGAAGTTACAGGTTAATTTGGGGTACATTTATAAAATGGAATATTACCATTCAGGTCTTTTTAAATTTTCTTCCATGAACTCTGATAGGTTTTTTTTCATAGAGCTTGCACATTTATATTTAAGTTTATTTTAGTATTTTTATAGTTTTGTTGCTGCTGTAGATGGAATCTTTTTGTTTCATTACATTTTCTGATTTTAAAAAAGATATTGGTAGTTGGGAAAGATGTGGGTTTTGTATGTTGCTCTTGTGTTGAAGTCTCTTTTTTGTTTAAGCATATTTTATTAGATTATCTTGGAATTTCTTTGACAGATGATTATCAGTTACAATAACAGCACCTTTTTTCTTTCCTCTCCAATACTTCTACTTTCTATTTATTTTTCTTATTTTATTGAATTGCCTGGAATTACATGTACAATATTAAATGGTAGTGGAGATAGTGCCCACCCTTGTCCTCTTCTTGCCTTTTATGGGAAAGAGACAATGAACAAGTAATTTTTTAAAGAGAAACTAAATCAGGAACTTCGAAGGCCAGTGCATATTTCATGAATTAGGAACATTAATGCACCTTCTTATTATCTTTCTTCCCTCAGAAAAATTAAACTGAAATGTCTCTAAAAAATATAAATGTAACTCACATTATGTAATATGTTTCCAAAATGGCTGGCATGAGCTCTCATTTTGATTGTTTAAGAGACTCTCTTTGGGCTAAGGTCACATGTTTGTATCTTTGGACTGCCATTACCTTCAGCTTTAGGTAAGAGAAACATTATTTTAGTTATGTTTATGTTATGACATAATCAAGATCTTCCCCAAGAGGAAGTGGAGCTATCTACCCAATCCTAGAGAAGGTGATTTCCTGGAAGAAAAGAAATGCATTCCAGCCTGGGCAACAGAGCAAGAGCCTGTCAAAAAAAAAAAAAAAAAAAAAAAAAAAACAGAAGAAACAGGAGGCTTTGAGGTCCCTCAAAGTCCCTATCACAGGATTTCTTGCAAATCTTTCTTCCCAGTAGATCATATCCATGAGTAACATGAATTGCTGGGTGATCACTCATAATGATGTCAGCACTCATCTGCCCCGGGTGAGCACCCACAGTCTTGGGCGTCAACACCCCTTGCTTTCAGGCACTGCTCTTCTCTCCAGTCAGAATCCATGCGGAAGCGCCAGCTGTGGTTGTGCAGGCTGGTTTCAGTGCTGCTTCGCTTTGATAAGTAACTAAGTACAGGATGTTTGAGGAATAAAAAGAAGGCCAGCGTGGCTGTAGCACAGTGAGAGAAGGTCAGAAGAGCTGGATCATGTAGATCATGTGGAGGTTTGGACTTGGGATCGTTGTTTCAAAGCATGAAGGGTAGCAACATGCCAATTCATGTTTTAAACATTCCCCATATGCTATATGGGGAATGGAGCTGTTAGGGAGACACAGCCATACCCCAGGTGAGAGATGGTACTTTGGATGGTCATATTTCAGATGTATTTTAGAGGCAGTGTGTGCAAGACTTGCTTCTAAGCTCTGGTGATATATACAACTGCTTACTTGACTCTCAAACTTAACAAGGCCAAACTCCTAGAAGAAAACAAAGAGGAACAGCTCCTTGACATTGGCCTTGGCCTTGACTTTTGTGATATGAAACCAAAAGCACAGGCAACAAAAGCAAAAATAAACAAGTGGGTCTACATCAAACTAAAAAGCTTCTGCACAACAAAGGAAACAATTTCAAAAAAAAAGGCAACCTATGAAATGAGAGAAAGTATTTGCAAACCATACTTCTGATAGGGGGTTAATATCCAAAATATATAATGAAGTCATATAACTCAATAGAAAAAATAAATAACCCAATTAAAAGTGGGCCAAAGACCCAAATAGACAATTTTTCAAAGAAGACATATAGACGGCTGGGAAGTACATGAAAAGGTGTTAGACGTGACTACTTAACGGGGAAATGCAAATCAAAATCGGAATGAGATGTCACCTCGTACCCGATAGGATGGCTGCTCTCTGAAATAACAGGAGCTAACAAGCGTTGTCGGGGTGTGGAGGTTGGGCACCAGCCCAAATCCGGTCTCAAGATCCTCTCAACTCCTTCTTATCAAGAAACCCCTTGGGACCTTACTCTTCCTACTGCAGTCAGCTGAATAAACCTGACTTTGTTTACACGCCAGGTTCCTGGTGGTTTTTGGCTGGTAGGAATCAACCTTTTGCTCCCTCTCCCTGTGTTCCTTGTCATTTCTTCTGCTGACACTTTACTCAAGTGTCCCTCACTGCCCCCCTGATCCCACCACCCCTCAGGACATACTGCGATTTCCCTGGGATTGCCATCAACCGTCTTGTCATCTCTTCCTTGAACCAAACCTGTCTCTTGGGGCCCTTATCCAGCTCCATCTGTGCTAGGGTCAGTCTGGCCAACTGGACATTCCCACTTTGGACTTCTGCAGGCACTTCTGTCTCCACTTTAAAAAAGGAATGGACTCATTCCTTGTCCTTTGCCCCTGTTCACCTCTCTGTCCTGTGCTCCTGCTTCCCTGCACCTCTGAGCCAGGGCCTGGGAATATCTGCAGATCTTTTTCCTTCACTCGCTTCTCCCTCACCTCCTAAATGTGTCTCCAGTCATCTGCTGCCATTGCAGCTGCATTTAGCAGGGCCCCTTTGCTTCCGGCCATACCCTGTCCAGTGTAGCCTCAACATGGCTTCCAGAGCACCTGTTCTGAACCATAAATAGGATGTCCACAGCACTCACTTGTTTAAAGCCTTCCCATGGCTTTCCATCACTTGGGAGATAAAGTCCAAGCCCCATACACAAGCATTTAGAGTCTGCCCCGCCCACTGCCCCCCACCTTGCATCCGACTGGACGTTAGAGCAGTCAAACCACCTGTCATTCCCAGCAGGCCCTGCCTGCTTTGTGCCTCCACGCTTTCCCGGGCCTGGTTTCCCTTGCAAACACCGACTCCTTCTCCAGTGCTTCAGTAGATCCTCCCCGTGCCTCTGTACGCAGCGCCTGTAAGTGATGGCGGAGCTCCCGCCTGCTCTAGTGCAGCCATCATCCCACAGTATTGTACCGTATTGTGGTTCTCTTTACATGTCCGTCATCTCTTGCTGTCAGAGCACCTCTGGATGCTGGGCCCACTGCACATTCATCCTTGCATTTGAAATGATGCTCACAGGAGGCGGTCAACAGACTCACTTTCTTCACCTTTCTATCTAGACCAGTGATGTCCAGTAGAAATATAACAGAAGCCACATACAAAATTGTACCCTTTTTAGTGGTCACATTAAAAACATAAAAAGAAACAGAGAAAATTAATTTAATAATATATTATATTTAACCCAAGATATCCAAAACTATTGTCATTTCCACATTTAGTCAATACAAAAACAGTAATAAGCTATTTTACATTTTTGTTGCATTATCTTCAAAATTCAGTGTGTATTTTATACAGGAGGTACATCTCAATTCAGACTAGCCGTTTTTTGTTTGTTTGTTTGTTTTGTGACAGGGTCTCACTCTGTCACCCAGACTGGAGTGCATGGCGCCATCTCAGCTCACTGCAACCTCTGCCTCCCAGGCTCCAGTGATCCTCCCACCTCAGTCTCCTGAGTAGTTGGGATTACAGGCATGTGACACCCCACCCAGCTAATTTTTGTATTTTTTTGTAGAGACAGGGTTTCACCATGTTGCCCAGGCTGGTCTCGAACTCCTGACCTCAAGTGATCCGCCTGCCTCAGCCACCCAAAGTGCTAGTATTAACAGGTGTGAGCCACCACACCTGGCCCAGACCAGCCACATTTTAAGTGCTCAGAAGCCGCTGGTGGCTCATGGCTCCTGGACCAGACCATGGGGGCTTCAGCAGGTGCAGCGGTGGGCCTCTGTTTTCCTACCTGTAGAACAAGAAGGTTGCCAAAATCTGTAATCTCTTATCCCTCCCAGCTCTAAAAAAATGGGGCTCTGATACCTTGTGAGGAATTCAAGAGAATGTCCTCTCTCAGAGTGAAGTGTCCTTCACCAGCTGGTGAGCTGGATCCCAGCAGTTTTGTTAACTGTGATCACTTGGTTAGAATGGAGGCTGCAGGTTTCTTCCCCTGGAAAGCTGCTACTTTGAGATTATTTATACAGGTATTTTTACCTTCATAACTAATTAGTGATACTTTGAGACTATATAAATACCTTATGTCTCATAATTTCTTCTACAAATTTTAGACTCCATGGACAATTCTTGGCTGAAATAACTATTACTGCACTGTTTACCAAATGGTGATTTTTCTACTTCCATAATTCTTACATATTTATTACTTAGCATCCTACTGTAAGGAAGAATTGTCCCTTCTCCTCCGTTTATTTACTCATTCATTCATCTTTATCATTGTGGACTTAAGGATTCCTGCACTCTTCTGTGGGTTGTAATCCATTACCCTCTTATTGTGTTTTGGTGAGATATGAACTAGGAATATGTTAGTTAAATTTTCATGCTTGATTTTTGGAAACCACAACCCTGAAATCCTAAGAGTGACAAAAAAAAGTGAAGAAACAGTTTGTGGTTTATTATTCTCTCTGTAAAAGCTTTAGAAAAAAAAAAAAAGGAACACATTAATTAGAAAAGCCTATTTGCTGAAAGAGAATTATTTTTAACATGTATTCATTATTTATTTTTAAAATTATTTTAAACACATTTCAAACATGGTGTGTGTGTTCTGTCCTGGTCAATGATATTTCTACTGAGCACTTGTTCAGAATTTAAAGAGCCATTACTTTAACCAAAGGAATAATAAGGGAGTGAAATATCTTGCTCTATGGAGTTTGCTAGTTCTTGCAGCCTCAGCCTCACAAAAGGTCATTCTCTCTTGCTCCTTTGTCCCCCTGACTCGTGGGGGTTTATATGTGCACATATACACTTTTTTTTTTCTTTTCCTACAGAAAATAGATAGGAAATGGGCATGATTGTGAGTGAGGCTGAGTGGCCGCCTGGCCTAATGCTGGCCTGGGCTCTCTGCAGCCTAATTAAAGGAAAATGGTTGTGCTCTCTATGAAGAGAGAAGCAGAATGAGAGCAGACAGGCACAGGAAGGGAAGCTGAAGCACTAAGAGCTTCCCCTTTTCTGCAGAATTAAATGCTAACCTTGCCTCATACTATTAGTGCTGAACTTATATAACAAATCAATGTAAATAGCTGGCCAACTTCCAGGGCACTAGATTTATTGTGCAAATTCAATTAGTGCAGCCCCTAAGAAACCAGCAATGTGCAAACAAATACTGTAGATGGACTAAAAGGGAAGAGGCAGAGCACTAAGACTCAGTCCTGTACCCTGACGGCAGACATTGCTGTAAGGCACTGCCAAACCCAGCTTCCCACCATGGCAAAGTGTGTGAATGACCCGCGGCTGTGCTTTCAGGATAAACTTAAATAGAAACAAAATTCTTAAGTGTCTAAACATTATGCTATTTCTACAAGAAAACTGGTTCGCTCTGGCAAGTAAGACCAAAAGTCAGACAGGTCAGAAGAAAATTCAGCCTGCTTGGGCTTTAGAATGCCTGGGCCTTAATTCCGGGGCCACTTTTCCCAACTGCCATCTCAATATGTTCAGTGAACAACTGGTTTAACTATTTTGATTTACTTGGCTCACCCAGTGTAGTAAGCAGGCAAAACAGCAAAGAAATAACTCCATTTGGACAGTTTGCATTTAATTTTCATCAATTCAGACACAAAAAAAGTAAGGCCTCAGTTTAACAATTTCCATGCAATTTTTATTTGTTTCCACAGAATTCTTTTTTAAATTAAAAAAGGTCTCACTTTGTTGCCCAGGCTTGAGTTCTGTGGCATGATCATAGCTCACTACAGCCTCAAACTCGGGCTCAAGTGATCCTCCTGCCTCTGCCTCCCAAATAGCTAGGACTACAGGCACGCACCACCACGTCCAGCTAATTTTTATTTTTTAATTTTTGTAGAGACAAGCGTCTCCCTATGTTGCCCAGACTGGTCTCAAGCTCCTGTCCTCAATCCTCCCACTTCAGCTTCCCACAGCACTGAGATTACAGGCATGAGCCAATGTACCTGGCCCATTTCCACATAATTCTTTAGTGAAAGACAAAACTTCAAGAAAGCTAGTTACGATGTCCTCTTACCTTTATTGCTCTATAAAATGGCAGGCAAATTAATTTATGCAGTACTTTCAAATGGAGGAAAAGCATTCCCTGAGGAGAAAAACTGCAGTTATGCCAAAGAAAGACTTTCTTTGAATTAAGCAGCAAACAAAAAAGTATTTTAATATTTTAGTTTCTAATTCACACCAGAAAGGATGTGAAGCAGCCTACACAAACATATGCAATAGGATAATTAAGAACAATAGCAGTAATAATCATTGATACGGAGCCTCTCCCCTGTGCCAGGCATAATGCCACATCTTTTACCTGGAGTGTCTCCTTGAATTCGGATAGTAACTCTTGGAACAAAGGACCATCATTATCCCCGTTTTACAGCTAAGAAGACTGAGACTAAGAGAGACTAACGCTAACTAGCTCCAGATTACATAAGCTGACAAGTGGCAGAGCTGGGGTAAAAAGAAAAAGGACATTAGTAAATGGGAAACTGAGGCCAGGTCAGCAACACGAATCTGAGCTGAGATGGAGAGACCACCAACGCAAGCATCGGTCTTTGTTTAGTCAACTTGCATCCTGAGAATGGATCACCAACTCAGCCCATATGTGTGGCTTCCCACTCCTTAGAGATCAGAGCAAGGAGAGAAATGTTAGCACTGGCTAGATTCGTAATTCATGAATTAACATATTCCATCTTCTAAGCTGTTCCCGGGCTGAGTGTCTGGGATTCAGAAAAACAAATGGACAGCAGACAGATCCTTCAGGTAATTCTTCAACATTCTGAAAACTAAGACTCTGGTTGCAAGGGTGGCAGGGAATTTCTGGTCCCGTCCAGAGCAAATGTGACCTGATGAAGGCACAGAAGGTCAGATTCCATGTTCTTATAGACATCAAAGGACCTAAAGGAAAACTTGTGCTTGCAAGAGAGCTCAGCCTCCCTCCCTCGTCAGGGGAGGTCGTGGGGCCTGTGGGCTGGTCAGGATTTCCCTCCGAGACAGCTCTGGGTGTTCAGCTCACAGACAACACACATCATGCTGGTCCCAGTGGCCTCCAGCAGAGGCAAACCATGCACTTGGAGCAGAGAAAGCCTTGCAAAGCAGTGCCTCCCAGCACCAGTGCTGCCAGGCAAGGGAGCCCAGGGTGTGGGAGGCACCTAGTTTTAAGCAATGTTAACTTCTTCTTTTTTTTTTGAGACAAAGTCTCGCTCTGTCGCCCAGGCTAGAGAGCAGTGGCACAATCTCAGCTCACTGCAACCTCTGCCTCCCGGATTCAAGCAATTCTCCTGCCTCAGCCTCCCAAGTAGCTGGTACTACAGGCATGCACCACCACACCCTGCTAATTTTTGTATTTTTTGTAGAGACGGGGTTTCGCCATCTTGGCCAGGCTGGTCTCGAACTCCTGACCTCAAGTGATCCGCCTGCCTCGGCCTCCCAAAGTGCTGGCATTACAGGCATAAGCCGCTGTGTGTGGCCATAGTGTTAGCCTCTGAATTCCCAGGTAAACCAGGATCATTGGCAAAACAGTGCTCTGTAGCATTAAGAGAGAGGAATTTTACAAGCCATTCAGAAAATAGCTGATTTCTGCTGAAAATTAGAATTTCAGTCTTAGTGCCAATGAATTGTAAGCCGTTTTTCTGCAGAGCAGGAAACATCTGAGGCCAGCTCTGCATTGTGACAATGAGACCACAGCCAAATTATATTTCGAGGCTGCTGCTCTTTCGGTTATGTAAATCATAGCATGTGACAATTACAACTGGTCATCAAAGAACTAGTTGGTTTTGCTTTCAAAATCATTAATCTTACCTTTCTAGATCTGCCTCAAAGCAATCAAAAAATTGACTAGATACGGATTCTTGCAAACTCAGGCTGAACTCAAGGAAATATTCAGTCCGATTTCCATCTCAGTCTTTGGGATTTTTTGTTGCAGGGCATCAGGGCTGTGTCTGCTCGTGTCATGGGGTCTCATTTCCAAGCAAACCCAGGAATAACTAGAAATACTTACTTGTTCCTATTCTTATTTTTGAAAATTGTACTGAAATGCATGAATTTACATTCTTTCATGAGTAGAATAAAATGATCATAACCCTACCTGACAGTGTGAATGCAAATTGTGCCTGTTCTCTGCAGTTAAGCCAGGTCGGGCCAGATGGGAACATGTAGGACTCTGAGGATACAGGGAGTTTCCCACTGGCTTGGAGGTAGAAGTCACACATGGAAAATATTCTGTGGGTTTTTTTCCCCAGAGTGTTCGGTTTTGGAGTAGTTGGAGTCTAGAGTGATAAACATGTTCTAGCTCTGGAAACCTCAACCAAAAACATCTCCCAATTTTCATAAATTTAAGAAAAGATTTTTGTTAAAAGTAGATGCTGTAGAGTCTTCGGGGTATCACAGCTGATAAAACATCCATTCTCTCTTTCCCCTTCAGGAACAGAATTCTGATTTATAAGGAAGTACATCATATCTAAAATAAATGACAGTGGTTCCCAGCCTCCCATGCAACCAAGAAAGCCATATGGCCAACTATTGGCCAATAAGATATAAATGGAAGTGCTTTGTGAAACTTCCAGGAACTCTCCTTAGAAGAAAGGAGATGAGTCCTCTTTTTCCCATACTTCATCCCAGAACATATATGTGATGGCTGGAGCTCAGCAGCCATTTTGAATCATGAGGCCAAGGCCCCTATGAATGTACTCTGCTCTGATGTCCATGGAACCACCCTGGCAGCCCTAGACTCCCCATCTAGACCTTCTCTACCTGAAAAAAGTACACTTCTGCCTTTTGAAAGCCACAGTTACTTTGAAACTTTCTGTAATTTCAATCATATCTAATCCTAGCTAATGTAGGGGATACTTGGGAAACTGGGGTGATTAAGAGAGTTGCTAGAAAGACTCGGGAAAAAGCATAAGGAAATAAGATTTGGTTGCACAGTTGTTCAGAGCATGGGTTACACAGAACTATGGGTAGGACCTAGTTCAGCCACTTATTAACTCTGTGACCTTGGGCAACTCATTTAAGCTCTCTGAATCTATGTCTTCATCTGTAAAATGGGCCAGCATGTCCCACTTTCTAGGATTAGAATTAGGATGAAATGAGATAATGCACAGAAATGGTGTGCAACAGAGTCTGTGGGTTTGTGTCCCCAGATGAATCTAAGTGTGCCTCCAGCATGAAGCTATAATAGAACAGGATGCCTCCCAGAGTGTAGCAAGCACCCACCAGGTGGTATGCAGGATAGCTCAGGCAGCACAGCCACATCTTACTAATGATGGATTTGTTCCAACAGGAATTAGAATAAAACATAACGAGCACATCAAACCTGTGATTTCATAGGTATCATTACTTAGGACAAGACAAAAGTAATTATTTCAGTTTTTTTAAAGACAAATCAATGTAAAGAAAATTTTGGGCCAGGCCTGGTGCCTGTAATTCTAGCTACTTGGGAGGATTACTTGAGGCTAGGAGTTTGAGACCAACCTGGGCAACATGGCAAGACCCCGTTTCTGAAAGATTCCAAATAGAAAATTAGGCAGGTGTGATGGTGTGCACCTATAGTCCCAGCTATTTGAGAGGCTGAGGCAGGAGGATCACTTAAGCCCAGGAGTTTGAGGCTGCAGCGAGCTATGACTGTGCCACTGTATTCCAGCCTGGGTGACAAAGCAACAACCTGTCTCTAAAAAAAAAAAAAAATTTTAAGAAAATTTGGAAGTATTCAGTAATGTAGTCACACAGAAAACGATTGATTCCCAAGTGACTGAAGTTTGGCAAACACTAGCCCAAGAGAGGTAGCCTAGGGATGAAGCTGCAGAGAGGACAAAGAAGTGAGGTCAAGAGGGCCACAGTGCCAGGCCTTGTGGAACACACTCCAGCCCCCACCTCCCCAGCGTGCACCCCTCTGCAGCCCTGCCATGCCAGGCCATCATAAGTGGCTCTGACATTCTCCACCCCCACCCACCATGTGTGCATTTCTGGGGGCAGGGGCTTTCTCTCACCATGGTACCCTCAGTGCCCTTCACATGTTTGACACAGGCGTGAGGGCCATATTCGATTCATGGCAAAGAATTGAACCCTAGGTCTTCTCCTTCCTTGCAACCGTTAATGTCAGAAGCTCTGAAGACACCTGGGACAGAGAAGAGAGGGAGAAAAGTTTACGTGGAAGCATAGGGAAGGAAGGGATGTTTGTTGAGGGGTGGTGTGATGCAGCAGAGGAAGAGGACCAGAGGAAAGCAGCCACTGGAAATAAGGAAACAGGGTTTAGGAAGGCCTCACTAGACCTGTTAGGATGGATGCATGGATGGATGGATGGATGGACAGAATGGGTGGGTGGATGGATGGATGGATAGATGGATGGATGGATGGATGGATGGATGGATGGATGGATGGATGGATAGATGGGTGGGTGGGTGGATGGATGGATGGATGGATGGATGGATGGATGGATGGATGGATAGATGGGTGGGTGGATGGATGGATGGATAGATGGATAGATGGGTGGGTGGATGGATGGATGGATAGATGGGTGGGTGGATGGATGGATGGATAGATGGGTGGATGGATAAATGGATGGATGGATGGATGGATAGATGGGTGGGTGGATGGATGGATGGATGGATGGATGGATGGATGGATAGATGTGGGTGGATGGATGGATGGATAGATGGGTGGGTGGGTGGATGGATGGATGGATGGATAGATGGGTGGGTGGGTGGATGGATGGATGGATGGATAGAATAAAAAAGAAAGCTAGGACATGGTTCTAGTGTTCTTAGCAGACGTCCCACCATGGAAGAGGTCATGGAGCACAGGGGCTTTGGGAAAGGTGTTTACAATCCTGCCTGCCTCTCACCCAGACCTCTTGCCAGGGTTGGCACACCCAGATGCCTGCTGTGACCAATGGAGAGGAGCAATTCTGGCCAGACTGGTGGGAAAGCAAGGACGAACCACGGAGGCCATCCCTGGCAACTGAGCTGACAGCTGCCACACGAAAATGAGGACACAGCATTGCCTAATCTGACTCATCAAAGAAAGGCCTGAAACCCAAATTCCAAATGTCATTCAGGCCAAAGTAGATGCGTCCATATATCATACCTGGCCTTGGGTATCTGTTTGCTACCATGATATTTATCACTGCCTGCCTTCTGTGTATTGAATGGAGACAGGACACAGGCTGCTTCATAGAGAGGAAAGCCCCACCAGCTATGCTCCATCCTCTGGCATCACAAGATTGACACTCATGGCTGAGCTTGACGTTCGGGCAGGCATCTTAGAAGGAGAACAGTCTGCCCTCCACCGTGCCAGAAAAGACACATACAAGCAAGAGCATCATTCTCTAAGGAAACCCGCAGGCCTCCCTGGCGGCAGCTGCCTGCCTGGAGAAAAGTGGCTCCTCCTGACTTTCCAGCAGCCCTCTCTGTAGGCGTGAGTGTCAGCTGGGGAGCCTGTGAACAGCTCTAAAAGTAGACACTTTTTTTTCATGCCAAGAGAAAACTAGAATGCTTTTTGTTAAAAAAAATCTTGGAAAAAGTGATATGTTTCTTCCCTGCCACCCGCCTCCTCCTTGCCACCTGGTGCATAGTTGAGCGCGGACCGCCACGCTGTGCCAATGCTGGAAAGGGCAGACCTGCAGTCGCAGCACTCCTTTCCTGCTGGCCAGGAAGGCCTTGGCCTTGGACTTGAGATCCCGGCCTTTAAAGGACACCTTTACCACTTCTCTTTCCCCGTAGATGTGTTGGACTTTTTCCTACAATTTCTCCCAGTGTGTTATGTTGATCAGCTTTCCTCAGCCTTCAGCGTGTCTAATGGCCAAGCCGGCCTTCACATCCCCACTCAGTTCATGAGTCTGTCGATGTAACTGCCTGGATGAGCAGGCAAGGATGACCTCTGGAGACGTCTAGTCAATTGCTTAATGATCGGACTATATCGACCAGAAATGGTTAATTCAGTTCCGCAAGTCAAAATCTCCCAGGGCTTCTTGGAAAAGTGTATTACTTGCAGAAGTGATGGGGAATTTAAGTCCTCCCAGATAAACCAGGCTGGCCATTGGCAGCATGAACAGAGACAGTAATGTCTTCTATTTCAGTCTTGAAGAGGTATAACTTTTTTCTCCCAGCTGTGCAAAAATGATTTTTGTGGCATTGATGCCCACGTGCACACAGCCCCTTAAAAAGCACGTTGGAGCCATGTGCATACCTGGCCCTCTCTCCTGAAGATTTCTAGACGGCAGGCTGTGTGGGTTACTTCATGGCTCCTAGTAGTCTTCCCCTTTTGAATATAAATTGGGGGAAAAAGTTAATATTTTTTATTTTTAAAATTCACAATATTCATGGAAATACAAATTTCCCAAAAGCTCATCACGAATGCTGATAGCACCATAGTACCTGGCGGCCAAAAATGCAGAAACCTGGCCCTAAGCTTCACCAGGATCCAAGATGCCCCTCTCCTTCCTATGGATACAGAAGGAGCCTAAAGCATAGAAATCGTTCAACCTGGGGGAGGTCTAAAACTTTTATTTTTATTTTTTTAGAGACAGGGTTTCACTCTGTCACCTAGGCTGGAGTGCAGTAGGCTGGAGTGCAGTGGCGTGATCACAGCTCACTGCAGCCTCGAACTCCTGGGCTCAAGCGATCCTCCCACCTCAGCCTCCCTAGTAGCTGGGACCACAGGCATATGTCACCACCACACCTGGCTAATTTTTTTTTATTTTTTATTCTTTGTAGAGATGGGGGTCTCACTGTGTTATCCAGGCTGGTCTTGAACTCCTGGTCTCAAGTGATCCTCCTACCTTGGCCTCCCAAAGTGCTGGGATTGTAGGCATGACACATCATACCTGGTTCCTAAAACTTTTCTTAAAGCAGAATTTCTTCCTAACATTCTTGTATCAAAAGGAAACCATCTTCATTTGACTCAACATTACGATCAATTGTAAAATAGGTTTGGTTAAATTCAGAGCTTTTCCAGTTTGAATGACGAAAGCTGCCATGCTGCTGCTGTAGGATGATTTTAGGAAGCCCACAAGATCCGAGACACCCTCACTCCTCCTGGCCACCTTCACCTGGGAGCCTGTAGCTGGTGCTGAAGTTCTCCTTGGATAGGGGAAAGCAGCCGGGTCTGAGCCCTGCCCTCACCATGCAGGTCTCTGCCAGGAGCTTGGGCCCCGAGGCCCAGCCCTGGGCCAGCCATCATGGGCACCTGGAGTGCACAGCCTCAAGTCGCAAATCCATTCCCTTTAGAGTTGCTGGCAAGTGTGATGTGTATTGTTGTGTGGTTGGGAGAACACCACTCTATTTCTGAAATAAAACCTGGACACTAGGATTTTTTTCAATGTTTTACAAAAATTGCTACACAGCCCCCATTTTCTCTAATACAATTCAAGTTCCTCCAAAGTTAATTTGCCAGGGGTTCAGAGGGAGGCAAGGAGAGAGGGTGAGTAGGCAGATCACAGAGGGCTTTTTAGGGCAGTGACGCTCTTCTGCATGATAAGGCTGTGGGAACCTGGGTGTTTAGATGGAGGGCCAGAGCTCGTGACAGACCACAGTGGGTTCCCAAGGAAAGTGGGACTTCACAGAACTCCCTCTCTGAAGCAGACGATGAAGGGTCCCCGACGGGCAACACAGAGAGCAGAGTTTAAAGGCGCCGGGCAGGGAGCATGGCCCGAGAGCACCTGGGCTGTTGGAACAGGCAGCACTGGAAATGAGGAAAGCAGCGAGCAGGCGGTTCCGCCACCAGACGGAGGTGGCCGTAGACCCCCAAAACCAAGGGGGTGGGAGCTCCGATGGTGCCATGGAAACAAACATGGGGGATTTCAGCCGCTGAGGAAAGACAGTGTGTTAACAGCTGGATGAACATACCACCTAAACAGCAACGCGGGCAAGTCAGCAGGAACTGATGCCATGTTCTGATCCAGCGAGTGGGCGTGGGGTGAGGCCTGATACTGCTGAGTGCCAGGCTGTCCCTAACACAGACTCTCGGCGTCGTATCTGTCCTCTAGTGCCCCCGTGGCCCCTGGGACACTTTACCTCCATCCCTAAGAACTAACTTTTACGTCTTGGAAAACGGAAGGTGCCCATTCACGTGGGGGCACCAGGTTTTTCCTTCCCCTGTGCGCACACACAACATCCATAAACAGTAATAAGGGCAGCTAGCTCACATCCAGAGGAGAGCAAAGCCCACCCGAGCGACGTGGCTTTGACCCTGAAGCAGTTAAGTTCCCTGTTCCAAGACACTTAAAGTAAGAGTTAAAATACCAATAAGAGTTCTTGGTTATTCCAAAAATGCATCAAATTTTCCAGTTAAATAAAGGATAATCTTATTGTTCTCCATATAAGGAAGCATTTCAACTTTCAGTGAAAAGTTAGCAAATATGAACACCAAAAAATGCAGCTCTCCTACAAGAGATTCAATTAAGCGTCGATGCAACCGTGCGAACAGCATGTTGCAGCACAAAGGCAGCCTGTTTTTCTGGCCATTATTAATCTAGAAAGCTTAATGATGAACAACATTTGTGTTATTGTCTACCCAAATTTAATTTATTTATGCAGCAGTTAATCTTGCAATCTGTTTTTCTCAAACGAGGGCAGATAATGGAGACACCGTTCTTTACAAGTCTTCAGGCTTTTAAATTCTGATAAAATCAGGATTCTTCACTGGGTCTTGCCCCAGCTCTGAATTAAACCACTTTAAATGTAATTATGGGACCTGGCCTTACAGCAGGAACATCCATTTAAAAAATTGATTGGTCAGGCTGTTCCACAAGACATTTTATGAGCAAACGATTGCAATGAGGCCAGAACTGTAATTTATAAAGGCAAAAAAGCAGGTAAATACTTTATTAGTGGTAATGAGAGGGTTGCCAGCTCACTGAGTCTCTTCTTTCCTTACCAGCTACTTCACCGAGCCGTGGTGCCTGGCCCTGTTCCACGATCGTTTTATTGATCTCAGGAAAGAGTTACGCCAAATCTTAGCCTCCAAGGAGGTAAGAGTGATTAATGGATATGTGGATTATTCCTTGCAAATTATAAGCAGCTGATAGCTGTTGATCATTTAGACTTTTCCCTACATTCCCATTTTATGGTTTTACTTTTTAAAACAACAGTATCTCATATAAACAAACTGCGGAGCATGTAAATGCAGACTGTGTTATTTCAGGGGAAGTGATTTTATTTAAATCTTTTTATAGGGGGCAAATTTCTTTTTCCTTTTTTTAAAGAACTGTATTTTTCTGATCAGCTCAGAGTGCTGGCAGAAAACTGAATCTGAGTTGCATCTACTTGCCCTCAAGAACGAACGTTGCATTCCTTTAGTTTCTGCCTGTGTTTGCCAGCCATTTGCGGAACATATGTGTGTGTGTGTTCTTTTAAAGATGTACAGGGAAGCCATCCAGTGTGCCTCAAAAGCACACTCCTTTTATAACCAGAACTTCTTTCTCAAAATACTACAGAATTAACTGGACATTAGGCTGCGTAGCCCAAGGGCTGCACGCTCAGCAAGAAATTTGACCCCAAGGTATAAATAGTGAGGTATTTGTGAAACTTTAAGTTAAAATATTTCTTTCAATATGAGAATCTCTAGCAGAACTGTGGAACGTTAAGAGCTGTGTTCAGTGAGTGGTTGAATCTCCAGCCTGGCTCTACCCTGCTTCACTCAGCCAAGTGCCGGGGCCTGGGTTAGCTTCTACCTCGTGTTACCGTCTACATAGGCAACTCCCACATCTCCATTGTCACTTCCTCCTGGGAGCCCCCACGCGCCTTATTGGACGGCACTGCTAGGGAGCGCGCACCCTGTTCCCAGTGCGTGCCCCACTTAATCACAGCTCTTGCTGTGATTTAAGGAGAGTGGAGAAGCCACTGTTATCATCTTGACTTTCCCAGTGAAGAAACTGAAGTTTAGAGGGGTTTTTGGAGTTTTTTGTTTCTGTTTTTGTTTTTTTTTTGAGATGGAGTCCCCCTCTGTTGTGCAGGCTGGAGTGCAATGGCGTGATCTCAGCTCACTCCAACCTCTGCCTCTCAGGTTCAAGCGATTCTCCTGCCTCAGCCTCCCGAGTAGCTGGGATTACAGGCACCCGCCACCACACCCAGCTAATTTTTGTATTTTTGGAGAGACAGGGCACCATATTGGCCAGGCTGGTCTTGAACTCCTGACCTCAGGTGATCCGCCCGCCTCGGCCTCCCAAAATGCTGGGATTACAGGCGTGAGCCATCGCGCCCGACCAGCTTAGAGATTTTAAATCAGCTCCATGGTAACACAGCAAGCTTCACACTCCGGGGTGTCTCACCCCAAAGCTGGGAACATGGTTACTGAACCATACAGGGCCGAAGTGCGTGTCCTGGGACCTTCTCCTCAGTGCCCCCACTTTTCAGTTTCACTCCCAGGGTCCAGCTGGGAACTGTAAATCATTTCCTAATCTGAAGCAGGCTTAGATTGGGAAACAGAGGTTTAAAGTTAAAACCAAACAGCAGTGGCTTAGGATCCAGCAAGTAAATGCAGCTGAGGGAAGTGGAGGGCTGGGTGGCTGAATGCCCAAGTCAGAGGCTGCTGAAGGCGTGCATGTGGCAATGGAATCCACTAAAGATGCTGCAGGCCAAACAGAGCCCTACACTTAACCCAGGGCTGCAGGAGGCCAACCTAACTGGAAACCTGAACCCGAGTTGTAAGGCTGGGGCTCACTGAATGCTCAGCTCCTCAGACACCTTCCTTCCTTGCAGAATGTCATCCGCAGCTTCCTACTGCCCCTACAGTAAAGGGCCCTTCGTTTCCAAGTGATCCCATCAAAACTCTGTGCCTCCGTCTTTCTTAACCCCAGATCTGAGCTCTTCAGTTAACATTGTGCACAAAGCCAGGGGGTTTTAGTCTTAAAGCTTAAAAGGGAAGCCATGGAAACTGTCAAGCCCAAGGCATCCACCACGTTTCATACAACTCACTGAGATACCCTCAAACTTCTACCTGTGTACGGATATTTGCTGTGGACCCATTTATGAACTCAGTGTGGACAGCAGGCCCAGGCAGCAGACCAGAAGTGGCCACGGACCTTTGCCCAAGACACACTAAAGGCCCTCCAGCCATTCTTGTGGGTCTTGTAGATTTCCAGAAAATGAAACCTCCGGAAGAAAAAAATCTCCACTGGAGGATTTTTCTATTTGCAGCATTTCGTTTGTCAAATGGGAAAGGCCACAGGAAGTGGTGATGCATAGAGTGGTGTCTGCCTAGCTCAGCTGGACTATGCAATGTGGCCTCTGCCAGACCCTCCCATTCCTGCAGAACCGTGGCCAGCCGTCCCACCTCAGAGAGCTGTGGGGGAGTAGCAGAGGGGAAGTGTGCGATGGCACAGAAGAGTGGCCCAGTGAGTGCTGACCACCACGAGCAGCAGTGGAGGTGACAGTGGAGAAGGGCTGCTGTGGAAACGACAGCCACACAATCAGATATACAGGAATTTCACCAAAGAGTCTGGTATTAGGAAAATAAAATAAAATGAATAGCCTGCACTAAAGAATAATCATAATTTATTTTCTCAAATATTGAAATGAGGTACAAATGGCCAACAGGTATATGAAAAATGCTTAACATCACTAATCGTCAGAGAAATAAAACTCAAAACTGCAGTGAAACATCATCTCACCCCAGTGACAATGGCTTTTATCCAAAAGACAGGCAGTAACAAATGCTGGCGAGGATGTGGAGAAAGGGGAACCCTCACATACTGTTGGTGGGAGTGAAAATTAGTATAGCCACTGTAGAGAACAGTCTGGAGTTTCCTCAGCAAGCTAAAAATAAAGCTGCCATATGACCCACCAGTCCCACTGCTGGGTATATATCCAAAAGAAAGGAAATCAGTATATCGAAGGGATACCTACACACTCATGTTTATTGCAGCACTACTCACAATAGCCGAGATAGGGGATTAACCTAAGCATCCAACAAGTGAATGGATAAAAAAAAAATGTGGTCTATATACACAATGGAATAGTACCTAGCCATAAAAATAAGGAAATCCTGTCATTTGCAACAACATGGATGGAACTAGAGGACATTATGTTAAGTAAAATATCCCAGACACAGAAAGACAAATATTGTATATTCTCACACATGTGTGGGAGCTTAAAAAAAATAAAATTTAACTCTTGGAGATAGTAGAATGATGGATACCAGAGGCTGTGAAGGGTGGCAAGAAGTGGGTGGATAAAGTGGGGATGATTAATGGGTACAAAAATACAGTTAGATAGGATGAATAAGATCTAGTATTTGGTAGCACAATAGGGTGACTATAGTTAACACTAATTTATTTTATATTCTAAGATAACTAAAAGAGTGGAATTGGAATATTTCTAACACAAAAAAATGATAAATGCTTGAGGTGATGGATACTCCATTTACCCTGATTTGATCATTACACATTGTATGCCTGTATCAAAATATCACATGTACTCCATAAATATACACAACTATTATGTACTCATAATAATTAAAATTAATTTTTTTAAAATATTCAAATGATGTAAACCATTTTATTTCACCTTCTACCTTGTCTTCAGGGAAGTATACAAGTTCAATCCCATTAACTATCATATCCTAGAGCTTGGTATATCAATTTTCTTCTTCCACATGTAAAGAAAGGAAGAAAAGACCATTATCTATCTATTATCTATGAATATTGTTAGAAGTCATCTGTTATGAAGATTAGAATCATTATAACATGGGCCGGGTGCAGTGGCTCATGCTTGTAATCCCAGCACTCTGGGAGGACAAGGCAGGCAGATCACCTGAGGTCAGGAGTTCGAGACTAGCCTGGCCAACATGGTGAAACCCAATCTCTGCTAAAAATACAAAAAATTAGCCAGGCATGATGGCAAGTGCCTGTAATCCCAGCTACTCAGGAGGCTGAGGCAGGAGAATCTCTTGAACTCAGGAGGCAGAGGTTGTATTTAGCTGAGATTGTGCCACTTTTTTTTTTTTTTTTTTTTTTTTTTTTTGAGACGGAGTCTCGCTCTGTCGCCCAGGCCGGACTGCGGACTGCAGTGGCGCAATCTCGGCTCACTGCAAGCTCCACTTCCCGGGTTCACGCCATTCTCCTGCCTCAGCCTCCCGAGTAGCTGGGACTACAGGCGCCCGCCACCGCGCCCGGCTAATTTTTTGTATTTTTAGTAGAGACGGGGTTTCACCTTGTTAGCCAGGATGGTCTCGATCTCCTGACCTCATGATCCACCCGCCTCGGCCTCCCAAAGTGCTGGGATTACAGGTGTGAGCCACCGCGCCCGGCCGATTGTGCCACTTTAGTCCAGCCTGGGAGACAAGAGCAAAACTCTGTGGCTTATGCCTGTAATCCCAGCACTTTGGGAGGCCGAGGCAGGTGGATCGCCCGAGGTCAGGAGTTCGAGACCAGTCTGGCCAACATGGTGAAACCCTGTCTCTACTAAAAATACAAAAAACTAGCTGGGCATGGTGGTGGGCGGCTGTAGTCCCAGCTACCCGGGAGGCTGAGGTAGGAGATTTGCTTGAACCTGGGAGGTAGAGGTTGCAGTGAGCCCAGACCATGCCATTGCACTCCAGCCTGGGCGACAAGAGCAAAACTCCGTCTCAAAAAAAAAAAAAAAAATCTTCATAACATTTATTTTTAAAAAGCAAACTCATTCCAAGATATCTGAAATGCCCTTGTGGAGGTAAAGAGAGGAACACTGGCACTGCATTATTTAGCTGCAGGCAAAGCCACAGCATCACTGACCAAGGTGAAATTTTATTCAGTCAAAATGATCCTTCAAAATCCTTTACGAAAGATATAACAATTATAACCATATACTCACTTAACAAAAGAACCCCAAAATATATTAATAAAAGCAGAATTGAAAGAAGAAATAGTTCTAAAACAATAATGCAGACTTCTGTATTTTACTTTCAATAATGACTAGAACAACCAGACAGAAAATCAATAAGGAAATAGATGACTTCAATAGCACTATAAGCCAAGTGGACCCAACAGTCGTGGATGAAATTCTCTGTTCAACAGTAGAATGCACATTCTTCTCAAGTGCACACGGAACATTCTCCAGGATAGGCCATATGTTAGGCCACAAAACAAGTGTCAATACATTTTAACAGATTAAAATTATTATATTCTCCAACCACAACAGAATGAAGCTGGAAATCAGTAACAGAAGGAAGATTGGAAAAATTCACAAATTTGTGGAAGTTAAATAACACATTCTTAAGCAACCAGTGGGTCAAAAAAGAAATAAAAAAGGGATATTAGAAATGCTAATAGATGAATGAAAACTAAGATACAACATACCAACATTTATGAGATCCAAAGAAAGCAGAATTTAAAGCTATAAGTGCCTACATAAAAAGAACTCAAATCAGTAACCTAATTTTATAACTTGAGGAACTAGAAAAAGAAAACCAAAGTAAGCCTAATGCCAGCAGAAGAAAATAATAAGGATTAGAACAAAGATAAATGAAATAGAGAATAAGAAAATAGAGAAAATCAATAAAACCAAAAGTTAGTTCTTTGGAAAGATCAACCAAATTGATAAACCTTTAGCTAGACTGCCTAAGAAAAAAGACTCAAATTACTAAAGTTAGAAATACAAGTGGGGACATTACTATCGACCTTATGGAAATAAAAAAGGATTATGAGAAAATGCCATGAATAATTATTTGCCAACCAATTACATAACCTAGATGAAATGGTCAAATTATTAGAAATGAACAAACTAGGCTGGGTGCAGTGGCTCACGCCTGTAATCCCAGCACTTTGGGAGGCCAAGGTGGGCCGATCACGAGGTCAGGAGTTCGAGACCAACCTGACCAACATGGTGAAACCCCTTCTCTACCAAAAATACAAAAATTAGCCCGTCATGGTGGCACATATCTGTAATCCCAGCTACTCAGGAGGCTGAGGCAGGAGAATTGCTTGAACCTGGGAGGCAGAGGTTTCAGTGAGCCGAGATCATGCCATTGCACTCCAGCCTGGGCCACAGAGCAAGACGCCATCTCAAAAAAAAAAAAAAAAAAAAATGAACAAACTAAAAACTGACACAAGAAGAAATAGAAAATCTCAACAGAGCTATAACAAGTAAAGACCTTGAATCAATAATCAAAAACCTCACACAAAGAAAAGCCCAAGACCGGATGGCTTCGTTAGTGAATTCTATCAAATATTTAAAGAATTAACACCAATTCTCTTGAACTCTTCCAAAACATAGAAGAGGTTGGAACTATTCAATGAGATCAGCATTACCCTAATACCAAAGCTAGACAAAGACACTGCAAGAAAAGAAAACTTACAGACCAACACCCCTTTTAAATTTAGAAGCAAAAATAGCCAGCAGATTATTAGCAAGCCAAATCCAGCAGCATATTAAAGGACTAAACACCCAGCTGAGTGAGATTTACCCCAGGAATGTAAGGGTAGTTCAACATATAAAAATGAATCAATGTAATACACCATTTTAATAGAACAAAGGGGAGGCTGGGTGCAGTGGGTCACGCCTATAATCTCAGCAATTTGGAAGGCCAAGGCAGGCAGATCATTTGAGATCAGGAGTTTGAGACCAGCCTGACCAACATGATGAAACCCTGTCTCTGGTAAAAATATAAAAAAATTAGCCAAGCATGGTAGCACACACCTGTAATCTTAGCCACTCACAAGGCTGAGGCAGGAGAATCTCATGAACCCAGGAGGTAGAGGTTGCAGTGAGCCAAGATTGTGCCACTGCACTACAGCCTGGGCAATAGAGCAAGACTCCGTATCAAAAAAAAAAAAAAAAAAAAAAGAACAAAGGGGAAAAAACACTATCATCTCAATTGGTGCAGAAAAAGCATTTGACAAAATCAAATACATTCTTATGGTAAAAACACTAAAAAAAAAAAAAAACAAACTGTCAATAGAAGGGAATGTCTCCAATCTGACAAAGGATGTTTATGAAAAACCCACAGATAACATTACACTCAGTAATGAATTACTGAAACCTGAATTCTTATCCCTGAGATCTGGAATAAGACAAGGATGCCTGCTTTCACCACTTATATTCAGCATGGTTTTGGAAGTTCTAGCCAGAGCAATCAGGCAAGAAAAAGATATAAAAGACATCCACACTGGAAAGGAAGAAGTGAAACTATCTCCATTCTCAGGTGATGTGGTCCTAAAGAATCCACAAAATAACTATTAGAGCTAATAAATGAAATCAGCAAAGTTGCAGAATATGAAACCAACACACAATAATCCATTGTCTACATTATCAGTTGTATTAATCTGTTTGCATTGCTTTAGAAGAACACCTGAGACTGGGTAGTTTATAAAGAAAAGAGATTTGGCTCATGGTTCTGCAGGCTGTACATGAAGTACATGTACTGACATCTGCTTCTGGTGAGGGCCTCAGGAAATTTCCAGTCATGATGGAAGGTGAAGGGGGAGACAGTGTATCACATGGCAAGACAGGGAGCAAAAGAGAGAGGGAAGTGGTGCCAAGTTCTTTTAAACAACCAGATCTGGCATGAACTCAGAGTGAGAACTCACTCATTACCACGAGGACAGCAGCAAGCCATTCATGAGGGATCCTCCCTAAGACCCAAACACCTCCTCCAGGTCCCACTTCCAGCATTGGGGATCACATTCCAGCATGAGAGTTGAAGGGAAAAAAACATCCAGACCATATTAGCATTTAATAATTTGAAAATGAAATGAAGAAAACAATTATAGTTATTATAATAGCATTAAAAAGAATAAAATACTTGGGAGCAAATTTAACCAAAATAGTGCAAGGCTTACACACTGAAAACTACAAAACATTTTTGAAAGAAGTGAATGACTACCTAAATAAATGGGACAACATCTGTGTTCATGCATTTGAAGACTTTATATTGTTAGGATGGCAATACCACCCAAAACAATCTACAATTCAGTACAATCCTGTCAAAATTCCAAGGGCATTTTTAAAAAGAAATGCAAGTCCTAAGTTCCTATGGAAATGGAAGGGACTCCAAATAGCCAAAACTATCCTGGAGGGAAAAAAGAACAGAGTTGAAGAACTCACATTTTCTTACTACAAAGCAACAGTAACCAAGACAGTGTGGTACTTGCATGAGAATAGATATATAGATCAATGGACTAAAATTCAGAGTCCAGAAGTAAACCTGTTTACATGAAAATATGTTCAGCATCATCAATTATTAGGGAAATGCAAATCAGAACCATAATGAGATACCACTTTACAGCCACTGGCATGGCTATAATACAAAACAAGGGGGGAAATAGTGAAGATATGGGGAAAATGGGAACTGAATTGCTGGTGGGAACATAAAATTACACCTGCTATAGAAAATGTTTTGATGGTTCCTCAGAAAGTTACACACAGAATTACCATATGACTCAGCAACTGCACTTCTAAATATATATCCAAAAGAATTGAGGCCAGACGTGGTGGTTCACACCTGTAATCCCAGCACTGTGGGAGGCTGAGGTGGGCAGATCATCTGAGGTCAGGAGTTCAAGACCAGCCTGGCCAACGTGGTGAAACCACATCTCTACTAAAAATACAAAAATTAGCCGGACGTGATAGTGCACACCAGTAGTCCCAGCTACTCGGGAGGCTGAGGCAGGAGAATCGCTTGAACCCAGGAGGTGGATGTTGCAATGAGCCGAGATCACACCACTGCACTCCAACCTGGGTGACAGAACAAGACTCCATCTCAAAAAAACAAAACAAACAAACAAACAAAGAATTGAATGAGGTATTCTAATGATTGCTTGTACAAGAACATTCAAAGCAGCACTGTTTAGAACAGCCAGAAGGAGGAAACAACCCAAATGTCCATCAACATATCAATGGATAAACAAATGTGGTCTAGCCACGCAATGGAATAGTATTCAGCCATGAAGAGAAATGAGGTACTGATACAAAGCACATGAACCTCAAAACATTATGCTAGAAGGCAGAGAAAGCATTTGACAAAATTTGCATCCTTTCATGATTGAAAATAAAAAACCTCTCAACAATTAGGTATAAAAGGAATGTTCCTGAACACAATAAAGGCCGTATATGACAAGCCCACAGCTAACGTCATTCTCAGTGGTGAAAAGTTGAAAGCTTTTCCTCTAAGATCAGGAACAAGACAAGGATGCCTACTCTTGCCACTTCTATTAAACATAGGATCAGAATTCCTAGCCAGAGCAATCAGGGAAAAAGAAGAAATAAACACATCCAACTAGGAAAGGAAGAGGTGAAATTGTCTCTGTTTGCTGATGACATGATCTTATACACATAAAATCCTTAAAGACTCCACCAAAAAACTTTTGGAACTGATAAGTGAGTTCAGTAAAGTTGCAGGATACAAAACCAACATACAAAAGTCAGTAGTGTTGGCTAGGCATGGTGGCTCACACCTGTAATCCCAGCACCTTGAGAGGCCAAGGCGGGCAGATCACCTGAGGTCGGGAGTTCAAGACCAGCCTGGCCAACATGGTGAAACCCCATCTCTACTAAAAATACAAAAAATTAGCCAGATGTGGTGGCGGGTGCCTGTAATCCCAGCTACTCAGGAGGCTGAGGCAGGAGAATCTCTTGAACCCAGGAGGCGGAGATTGCAGTGAGCCGAGATCATGCCACTGTACTCCAGTCTGAGCGAGACTCTGTCTCGAAAAAAAAAAAAATGTTTATATACACTAACAATAAACTATCTGAAAAAGAAATTAAGAAAGCAATTCCATTTACAAAGCATCAAAAAAAATATTTAGGAGTTTTTAACCAATGAGTTAAAAGATCTCTATACTGAGAGCTATAAAACATTGATGAAAAAAATTGAAGCCAACACAAATAAATGGAAAGATATCATGTGTTCATGGATTAGAAGAATTCATATTGTTAAAATGTCCATACTAACCAAAGCAATCTGCAGATTCAATGCAATTCCTATCAAAATGCCAATGTCATTTTTCACAGAAATAGAAAAGACAATCTTAAAAATCATATGGAACCACAAAAGACCCACAAATAGCCAATACAATCTTGAGAAAAAAAAAACGGAAGGCATAACACTACCTGATTTCAAAATATATTTCAAAACCATAGTAATCAAAACAGCATGTGTATTAGTCCATTTTCGCACTGTTATAAAGAACTTCCCTGAGACTGGGTAATTTACGAAGGAAAGAGGTTTAATTGACTCACAGTTCCATATGGCCGGGGAAGCCTCAGGAAACTTACAATCATGGTGGAAGGGGAAGCAAGCACCTTCTTCTCAAGGTGGCAGGAGCATGAGAAGAGCAAAGGAGGAACTTCCAAACACTTATAACCATCAGATCTCATGAGAACTCACTCACTATCATGAGAACAGCATAGTTCTCAGCATAGTTCACCCCACTATCATGAGAACACCCACTATCATGAGAACACCCACTATCATGAGGACAGCATAGTTCTCAGCATAGTTCGCCCCCATGATCCAAACACCTCTGTCTTTCGACAGACACGTGGGGATTACAAATTGAAATGAAATTTGGGTGGGGACACAGAGCCAAACCATATCAGCATGGTACTGCCATAAAAACAGATAAATGTACCAGTGGGACAGGATAGAGAGTCATAAATAAACCTACACATTTACAGGCAATTGATTTTTGACAAAAGTGCCAAGAACACACAATGGGGAAAGGACAGTCCCTCCAATAAATGGTATTGGGAAAATGGGAACATTCCACATGCAGAAGAATGAAATTGGACTCTTCTCTCAGCCCATACACAAAAATCAATTCAAAATGGAGTGAAGACTTAAACATAAGACCGGAAACTGTAAAACTTCTAGAAGAGAACATAGGAGAAATAGTTCTTGACGTTGGTCTCAGAAAGGATTTTTTTGGATGTGACACCAAAAGCACAGGCAACAAAAGCAAAAACAGACAAGTGGGTCTACATCAAATTTAAAAGCTTCTGCACAGCAAAGAAAACAACAGAGTGAAGAGACAGCCCACAGACTGGGAGAAAATATTTGCAAATCATACATCTGATTTGATGTATGATATCCAATTTTGGCTAATATCCAAAATATACAGGCAACTATATAACTCACTAACTCACTAACTAACAGGAAACAACTCACTAACAGGAAAACAAATGACCTGATATAAACATAAGCAAAGGACCTGAATAGACACTTCTCAAAAGAAGACATACAGTAGGTCCTTGAATAACATCCTTTCGTTGTAACATTGATGAGGAAAACAAAGTCATTCCCGGGCCACTGTCTGTGGAGTTTGCATGTTCTGCCCATGTCTGTGTGCATTGTGGGTTTTCACCAGGTACACTGGAGTTCAAAGATCAGAAAAAAACAAAACACTATGCTAAGTGAAAAGAGCCAGACACAAAAGGTTAATTGGCATGTCTAAATGGTCCCAGTGTGCGTGAGTGTGGGTGCAGGTGTGGATGGAAATGTACCCTGTGATGGGAGGGGTCCTGTTCATGGGTTCCTGCTTTGTACCCTGAGCTGCCGGGATAGGCTCCAGCAACCTACCACCCGGAACTGAAATAACTCGGTAAATAATTACCTTACTTGTTTATGTTAATCTTTCTTAAATGTATCATAGCCCACAATTATTTTAGTGTTTAATATTAGAAGTGTTTTTCATCTTTATTTAGAAGTTTGATGATGTTTTTGTGACCAGAAATATGCTGTCGGAACTTCACTCTTGTTCTTATCAATTAGCCTATGGTAAAATTGGTTTTGTTATATGTCATCTCGCTTAAAGTTACAGTTTCCAGGAAGCTACGAGGACTTACTGTGACCAAAAGATATATTTAAAAAAGGATCAACCTCATGAATCATCAGGGAAATGGAAATTAAAACCACAGTGAGCTACCACCTCACCCTTGTTAGTATGGCTGTTATAGATAAAAGGTTGGCAAGGATGTGGAGAAAAGGGAATTCTTGTTCACTGTTGGTGGTAATATAGATTGGTTCAGCCATTTTGGAAAACAGTATGGAGGTTCCTCTGAAAACTAAAAATAGAATTACATATAATCCAGCAATCTCACTTTTGGGTATGTATCCAAAAGAAATGAAATCAATGTATCAAAGAAATATCTACATTCCTATGCTTATTGCAGCTTATTCAAAATAGCCAGGACATGAAATGAACCTAAGTGTTCATCAACAGATGAATGGATAAAGAAATTATGGTATATATGCACAATGGAATACTATTCAGCCTTGAAAAAAAGGAAGTTCTGTTCTGTCATTTTCAACAACATGAATGAACCTGGAGGACTTTATGCTAAGTATAATAATTCGGGTACAGCCGGGCATGGTGGCCTGTAGTCCCAGCACTTTGGGAGGCTGAGGCAGGTGGATCATTTGAGGTCAGGAGTTCAAGAGCAGCCTCGCAAACATGGTGAAACCTCGTCTGTACTAAAAATACAAAAATTAGCCAGGCAGTAGTGGTATGCACCTGTAATCCCAGCTACTCAGGAGGCTGAGGCAGGAGAATTGCTTGCACCCAGGAGGCAGAGGTTGTGGTGAGCCAAGATCATACCACTGCACTCCAGTCTGGGTGACAGAGAGAGACCTTGTCTCAAAAAAAAAAAAAAAAAATCAGGTACAGAAAGGTAAATACTGCACGATCTCACTTACATGTGGAATCTAAAGAAGTTGAATTCATAAGGGTAATGAGGGGAGGAAGGGGTGGTCATACTGTGTGAAGGGAGATAGTCACACTGAGGGAAGGTGGTCACACTGTGAGAAGGGAGGTAGTCACATTGTGAGAGAAAAAGTGATCACACTGTGTGAGGGGAGGTGGTCACACTGTGAGAGAAAAAGTAATCATACTGTGAAAGGGAGGTGGTCACGCTGAGAGGGGAGGTGGTCACACTGTGTCAGGGGAGGTGGTCACACTGTGAGAGAAAAAGTAATCACACTGTGAGGGGATGTGGTCACACTGAGAGGGGAGGTGGTCAGACTGTGTCAGAGGAGGTGGTCACACTGAGGGGAGGTGGTCACACTGTGAGAGGGGAGGTGGTCACACTGAGGGGAAGTGGTCACACTGTGAGAGGGGAGGTGGTCACACTGAGGGGAGATGGTCACACTGCAAGAGGGGAGGTGATCACACTGAGGGGAGGTGGTCACACTGTGAGAGGGAAGGTGGTCACACTGTGAGAGGGAAGGTGGTCACACTGTGTGAGGGGAGGTGGTCACACTGTGAGGGGAGGTGGTCACATTGTGAGAGGGAAGGGGGTCACTGTGAGAGGGGAGAAGGTCACACTAAGGGGAGGTAGTCACACTGTGAGGGGAGGTGATCACACTAAGGGGAGGTGGTCACACTGTGAGAGGAGGTGGTCACACTGTGAGGGGTGGTCACACTGTGAGGGGAGGTCACACTGAGGGGAGGTAGTGACACTATGAGCAGAGATGGTCACACTGTGAGGGGAGGTGGTCACACTGAGGGGAGGTAGTGACACTGTGAGCAGAGATGGTCACACTGTGAGGGGAGGTGGTCACACTGAGGGGAGGTGGTCACACTGTGAGGGGAGGTGGTCACACTGAGGGGAGGTGGTCACACTGTGAGGGGAGGTGGTCACACTGTGAGGGGAGGTGGTCACACTGAGGGGAGGTAGTGACACTGTGAGCAGAGATGGTCACACTGTGAGGGGAGGGGGTCACACTGTGAGGGGGAAGGTGGTCACACTGTGAGAGGGGAGAAGGTCACACTAAGGGGAGGTAGTCACACTGTGAGGGGAGGTGATCACACTAAGGGGAGGTGGTCACACTGTGAGAGGAGGTGGTCACACTGTGAGGGGAGGTCACACTGAGGGGAGGTAGTGACACTATGAGCAGAGATGGTCACACTGTGAGGGGAGGTGGTCACACTGAGGGGAGGTAGTGACACTGTGAGCAGAGATGGTCACACTGTGAGGGGAGGTGGTCACACTGAGGGGAGGTAGTCACACTGTGAGGGGAGGTGGTCACACTGTGAGGGGAGGTGGTCACACTGAGGGGAGGTAGTGACACTGTGAGCAGAGATGGTCACACTGTAAGGGGAGGTGATCACACTGTGAGGGGACGTCACACTGTGAGGGGAGGTGGTCACACTGTGAGAGGGGAGGTGACCACACAGGGGAGGTGGTCACACTGAGGGGAGGTAGTGACACTGTGAGCAGAGATGGTCACACTGTGAGGGGAGGTGGTCACACTGAGGGGAGGTAGTCACACTGAGAGGAGGTGGTCACACTGAGGGGAAGTGGTCACACTGAGGGGGGGTGGTCACACTGAGGGGAGGTGGTCATACTGTGAGTGAGGAGCTAGTCACACTGAGGGGAGGGGTCATACTGCGAGTGGAGGTAGTCACACTGTGAAGGGTGGTAGTCACACTGAGAGGAGGTGGTCACACTGAGGGGAAGTGGTCACACTGAGGGGAGGTGGTCATACTGTGAGGGGAAGTGGTCACACTGAGGGGAGGTGGTCATAGTGTGAGGGGAGGTGGTCACACTGAGGGGAGGTGGTCACACTGAGGGGAGGTGGTCACAGTGTGAGGGGAGGTGGTCACACTGAGGGGAGGTGGTCACAGTGTGAGGGGAGATGGTCACACTGAGGGGAGGTGGTCACAGTGTGAGGGGAGGTGGTCACACTGAGGGGAGGTGGTCATAGTGTGAGGGGAGGTGGTCACACTGGGGAGGTGGTCACACTGTGAGGGGAGGTGGTCACACTGAGAGGAGGTGGTCACACTGAGGGGAAGTGGTCACACTGAGGGGAGGTGGTCATAGTGTGAGGGGAGGTGGTCACACTGGGGAGGTGGTCACACTGTGAGGGGAGGTGGTCACACTGAGAGGAGGTGGTCACACTGAGGGGAAGTGGTCACACTGAGGGGAGGTGGTCACACTGAGGGGAGGTGGTCATAGTGTGAGGGGAGGTGGTCACACTGGGGAGGTGGTCACACTGTGAGGGGAGGTGGTCACACTGAGAGGAGGTGGTCACACTGAGGGGAAGTGGTCACACTGAGGGGAGGTGGTCACACTGAGGGGAGGTGGTCATAGTGTGAGGGGAGGTGGTCACACTGGGGAGGTGGTCACACTGTGAGGGGAGGTGGTCACACTGTGAGGGGAGGTGGTCACACTGAGAGGAGGTGGTCACACTGAGGGGAAGTGGTCACACTGAGAGGAGGTGGTCACACTGAGGGGAGGTGGTCATACTGTGAGTGAGGAGGTAGTCACACTGAGGGGAAGTGGTCACACTGAGGGGAGGTGGTCACACTGAGGGGAGGTGGTCATACTGTGAGTGAGGAGGTAGTCACACTGAGGGGAGGGGGTCATACTGCGAGTGGAGGTAGTCACACTGTGAAGGGTGGTAGTCACACTGAGAGGAGGTGGTCACACTGAGGGGAAGTGGTCACACTGAGGGGAGGTGGTCATACTGTGAGGGGAAGTGGTCACACTGAGGGGAGGTGGTCATAGTGTGAGGGGAGGTGGTCACACTGAGGGGAGGTGGTCACAGTGTGAGGGGAGGTGGTCACACTGAGGGGAGGTGGTCACAGTGTGCGGGGAGGTGGTCATACTGAGGGGAGGTGGTCACACTGAGGGGAGGTGGTCACACTGAGGGGAGGTGGTCATACTGTGAGTGAGGAGGTAGTCACACTGAGGGGAGGGGGTCATACTGCGAGTGGAGGTAGTCACACTGTGAAGGGTGGTAGTCACACTGAGAGGAGGTGGTCACACTGAGGGGAAGTGGTCACACTGAGGGGAGGTGGTCATACTGTGAGGGGAAGTGGTCACACTGAGGGGAGGTGGTCATAGTGTGAGGGGAGGTGGTCACACTGAGGGGAGGTGGTCACAGTGTGAGGGGAGGTGGTCACACTGAGGGGAGGTGGTCACAGTGTGCGGGGAGGTGGTCATACTGAGGGGAGGTGGTCACAGTGTGAGGGGAGGTGGTCACAGTGTGAGGGGAGGTGGTCACACTGAGGGGAGGTGGTCATAGTGTGAGGGGAGGTGGTCACACTGAGGGGAGGTGGTCACACTGAGGGAAGGTGGTCACACTGAGGGGAGGTGGTCATAGTGTGAGGGGAGGTGGTCATAGTGTGAGGGGAGGTGGTCACAGTGTGAGGGGAGGTGGTCACACTGAGGAGAGGTGGTCATAGTGTGAGGGGAGGTGGTCACACTGAGGGGAGGTGGTCACACTGTGAGGGGAGGTGGGCACACTGTGAGGGGTGGTAGTCACACTGAGAGGAGGTGGTCACACTGAGGGGAGGTGGTCACACTGAGGGGAAGTGGTCACACTGAGGGGAATGGTCATACTGTGAGGGGAGGTGGTCACACTGAGGGGAAGTGGTCACACTGAGGGGAATGGTCATACTGTGAGGGGAGGTGGTCACACTGTGAAAGAAGATGATCACAGTATGAGAGGTCATCCTTCAAGAGGCAAGTGCCCAAAAATCTGTTTATAATCTAGAGCAATATTTGCCTGAAATAAACTTTAAAAGTGGTTTTACGCTATTTAACCCAGTGTCAGAACAGCAGCATACAATATGAGCTCAAAATCTTGTATAATTTTAGTAAGGTAATTGTTTTTGGTTGGTTTGATACAATTCTCCAGAAAAATTAAGGAAGAAAGAGCCAACCTCATACACATTGCAGAATATATCCACGAGGCCTTACTGGTGGCACCCAAAGTTTTCAGAACCTCCCAGTACTTAGTTGTGAGAATCAGTTGCTTTTTCCCTATCACTGCCTTTATTGCTCTAGTTTAAATCTGAATTCCTGCAACCCTCACTGACTGCTCTTTCCAATGTGTGCATAATCTCCAGCACCCCGTTGTGTCTTGCTTAGCCAAGTGGCAATGACTTTATGCCTCCATATAGCTTGAGTCTGTTTTCCTATCTATAAGCTCTTATCACTAGTAAGTTAATAATCCAACAAAACCCTGCAAGGAATTGCCTTTTCTATTCAAAATAGAAGGAATTATTGGAAGTTGAAATAAATGTACCATCAGAGTCCACAGACTCTTGATCTAGGGTGATGTTCAAGAATCACAGTGTTTGGAAAGCAGCCAGCTCAACCCTGGGGGATGTGCTTTCTAGAAGTACCCTGCTCTGGAGGGCAGATATGCAGTGGTGAAGCAAATATAGCAGATGTTAACTGTGGAGTCCAGGTGCAGGTGTGCAGGTGTTCAGTGGACAATTCTTCAACTTGTCTCTGAAAATTTTTATAATGAAATGTTAGGAAAATCTCTACTACACTGTACCTATGTGCAGCATAAGATTCTCAGCTTCAAACAACTTTATTCTTTCTGAGCCCTACCTTTTTAAATATATCAATAAAATTTGACTTGATTGTGAATTTATTCTAAGGTTTTAAAATCCCACTTCTTGGGAATTATAAGCAAGAAAACTTTTCATATAGGACCTTTCAAGTAAAAAGGTTTAATCACTCCTTTTTTTTATTTTTAAATTTTTTTATTTTTAAAACAGAGGCAGGGCGTGGTGGCTCATGCCTGTAATCCCAGCACTTTGGGAGGCCGAGGTGGGCAGATCACCTGAGGTCGGGAGT
Organism: Homo sapiens; assembly: GCF_000001405.40. Lineage (NCBI taxonomy): Eukaryota > Metazoa > Chordata > Mammalia > Primates > Hominidae > Homo > Homo sapiens. Next base: position 20,359,461 of record NC_000020.11, read on the forward strand.
TCAAGACCAGCCTGACCAACATGGAGAGACCCTGTCCCTACTAAATATACAAAATTAGCCAGGCATGGTGGGCCATGCCTGTAGTCCCAGCTACTTGGGAGGCTGAGGCAGGAGAATAGTTTGAACCTGGTAGGCGGAGGTTGCAGTGAGCCGAGATCATGCCATTGCACTCCAGCCTGGGCAACAACAGCGAAATTCCGTCTCAAAAAGCAAAAAACAAAACAACAACAACAACAAAACAAGTATGATCTACAGATGATTTTTATCTGAAAATGAAGGGCTTGAAATGACTAACCTGGATGACTCTTGAGGACATTATGCTAAGTGATATAAGCCAGTCACAAAAAAAAGTACTACAGGGTTCCACTCATATGAGATGCCTGCGTAGTCACATTCATAGAGACAGAGGTGGTTTCCAGGGCCTGGAGGATGGGAGGGTACGGAGCTGGTGTTTAATGGAGACAGCGTTTCAGCTGACGAAGATGAGAAAGTCCTGGAGATGGACAGTGGTGAGGGTTACACAGCAATGTGAATGTACTTCATGCCACTGAACTGTACACCTAAAAATTATTAAAATAAGACATGTTGTGTATACTTTGCCACAATTAAAAATAAATTTTCAAAAGCTAGAAAAAAAATGACCATCCTTGCAGAGCTGACTACTGTTGTTTTCATTCTCATGAAACTGCCGTTACAACTGTGCAGGGTCCAATTAATTTCTGTATCTGGCCTCTTACTGTGTTTTACAGGAGGAAGATCTTCCTTCCATAGAGCAGTTAGCCCATCAAATAGAAGATGAGGAAATCAACCCGACTGAGAAGCCCAGGCAATACCTCAAAAGAGTTTTTGAGGAATCCATCTACAAAACCCTGGTGGAGAGAAGCACTCTTGACTACCTGCACTATAACCGCTACCACCTGCCCATGTACGCGTGGCCAGGCATCGTTTAGTTGTAGGCAGGGTCTCCCCTTTATGGTTTTCATTTATTTAGTTCCTGGAAACGCGCTCTGTAGAAATAGAAAAGTTCTCTGCAGCCTGGTTTGACAGCGAAGCCAGCCCCTGGTGGTTTTGTTCATTCCTTTCCTTCCCTGACTTATGCCTGTAGTTTTCTATCATCCCAGTAGGTGGCACACGGCCGTGTGCCTCTCTTCTGGGGCAGGCTCGCTTTACAAATCCCAGGCATGTTCCTGTGCAGAATAATCCATTTCAGCAATAAAATGAGATCATAGTGTGTAAAACTTGTTTTTACCTTGGGTGTGATTCTGTTTGATTTCCTGGAAACTTCCGCTGCCAGTCTTGTTAGTTCTTCACATGTTTACCCAGCAGTACTTGTGGGTGATAAAAAAGAAAATGTGCCCAGAATGGAAAATTAGTAAACAGATGATGAGAAATTAAATCTGCAGTCCAACATAAGAAGCAGTGATTGTGTAGGAAAGCTTACATGACCTTTGGAAAGGAGGAGGCTGTATTTCTGTTTCAAATTGCAGATGAGGAGCATAAAGTCACAGAAAAGTTGGGTGCTCAAGGGGTTCACACATAGGTTTTAGATTAGAACGTGGTAACGTGGTAATGGGAAGTTCATCAAAGTTCATTTTCTTTGATCCTTAGCACTGTTGCTTTGCATTGAGGGGGGCGGGGTGAAGGGGTCCCTAGTACATGTCAACTCTAATGTGGATCAGAAACCCTTTTTCTTATAAATAAAGCAAATTAATTGCCCACTAGTAACTAACTGCATGGATTCAGGAATGAGGGGGAACAACACATAAGATTGTGCTCATTTATTGGGTCTCTCAGTAGACAGTGTGACACAATTTTTCACAGCAGGGCTTAAAACTGGTTTTTGTGAACAATTCCAGTTTTTTCTTCATGTGTTGTATTTTATGTAAATGTTGAGCAAAAGTTGGCACAAGATAAGGGATACACAACTATTAGAAGGAAAGTCAGAGCTGGCATTACAGCACTGTGTACACATTATCAAACTCTCTGCTGCAAACTGCCAACTTGTTGGAACTGCAAAGTTATTTGATATTGATATTTCTGCAAAATAAAATTGTTCCAGAATACTGGACTCTTGATTTTCCCAAGGCAGGCAAAAGCAAGCAATAAATGCTCCTAATTCCTTCACATGCACGTTTTCCGCAAATGCATGGGTCACTGGGGGGAGGGTCCAGCATTGGCCATATGGTACACACTGTGTCACTTGAATGGGGAACAATTGCTACTGGTCCACTCTTCAGAATTCAGACCCAGCACACGTGGAACCATATTTCAGGGGCTGGTGAATGAGTCAGCTCAAGCAACTCTCCTCCCCTGTCCCATTCCCCTGAAAGGACCTGGGTCAAACTCATAAGCAAAAGGAGTAAGTTTCTGTGACAGGTCCTGGGACCCCTGGATGCAGATTAACAGAACAATCTCGGAGGATCAACAGTTATGACTTCTGTGACCAAGTATTAGCATTAAAAAGCCTCCAGTCACATAAAAGTGACCCCAAATGACAATGTCAACCTTAATACCAAATCATGCATAAATGTGACAGTAAGTTTTCCTTTGCTGCCTTTTGAAAAAGGAGTGTTAGTGCTCCATAAGTATCACAGCAGACTTGAAAATATCTAGAATATATTTTAGTGTACAAAGTATATTGGGTGACATTATTTTAATCCTTATCTCACACTTCGAAAGTGGGTAATTTACAAGCTATTTAGCATAGATGCTAAATAATTTCCTGAATCTAAGAATCTTAGCATATCTGTTCAGACTTGAAAACTTTATCACTGAACAAGTTGCCTAAGAATAAAAGAGGAATTCAAGAGTTGTTGGTTATAACTTGCAATTGACTATTCTAAGGGCTTTGGGAAAATAACGGTGAAGATAAAGCCTGGCTTTTAAAAGGAAGGGCTTGAAACAGACCAATATTTGGACTTGGCTTGCACAAGGCATGAATTCCGTAAGTGGATTGAATGCTTGGCGTCTCTACATATTTCAGCACTTGCTGCTGAGCTGGGGACATCTTGGGCTGTAAGCCTGATCTTGGAATTCTACAGTTTTAAGCAAAGAATATTAATCAGAAAATACCAAAGTTAATTTTCCAAAGTTTTATTCCCCCAAATCACATGCAACAACCCCGCCTTCTGATGCCTCTAATTGCTCTCCCAACAGATGTCAGTTTTTAATAAAGAGTGTAACCACCGCCTTTCCAAAAATGGCTTATTATGGTTTTACTACACTCAAACATCACAGGAGGGCAAGAGAAAAATCAACGATGAAGTGAGGGAGGGAAGGAAATATGGCATGGAGCATAAAATGTAAAGCCAGCCAATCAATATTTACCCTTTCAAGAGGGAGAGAGAGAGAGGAGGGAGGGAGGGAGGGAGGGAGAGAGAGAGAGAGAGGGTGCGCATCCGAGTGAGCCAGTGTTAGCCAAGAAGCAGGGAGCAGGGCTCGAAAGTCGCTGAGCGCCGAGTGCGAGGAGCTGTTGATTGTTTTCTGGTTGAAAGAAGAAGTGATGATAAGGCTGGGATAAAGTGAGCGCCGGCAGGGGCGCAGAGCCCGCAGCTGTATGCTAATGCTCACAGAAACCAAGCCTCCGCGTCCCCCATTAAAGCAGGCGACCAGGAGGCCACACATCACTGAACAAATAGGCTCTCTCTAGACAAATAAAATAACACACGTTGGCCTGTGGGGAGTGGGGGGAGAGTAAGAGCAGGGAGAAGAGTGGGGGGAGAGTAAAGGAGGGGGGAGAGAGAGAAGGAAAGAGAGAAGGGGAGAGGAATGGGAGACTGGGAGAGAGGTGGGGGGGAAGAGAGGGAGAGAAGACAGAAACAAGCGAGGGAAGAGACAGGAGAGAGGGACGAGAGGAGAGAGGGGAGCAGAAAGACAGCAAAGAGGGCTGGGGGAACTGGATGGGGAGGGAGGGACAGTGGGAAGAAGGGGCTGGGAGAGAAGAAGGGGGCCAGTTATGGGGGGGACACCACAGGTCGGGGGGGGGATTAGGAGTGAAAGAGATGGGAGAGAGAGGAGAAGGAGGGAGAGGTGACACCGTGGGGAGCAAGAAAGGAGGGGAAAGAAAAGAAAGGAAGAGACAGAAGGAGAGAGAAGGACAGGAGGAGGGAGAGGAGGCGGATGACACAAGGAGGGAACCAGAGGGCGAGGGAGGAGAGCAGGGACGGGAGAAGAGGGAAAGGCGGAGGAGAGAGGAACGGCGGTGGGGGGGGAGGAGCACCCGCCAACCCCATAGCAAGAACGCTCGCCAGGGTAGAAAGTATGCCCTTGTGGACCCCAGGAGTCTGGCTGCCTCTTCGTCCTCCTGCGGCAGGCGAGGCGGGGTGCAGGTGTGAGTGGGGTGGGAGGAAGGGGAAAGGATCGGGGTCGCCGCAGCCTTTCTGGTCAGTTTCGCTGGGTTTTGTCAGTTCCGTTTGAGACCGAGGCGCACGGACTAGCGGCCGCCAGCACCTCACAGGTGGAGGACACCTCTTGCGCCCCAAGGTCAATGTCATCCCGATGGGTCCCGTGCCGTCCTGACTCTCCCTGACCTAATTCTTTGGTTATGACTTTCTCACCTTCTGGGCTTCGCCTCTGCCAGCTTTCGCCGACGTCGCCCTTCCCGCCGCCCGCCCGGGCCTTCCTACCCGCTCTCCTCCCTCCCTGGCCCGACGGTCCCACTGAGGCAAAAACAAACAGCCCTGAGGGCACTTCAAGGAGCGTGCAGTGGCCCCGACGGTACTCTCGGGGGGATAAAAGAGGTGGCCAGCCACGCCGTCGGCCCCCGGCCGAATAATGGGCGCGCAGCAGATTGCCAGGGGGCACTTGAAACTCGAGGGGAGGGAAATACTTGAGCGCGGTCCCTCCCCGCGAGGACGCACGACGCAGCCTCGCGGATCGTCCCTTGTTCGCTCTCTTTCATGCACTCTCCTTTTGTGTGGAATTATCTAAACGGGAGATCCCTGGCAGCTTTATGCTAATGCGCCGAACAAAGGCAACGGCCCGCGGGCGGGAGGCCCGGAAGGTGCCTGGGGCCGGGCCGGGCGGGGTGGCGGCCAGGCGGGCTGCGCGTGTCTCTCGCGTGCCCCTGGGACTGACACAACAACCCCTCATTCCTGCAAATACAAAGCCTCTCACCGGCTCGGGTCGGGCGCACCCGGCGCAGGGAGGCGCTGGTCCCTCCGGGCGGCGGGCACTGCAGCGGTAACGCACGGTTCCTGCCGGTTGTGGCTCGGGGGACTGAGGGCCGGGAGTGGGGGCTTCTGTGAAGCCAGAAGAGAAGTCTGCAGCAGAGTGGTGATGAGGGGCGCTGACACCTCACCCCCAACGCCGACGTCTCCAAACGCGATACCCTCTGCGGGGTGAGAATGCGGGCCCGCCCGGCTCCTCCCGTGAGGCCAGGGCCTCCTGTTCTCCTAGACACCCCAAGGAGCCAACTCCTCCGCAGAAGTTCCCCGCTTCTGCTCTTATTTCCAAGCTTCGCGCTTTCTACAAACTCCCTGTTGCCTTGACTTTGATTTCCAGCCGTGGTGAGGGTCAGAGTGAACCCCGGCGCGCTCCCCGACGGCATCCCCGCACACCAGGATAGGAGAAATTGGAGGGCCTGGGGCCTCGGGCTCCGCAGTCGTCGGAGGAAGAACCCACCGCGGGGTCCGCAAGGGAAAGTGAAGAGGCCCGGGATTTTTCCAAAGCGCTGGCCAGGACCCCGAAGGAAGGGGAGGAGTCACCTGAAGCCGGGGAAGGCCCCTTGGGTGCTCTGCCTTGGATCCTTATGTTCACTGACTTTCGCGAAGCCCCCCTGGAGGGGGGCAAATCCGCGCTGTTTCCCCCAACTTAACTTCACGCGGCCCATTCTCCGAATCGCGTGCGCCAAGGCCGGCGTCGGGGGCGCACTGTGATGGCGCTTTGCTCTTCCCAGGCGAAGACAAATATCTCGACCCGATGTCCCCATGCATGCGGGTGCACAGGTTCTGAGAAAATCACGCAGAAGGCGGCTGCGATCCACGGCCCGGGCTGGGCTACACCTGCTTGGAGGTCGCTGGTGTGTGCGTGCGCGCGTGCGCAGCCTAACTCCTTCCAGCCCCGGGTGGTGAAATTAGTTTCCAATACTAGTACCTTTCAAGTTTCCATTTATTTTGACTGTACCCGTCTGAAAGCAGATTTCATTTACGCTAGCAAGACTGGAAGCCACAAATAAAGAAAAAGAAACGGATTCATTGAATCTCAGTATCTCAGTAGCGTTTAATAGATTCCCTTGGCTAAATTCAGAGCCCTGTTTGAATTCACTCACGCAGGAGTTGTTTTGTTTTTTTTGTTGGTAGAGGTGCCGGTTTCCCATCCCCACGGCTTATTTACAATTATGGGTGTTGTTATTTTTAAAGGATTCACAAGGTGACTAACTCTCTGTTATCTGTTGAATGGAAGGAGTGTTACATATGCAAGACCGAATGGGGCAGGCCGAGCCCCCGCCCTATGCTATTCTACAATCCAGATGGGATTCGTGATTAGAAAATAAAATTGGCCAAAGCTGTCTCGGAATCCTTTTCCCACTTCTAATTTCATCAGCACTATTAATCAGAGCTCAAAAGAGCAAGGAAATAACATCAGTTACTTTTAGATAGAAATATGTTTATAAATTTTAGATAAACTCATTTTAAGATTTCTAACTTTTGGGGAGACTAGCACTCACCACAGCATTTTTAAAACTAGGGTGAGACTTTTCAAAATATATTTCACTATATGCATTCTTCCCTTTTCAGTGTGTGAGTTAAAATATTACAAACATAAAATTATCAAATATCTTTCCCTTGATTAACCAACCTGATTAACCCCTTAATTAATTAAGCCTAACAACTGTCCCCATCACAACTTATGACTCATGTGGACTCTATTTTTACATGTTTAATTTCTACGCCAGGGTATTTTCAGAGGGAAAATCCAAAACAATTAAATACCTTCAGTGGAATTAAGCGTAAGTAAAACTCAGCAAAATCTGTCTGGTATACAAAGCTTTGCAGAAAAATGTTTCCTTCTCTTTCAATAAAGTGACATTTTCCTCACAGCATATGACATTTTATGTGGCTTGGCTATTTGTTCCCCAGTGTTGGACGATCAGGGCCACTACGCACTCGTGGGGTTCTCTGCCCTGTCCCCCGAAGATTCTGCCTTTTGTGTTTCCTCGGGGCTGGGCTGGACAGAGGATGGAGGCAGGCGGCCCAGTCTGGGTCCAAACGGAACGGCAGCGGAGGTGGGGGTGGGGGTGGGGGCGGGGGGAATCTTCGCTGTTGTCTCTTCCTGGTGGCACAGGGGAGGCGGCTTGTCCTCTCGGAGGCCTCAGCCTGCCTCAGAGTACAGATTGCCCCCCCTCCCCCCGTCCAGCACGCGTCTCTTTTGCGTCCAGATTGGCCGCGACCGGAGCTCAATAGCAGGAGGTTAATTTCCTTCACAAAGGTGAAGGGGGCACGGCTCCGTGGGGGCTGCGCCCAGACAGGCAGCCCCTTTATTTCGCAGCGCCTTGATTGGAGCCCTTGATTTAGCATCTGATGTCAACCGGCAAACAAAATGCCCGCTCGGAATGAAAATGCATGAGGCCGCGCGGGGAGGAGAAAGCCAACTTCACTGGGGCGCACGAGGCCGACCGCGCGTTTCGGGCTTCGGCCAACTCGACCCGGATTAACCGAGCCTTGGACCACGCGGAAGCTCCGGGCGGCCTGGGTCGGGCCCCGCCAAAGATGCCATTCCCAAGCCTCCAAGAACCCAAAAGTTCAGAAATTCACGTTCCTCTGGGAACCCAGCCCAGCCCGCCCGCGCTCCAATCCCGCGCTTTCGGGAGACTGAGAAGGCCGTGCCAATTCCTTCTCAAACTCGAAAGAAACCTTCTCTAGCCCCGTGGGCGCGCGGAGGCTGCGAGCACAAACATCGCCCTCGGCCACTGCCAGAAGGCCGGGCCCCCTGTCCACACTTGGAACCCCGGGGAACCCTTTTGCTTGGCCTCTTGGGTCCAGCGGCCCATCCGTCCAAGGTCCGGGCGGAGGCCGTCCGGACCCTGCTGCTCTCTCGGATTCTTGTTTATTTCCCAAACACCACGCGGAGCCACTGCGCCTCCGCAACGATCTCCCCCGCACCGCCCCGGCGCGCCCCCGCCCCCACCCAATCAGCGCGCACAACTTCCCCCTCGGCTCCGGCTCGCGGATTGAACCCTCCTGACATATTTGGGGCCATTCTTCTCCTTTGTTGCTATTTTGCTAGCGACCCGCGGGTAATCCCCGCGCGGGAGGGGGGCGTGCATTGTCGCGCTGATGGACGGGCCCATTTGGCGGCTCCGCGCCCCCCGGAGGAGAGACACAAAGCCCAGGCACGTGCGCCTCCCCATAGAGAAGCAGCAGACCGTGAAGGGAGGCGGGGCCGGGCGTGTGCCTGGACCGGGCGGGGCGGCGGCGCCGGGCGGGGCGACCAGGGGCGCGCGCGGGGGCCCCGCGCCCTCAGGTACATCTGCCGCACCTACCGGGCGACCCCCGAGTCCCGGCCCCCTTTTGGCCGCCCCATCGCCCTCCCACCCTGCCAGGCTGAGGAGCTGCGGACGCGCTGATTGGCTCCAGGGGAAGCGGGAGGCGAGAACAATGGCCCCCTCCCCCCGTTAAAAGGGAGCGGCTGCCGGGCCCGGGGACAGGGACGCGCGTGCAGGGCGCAGAGCTGGGCCGAGCCGTCGCCGGCGCCACGCGAGTCCCGCAGCCGCCGCGCCCGGGCAATGGGCCGGGGGCACTGAGGGCCGCCGGGGCCGAGCGCGGAGGGGGGACCGAGCCAGTGCCGTGCCCTCGGGCCGCGCCAACATGCCCCGCGGCTTCCTGGTGAAGCGCAGCAAGAAGTCCACGCCCGTTTCCTACCGGGTCCGCGGCGGCGAGGACGGCGACCGCGCACTGCTGCTCTCGCCCAGCTGCGGGGGCGCCCGCGCCGAGCCCCCGGCGCCGAGCCCGGTCCCCGGGCCGCTGCCGCCGCCGCCGCCCGCGGAGCGCGCCCATGCAGCGCTCGCCGCCGCGCTTGCCTGCGCGCCTGGGCCGCAGCCACCCCCGCAGGGCCCGCGGGCCGCGCACTTCGGCAACCCCGAGGCTGCGCACCCCGCGCCGCTCTACAGTCCCACGCGGCCCGTGAGCCGCGAGCACGAGAAGCACAAGTACTTCGAACGCAGCTTCAACCTGGGCTCGCCGGTCTCGGCCGAGTCCTTCCCCACGCCCGCCGCGCTGCTCGGAGGGGGCGGCGGCGGCGGCGCGAGCGGAGCTGGCGGAGGCGGCACCTGCGGCGGCGACCCGCTGCTCTTCGCGCCCGCCGAGCTCAAGATGGGCACGGCGTTCTCGGCTGGCGCCGAGGCGGCCCGCGGCCCGGGCCCCGGCCCCCCACTGCCCCCTGCCGCCGCCCTGCGGCCCCCGGGAAAGCGGCCCCCGCCCCCTACCGCCGCGGAGCCGCCCGCCAAGGCAGTCAAGGCCCCGGGCGCCAAGAAGCCCAAGGCCATCCGCAAGCTGCACTTCGAGGACGAGGTGACCACGTCGCCCGTGCTGGGGCTCAAGATCAAGGAGGGCCCGGTGGAGGCGCCGCGGGGCCGCGCGGGGGGCGCGGCGCGGCCGCTGGGCGAGTTCATCTGCCAGCTGTGCAAGGAGGAGTACGCCGACCCGTTCGCGCTGGCGCAGCACAAATGCTCGCGCATCGTGCGTGTGGAGTACCGCTGTCCCGAGTGCGCCAAGGTCTTCAGCTGCCCGGCCAACCTGGCCTCGCACCGCCGCTGGCACAAACCGCGGCCCGCGCCCGCCGCCGCCCGCGCGCCGGAGCCAGAAGCAGCAGCCAGGGCTGAGGCGCGGGAGGCACCCGGCGGCGGCAGCGACCGGGACACGCCGAGCCCCGGCGGCGTGTCCGAGTCGGGCTCCGAGGACGGGCTCTACGAGTGCCATCACTGCGCCAAGAAGTTCCGCCGCCAGGCCTACCTACGCAAGCACCTGCTGGCGCACCACCAGGCGCTGCAGGCCAAGGGCGCGCCGCTAGCGCCCCCGGCCGAGGACCTACTGGCCTTGTACCCCGGGCCCGACGAGAAGGCGCCCCAGGAGGCGGCCGGCGACGGCGAGGGGGCCGGCGTGCTGGGCCTGAGTGCGTCCGCCGAGTGCCACCTGTGCCCAGTGTGCGGAGAGTCGTTCGCCAGCAAGGGCGCTCAGGAGCGCCACCTGCGCCTGCTGCACGCCGCCCAGGTGTTCCCCTGCAAGTACTGCCCGGCCACCTTCTACAGCTCGCCCGGCCTTACGCGGCACATCAACAAGTGCCACCCATCCGAAAACAGACAGGTGATCCTCCTGCAGGTGCCCGTGCGCCCGGCCTGCTAGAGCGCGCCCTCCACCCCGGCCCCCGAACTGTGCCTTCGCTTGGAGACCCACAAAGAGAGTGCGCCCTGCACTCCCCGAACCCGAGTCCGCGCTGGGGGAGCCTCGCCCCCGCCCCCACCGGGTGAAAGTGTCGTCTCCGCTTCTCTCGGTGTGGCGTGACGGTAACCCCATACTCTCCTTTTGACTCCTTTTGGAACCCCCACTTTTACGTTGTGTCCCTCCGCCTCCCCCATGGCGCAACAGGAGTCAGTCTCTTTCTGTACAAGGGAGAAAAGCTGTACGCGTTTGTCTCGTGGTTGGAAGCCTCCCCTTGGCGGGGAGAAGCTTTTTTTCTTGCTAGTATTCGCTGTGTTCATGGTCTAGAAATGCGGTCTGGTCTCGCCTCGCCTACCAATCTCTGCTCTCTATGTATGTAGCGTACGGGTTGTTTTGGGTGAATCTTGAGGAATAAATGCCTTTATATTTCACAGGCTGTAAATTGAACTTCCCACACGATTAGCTTTATTATGGCTTGTGAACTGCTGGAGTCTGGCTTTACCTTTTTGTATGTGAACAAATCAAATTGCTTAAAAAAGAGTTTTCTTTAGTATAGCCACAAATGCCTTGAACTGTTGTCTGGGATTGTTTTGTGGGGGGAGGGAAGGGAGTGTTCCGAAGATGCTGTAGTAACTGCCTCAGTGTTTCACGTAAGACTTTTTGGTTTGATCATCTTTGTTGAGGTAGGACTATCAGTTCCCTCTAAATGTATATGTTGATTTATGAGTAATTGTTATTTATTCTTTATTTATTTATATTAATTATGAAGATTATGATATTATTTGATTGCAGATTTTTTTGGCGCGCTGCCCCCTCCCCACCCTGCCACTCTTGACATTCCACTGTGCGTTTTAGAAGAGAGCCTTTTTCTAAAGGGATCTGCTTAAAGTTTTAACTTTTATACCTATCTGAGTGAATTACAGACAACCTATCATTTATTCTGCTTCGAGGGTCCCCAGGGCCCTTGTACAACCGACAGCTCTTACTTTTAAATGCAATCTCTTTTCTACATACATTATTTTCTTAATTGTTAGCTATTTATAGAAAGCTTCAATAGAACTGTTTCAACTGTATAACTATTTACTATTCAAATAAAATATTTTCAAAGTCAAAGTGTGGTGGCCTGATTTCTGCATCACATGCTTTCAGGACGAATTTAAAATAGAGCTTCTGATGGTTTCTTAAAATGTAACTTTATTTTTTATTAGGAAAAAGGGAACCACCAGGATGGTGGGTTTTCAGAGCTGAACCTCAGCTGCGGAACTCTGCCCTTCTGGCAGCCTGAGGGTATAGCCTTGGTAGCGGCTGGCTGAAACAAGCCTTGTTGGGGTCCTTAGTAATGTGCCAGGAGGCGGGTTAGAATGAAGGCCCTGGGCATCTTTTCAGAGAAATCTAGATCAGTGTCCCTAAGAAGCTGTTCTTTGCACTGCACTTTCATTTAGCAAGTCCTTCATTCCCAAAAATTTGGGGCTCAGGGTGATAGTAATTCCTCAGATAAATAAAGTGGGTAGTTTTTGTTCACGACAAGAAAGGAGAAATGACTTTACCGTCAGATTTGCAAAGCACGGGCAGCAACCCGATTCACATTTGGATGCAATGGGAAGTTAAGCAACTGGGGGCAAGGGCTTAGAAATAATTTTCCAATCAGGTGAGCAGTCTGTTTGGGGGGAAAATGGAACACCATCTGTTTGGGGTATTAAATTTAATAACAGGTAATTACAATGTTTTCCATTATGTGTCACTCAGCTCTTTCAAGAACAATTCTGACTCTCACCAGTGAATATTTTGGGTTGTTTTCCTCTGTCTTGGAAACATCTCATGAAGGAGCTGTGCTAAATCTCACAATTGTGCATGTGTGTGTTCCCTTCCTTTTGTGTGTTTTTGCTGCCTTTTTTTTTTTCCTGAGGTCCGCTAAAGCTAACATTTGCCTGCCAAAGAGATTTTAGAAATCTGCACAGTAAAGGGATTTGCATCTCCAAAGAAGAGCTGGAATGAGGCTGGGAAGGGCAGTCCATGAGGAACTTGGAAGGACAAACTGAGGAAAGAGATCATTTTCAGATTGTGAGCCTCAAGTTTTCTGTGGGACGGGGTTTAGCTAGCAGGCTCAGCTAGCAGGAATGTGGAATATTCCTCCCTTTGTGAGGGTCTGGAAACAGCCTTCGAATAACAATGAAGGAGAAACCTCTACAGGTAAGTTGCCTCCAGGACAAATTGCATGGAGCTTTTTATCACTGATGACTACATATTTTACCAGTTTGGAAAATAAAAGAACAAAAAGCTCAGGGCTGGTACAATAGGAAAGCACAGGGACAGAGCAGCATTTATAACATCCTAAAAACTTTAAACGAAACAAAGAAAAACTCAAATGTGTGGGTTGATGGCTGCTGCTTCTCCCCTCCTGCAACAGTAATACTGGAGAATGGGAGCATTGAAAATATTCTCTCTGAGTTACACCAAACATTAAAAGATACCCCAAACTGAGGGTCAGTGTATGCACGTTCTGTGGCAATAAAGTTTCCTTAAAAACTGGAAGATTGGCCGCACATGGGGAGTCCAGACTCGTCTGCAGGAATGGTAGCTTGTAACTATGTTGGGCTCACTGTGGTTCTCGTCTGTAATCACAAAAACATGAATTCATCTAAGATCCACCTTCATGAGGGTAAATATAATTTGGTTGTTCACAAACATGTTCCTTCATCCCCTGTATAAATTTATTTCAATGGAATAAATGGAACCCGAAACATCTATGTGAGATATTAAATGAAACTGTATAGTAAATGGAGTTGAAGGCAATGAAACAGCGTAGAAATAGAAAAACTTGGTCAATTTTTATCACGGTAACACAATATGAGTTAGCAGAATATAGGAAGGGAATCAGGCTCTCTCCCCTTTTGCTTGCCTCCCTGGATAATACGTTCACAAGGTTCCCATTCGAGAACATCACGTTGAAACGCACACACTTTTTAACAAATCTGTGAAGGAGGCTGTAGGCATTCCGTGTGTTCTGGGGCTGCTGCAAGCTGGGAAGGCCATCCGTGGAAACTGCCCGAGAATTCCCTACCATCCCACAGCAAGGATTTGGTGGTGAGAGGCCCAGGGGGTCAGGAAAAGTAGTAAGGTTAAGGAGGGAGGAGCTAAAAGAGGGAAGAAATAAAGGAAGAGATTTGATTTTTGCCAGTGCCTTCACCCTTCTCTACTTCCATACAAATGTGGTATAATAAAAAGCAAAAGGCTGTTCAGCATTCCTTTGGTTCCACAATGAGCCTGTGGCTAGAACAGCTGCACGCCACGCTGGTTGAGCCCTTTCTCCAGAGTTACTATGTCCTCTCGAAGCAGCTTCCCCTGTTGCCTGCTTTGCTTTTTCCCTGGAGGCCTGGAAACGCTGGGGTTCTTGCCGCCCTCGGAGCAGGCACGTTGTACTGGCAAGAGTTTGACTTGTGTGACTCACTCGGAGGCCTGTGCTTCGAGGCACGCCTTCCTTCTGTGTAGCACCATGGACTAAGTGATCGCACCTTTCAGCTGATCCTGGGCCTGTCACTGGGTTCAATCTGGGAGTACCCAGATCTTGCAGAGCAGAAATGAAGCCAGGAGCCTGGCTGGACTCCAGCTGCACAAGGGCACCTGTCGGCATGTTGGGGTCCTGCAGAGACCTGGGTGTGCAACATCGGCCAGGGCAACACTAGCCACAGGTGGATGCGCCTAGCACGTCCGTGCCCAGATGCTGCCGAGGAGGGTGTGACATTTCTCATCAGCTTCCCTTTGCTCTGTGAGTAGCTATCTCCTCCCCCAGTTGGGCTGAACTCCACAGCCATCCACAGAGTCTTCAAAACAAAGCAGAAGCGTCTCCTAACCACCCTGAGTGACCTGATAACACTACAGGAATTCTTCATGTATCAACTGTCTTGCAAAAGAGACAGGGGCCTCATATAAGGTTGGGCTTTCTGAAGTTGAGTCAGTTGACTTCCTGAAAGCGTCAGTCTCCTCATCTGTAAACCAGAGATCATACTCCTGGCAGATGCCCTGAGGGTCTCTGGAGCCTTTGTGGGACATTTGGGAAAGATTCCTGAGCCCAGGAGATGAAGGGCAGTGAGGAGCCCAGAGGGACCTGCATTTTTCGCTTAGACAGGGGCACTCCTCTTTGCCAGAAGTACTGTTCCATGGCATTGAGGATTCGTTACATACCCACTGGCCTGTGGCAGGGTTACTTTGAGCGAAACTTGCTTTTTGCAGAACGGACATTCAGGTCTTGTAGAAAAATTTTCTGGCAAATAGACCCAAGGCGAAGTCTATGGAATCATATATGGGATAAGATGAGTCCCCCAGTTAGCTTCTTACAGAGCTAGAATTAGTTACGGTTCTTTGATGGTCAGACTAAAGGAATTTGTAATGCTCTGGTAGTTAAAGTTACAGACGATGGAATTTAGAGATCGAAGAGGAAACTGAGTTGTAGAGAGAAATCCACAGGTGGCAAAACATACCAGTGTGAGAACCAACTGAATAGCAACATGCAGGGATCTTGATTCCATTTAATCGTCAAGGAGGTACCAAAGCGGGGAGTTCAAAGTGGCGACCTAAAGACACTCAGCTTCTCATCTTCAATGATGGAAACATCTCATGGGTCTTTTGGCAACACAACCCCAAATAGCCCCAAAATCCCACCCAGGCGGGAAAGATAGCAGCTGAAGGCATCTTCAAGTTCCATCCCATCATATCTATTGGAGAAACATCGTTTCTCTACTGCCTGCCTGCAACATTAAATGACCAATACTCATAGGGAAAGTCTGGTGAACTCATGACTCCTGGGTTCTAATATGGCAATTGTCACTAGCAGGCACATCAGCAACACAAAGACAAGTTCAGCAGTGGAGGTGGCTCTATAACTTAAGGAGACCTGGTCACAAGTCCCCCAAGAGCCCAGTGATCCTAGAATAAAGAACTCTTCACAAACATGCAGAGCCAGAAGACCATCCTCTGAAGGGCTGCAGCCTAGAGTTCCTCGTGTCCCCTCGCACCTTCATCAGCTAAGGTTTCCAAGTGAGGCCAGGTATGTTGACTCTTCAGGAAGAAGGGACCAGAGATGGATGGCACCTGCTTGCCCAGTGATCTCGATGACTAGGGACTGGGGAACTACAGCCTCCTTCTGACACTGCTAAGGAAACAGATCAATACTTTTCAACATCCCCTCACCTTTTGCAAACAACCAGCTACAGGTTTTGGTGTCATCAGGGCAACTTCCCAGGCAAGAGGATTTTCTGAAGATGATTGAGTCCTGCTTCTTTGGACACATCCCTCATGAGGACCTGCAGGAGGAAATTAACACAGGCCACATTGGGTTTTGAAAGTCACAGAGCCTCATGAGAAGGGTCAACCCAGCAAGGGATGTGCGATGGACCTTTGGGGTGAAGGGAATTGATTTCTCATAGCTAGATGAGATAATCAAACTGGCTTACAAATTTACCAATCACAACTACTTTTTGGTCATTATTAAGGCTTGATATGCTTCTCAGAATCACAGAGCACCTTTGAGCATATGATATGGAGTCAGTTAACACGTTTTCACTAACCCAAACACACTCCTTCGTATCTTAAGCCCCTACCGTCATCATTTGTACCCCGCATACTTGGATTGTGGGCTTGCTGTGTAGCATCTGGAAAGTGGAATGTCCAGGACCTGCTGCTTCCTTCTGGCAGTGTATATGCTGAGCAGATGGGTTCTGGGGTGATCGCCTTCGTGTTTGTCTTGTTTGAAGATTTCTATCCTGTGTGGTCTTCCTGGTGGTATTTCCACACAAGCATCAGCACTAACGTTTTTTCTCTAGTTCCTCGCATAAGCTCACACCACGGAGACAAACCATCCTTAGAACATTCAACATTCACCGCATTGAAACGAAACTTACAGAATGTTCACTGCCAGCAGGACACATTCAAAGGCATGATTACTGAGAGCCTGTTTCCAGCATGCCATGTGCACGCCCTGCAGCTCCCCCAATGTCTATGAGAAGCTTATTTGCACAATTTGCCTCTAGTTTCCCAGAGCTGCCTCCCCTTCATCAGAACCCAGGCGTCCCCTGCTCCTTCCCTGTGGTTTGAACCAGCAGACCAAGCATTGCGCAGCAGGGAGACAATAATGCTGGCAACGTCAACCTGAATTCATTCTTCTTCTCTTTCACTCGTCAAAGAAGGGCCTTTTATTTGAATGCAACATCTGCTTCGTCTCTGTTGTGCAAGACCAGGGCCCTGATGCAATGCCCCCTTCTCAAACACCACAGCCAGGTGACAGTCACACCTGACGGTGACAGGATGAAGAGAGGGAGCCAAGAGGCTATTATGTGTCAAATCTGATAGGATGCAGAGGAGGCGTTACAGCATGGAAGGGTGGGTTTTAGAGGAGGGCGCTTTCCACAGGAGGAAAAAACATCAGGCTACAGTTTCCTCCCAGCATAAAGAACAGAAAAGGATGGGGAAGTTAGGCTGTAACACATGTGTCCAGTGTTGCCATTTAAAAGCTTGTAACATCAATCGATTGCAGTTCTTTTCTACTGCTATTTATCAACTACAGTATGTAAAACGAGCCTTTACCATTTTATGAGTACAGCTACAAGGAGATTGTTATTAGGAGATGGGCAGAAACCAATAGGAAAGGTGCGCATGAGAATGATCAGGTTGAGACTGCCCAGGACAAAGGCGGCTGGATCAATCAAATCTGGGTGCCCAATTTGGAACAGAATCATGTTAGATTTCATCAAATATTTTATACCATAAAGGAACACATTCTGTTTTCCTCACGTTTGGAATAGATCTTTATTGTGTCTTTTGAAACATTATGTTTTTTGTTCTGTTAATCACAGAGAAAACCATGTTTTCCCCTCAGTATTTTCAAAATTTGGTAATTCAGATTAAAAAGGACAAAAAACAATTAAATGCATATTAGACCTACCTTAACTTATTTGTAGCAGTAAATGTGACCTTACATTCTAAGATTATATTGGGATTCCAGAATTACTGCCATCATTGCAGTATTTCACAATCTCTATTATTATTATTATAACAGAAAAGGCTAGACTAGGGGTTGGTAAACTAAGGCCTACTGGCTCAATCCAGCCTGCTTTTGTAAATAAAGTTTTATTGGCATATAGCCATGTTCACTCACATACTCAGCCTCTATGGCTGTTTTCATGCGACAGCAGCAGAGTTTAGTAGTTATGATAGAGGCCACGTGGCCTTCAAAGCCTAAAATATTTACTATTCGCCCCTTTATAGAAAAAGTTTGCCGACAAAATATCATGCAATAGACAATAAAATAGTGCAGTAATTCCTCCCCTTGATTAGATAGAAATTTTGTCCTTATGAAGACTGCTTTGCTCAGTTGTGTGTTGCGCGTCATAAACTCACTCAGCATTCATAAGTCTTGAAAATTGCAAAATTTAGTATCACTGTTTTTACAGGTGTCACTGCCTAAGGTACCATGTTTTTTGTTTTTTGGATTTTTTTTTTTTTTTTTGAGACAGTCTCACTGTGTCACCCAGGCTGGAGTGCAGTGATGCGATCTTGGCTCACTGCAACCTTCGCCTCCCTGGCTCAAGTGACCCTCCCACCTCAGTCTCCTGAGTAGCTGGGACTGCAGGCATGTGCCACTACATCCGGCTAATTTTTGTATTTTTTTTAAGTAGAAATGGGGTTTCACCATGATGGCCAGGCTGGTCTCGAATTCCTGGCCTCAAGTGATCCACCTGCCTCGACCCCCTGAAGTGCTGGGATTACAGGCATGAACCACCATGCCTGGCCAAGGTGCCATGTTTTTTTAACCTGATTTTTGTTTTTGTTTTTGTTTTTTTTGAGACAGGGTCTCACTCTGTCACCCAGGCTGGAGTGCAGTGCCATGATCATGGCTTACTGTGGCCTTAATCTCCTGGGCTCAAGTGATTCGCTTGTCTCAGCCTTCTGAGTAGCTGAGATGACAGGTCCACACCACCATGCCTGGCTAATTTTTATTTCCTGTAGAGATGGGGGTTTCACTATGTTACCCAGGCTGGTCTCGAACTCCTGGGCTCAAGCAATCTTCCTACCTTGACCTCTGAAAGTGCTGGGATTACAGGTGTGGGCCACCACACCTGGCCCTGATAATTTAAATAAGGAAGTTTACTAGTTTTTCTGAAAGTTGGAAACGGCTTCCAAGATAGTTTTATTAATATTGTTCCTGTTCATATCAGTTACAGGAACTCTCAGACAACACACACAAATCACAATCTGTTAAGTCAGCCACAGAAATCTACACAGAACAGGAGGGTTATCTCCTGGTTTGAAAGTTGTTTTCTCACTGCAGTGATGGTTTAATTTGTCAGGTGAAGTCACAACTCTTAGGTTGAACCATAGGACATTGCTGTTTTTTTTGTTTTTTTTTTTTTGTTTTTTTTTTTGAGACAGGATCTCACTCTGTTGCCTGGGCTGAAGTGCAGTGGCACAATCTCAGTTCACTGCAACCTCCGCTTCCCAGGTTTGAGTGATTCTTGTGCCTCAGCCTCCTGAGTAGCTGGGATTACAGGTGTGTGCCACCACGTCTGGCTTTTTTTTTTTTTTTTTTTTTTTTGTATTTTTAGTAGAGATGGGGTTTCACTATGTTGCCCAGGCTGGTCTCCAACTCCTGGCCTCAAGTGATCTGCCCGCCTCAGCCTCCCAAAGTGCTGGGATTACAAGTGTGAGTGCTTGGCTCATTGCTGTTTTTATAAGTAAAAATAAAAACTTTGCTATCAATAATTTTATATGGCTTAACCTAACATTTCAAGGATTTTTGTAAACATTAACTTAAAAATTGAGTTAAAGACAGAATATAACTTTAACTCAGAATTGAATTGTTTCAAAAGTGTGTTAATTTAATAGCAACAAGCACCTTCCTGGCAACTGATGACCTCTTTTAATTGTGCTAGCGTTTGAGCATTTGGAGGATATAGATCAATGTCCACCAATGAGAATTCTGCTCTGATTAGAGGTTCACAACCATTACTTGAAACTTTTTTCTAAAGCAGGTTTCTGACCCTGTCCCATGAGCATCTCCCTTACAGTGGTGCTGGTGGACAACGTGTTGTACTTCTGTAGTATGTATCATTTAGAGCCCTGCCACTCAAAGTGTGGCTCAAGGACCTGTAAGTCCACATCCCCTGGGAGCAGAAGTGCCAGCCATGCTTCGGGCCTCCTAAGTCAGAATCTGTATTTTAACAGGATCCCCAGGGAATCTCTATGTCCGTTGATGTTTTACAGGCACTGGTTAAAAATTTGAGGTCTTGGTCATAGAGTAAGTTCTCCCAGTTGTTGCCCCAGTAAATTTGGCCTCGGAAGGGTTGATGGCTTGGGCACCAACCCAGGGACGCTAACCCCAACTCACGATGGGTTCATAACAATGCTAACAGACTAAATTCATATTAACATTTTAAGGATGTTTGGTAGCAATTCATTAAAAATTGAGTTAAAGACAGAAGATAACTTTAACTCAGCAACTTTAGCTGACCAACTTTGCGTGGTCCAAGGTCTTCATATGAATTACTCAGTGAGTTCTCACAATGCCTCCAAGAGGTTGGAGCCGTCATTACCCTGTGTAACATCTGAAGAAATGGAAGGCCCTGTGAAATGATGTGGGCTGAAAGTGCGGAAATTTAGTTGAGATCAAGAAAGTTCATAAAGAGAAACCTCCAAGGCAGCAATTGCTCCAGTGTGGGAGAATTCAAATGGACAGTGAAATACCGGGGCCTTGGTTCCACCTACTTGTCAAGGGGCTCCTACAGCAGGGAGTGCAATACGGTGGCCCAGGAACATGTATGGTTCTCAGTCCAGACCGTGAAACAGTTGATTTGTGCTTTGGCAATTTGACTCCAAAATAATGGGCTGAAAGTCCCATCCGGGAGAGAGAGCGAGAAGCCAAATGTAACATCATTTCCAGTTATTTCTTATCTTACGCATTGGAGAAACTTGTTATTTCTACATGACCCAACTTGCAAACACAAATAACAGATGCTGGCGAGAGAACTGGGTAAATTTAGTACTGCGTGATGTTAACTACGGCTCACACTGGTATCTGCGTCGTAGCAGATTCTAGATTCGACACCACTTTTTGCTTTGCTTTAACGTGCTGCAGATGCAAACTGTAAGAGAGGCAAGAATTCACTGTGAATGGTGGCGTCGTAAGCAGCTCCACAGTGAGGATATTGCTGAAAGTTAGCTTGCCCGGGCCACTTTCTTTTTTTTCTTTTTCTTTTTTCTTCTTTCTT
The DNA here is from genome assembly GCF_000001405.40 of Homo sapiens. Classification (NCBI taxonomy): domain Eukaryota; kingdom Metazoa; phylum Chordata; class Mammalia; order Primates; family Hominidae; genus Homo; species Homo sapiens. The sequence goes on from NC_000020.11 coordinate 20,380,096, forward strand.
TTTTTCTTTTCTTTTTTTTTTTTTTTTTTTTTTTTTTTTTTGAGACCGAGTCTTGCTCTGTCACCCAGGCTGGAGTGCAATGGCTCGATCTTGGCTCACTGCAACCTCCACCTCCCCAGTTCAAGTGACTCTCCTGCCTCAGCCTCCCGAGTAGCTAGGATTACAGGCGCACGCCACCATGCGCCTGCCACCACGTGCCCAGGCCACGTTCTATTGAGGTCTCTACCTTCCACTTTGGTTCTAAAAGCACTTGTTTGTAGAAATCACTTACTATTCTACACCTGCAAGCAACTGAATAGGCCATTCCAGAACCATGGCAACCAGCATGAGTGGCAGAAGGAAAAGTCTCTGAGCACAGGGTTTCAGGCTCTCCCTGCCCACTTTTAACATCAGGGCAGCAGAGGGACTCAAATGGGCTGGACCTAAACCCTAACTCTGAGATGCAAAGTCTAGTAATATTTAACAAAATGATTCAATTAAAAATTTAATTTTATATCTCAAAGAGAGTGCCAATGTTTCAGCTTCAGGAAGTGACAGATTTTGATAATCCTAGCAGGTCACTCTCTCTTCCGCCGTGGTGAGATTTCATGTGCTCACATGCAAAAGAACCCAGCCCCTTCTCCAGCATGCTGGGGCTGTTAGGGGCCAGGGGTTTGGAGCACAAACGCCTGCTTTCATCATTTCATCGCCACCATTTTTGGGTGGCCATGGGCAAGTTATTAACCCTCTCTGCCTGTTTTCTCACTGATAAAATTAGGAAAGAGTAGTGCCCACCTGTAGCAGACATTTACTATGTTTTCTGCCTGCCCCATGCCTTTTGAATACCCTTCTTATGCTCAGCTAATTCTCTATCCAATGAGTTCTGCCTCCTTAAGGTAGAATCCAGAAACTTGCTTTTCCAGCCTCCCTTGCAGCTAGGCTCTGCTGTAAGGGAATGGAAAATGTGCTGTGCATTAAGACCAATGTCCAACAGAAAGGAGTCAGGTCACCCTGACTCGGATTGGAGGTGCCTGACCACTCATCAAATGTGCCCCTGAGATGTGGATCCAGAAGAGAGACATGAAAGAGGTGGCACTGGGTGCAGTCAGTGCTGGGGAGGGGAGAGCAGAGGCATTTGTCTCTTGGAGGTGGCTGTGGTGAAGGCCCAGCGTTGTAAGGTGAGCTGCCACTGCACTTCTCTAGCAGGGCAATTTGAGTGTTGTTTCTAGATCTTTTAGTCACAAAGCCTGATTGTGTGGCCCTCCTGGACATAAAGCAAGGTAGCCAAGAGCCTTTAATAAATTATTTATCTCCTTCAGCTGGCTAAAGTGGATTTGGCTGTCTGCAACTAAGTGTCTCCCAAGGCCACTGTTGAGATTAAATGAGTTACTGAGGTCAAGTGCTGGTGAGAACTCACTCTTATTACCCTTGCAAGGATAGGAGTGAATTCTGATTTTATTTTACTTTTTATTTATTTATTTTTTTGAGGCGGAGTTTCACTCTTGTTGCCCAGGCTGGAGTGTAATGGCACGAACTCGGCTCACTACAACCACCCGCCTCCTGAGTCCAAGTGATTCTCCTGCCTCAGCCTCCTGAGTAGCTGGGATTACAGGTACCCACCACCATGCCCAGCTAATTTTTTGTATTTTTGGTAGAGATGGGGGTTTCACTATGTTGGCCAGGCTGGTCTCAAACTCCTGACCTCAGGCAATCCACCCGCCTTGGCCTCCCAAAGTGCTGGGATTACAGGTGTGAGCCACTGCACCCGGCTGAACACTGATTTTAAATTGTATATAATCTCAATGCCACCTGGTGTAGGTTTAAAAACACTTCTGCAAACCCTTTGACATGCCTCCCATTGTGAAGTGAAGTCTTACCTCCCTCACTGCCCCCTCCAAAACTAAGAGGGCCTTTGTGACGCTTTCTCAAATAAAAAGCAGTAGAAGTGACACTGTGTGACTTCTGAGACTAGGCTAGAAAAGGCCAAGCTCAAGCTACACACAGAGTCCACATTTAGGTGTTCTACTGAGGCCGAGCTAAGATCTCAGTCAACGACCAAGCCCCAGACATTTGGGGGAGCAGGTGAGCCCCTAAGATGATGCCAGCCCCCTCTACCCTAACATTTGCATGAGACAGCCCAGGTGGGAACAGCCCAGCTGGGCCTGCTCACCCCCCAGAGCTGTGTGAGACTGTAATAAAATGATAGTGGTTGTTTTTAGCCACTGAGTTTTGGGGTGATTTGTTATGTAGCAATAGACAACTGATATTTATTACTGATTCATTAGCAATAGATAACTGATATCAGGAACACACCTGATATCAGTTTTTCAGTGCTCTCTGGCTTTTAGACTGCCTGAGTGTGAATTTTTATTTTTGCTCCAGGGTCTCACTCTGTCACCCAGACTGGAGTGCAGTGGTATGAACATGGTTCACTGTAGCCTTGACCTCTGGGCCTCAAGCAATCCTCCCACCTCAGCCTCCCCTACAGCTGGGACCACAGGTACGTACCACCATGCCCAGCTAATGTTTTATTTTTTGTAGCGATGGGTGGGGGGGGTCTCACTTTGTTGCCCAGGCTGGTCTCGAACCGCCGGGCTCAGGTGATTCTCCCACCTTGGCCTCCTACAGTGTTAGGATTACATGCGTGAGCCACTATGCCCGGCCTGCATGTGAATTTTTCCATTTGGCCTTCACAACAATCCTTTATAGATTATGATTCATTGATTTGTATATTAAGAAAAGTCTGAATGTTGAATGCCTTGCCCTCAATCAGAAGGCTCTTCATCTAAGACATAGAGAGCAGAACCCAGGTGTCTGGCTCCTTGATGTAGCCCTCCACAAAATGAGGTGGTCTCGGTTCACTAGTAGAATGCACTGTTGTATGTAAATGCCTTCTGTACATTGTCTTGAAAACAACCATTAGGTCAATGTCCCAAGCACTATGACTGTGTAACAACAGATCTCCCCAAAACTGAGCATTTACAACAACAACAGAGATTTATTATATCTAATTATTTGTGTGGGTCAGGAATTCAGTAGCAGCCTGGCTTGGTGGTTCTGGCTTGGGGTCCTTCATGAAGTTACACTGAGTTTTCCACTGGGGCTGCAGTCAAGTGAAGGGTTGATTGGGGCTGGAGGATCTATTTCCAAGATGGCTCCCTCACATGGATGCTGGTCTCTATAGCACTGCTTGAGTGTCCTGACAGCATGGTGGCTCTCTCCAAAGCAAGCCATCCAGGAGACCAAAGTGGAAACTGTAATACCTTTATGACTAATCTTGGAAGATATATCACTTTTGCTGAGTTCCATTGGTCCCACAGGTCATCTCTGAATCAGCATGTAAAGGACCACGCATAGGTATGAATTCCAGGAGGTGATGATTGCTGGGGCAATCCTTGAGGTTGGCTACCACAATCAGTACTATCGCCCCAAGTCCCAGGTGAGGAAATGAGCCAGAATGACTAGGGAATGGCCGCTCAAGAGTGTGTGCAGGTGGAATCGGAAGCCAACACTGATTCCTAGGACCACGTTCCTCTCCAATCTATGACACAAGGTGAATTTGTGGTGTATTTTGATGCATTTATGTTAGTATTTTCAAAAATTTCTTCAAAATTGAGAAATTCTTTGGAACATTATCATGAAAAGACATACGGTGTGGGCACACTGATTGGGAGTCCTCACTTTGGTCAACAAATGCCTCGTTTTGTCATGGCTGAAATTATGCCTTTTTCCTGGGTGCCCCTTAAAATTTTTCTTTTCTTTTCTTAAGCTGTTGGGTAATTTACTGAGTTATCCTATACAAACATGGGAAAACATGGGTCCTAGCTTCATTTTTAAATATAACTCCAAAACCGACTTTATAGAATTCAAAAGTGGTCAAATAATCAATCTATTAGGACTATAATGACTGTCTCAGTTAGCTTGTGCTGCCGTTAACAAAATACCATAGACTGAGTGGCTTAAACTTAAAATAATAGGAATGGCGTGAACAACAGGAATTTATCTTTCACAGTTCTGGAGGCTGGAAAGTCTAAGATCAAGGAGTGGGCTGATTTGGTTCTCCAGTGAAGACCTCCTTCCTGGCTTGCAGACAGCAGCCTCCTCCCTGTGTCCTCACATGGCAGAGAGAGAGAAGCTCTGGTCTCTCTTCTTCTAAGAGCACTAATCCCACCATGGAGACCCCATCCCCAGGACCTCATCGCAACCCAGTCACTTCCCAAAGATCCCACCTCCTAGTAAACACTGGGGGTTAGGGCTTCAACATATGGGTTTCGGGAAGACACAAACATTCAGTCCATAACAATGACATATACTCTCTGACTCAGTAATTTCATTTTTTTTTGGAAATTTATCATACAGAAATAAAAGCAGCAGTGTGTCAGGATATAGGCGTGCTGGTGTTTATTACAGGTGTCTTTGTTATGACAAACACTGGAAGCCACCTTAATGCACAGATGGGCTGAGTAAATTAAGGTACATCTGTATTAAGGAATAAAATGCAACTACGGAAAATGATAAACTAGATGGAGGGGTGCCTATGACACTGTAAAGTTTAACAAGGATGTTGTAGAATAATGTGTATTGTATGATGCTATTTCTATGTCTTTGCATTAATCTGGAAAGAATGTTCCTTTTTTTTTTTTTGGAGACAGAGTTTCACTCTGTCACCCGGGCTGGAATGCAGTGGTGCAGTCTCAGCTCACCGCAACCTCCGCCTCCCGGGTTTGAGCGATTCTCCTGCCTCAGCGTCCCGAGTAGTTGGGACTACAGGCATGAGCCACCACGCCCTGCTAATTTTTGTATTTTTAGTAGAGACAGTTTCACCATGTTGGCCAGGCTGGTCTCGAACTCCTGACCTCAAGTGATCCATCCGCTTTAGCCTCCCAAAATGCAGGATTCAGGCATGAGCCACTGCTCCCAGCTGAGAATGTTCTTTTGAATAACCTGCTTATCAGTCTTAGGGAGATGGGGGTTGGAATAGAGGCAGATCATTATTTTTAAGAGAAAAAAGTATAGAACACCCGATGTAATATACAAATTTGTACTTTGGCTATTTCATTAAAATCTTGATCATTAGTAAAAAAAAGAAAAAAAAAACCTTCCTTGATTAAAAGAAGCTCCTGATGTGAGTTTTCCCACCAGCATTTTACTCTCGCCTTTAGGTTGAAACTGTTCCAGGGGGTCACTTTTCCTGGTGCCTGAAACGAAGATCCAAGATTTCCCCAAAGAAAGCTATAGAAATAACTGTTTCCACTGGGCCCATAATCAGCCATCAACATGGAGGACAAAATGGGGTGACATTTTTTTAAAAGGAGAAGATGATACCATTAATGTACCGCCCTTGCTGGTTCCCACTGCTCCGAGACATTTGCCGCAGGCGCTCTGCAGGTCGGGCGGGAGGGAGACTGCTATTGAGGCCCTCTGCACTTAGCCCAGCGGCCATTTCTTAGGGAATATTGATCAAAAGTACTCTCCTCTATCATCTGAGGGGCATAATGCAGTCCCTGAGTATTCACGGAAAAAAGCTTTTCTTTGCCAGGCTATTTTCTAAAGTCAAAAAGATCCTTTCAGGATCTATAATAGCAAGCCCCTTCCCACCTCACGCCCTCAGTGAGAAGCACACTCCAATTTCCAGGCCCTGAGGACCCCACGCCAAGGAGGAAGCCGAGGGCTCTGACCTCTTCATGGAAAATATTCCTTGTCAAACTCAACAAGCATTTTCACGGGGGTGGGGGGAACATAAATGGAAGATTAGCAATGACACCTGACACATAAAAAAGTGCCCTCTTGTCCCAGAGATAATTTATGCATTTATTCTTTCTTTCCTAAAATAATGTTTGAATAGAATTTTGACCACATACGTAATGCTCTCTGATATCTGAGGTAGGAATATCTTGATATATAAATAGCAACAACGACAACAACAATCCGATCAGCGCTGTCCATGTCTGACATGGTACGGAGGGAGGATGCTAGCTGGGACCTACTTTCTCACTCTCATTCTGTGAAACACAAGATCTTCCAGACAAATACTGCCTGATGTGACAGCTTATTATAAATGTCTCGCTGCCCCCATCTTGTCCAACTTAGGACACTTAGGTATTAAAATACTTATAACTTAAAATTCTAACAATGACAAAAATGAAGCAATCGCCAATTCCAGCTATTTTTTTCTCATTATTCAGAAAGAGTGTCATTTTGGAGAGTTCCTGCTGTTTTTATCACTGCTGTTTGTGTGTGTTGGGGGCAGATCTGAGAGCACCTCGAGGGCAGAGAGGGTATCACTGCTGTTTGAAATGCACTGCCTAGCTGGGCTGCCGGCTGTTCTCTGCGGGTGAAAGTGCGGTTGAATCTGCAGCAGACTAAGAACAGACCTCGGTTTCGGAAGTGAGTCTCATTCTACTCCACTCAAGGTGGTTCTTGTGGCATGGAAGGACATTGATATGTCTTTATTGTCTCAAACTCCCGAAACAGAAAACATTTTCAGGAGAGAAACGAGACAATTTTGGCCAAACTGTATGTAGCAAGTGCTTGGTAAACGTGTGGATGTCTGAGTGCAGAGAGCAGACCATGGTCTTCCAGAGCGTGGCCGACCTGCCTGGGCATCACATCAAGCATGAAAAACCTGCTTTGGCTACCTGCTCTTACCTCAAAGTCTATTTTTCAGAGTTGAAGACGAGCAATTTTTCTTTCCAGAGGTTCCAGTCCATGGCTTCTGGAGCCAGAGAGAGGTTAACTCCAGCGTTTTCGTCTCTGCGTGTAGGGAGAGTAGGTAAGTCTCTTGTTAAAACAGGTTCTCCCACACTCCAAGCCCTTGGTCTGTGTTGTGCCTGGTCCCTATGACAGCAGGGTCAGGGTGGCCTAAGCCTTGGCATTAGGGGACCTTTACAGTGACCAAAAATGCACGTGGAAACTACATTTTCAACAAACAGTCCATGCACTGGTGAAGAACGGTGATTGCTGCTAAGTGGGGGTGACATCAAGAAGTGGGAACCGGCCGGGCGCGGTGGCTCACGCCTGTGATCCCAGCACTTTGGGAGGCCGAGGTGGGTGGATCACGAGGTCAGGAGATCGACACCTTCCTGGCTAACACAGTGAAACCCCGTCTCTACTAAAAATACAAAAAAATTAGCCTGGCGCGGTGGCGGGCGCCTCTAGTCCCAGCTGCTCGGGAGGCTGAGGCAGGAGAATGGCGTGAATCCGGGAGGCGGAGCTTGCGGTGAGCCGAGATCCTGCCACAGCACTCCAGCCCGGGCGACAGAGTGAGACTTCGTCTCAGAAAAAAAAAAAAAAAAAAAAAAGAAGTGGGAACCCAGAAACTCATCTCCTGCCTGGAGCCTCACTTTCTGACCTTGTGAATCTCAGTGAGCCAACGTCTTCCGGCCTCAGTTTTCATACCTGTAGAAGGTGGTCAGATTGTGGGGGTGGGGGCGACCTTTCCAGCTGTAGATCCGTGCCTTGAGTAAACCAAATATGCAGGGACAAAGTTTACTTTGTGCTCCATTTCCACGGCCTTCACTTTTTGGTTTGAAAAACAAAATGCAACTAAAACCATTTCCAGATATAGACAAAAGAGCAAATGATTAGTGTCCCTTGACATAAACGGTTTAATAAACCAAAGTGGCCTCAATTTAGTTTCTGCACATACACGGCACCATAATGCTAGCTTGAATGTGTACTGAAGTGAACAAATATCAGTGTGTGAGCCTCTCGCTGGAAGACACGCTTCACTGCAGGAGGCATAAATAACTGGCGCTTTTTTTTCTGAAACACTTAGACATAGTCAAGACCACTTGACTATGGTTAGGTGTACCTTAAAAATATTCTTTCTTTCAATTCTGGTACCTAGCAGAAGCCCCAAAAGACCTATCAGGGTCTTGTAACAATGGTCCTTTTGGAAGCACTGACTATGGTTAGGTGTACCTTAAAAATAGTCTTTCAATTCTGGCACCTAGCAGAAGCCCCAAAAGACCTGTCAGGGCCTTGTAACAATGGTCCTTTTGGAAGCACTGGAAGTTGGATTGTTCTTTGGAATTCTGCTGAAGGTTTGGCCTAATATGGCCCAAGATTTGATGAGTACTTTTTTAAGGTGACCTGATCACTTACAGGAGGCATGATGGACCAGAATGTCTCCCCACCCTCTCATCATTCTGCAAGAAATAAAATGTGTGGCAGAGAAAACGATTTGGTGAAAACAAAAACAAAGATATAAAAAAGTAAACTGTTTAAGACTTTGAGAACAATATCCTTTGAATTTCAAATAACCATGTCCATATCTGAGAAGTATCCCTGAATTATCCAGGGCGGGGGCATCTCCAGGGAGATTATCCAGGGAGTCCTGAGGGCCACCTATGACGCCGAGTCATTAGTGAGTGGCAGAAACGCAGCTCCTAGGAGCAGCTGTAGAGCAAAGAGCTGTCCTGCAGGTAGTGGTCTCTGATGTTCCCTCAGCGCAGGCAGGGGATGAATGCTGCCCAGACCATCGCTGATGGGGCTGGCCCAGATCTACCTGTAGGTCAGCGTCCTCTGGGTAGCTTTAAAAAGTGGAGATGCTGAGGTTCTAGCCCAGACCTGGTGGGTCAGAGTCTGTAGCAGACAGGAACCTGCATTTGACTTACACAGATTCTTCAACGCTGCTGACGCACAGGCTGGGACCCACTGTGTCCAAGCCACAAAGCTCTAAAACTCCACAACAAGCTTCATGTGATGAGGTACCAAGTATTAGAAGCAGGACGTACCATCAAGCAAGCTCTTGTTATCAGTGAAAAGCTAAACATTGAATTTAGGGTCTGCCTGACTCCCAGGAAGGCATCCAGACCATTTGTGAGGTCACAGCCATGTTTTGTAAGTATTAGGTACTCAAAATATTTGCTAACTGGACAAATGGATGATTTTTACAGACTTCTAATACAATGTCCTGAAAGGTCACTGCTGCCTAGCCCATGAGTAGCCCACGATGCTGGCAGAGGCCACCTGGCCAGGCTGTCATGCGAAGGCTGGGGTCTTTAGACGGGGGCATCAGCCCGGCTTCAGCCATACCACCAGGGGACTGTTACCACACCCTGTCTATCACTTACTCACACAGACAAGCCCTCTAAGGCTGTCTCCTGCTCATCAGGGATAGGGGCTCCTGACCGCTAGAAGGGTGGCTCGTATGGGGGCTGCCCTGGAGAGAGACGGAGCAAGGGGCACAGCTCATTGTGGGCTCGGATGGACGTTGCGGTAGCAGGTGATACTGACCCAGCCCTTTAATCATGAAGAGAGAAAGCGATTTAAGTAGATTAGAACCATGATGCTTGGATTCAGAGCCTCTTGTGACTGGATCTCAGCATTCCATGTTAGGAAACGAGGTGAATTTTACATAAACATGTTGGTAAGCTTCCCCGCATTGGTACCAGCTACCATTTTGGATACATGTTTAGGCTTTGGTTAAAATATGCTTTCACACAATTCTGTCCAATAAAAATGAAAGCCACCTTTTTATTAGATGCCAGGGTGAACTTTATTTTCTTATAAACTATAATGAGAATGAGAGAAACATATAGCACTGAAGTGCTGTGTTTCCACTTTATTAAATCATCACAGTAAATCAGAATTAAAGAGTAAAAGAGGTTAACTGGAGAGTCGGGTGGCTGCCATCAGTGGAGATGTGTGCTTTCTCGGTGTGGCTGCCTGGGCCGCGGTGTGTCCTGGTGCACACACGTCTGCAAGGTGTTCCCACCACCTAGGAAGGAACCTAGATGTGGAGCATTAGGAAAATTAAATAACAAGAGACAGCAAAATAAGAATCAAATGACACGCTATAACTTAATTTACCATATTTATCAAATTTTTTCCTTATTTACATGTACTAAACATTGTAGACCTGAAAACATAAGGAAACATTCACTTCATGTGTATGTCATATGGACAGACTGAGTGCAACTAAAACGATGGTTGTTTCATGTTGAATTTCCCTCGGATGCAGACGCTGCCCTTCAGTAGATATAAAGGTAGCACAGTTACATTTACGACATCACAGTTAGGTTTTAAAGGATTCATCAGACCTCCACATGACACCGATACAGCAGGTCCATGGGGCGCAGGTGGTGCCACCTGAGGAAGGTCAGGAAGACAGGATGTGCATGGCTCTGTGGATCTGCATGAGCTCTTGCTTGTAAGGCTGAGGGTCTGATCAATCAACCTATGTCACCAAGTTTGGGTCACCCCACTTCCCCAACATGTGGCTCTTAGGAACCGCAGACTTTGTTGCTGAGGCAACCCAGGCTAAATTTCTTCACTTCTGTCTGCTGAAGGCTTATTTTTAAAAAGTCATAATTTTTTAAAGTACGAAAGCCTAAGTACAATGAGACGATAAACATCAGCTTTGCTCTGGATGGAATCTGGGAATAGGTGTGCAGAGAAGTGAGGGAACTGGCCTGGCCCTGCCTGAGGCCAGCGAGTCTTACCACATTTTGGCCCAATTAGGGCCACTTCTGTTTCCAGATGGCTGACCTACTGGTACCACCGTGATGAGTCAGCGCTGTGCCTCAGGTGGGGCCCTAGTGGATGAATGATCCTCCGCAATTTTGCTGAAAGGGATTTATTACAAAAACACAATATTTGCTTTTCTAAGTAAAAAAAAAATAAAAAAGAAACTTGATCATTGCAATTTTCCACCCCAGATAACAAAAACAACTCCAGTCCACGTGATCACGAGAAACGTGGCTGTCAGATTCCCTGCTCCACGTTCCATCTCCAGACCAAAGCTGCTACTGAGAATGGCAGGCTCAAAAAACTCTAGTCACCAAACTGCTGGCTGTCATCGGGGGTCATGGGGTCGTTATAATCCTCAGGGGTTACAGGAGGGTTGAGTTATTTGCTGCCTACAATTGAATTTCCCACCCCAAGGTAGGGATCGCTGGTTCGTGAAAGCAAAATGAAATCATGGAGCAGAAGTCCAGGAGAGTTCAATACGATTTCTAAATCCTGACATATCTTTTCTACTAAAGCCAGCAATTCCGCAACAGGAGTTTCTAGAGCCTGAAGATGAAACGTTCTCCCAGAGGCGACCTGCTGGTAGAGACCTACAGGGGACTCTGGAGCCTAGGAGCATGCGATGGCCTTCCCAACAGGAGTGAGGTAAACAGGAGACAGGAGCAGCTCAACAGCAGGATCAAGCCTGAGTGATGGTGGCCAAGCTATGCTGCCCAGATGTCTGGAATCATTTAAAATAAAGGGGCATTTGCTGACACCACAGAAAATGCCAGGACTTGCAGTCACTCTTCACATTGCCCTTCAGCCCCCGTGAGTATCCTGGGCCCTTCCCAAAACGGCCCAGGGGCCAGAAGCTTCCTTCCACTTTGGGGCACCCTCATTCTCTTCTGTTCAGGTGGTTCTCAAGGTGCTCCTGTCAGTGGGCCTGGCCTGCAATCCCCTATAAAGCAGAAAAGCAAATTCTCGCCAGGATGAGCAGGCCCGCCCTTCCGACAGGAACGACTGGCTCAGCTCTTTCTCATTTGTCCCAAGAGTGAGTCTGGCTCCTGAGTCTCCCCGTTTTCCCTACAAAGGCCAGGTTCCAGCCAAACCAGCTCCATGGCAAATGGAAAAAACTGGCTCCTCAGTGAAAATGGCCGTTCTGATGGGGTGAGAGCCTCAGAAGGCTTCTTCAGGCCTGGGTGGCCAAGCAGCCTGAAGGTAACAAGTGTGTGCAAGGGCAGAGGGCAGAGGGCACAGGAAGGTGGGGAGGCCTCCCGCACAGGGCCCGCCTTTCCCAGGACCAGCCCACCCATCATAAGCCCTGAGTTAGGGGCTGCGTCTCTCGTGCTGCTGTCCCTTCCCACTGCAGGGCGTTGCTCTGTACCTGGCCGCTGTGAGAACAAAGCCTGCGCAGTGGCGATGGACTCTGGTAAGCTTCTTGGATTTACTTCCCAAGTGAAGTGCGGGGTGGAGCAAACCTCTAGCTCTGAGGCAGGTCAAGGGTCCAGGACACAGCCTGGGGCCTGCGCCAGCAGCTCTTCGCTGCTGACTGATTTCTCTGCTGCAGGACGGGCAAGGCCCACCCAGGGCGCCCCAGCAGGAGAGGGCTCACCATTGCTTCTCTTTTCATTCATTCATTCATTTTGTTTTTAAGAAAAAAAAACAACAACAACAAAAAAACAGGTCTAATAAGCCTTCCTTGGAGCCAAATGGGCAAAAATGTAAGGATTAAATCCCTCGCTTGGAATCGGCTACCAAAAGCTTTGTGTGACAAGAAACATTTCTGAGGCCTGTGTGAGGCCTCTCTGGGCAACAGACAGGAGCAGCAAAGTTGCAGCGTGAGGCTTTTGGAGGCACAAGGCCATTCGGGGGGTACCCGTCTCAGCCTAGCGCCTGAAGCCGGCATGCGCCTTTTGTGTGGATGTGGTCTGTGTTGTTTTGAGCCTTGGGACACTTCCTGTCCTGCAGGAACTTATGCAAGGACAGGACCCTGTATTTCTGGAATCTTCTGAGTGTTCTAAGATAGGGGCATCACTGTCATGACCTGAAGCGCCTCTGCGTGGTGAGGAGAGCCTCTGCTTAGTTAGCGGGCGTCAGGTACCATGTGGGAAAACACTGGACAACTGAGGTAAAACTTCTCCTGGGCAAAAGACCCCGGGGAAAGCCAATTTCCATGATGATGAAATTTTTGAGTAAACCATAAATCCTAACATAAAAGGAACTAGCAAAATCAATGCAGATCAGATTCCTCAATTAGACAATTGTTTTGCCAGCCCCTTTGTGAATCATGCTTGGGTTCATAAATGAGAAGAAACAACTTGGGGTGCAGAAGCAAGCTGCCCTCTGCCCCCTCCCTGAAAGCGCAGAATCTTTTCCTGCTGTCATCTGCCCAGAGCAGCCACACCAGTGCCCACGTGTCAGTGGGTTCATCTCTGGTTTTTGGTGACTTTTTCTTTTCTTCTTTGGAAGTCCAAGGTTTGTGAGGTTTCAGGACAAGATGATACAGCCTAGTTTGAGTCCCATCTGAGACACGGTAGTGGGATTCACCATGGGCTTCAGAAGTCCACTAATGGGAAGACCTGCTGAGGGCACTAGTACAGCAACGAAATTTCCTGGAGATTCTGGGTTTAGTGGCTCGGGGCAGAGGCAGGAGAGGGTGTTCTGTCTCCTCCTCACTCAGGGGCTCTTCGAGGTCAGCACTCAGACTGGAGGCCAGGGCCCCTGCAAAGGAAGCAGAGAACTGCTAAGTCATGGAGGCAACGGCGGCTCTACGGCCACACATTTCAGGGAGGATCTGTGGCACTCAGAAGGGAGGGAAACTCCCAGGAGAAGGGTCTGGTGACCTCCTCCCACGCTATGCCGGCAAAGATGTTTGTTGAATGAATAAACACATGAATGTCTTTCTTCTTATTCTTTGCCCTGGGCTTTTCTGCAGCATAAAAGAAGCTATGAATCTTGTGAAATTAATTCAGACTTACTGTCCAATTCATAAGTAAAGAATGAAGAGAAAAGGCATCTGGTCACAGTGAAAGGGAGGAAGAGCCACTGAAGAAGCAGTGGCTGGAGTCAATGGAAAAGCCCGTGAAACTTCAGAGGCCGCTCTGCAGATCCCTGGCGGTGTTCCTGGAATCTCCACGTGTTTACATATCGATATTCTACACAATGAGTTACAACTCGATTATTCCCCAAAGGGTCTAAGACTAGAGGTCAGTCCTAAATTGCTTGTCTGAATGAGTCCAGATGAGCATACAGCTGTTCATCACTGGAGGGAAAAGGAATAAAATTAAAACCTGCACATCTGCACCCCCCGCTTCCCCAGGGCTGCTGTCGGTGTGCTCAGAGGAATACAAGAATGCCTGCTGCAACACCAAGCCACTGTTGCGGGTGGAGCTGGGTCTCCCCTAGCACCGTTCTGCGAGCGAGAGGATCATTTCATCACCCTTCCCCTCGTAGTGTATTTTTAAACCCTGTTGTATTATGCCCCAAGTTTCCTGCATGACCTCTGCTGGGAACCAACCTCAGAAGCAGAGTTTCCACATCTTCCTCCCTGCGTGATTCACTTGCAGGGCTTTGGCCTTTGAAATTATTATTATTATTGGCATTTGAAATTAATTTAAGTCAGTTATTTTATTCACAGACGCATCTTTTTTCATTCTCTGACCTTCCCTTATTGTTTCTAGGAGGAGTTTCCAAAATCAATACTTGCAAACGTGCTTGGACCTATGGAGGCAGCCTGGCTCAGGGTGTCCTGAAATTCAGTACTTTCAGAGTCCAGGGGCTTCATGGTTGCCTCCCTTCTTCTAGGCTCAGTCAGGTCGGGCATACAGAGAAGGCTCACTATTCTCATCTTTAAAACAGGCTGCAGCCGGGCGCGGTGGGCGGATCGCTTCAGCCCAGGAGTTCCAGACCAGCCTGGGAAACACAGTGAAACCCCGTCTCTACAAAAACATTGCAAAACTTATCCAGGCATGGTGGTGCGCACCTGTAGTCCCAGCTACTTGGGAGGCTGAGGTGAGAGGATTTTGAGCCTGGGAGGTCAAGGCTGCAGTGATGGCTTCACTGCACTCCAGCTTAGGTGACAAAGTGAGACCCAGTCTCAAAAAAAAAACACCACACATGAAAAACCTCAGAACACAAAAACAGGCTGCTTCTGACAAAGGCAGCACAGCTAGACCATCATCCACAAGAGAAGCTAGATTGTTACAAGGCATCTCTCCATCCCCTCGCAGCTGGTGGTGGGCACTGGCATTTAATCCAGGGTGTGGGGCAGCATGGGAGAACAGACTTGATTTAATCCCAGACAATATTCCAACAGCCCAGCCCACTATGGTAATCAGATTGATTCTAATAAATAAGCAAAAAAAAAAAAAAAAAAAAAGGCAAGTAAATGAAAGATATAAAGTGAGATCCAAAGAGAAAGAGCGAACCTTTGCTAATTCTGGATTCGAAGGAAAACATTTTAGTTCCTCTGCCCCACCCACTCACCCAGGGAGGATAAAGAGGGAAAGAGGGGTGCACCTCGAGTTCCTGCAGATGGACAGAGGAATGCCAGCTTTGTCCCGCTGAGTGAGCCTGGAGAACAGCAGGAAGCTCTGCAGAGAAGGGGGCCTGTGCACCTGAAAGCAGGGATCCCATGGCCAGGGGCAAAGGGCAAAGCCACCCCTGCAGCTGGGCTGCAGCCAGTGCCACAGTGCCCTACACAGGCCTCTGGTCCCCAGCTTTCTGCTGGGACATTCTCATCTGCACTGGGCCCTCGTGCCACAGCACCCCGTGGTGGGGAGGTGGCAGCTGCAGGACAGGTAGGCGGGACACAAGGTACGGCCGCCTTCCTGATATGACACGTCCACTCGCAGCTTTGCTCCACTCGCACTGCCTCCTCCCGGTGATGGAAGCCAAGGATTTATTCACAGGACACTCGAACCTCACCTCCCCACTTTGGCGGCAGGAGCAGGAGGACATGCATGGAGACGGGGGTCTCGGCAAATGCGAAGTTTTGCAGCAAGGTGCCCTGCTGGGAGGGGACTGTACAACCCTTCTCTGCCCCATCTTGACATGAGCACCTGGGCTCTGAGGCTCGTGTCACCTGTTGGGGCTGACACGAGTGAGCCCAGTTTGGGACAATATCAGGACTGGGCTTAAGCCTTGGGTGAGGGGAAGAGAAAGGGCAGCTGGCTGGAGGGTCGGCTGGCTGTGATGCTGGCTGCTCCTCTGGCCTGCAGGTCCAACAGCCCTGCCTAGCAGAGGAGGGTGAAGGTTTGGATAAACCAACAAATCTGGACCCTAACATCCCACTTCCATATTTACTGAGACAAAGTGACTGGTGTCTGTGCCTTGCATTCCACTGTGGGCGACAGGCTCAGGAACGGCAGCTCGCTCACTTGCTTTCTCCTGTGAATGGCATTGCCGTGATCCTTGTCATTACCAACTGCTCGCCTTCCGCCTGTGAGCCTGGGAGGTGGTGCAGCCCAGGCCACACGGGACAGGGTTTTCAGACAGCCTTGCCAAGGCGGCTGCCATCCATCAGAGCGCTCTGGGCAGGGCCTGGACCCCAGACCCAGGACAGAAAGGCAGGCTGGGGAGGTCACACCTGCCATGGCCAGCCTATCCTCTGGGTCCTAGACCGCAGCCCATTCCTAGGTCTCCACCCTCTGCGCTCCCGCAGCTTTTGTCCGCTTTTCCTTCCCCAGCTGTTCCATTCAGCAGCCCCCGCCACAACCTGCCCTCCCCGCATGGAGGTCTCAGAGGCCTCCATTAAGGCTGGCGGTCAAAGGCCGGCCCAGCACGTGCCGTGTCTTATCGGCCCATCTCAAGACCCTGCTCCTTCAGGCCTGGGCAACAAAAAAGGGGGCGGCCCCAGCGCCCGCTGGCTCCCTGCAGCCCCACACACAAAAGGGCAGGCGACAAAGACATTTTCCGGGATGGCAGGTGTTGGTGTCGGATTCCTCCCCGAGTGCACGGGCAGAAGAAAGGCAAGGCTGGGCTTCCCCGGGCAGCGCAGACATGCAGGGGCAGGAGTGTGGGCAGGGCCCCCGGGGAGGGGAAGGCCCAGGAGGGCGAGGAGCACTGATGCAGGGTCCGCTACCGAGGGCAGCCGATTAGAAAAGTCCCACCCCCTCCCCAAAGCAGGGTGGCTGGACAAATCCACTGAAGTGTCTGTCTTACCTTGCTCAAATATTGAAATGAGACCTTTACGTGTTTTAATCTGAAGGGAAAGAACACAAAATGGAATGAATACAAACACAACACCCCCACAGCTCCAACTTGATAACTAACACAGTGCTAATAATACATTTATCCCTGAGCTGCCCAAGCATTTCTGCAGCCTTGTCAATCAGTAAAAACTGAACATTCACTTGAAAATTCTACTTGATAGGACAAAATACAAGCCGATGTCGTGTTTACAAATGTGAAATGAGAGAGACATTAGAACTCCCAGGATCTACGCATGCAGACCTTGTCAGGATCTATGCATGCAGACCTTGTCAGGAGCCCTACAGATGCTGAACAGCACTGACAGCTATATCCTTTCCCTGCTCTCCAACTTTTCCTGACTGATTTTGTTTAAAATACAAAGATAAAAGTGTTTTCAAGACAAGCATTTGAAATTCAATGGATGACCTGAAAAAATAATTGAAACCCCCTAGGTGGGCAAGTTTACATGTCTCCAAGTTTCATTTTACAGGTTTCTGAGTTATACACAGTGTGTTAATACTGGTGTCACCTGCAATATGACAGTCCCCAGGGAGGGAACACACAGCATCCTGTGCAGAGGAAAGCTTGGGAGGGTTCCCTGGAGTGGTGAAATTGGACCATAAGGTCACTCTCACCCACAGAGCAGCAGGGTCTCAGTAGTCACACAGAACTGAGGGGGATTTTAGCTTTTCTATGCCTTGTGACAGGTTCTTCCACCCCTTCCACGCCATCCTATTTCCTACGGCGGGGTTTCCTTGGCAAATGCATCCTCTTTCTGCGTCAGGCAGTAGCTTCTCCTGAACTCTCAGCCCCCACAACTCTCCTGAATTCTGTGTCAGTAGACGACCATCAGATCTGGACAAAGGACATTTATCAGTGACGTGGACCATTGTCTGCACAGTCACAGTTGTAAACGTGGATTTTCTGCTGACCCCCTCTGCCAAGGTTGCCAAGGTTGGCACAGTGACAGGGGCAAACTTCTAAGATGGTGGCTCCAGCAGCCATCAGGAGGTGACCACTAACATTCTTTTAGCCAAGGCTCCATGAAAGAAACGTGCACTGCTATGGAGACATCTTTTCCAATCTATTGATGAAAATTGTCCCTTTCTCCCAAGAAAATTATTTGGGGTTAGGAGATTCTGGATCAGTAACTGATCGTGGGTCGTGTATGATCCTTGGTTTGATTTCCAACCACCGTTAACACCGTTCCTTCTCCACACCTGGTTGTGCTCTTTGGGCACAAGAGGTTCTGGGCTGCTGCTGACTGTTGGTCATGGGCTAGAATGTTTTCCATGGATCCTCGGGATGATTAATCATTTAGATTTCTGATTTCCCCCCAATGTGCTGTGCTGAAGGGCCCCCATTTCCTCTCATGGAAGAGGGCAAACATAGAGCATATCTGCGTGGGTCTTCCTTGAGTTGAGGAAGTTCGGCTTTTAGAGCACCATGCCACTGACACCCTCCAGTGTGAGCAAAGGGTCTCTTTATGAAGGCGCTCCTTGATCTCACTCCTCTGCAGCCCCTCAGCCCTGGTTATGCTGTGCGTACAGGCACCCGATTGGTAGAAACCAAGAAAGCAGATGGCGCAGCTAACAATGGAGGACTTGTTTGTAATTGCTGATGAGGACTGGGTTGCCCCTCTCCTGTGCATCCCCAGACGCAGCCTGGTGTGGTGTGCTGGACCACAAAGAATGTCTCAGTAACTGCCAATCCATGGTTGAGTTAAGGAGATGCAAAGACAGAGACAGTTGGGGGCTGCCTTGATTATTCCATGGGGCTCAAATGTCACTTGCCCTTGACACACGGCGGTGCTCCCAAAGGGTGGGGTTCCAGTCGTGGAGCAGAGGAGTAAGCTGTCAGCTTCCTGATACATCTCTGGGGTACGCACAGGGCACTGACCAACCTGGGCAGTGTGGAGGGCACCTGGAGGGCAATGTGCTCGGAGATGGGGGGTGGGAAGAGGCCAGGAGGGACCTGACGTCTGGGGGCGATAGGGGAGAGACACAAAGCCTAACTGTCCTATCCCTTTGTCAAATGAGCAGCAGATATGTGCCAGGTACTGTTTTAGGCTCTGGGTTACAGTGGTGACCAAAGCAGATGAAACCGCTGCCTCCAGGGGATCTGGGAGAAAAGTTACAGCATGCAGTCTAATGAGGGGATATCACCCCTTGGGGTGGCAAAATAGCCTACTCTTTATATGCATACAGCACAGGTCTAAGTACTGTAAGTAAACAGATACACAGTGTTTCTGTGGTGTTTCAGGGGAGGGGACAAATTAGGAAACCAAAATGTCTCAGAAGGCTCCACGGTGGGGTGATAATGGATAAAAGGTTGTGACAGCCGGGCACGGTGGCTCACGCCTGTAATCCCAGCACTTTGGGAGGCCAAGGCGGGTGGATCACCTAAGGTCAGGAGTTTGAGACCAGCCTGGCTAACATGATGAAATCCTGTCTCTACTAAAAATACCAAAAAATCAGCTGGGTGTGGTGGTGGGCACCTGTAATCCCAGCTACTTGGGAGGCTGAGGCAGGAGAATCGCTTGAACTGGGGAGGTGGTTTCAGTGAGCTGGGATCATGCCATTGCACTACATCCTGGGCAATAGAGCGAAACTCCGTCTCAAAAAAAAAAAAAAAAAAAGTTGTGACACTAGGTTATAGGGTTACAGTGTCTTAAATTTGAAGTCATTTTTACCTATTTGTGGTGCTGGGAATCGAAGCCAGCCCTACTCATATCTAAGAGTAGTTGAGTGAGACTCCTCGGGGACAGCCCTTAGCAGTTTAACTCAGACACCAAAAGGCCAAACTGTGGCCAACTGGCGGCTCAGACACAGAGTTGAGCCGGGGGAATCCAGAAGTCACTTTTGAAGAAAGATGTCTTGCTTCTTCCACCTTGTGTGACTTCTCCGATACTCTGGATATCAACAGGGATTTAAAGCAGCACAGGAAACAAGAGGCTGGCTGGAGATGTGTTGTGTTATGTGCGGCTCCGCCTAGCAGAGGCGTTCCAGGAATTGGTGGGCCTTTCTATGGCATGCTTTCTCCAGCTGTACTCACTGGGATAGCAAGAGAGCAAGGCTTTGAACCAAGCTTCTTGCCTCTGAAGAAAGGCTGCCATCCAGAACCGCCACCTGGGATGAGGCTGGGCAGGGTCAGGACAAGAAACGCTGCTGCCTGTCCTTGGATCCTGGTTACTGAACAGTCAGTGTGGAAAATGATTAACTGGTTCAAGATAATTAGGAAAGAGAATGATTTTGAGAGCTGGCATGGATGAGGGAGAGAAACAGTGGACTAGGGCTCCAGCTTTAGGCAAGTGCTAAATATCCTACCAGCAGGAAGGCGGACAGAGTGGGAGATCAGAGAGCTGTCTGGGCTATTCAGACCCCTTGGAATGGCTCTGAGGAAGGGAACAGGTGCAGGCAGTGGATGGGGTAAGCCCACACACTCAACACTGGCAACCCAAGGCCAGTGGGAATTAGCCAGCCTAATTAACATCTCCAAATGGCCCAAGGATGGCTTCCAGTATTTCCAATCCAGCAGCAGTGGCTGTGTCCTGGCCCTGGCTCTGACTCTGGGTTTGGCTTCCTCTTTCTGGTTGTTGGTCTTGCCCATCACCCTTGGTTCAGAAGCCGAAAGCTGGGACAGCTGGACAGGAAGGGAGGGAGGAAGGGAAAGTGCATGGAGCGTGTGCCTGTATACGTGCTGCTCCCGTGCAGGGGCTAAGTGAGCAGGTGGATCATTGGTAAAAAAAATTTTCCTGGCATTTTTTTCTTTCTCTCCCATGACTATAATGTACTTGTGTGTGGCTCTATGACTAAATTAAACTAAATTATAAATTTAAAATTAATATCTTGGTGTCAACTTTCTTGTTAGGCCATCATAAAGAAATGTTTCCAGACTCTCTCACTCTCATGGAACATAAACACCAAGATTTCCGCTGCATCTTAGCCATGGGAAGTCTGTGTACTTTACCAGACTGAATTCACATGAGTGAGTGGCCACAGAGGACCCGAACATTCACAGCAGCAATATTCACAGTGACCAAAAGTGGAAACAGCCCGAATGTCCATCAACTGGTGAATGGACCAATAAAATGTGGTCTATCCGTACAGCAGAATATTTGGCAATAAAAAGAAATGGAATACCGATATGGGCTACACATGGAGGCACCTTGAGAATATGCTAAAAGAAAGAAGTCAGCCACCAAAGACCACATATGGGATGATTTTATTTATATGAAATGTCCAGAATGGGCAGGTCCATAGACACAAAAAGTGGATTTGTGGTTATTTAGAGTTGAGGAGTGGGCGGGGAGAAGTGGGATTGCCTATCAGCAGGCTGTTTAAAAGGGGGGATGAAATGTTATAGAATTTGATTGTGGTAATGGTTGCATAACCTAATGAATAGACCAAAAACATCGACTTGTATACTTCATGTGGTTGAACTGCACAGTATGTGAATTAGATCTCAATAAGCTGGTTTTTAAAATGGCAAAATGGAATAGAAGGTGGTCTGGGTGGCACTACTATTCCCATGATTCCAAAAGTGACACAACAGAAGTGGCTCCAAGATTTTAGAAGAAAAATCCCCTGGGGCACCCAGGCAAGCAGGGGAATGAGGGCAGCTGTGAGGTTCTGTAGATGCCACCAGCACCTCTCCTGCTGTGCCACCCCCCAAACCTCACACCACCCTCAAAGCAAATAGGGCCAACCCACTGCTGGCACACTGCTTTTCAGTGACTTGTTTTCCCTTCCAGGGTGTCTCCCAAGCTTATTCTAACTTGAATTGATCTGTCTTAAAACAACTCAGGAGTGACCGGGGCAGTGAGGTGGGATTACTGTGTGATTTGTCCCAAGATACACTGGGAGTGTGTGTGCCACTCAGGACTATTTTTTAAAAGTTTCCCTAATAATCAACAGCTCAAGAAAATGTAGCAGTTAGATCCATGATGACTGTGGGAGGACAGTGAGTTCTAGGTATTTGTGTGAGGTGTCTGAGGAAACATTGCAGAAGCAATGGAAATGTCTGGTAGTTTTACCGATAAAAACTGTCTTGTCCCCAGAAAGGAATTTTGGCCCATAATTAAGATACTTCCTATATGTGAATTATTTCTGTGGTGCTCCTTTTGAATTGCAAAGTAGGCAACCCTTTAGCTAAATTTCTCAGTTATCCGTGCCAAAGTGGCATGGTCTTTGCCACTGTATAAATTGTACAGGCCATACATTCTAGAAAACAGTCCTTTCTGCCTTCAGGGAGGGACATTTTGCCATTGCCACTGAAGAAGGGCTCCTCTCCCCCACTGGGTTGTTCATTCCTGTGGGTGGGTCCCCCACAGCAGGCACGGAGAGGCAGCGGGGCTGTAGGGTGGAGCAATGAGTCCTGTCTGAGAATGGAGAGGCCTAAGTGCTCGAGCTCTGGTCTGGACATGACCAGCCACCTGGTGATGGAAAAACCAGCCTGCCTCCATTCCTCAACTGTCAGAGAAATCTTGCCCCATGGGAGGGGGGACTCTGGGGAAAGTGTGCAGTAAACTGCAAATCTCTACATGTACATAAAGAATGGTGACAGTTCACAGAGAGTCCTGGAGACCATTTTTGTAAGAGTAAAAAAAGCTAGGGAGCCTTGCCTCCCATCCTTGCCCTTCTGTGTCACTGAGTTGTTTAAAGTCTCTTGAATCACTTTCTGTGTAGTGGGGATGGCCATCTGCGCGATTCTTCACGCACACGCGTGCTCATGACCACTGGAACTTACAGGGATCTGCAGGGTCTTGAGGGCAGGGCGGGACACGTGGCTGAGCTCCACGTTCTGCCTGTCTGGGCAATCCAGGACAGGGGCTATGTTCTGTGGTGCTGGAGTGAGGGGGCACCGCTGAGGGCCCCTCTAGTGCCCCCCAGGGAATGTTCAGGCAGAACACCTATTGTATAAGCATAACATCTGTTCATTCACCAGACACATATGACATACCTGTTGCGTGCCCAGAGATGGGAATACATGGCGAGTAAACTGTCATGGAAGTTGTCCCCCATCCCCACAGTGCACCCTCCCCACTGAAGCCTGACTGACCTTCGTGGAAGAGTCATATCACAGCACTCTGCTGCTTCACATCTTTGTGTGCTGCCCATCTCACCAGAGCAAGAGCCAAGGTCTTGCCCTCTGCCCGTAAGGCCACTCTGACCTTCCTGTTCTTCCTGCCCACCCTGGCTCACTCAGCTCTAAGGAGGCTGGGCTCCTTGTTCCTTGATTGTGCCAGGAAAGTCCCTGCCTCAGGCCCTTCCACCTGCTCTTTCCTGCCCCTCCTTCCTTGTCATTTCTCACACGCCGCCTTTTCAGGGAGGCCTTCTCTGACCCCCTATTTTAAAGTGCGCCCCCACCCCAGGTGTGTTGGATTTTCTCAGTGGCACTCCCAAGGCTCTTTCCCTGTTGTCTTTTCTCCTCAGTACTCTTCAGCTCCTGAGAGCAGACACTGCCGTCTCCTTTCCCGTCTGGAAGGTGAGCCTCCAGTGAAGGAAGGGCTGCTGTCTGTCTTGCCCATCTCTGCAACTGGCATATTCAGTGTTTGGTAAACATTTATGGGATGAATGTCTGAAAACCCACTTTCGTGGGCTTTATGAGATGCTCTGAGGAGTGAAGCTGCAGTTCGCATCTACTTAAATTGTAGCAAAGGTGCATCCCTCTGTGTCCCCGGGTCTTAAGTGGACCTGAGTTTTAATATCTCAATTTGGCCTCTGGCAAGTTGCTAGCTTTGGGTAAGTGGGAGAAAGAGCAGAGTCAGCCTAGCGGGCTACAGATTTCCACTTCTGGCCTCCTCCTTCCTTCTCCGTGGTGATCTATTTCCTCTGGGACTCTCACATGTGATGCTGTTGGGTCAGCGACTGTCACCCTGGTCCGGAGCGCCCAGCCTCACGAAGCTGCATGCCCAGATGTTACCTGGAGGCTGTGGTGCTAACTGGAGTTGCGCTGTTTCTCCAGCTGCTTCTCTGCACCCTAGGGATGTAGCTAGGGAGCAGGGCTTCCCTAATGACTGCACGTGGGCTCTGGGATGCACGCTGACTGCAGAGTCTACCCATACACATTCAGCAGCACTGGCAAGGCAAGGTGTGCACACTTCCTGTTTTGCCTGAGATTAGGGGTATGGGGGAGTGGAACCTTCCCAAGCCATACCCATGATTCCTTTTCCATATCCTCAGGCAATCTCACAGATCACACAATCCCACACAGGAGAAGACAGATGCTGGGATGGTGGAGGCCACTGGTTCCCACCACAGGTCACAGCTGAGTGCTGCGGGAAAGGCAAGAGGAGCCTCTGCGTGGGGGCACAGGTAGGTGGAACGTGTCCTCTATGCATCTGGATTTTATTGTCTCATATTCTTGAAGTGGCCACAAAATAGAATAGGGTTTTCCCTATTCTTTCTCGGCATTGTCTACTGTGATGCTACTAGGTTTCTTGTGTACTGAGAAGTGAATTTGGCCACATCAATGCTGTAAATATGTAAAGTTACTTATTTCAAATGGATGGGCATGTTTCCCATTTTTAAGGGATTTTATTCCTTCTGCTGTTTGAGGGACTTTAAAGGCTAATGGGCAAAAAGGAACCGGCAGGTTTAGTTCCTGTTATCATCCTATATCTTCCTGGAAAAGGGTAGTACAAAATATTCTTTCTTCTTTCTGTCAGAAGACTTAACTGCGAATAAGAGAGGTTCCATTTGGCCTCTGCTTTGGTTTGGCTGTTCCTAAACAGGAATTTGAGCAAAACCACTGAGTCTTCTAGGAGGCCCCTCAGCAGCTGAGGTTGTGCATGCACCACCTGCTGAGCCAGGAGGACTTGAGGGCCAGTCACGATTCACAAGGAATGTGAACCCGGGGTGTCGGGAGCTTCAGGTTCTTCTGAAATACATTCTCAAGGTTATTTCAAATAAGCTTTAATTAAGAGTTATTTCCAAAAATTGTCTCTGAGAAAAATTCCTGGTACCTGCCAGCCATCTCTTGGCAACTGCTAAAGCGTCCCCTGAGCTGTAATTAGCAGTCAGGCAGGAGGAAGATGCCACCTGCACTTAAAACTCTGTAAGGACTGGGAACCCAGAACCTAACGCAGCATTTCACAGAAAAACCGCACCTTCAGAGTTCTGCCAAGGGAACAGATTCAGTGCAAGGTCACACTTCAAAATGAATGATCTCAGGCCGCTTCTTATTCTGGGAACCTATGAATACTCCCAGCACCAGCCCCAGGGTTGTCAGGAGTGTCACTGTCCCCGCAGTGGCTCTGAAACATGTGGTTTCTTTCTCTCTGCTCTTCTCACATTTACTATCCTCTATCTTTTTATTTTTGTCCATGGGCCTTCCAGTTCTCAGACATTAGGCAATGTGGGGAAGTTCCAAACCAACTGGCAGGATGCTTAGTAGAATATCTAATACAAACGAGGCAAGTTTTCATTCTCCTCAAGTTGACAAGGCAAATGGCATGGTCCATCTCAGGGAAATCTCAACCCAACTGGCCTAAACCACTGGCTGGCTATCTTTTTGACATGTGGTTATAGTTTGGAGGAAACTTATCTGAGCTTATTAATAAATAGCCATTTTTTTTGTGTGTGGCTCACGAGTGTCTGCTTTTCTCCAATAAGACTTCAAGCTTCACAAGGGAAGGAGAGACACAGGCCTGCATGAGATTCCCAGAGCCTTAGTTTGTGTTGCCTGAAGTGCCCTGCACAGTCCTGCTCAGTGGCAGCCTCCAGGGGCAACAAGGACCACGTCAGAGATGGTAACATCTGACAGGTAGCAGTGGCACTTTCCTAGCCAAGCAAATGAAAAGAATGCTTGTCTCATCTCTTCCAGAGCTGACACTGAGGAGAGTAAAAAAGTTTTAAAAGAACAAAGGGATGAAGAAGCACGAAGCCTAAAGTGGTGCTAAACAAGGTGATCGATAATTCCCTTTAAAACCCTCGAGACCATCTACGAAAGCACCTCGAATCAAGTTTCAGTTACTCGGTCTGTGGATTCGCTGGCTCCTGACTTCCCCTGCCTTTCTCCACACCGGCTTCTTATCAGATTTCTTGTCGGTGGCCCACTTTCACTAAGAGACTGGGAAGGAGGGGACAGATGAAACATAATTACGAGTGTTTGCTCTGCATCTTGCATCAGGCCCACACATCTGTGGTCTAGAGACACACCTGTGCTGCTTAAAGCAACAGCCTGATTCCTTTCTGTCCTCCTTTCTATTCACTCCTGTTGCATGTAGGAAAGAAATCCCATGTACCAGTCTCTAAAGAATTTACAGTCCATTATGGAGAGGAGACACACACGCAGGATAAAGGCTTACATATGCTAAGGAAAATCAAGATATATGTAACCACAAGTCGGATGGCACTAAAATTAAGGCCTAAATATTTCAGAGAGGATTTAGGGCAGTGGTTCTCAGTCCTGCCTGCACGTTAAAATACCCTCAGTTTTTTCTTTTTTTTCTTTTTTAAAATTCCATGCTCAGGTCACACCCCAGACCAATAAATCCGAATCTAGTGGAGGGACTCAAGCATCGGTATCTTTACAGCTTCACAGGGGATTCCAATGTGAAGCCAGAATTGAATCCCACTGGGTCTTGGTGATGGAATGATAGCTGGTAAAAAAAACTTTCTATCAATGTTGTACCATCTTTCCAAGAAGAATACATCTTAAATTGGAAAAAAATCAAAGCAAAAGTGGTCAGAATCAAGCCGGTTATGAGGGAAGGAAGACTTGGGCTGTGTCCAGAAGGGATTATGGGGGTAGAAGAAACATCTGTCCAAGGCAGTTGTCTGTAGGACATGTGGCAACACTTTGGCCAGCTACAGCCAAGTGTGCTGAGGGTGCTGAGTGGGATGGCTGAGTTATTGAATAGATGGTCATATAAGATAGTTTGTATTTAAGGAAAACTTTTGGGTCAGGTGCAGTGGCACACACCTGTAATCCTAGTACTTTGGGAGGCTGAGGTGGGCAGATCGCTTGAACCCAGGAGTTCAAGACCAGCCTGGGTAACATGGTGAACCCCTGTCTCTATAAGAAATACAGAAATTAGCTGCATGTGGTGGCTTATGCCTGTAGTTCCAGCTACTCAGGAGGCTGAGGCTAGAGGATTGCTCGAGCCTGGGACGGGAAGGATGCAGTGGGCTGTGCTCACACCAATGCAATCCAGGCCTGGGCGACAGAGTGAGACCAAAAGGGAAAACTTCTGTATTATCTGAATAGAGTAAAATTTGACTCTGGCCTTTAGTATGAATAAAGAGCTGGTAGCTACGGCTCTGATTATGGGATTATCACTATAGGGTGGGCACAGGGCTGGCATTTCCATGTGAAATGGGGAGGTGAAGATTGAGTTGGCACTGATTCCAACTTGCCCATGACCTTCGGTGGTCCCTTCCTGGGTTGGTCTTCAGCTTGCTCCAAATTAATGTGACAGGGTTAGACATGATCTTTCCTGAAGTCCCTTCTAGTTCAACATTCTATGATGTTCTTTGCTGGCTTCAGCAAAGTTATGGGGAAGCTGAACACATACAATTCAAAAGAAGCACTATTAATTAAAACCGTATTAAGACCACTTTAACAGGGAGGGAATGAATATGAATGTGATGAGTCTGTCACATGACTATCCTTTCAATGAGCGGGGAAACTCTTTTTGGTGGTTTGGGTTAGGATTTACTTGTGCTGTTTCTGGGAATTAACTTGATTATTAACTGCCCAGTGAAACGGCCAAGGAAGACTGCCTGTCAGGACTGCATGCGGAATGACGAGCTGCATATGGCGCGGAGGCCTTAGCAAGCAAAAGCTGGGTGTAGCCATATCCCTCTGGGCAAAGGCTGGTGAGTTCTAAGAGGAGTTTGTGTAGTGTCTACATCTCAGATTTGCTTTGGGGCGAATGTGTAACATAAGTGCCTCCATCTGCAGTTTTAGGAGAAGATTTTATTGGCCACCAAAATGACTCAGTGACACCAGGCAGAGTCTTCTGGCAAAGGTTCTGCAAACTTAACATAACGACTGTGTTGTAGAAGAAAAGCTACAGAAGTCTTTTTCATTAGGTAAGTGGCAATAATAACCCTTTCCACGAGGGCATCCAAGCAATTGTGTGAAAGATGAAAGTTTGCAGTTTTGTGCAGTAGCAGGAATGGCAGTGGCATCCTAAGACCGACTCAGACTAATCTGGTTTAAGCTCCAAATACGACCTACATTAAAAGTGGCAGACTCTGATGAAGCATAGTGAGGAATTTTCTCCCACTTGTTCTAAATCCTGGAGCCTTGACAATCCAGCCTATCATAAAGGAGGAAGTATTTCTGACCATATCTTGGAGAAATCAAATGCTGTGTTTATGCAGGGCTAACAAATAAACAAAGACCTGTGCTCCCTCTGCTGGCTCTCTATAGCAATATTGAAGCAGAAAGGAACCATACGTAGTATTGGCATCTTCAGCAAACACAAGTCAGTTTGGGTATTCCGAGAAGAACCACTCATTTAACTTGGTTTTGAACATTCTTTGAGAAAAATCTATCAACTTCTGACAAAGGCACTTGGAAATTCTTAAAATTAGATATTAAATGAGACATACCTGTAGCCCTTGGCTACCAGATTGCTAGCTGTGACCGTAATAGTGATCTGGGGATTGATTGATCAACAGACACAAGTGGATTCCTCCAAAATTTTTAGATCCAGACACAATCTTTAAGGCAGTTCTGAAAAAAATCTCAGGTCCAATGTAAAGTTCCTTTTTTTCTCTTTTATAAGAGCAACTTCTAAAAAGCAAAGATTTACACTATTTATATCTTTTCTGATAATGTCAAACACTAGACTTGATTTTCCAAATCATTAGCATGCAGAAGAATGACCTCATGGTGAACAGATGCACTTGGCTGTGAGCTGCAGTGATTACATCAGTCCCTCCCAGCAGTCGAGGGTGCCCATTCCAGTTAACCCTTTCAAGGCCTCTCTGCCGGTCCCTCTTTCTTGGTGATATGATTGAAAGCACAAATTTAGTCCCCCACCCCAATATGTGTGTGTGTGTGAGAGAGAAATGTATATGTGTATATAAATGTATTTATACATAAAACATATATATGTTAATTGCAACCAATATTTTAATACTGGCTACATTTTAGATTATTTAATGCTGGTCAAAAAAGGAAGGTAAACTATAGTGCTAGGTAAAAAAGTAGTTGAAATATCTTTACATGTCAGGTGTTATCAATACAAGTAATGGATGGAATAGATACAAGGTAGATACGATGGTCTTTAAAAATATTTTCTCATTAGGAAAATAGATTTTGTTTTGAAAGCTCTTTGAAAAATGCCGAGCGCTCATATATTAGCAGCTACACCACCATGTGTGGTTGACGGCGCATCCTGAACGCAAGCCTGTTCACCTGGCCAACCCACCCCCGCAGGGCTTGTTGGGCGGATGGGTAACAGCACCTGGATGGGGAGAGTCAGAAGCAGAGGGCATTTTCCAACAGTGGAAGCTTCAGGCACAGGCCATTCCCACCGAGTGCATCTCCCACTTTTACTTCAGACTTAAAGGCTGATTTTGGGGCTTTCCCTCTAGAAGTGGGGGCTGCATGCTGCTTTCTGGCTTGCTGCTACCAATACAGTGCAGAATGAATGCAGTGTTCAGGTGATGCTCCCTCTTCATTAATAATAAAGTCCTGGTGGTGAGGATACAAAGAAAACCTAGGAGCCCCTAATTCCTCAGATTGTGCATACGCATGTGAGCCCAAGCCCAAGGCCCTGCTTTGATGACACTGAGGGCCAGAGATGGTCTGATTGGGTCCTAAGTGCACTGTGGGAGCTTAAGCCGCTCAGGGTCAATTTTTCCAGTTGGCTTGTTGCTTGGAAGAACAGACTTCACCTCAATTTCTTAGTTTAAGCTGGCTGGCTCATCTGGGTTTGATCGCCCTTGTCCCAAGAACATAACAGTGTAAACAAATGACAAATGTTTTCATCTGTAGAAGTAGTAACAGATAGTGGACAGGGATTCCTCAAAAGCGAAGCCAGTATGTAAGCTAGAAGATGCTTCCGAAAACGTGCTTGTCTATGGTGCTGAAATGCTCTGTCCTCATTGTACTGCCCCACATTTCAGTTCAAATCAAGATTATATCTAGTTCATTCCTACTCAGCGTTATGAGAAGATATGCAAAGAATTAAAACAGAACATTATGCCTAGACTTAAAAATCACACTTAAGGATAGGCATGATAGACGTATAAAAATGTTTCCCACTCAACACTGAATTCCTTAAACCATGAACACTATGAAATGTAATACTGATGTTAATAATTTGAAAAGCGGAGGGAGTAGCATTTGTCTTGATATTCCATGTTTGGTTTCACGTTCCTTTTAGAAGAGTTCCAATGCCCACCCTCACATGCTGTCAGAATCTTCATTCTGCTAAGCAATTTTCAAAAATATGACGTTCTTGAAGAAGCCTATTGACAATCCTCTCCAAGTAGAGTTCTTAAAAACTCAAATTGCTCCTAGAATCTCACTCATTTCTATTGGTTTAAATAATTATGGATGTTTGGAAAAGATCAAATTAGTTTATACAGAGGCTAAAATATACATAGAAAACAAAGTCCATCATTATTCATTTTGATAATATCTTAATAATCTTAAGAATGTAACAGTTAAGGAATGAAAACATCTAGTTATTATTTACGTGTTTAATTTTAAGAAGTAAAAAGCTTTCTCAAGAGTTAAACAAACAAACAAAAAACAAAAAACAACCTGCACTGAAAAATCAAGTCCTCACGAAGAGGGGAATAATCTCATGAGGGTGGGAAAAAGCTGAATGAGATCTTTTTAAAATTAGCTTTGCTACAGATCCCTCATGTTCTTTCACTGAAAAATTAGAAACGATTTAAAATCTCTAGCCAGACCGAGTATGAAATCTTCATTTCCCTTGAAACGAATTTGTTTTTGTCTTAGATAGAATGTTGGCAGAGTGTATAAAAGAATTCAATTCACAGCTGTTCCACTTTTTTAATGTAAGAAACATTAATCAAAGCTTTAAGTTATAAGCTTTTCTCATGTTGCTTAGTATTCCAGTTCAACAAAGATCAATAGAGGCCATCCCAGTGTTCCTTGACGCCTCACCAGGAAGCAGAGGCGTGATTATGCAAATCACGCTGCTCCTGCACCTCTGCCAGCCTGCTTATCTCCCAAGCCTTCTGCCTGCTGCTCCTGGCTCCCTGCGCAAGTGCGTGCCTCTCCCTCTTATCTCCCAACAAAGCTCTGAGAGGCAAGGATTGAGGCCAGCGATGTTAAACAATGATGCATGGCTGATTTTATTTGTAAGTGATTTATTTCACTGGATTTAATTTTTTTTCACTTTGTGTATAAGATATTTGTTAACAAGTCAGAATAGGAGAAGTAAGGCAGTGTTCAGAGACAATTGACACAGGTTAGAAATCTATTAAGCACTCTAACAGTTTCATTTAAAGCAGTGGAAGAAGAAGGAAGCTCCTCACTGAGAATCTCAACATGCATTGGCTAAATATCCCATTTATTCTCTGAAAGGCAATTAATCTGTAATTATATGCAGAAATTTACAAGTAATAATTCTATTATTTGAAAGAAACACACAGTAATCACATAATCTGTTTAAGTGGCAATACATGTATTTTTCCCCCCAAACTGGAAATATAAAAAGAATAAAAACCTAAAAACAAGGAAATCTATGGAAACTTTCACAATTTTCCACTGGCCCTAATAAATGAAAATTATTGTAAGCTAGTTTCTAAACGGGTTCCACACCAGGTGCTGCTCCGGTCGGCGGCTTGTCCACATGACACAAACCACTCCAGAGAGACACGCACACTGCACTGCTGTAATGATGGACCCCGGGACACTGTCCTTCCATGTCTCCTGCATTAATCCCTGACCTTCGAATCTCGGCAGCATAATCCCCATTTAGCATTAGTAGCAACGGCTTCCACTGTGAGGAACTCTTTTTTGATAAGTAAGCACTGATTCGGGCATCGCTTTTAAACAGCATATTCCCAGCTCAGCAAGAAACCCACACTCCTGAATGAACCGGAGCACATTACTGAGAAAAAGTTCATTAACCTTGCTAGATTTGAAGGTTAACAGGATAGCTGAAGAAAGGAACTGAGTGAACAGCTCGAATACAAAACAAATTAAAATGAATGTCATCATTCCTTTTGATATTCATTAGTTGATTCAGAGGGAGAATGCTCTTCTTAAATTTGCAAAGCATTTATCTGTGAAAAACAGGTGTACATCTGCTGCTCGAATGCGTCTTAAGCGCGTGAGAGAAGAATAATGTAGACACTCACCCGTTCCGCTGAGGGAGTAGCTGGGAGAGGGAGAAAAGACTTGGGCTGCGAAATCCTCGAATGTCATTACTTCGCGGTGGTTCTGAATTATTGCTTCGAGATACAGAGCTCGCTCTTCATAGCTGCGGTAATCGGTTAAGGAAACAAGTGCACGTGCAAAGTGGCATGCAGAGCAGTGACAGAATTCACTTTTAATACCGTTGTGCAATTTTTTCTGTGTAAAAAAGTATCCTGCAGGTTCTTTACCATCTTGCAGAAAATTAAGTATTAGTCATAATTCATACCCAAATTCTGGTTTTGAGACCTAAGTTTCTCTTAGACTTTAATTGCATTAAATACTAATAACACTAAAAAACATGTAAAGCAACAGTTACAGAATAACATCATAAGATCATTAGGGTCGATTTAAACAAAAACAGGAGATACTGATTGCAATAGCATCTCTTTCCACTGACAGTGGTAGATCTTTTACATCCTATTTCAGTGGATAAAACATTCTTAGCCTACTGACATATGAGTTGATACTTCAAGCAACTTGGTGATACGACAGTGCAGACGCTTCTTAAAAATAAGAAGATGCAAGTTACTGGGAAGAGAGAAGGCTAGGAAGATAGATTCTGAGGGGGCATCAGAGCCTCTAACCAAGACAAGCTGTGAACATTGGAAAATAAGAACTACTATGTGAGAGAATCTACCAAGAGTGCACAGTGCAATTTAAAAAAAAAAGACTACTGCCTTTTAATTAAAACTGCAGTCTGGAACACACAGCATTCAAATGTGTAATCAAAAACCAGTCACCAATAAAACTTACAAGCGTAACACACTGAAGCAACTTTCCAGCTGTCTTAATAGGACCCCTGCGTGTGGCAGGCTTTCACAGGGCAGAAAGCAAATCTTCCCCTTTTGTGTGTGGCTTCTGTTTCCTTAGAAGGTGAATCATGCACTTCCAATAACAGGATAACGTCAGAACAATCCCACAATGGATGGAGGCACTGCACATACGACGTTATGAATTAACACTTGGGGAAGTCCGCATGACGTCTCATTTTCCCCTTCCTCATTATCAATGCAAAAGTTAAAAGACATGTTTCAGTCGTTTTGAAAATCATGCTAATTCTCCGGGAACACAGGGAATGCGGATCACCATCAGTTTATTATTGGCAGCTCCAGAAGAGGAAAAGTAACTCTAGCATTTCTCACTACATTTTCAAACTATCTTTTCAAAATGGCCTCTTTAAAAATACAAGTTGGTGACAATTATGTCCTTTCAATCAGCCTTCAAGACAGCACGTGTTTTTAAATGGTCAAATACTTTTCTGCTTTCTTATGGCAAAGTGTGCACACCGATCTCTAAATGCAGGCTCTTCCTCTCCCTACTCCTTCAGTTATATTCAGAGGATAATTTTCATACCGTGAGGAGACCAGAGGCATTCTAGGGCTGTGCTATCCCATACAGTAGCCACAAGCCACACGTGGATATCTCATTTTAAATCTGAATTAATTAAAGTAAAGAGCTAAAATTCAGTTGCTTTGCCCCTCCCCCCACCTTGCTATATTTTAAGCACTCAATAGCCGCACGTGGCTAGGGGTTCTATACTGGATCGCACAGATACAGGATGTGCCTGTCACCGTGGAAAGCACTACTGGACAGCGTGCTGCCAGAATTTCTCCGTAAGTTTGTTCTATACAACCTCAAGCAAGGAAAATGTGTTTGAAGATTTCCAAAGTGGCCCCTCTAATGATTTATGATCTTTTATATAGATGGGCACAACCGCCCAAGGCCTGGGCAGCATGAGCCTGAACTGGCTTCTTGACTGTGGGCTGAACTCCTGGTGACTCGCCTTAATGAACAGGCTGCCAAACTTCCTCAGCGAGAGGCGCCTGCTCAGGCCCAATTCTAGAGGGACCCACTAATGCCATTCACGTCTCATTATGAACACACTTATTCTGCACAGCACTTGGCTGTCGCCACGGCTCGGCCCTCCGTGCATGGCCCCAGCAAGCCGCTGGTCCGGGGAACAGCAGGACGTTAGGCCTGAGTGGCCGTCTGGCGAACAGGCACTCTGACACTAAGCTGGCACGTGCTGGCCCAGCAGGGGCTGAGCGAGGCGTGACAAATTACTCAAAGAGCTGAGCTAAACTTATGGCTGACAACCACCTGAGCCTTTGGACCGCCGTGGCCCGCTGTCAACGCTCAATTCATGGCTCCCCCTTTCAGTCCATCGTCTGCTTGTGGGCCTGGGTTAGAGCAAGCACGTCCCTCTAAAGACCTGTCATGCTCTGCCTAGCATCGTCCTGCTGTTTCCTCAAAGGCCCCACTGCGTCCAACACATCCACATACAGTGCTTGGGACAATGGTGAACAAAAAGGAAATGCGTGCGCATTTTGCTAACTACTCTGCGGAAGCCACGTATCTGGAAAGTGGCTGGCTATGTTAATCAAGCTCATGATCAAACCTACAAAGGGACGTTTTGCATAATACCAGATGAACTGACCCCAGACGGCAGCCCACCGTCCCAATCCTGGATGGCACTATCATAAGCTTGTTCTTGTCATAAGCTTGTCCTTGTCAAGGCTGAGAGATCTGGGCACCTTAGAGGAAGTCCAGCACTATATTTAGAGGAGTAATAATGAAGTTGTGAGATTCTCTGATTCAATGAATATTTATGGTCTGACTCCTAAATTAAGGCAGTAGGAGACAGAAAACATAAAGGTGCTTCCAGAACTGGATCCTGGAGGAGCAAGTGTTTCCTTCATAGAAGGTTCCTGACCCTGCCATGCATGCCCCCGACTGTCACACACAGCCCACACTCTCCCGCCCACTAACTGGAGTGTTAACAGTGCTAAACTGGGTGCTGTCATTTAGACAAACATCCATTAGGGATTGGGGTGAGACCAGGAGATCATCAAATACATTTTCGCTCATGGCCCAAGCCAGGGCATGTAAACACCCTGACAAAGAGAAAACAAATATCCCCTTAGCTCTGGCAGCGTTTAGAAACAGCCAAGGAGCTTGTGGGTGCCAAAAATCATTTCTTTTAGTAGCCATAAAAAACACAGCGCTGGGATCTTAACTGAATTAATTGCAAGGGCAATTTGGAGCAGTATCATCTGACATTTTCTTATCTAATATCCTTAGGGCTTCAATGCTGGTTGCTTTCTATAACAAAGGGCATTTATAATCTAGACATCAAAATGCTTGTAAGCTTTTCACATGTAAGACATGTTAAAATGTTAAGTGAATGCTGAAATAATGCTGATCCCTGGACGGTCAAAGACCTTTCACTGAAAGAGGCACCAGGTCACCAATCCGATCCCTGTTTCAATACTAGCCATGGCCCTTTTGTTCCCTTAAAAAGTTTACTAACAAATGTGTAACTTTTAATTCTGTTCTGAATTATTATCTCATGAAAAGCCACACACAACAAAGTACTTTTTTAAAGAGCAGTTTTCCCCTGGATTACTCAATTCAGGGAACATTCAAATTACTGACCAGAAACCCATCTTGGCTTCTGGACATTTCTCAGTTTCTTTAGCCACTCATTCTGTTCACATTTTCACATATGAATTTTTATCAAGAATTTTGATTAAGAGACAGGCCTGTAGTCCCAGTGACTCAGGAGGCTGAGGTGGGAGGATCACTTGAGCCCAAGAGTTTGAGTCCAGCCTGGGCAACATAGCAAGATTCTGTCTCTAGAATAAAAAATAAAAAAATGGATAATATTCCTCTACTTTACTAAAGAGGTTATACGCCTTTACTGGTTACATTTTATCAAAAATTTCCAAGAGAACTTCTCGAGACTCTCAAGACACACCCTGCTGAATCTGCAGAGCTGTAAGAATCTGAGAATCTGAACCTGTCCCCCAACTTTACTCTCATTATTGTTTGTTTTAGGTTTTAGAAATGACAGTAGCAGCATGACAGTCAGGAAGGAGCTTGTATTTTGGTGGAAGGAAGGCAGGGTTTGAATCTCAGCTGCCCTTTTCCCTGCTAGGTGTTGATGTCCCCATTTTACATGTGAGACAGCTGAGGCAAGTGGTTCCGACTCCAGCCTCAGTTGTCCTACTAAATGTAAAATGGGGACAACAACGCCTGTTCTCAGGACGGCTGGGAAGATTAAATAGAATCCTATATATGAAGCATCTACCTGGGTTCCAGCACAAAAAGAAAAGCATGATAAATCTGGATTGACTCCTCCCTGCCTCTACCATGTGGGCCTAGGGTTTTGTTGCAGAAAGAATGTAGTAGGTAAGCTGGAGGAGAGTTCTGTGTCAGGCTCCATGGCAAGCAAACCCCCTTTAGGCTACACCCTCATGAGCAGGGAAGTCCTGTGGTCTCCATTTTACTGATCAGGTAATGAGAGCTCAGAGAGTTCAAGAAATTTTCTTGAATCACAGTCACACAGTAATGGAATTAAGGCTACAGCCCAGGTCCTCTAACCTTTACTGCTTTCATCTAATATCTTGAATTCTAGAATAAATGGTGTTAAGTTCAAGATCATGTGTGAGGATGGGAACTAAACTCCAAATGAGACAAATCAACTGACTTAAATATACGTGAGCTATAATAACCAACCCGCAACGTAAACCTGAGTGCGTATGTGTAAGCTGCATCTATACCCAGATCATGCTGACTTTATAAAATACAACAAAACAACAATTATTCCATTTTAATTTCTTTTTACTCATTCGGGCTATGTGTTTGTTGACTGTTGTTTAGCACTATCAAGCTTCTTTTATCAAAGAAATAAAGAGAACTGTCTGTAAGAGGCTATGTTGCAGACTGTATTTTTTCAACCCTTGAAACCCTTCTTGCCTGAACCTTCTCTAAATTTCCCAAGAGTGGACATGACGCTCAGACTGGCAAAGTGGCCCCGGACACAGGCAGCCTCCTGACATCAGTGTGTGTGTGCTGTAACAGTTTGCGTACCCACCTCAGTTTTCTTTCTGAACTCATGCAGCCTCTAATCACTGGCACAAGCAAGCCCAGAGCTAGCCATTCTCATGACTCTAACTCCCATGGCAGTGATCTGCAGAGGAGGGAATGTCATGTTTCAGAACCACCTGGGACGCTTCAGCCATCCACGCATCCCTCTCAAAAGTTCTGGCGCCCCCGAGTTCTGCTGCCACTGTTCCATCCCTTGAGTACATTAGGGTGTGTAAAAGGTTGAAAACCTCTGGCTAAATAGCTACCACGTATGACCATCTTAAGCCTCCTTATGTTAGTTTTCTGTGGCTGCTGGAAATGACCACCAACTGGGTGGCTTAAAACAACAGAAATTTATTCTCTCACTAGTTTTGGGAGGCCACAGGTCCAAAATCAAGACGACAGCAGAGGCTGCAGGAGAGATTTTGTTCATGCTTCTTCCAGTTCCAGGTGGCTGTCTGCATTCACGGGGCTGCATGACTCTCCTCTTTGCTTCCATGGCTACATGGCCTCTTCCTATTCTATGTGTCTCTCATAAAGGACACTCCTCACTGGATTTACTGCTCTCCTGGATAACCCAGAATGATCTCCTCATTTCAAGATCCTTAACTTATATCAGCACACAGCCTTGAGTCAAATAGTTAACATTCACAGGTTCCAGGAACTGGGACACAGACATATGGTTTTTTGGGACCATGGTTTACTTCAATAAACTCCTTGAGGACACCATATGAGTCAGGTTCATCAAATTTATGTCAAGAGAAATTTATTCTCTTACGTCACTCATACAATCTAGCTTAAAAGCACCCCACATAATATTTACTGAATGAATAAATGAAGGCCTGAAATTCGTGTCCATTGCTTTAAGCTATGAGACAGCTAGATATATTCTAGGCAATAGCAACTTGTAAGGAGAGGTTAGAGAGTTCAATTTGAAGTAAAATTATACACAGATTTAGAAAACTGCGTGATAAAAACTTTTAGAGGAATGTATGGGGGCAAACTCTTTATGACCTTGGGGTATGGAAAATCTCTTAAGAAACCAAAACATGAACCACAGGGAGAAGAGACTGGTACATCTGACCA
Source organism: Homo sapiens (assembly GCF_000001405.40). NCBI lineage: Eukaryota > Metazoa > Chordata > Mammalia > Primates > Hominidae > Homo > Homo sapiens. The sequence continues at coordinate 20,418,040 of NC_000020.11, forward strand.
CATTCAAAGTAAGAGCTCCTGTTTACCACAATACTGTAAAGAAGGTAGAACTACTAGGCACAACGTGGGAGGAAGCATCTGCGACTCAGAGCTGGCAAGGGGTAGGTGCCAGAATATAAGAAGAACGCCGAGCAAATCCATAAGAGAAAGTCAAATAACCTACTAGAAAGATGGGCAACCAAGAGATAAACCATGACTGGCAATTAAGTTGCTCAGTACCATTAATGATCAGGGATTATGAGAATTACAACAAAATACCATCTTATATATCCCAGAGTGGCCAAACACAGAATATGTAATAATGCCAAATGTCAGACAGGACATGGGTCACAGGAGCCCCAAGAACCTGCTGCTGGGAGGAACTGGCCTGGCTTCTTGGGAGAGCAATCTGACCTTATCCAGGGAAGAACAGACGTGCGTGCTTGCAGGCTGGCAATTCCGCTCCTCAGTATATGAGCTCTGGTACATATGTGCTTGGTTCAGAATGATTATAACATGTTACAGGCAACAGCAAAAAAGGAAAAGGAAACTATTTTTAACATTCATGGATAAATGCAGTCACACAATGGGATATTATATAGCAGTGAAAATAAATGAACTATAGGCATGTGTATTAATAAGGATAAAACTGAAAACCATGCTCAACCAAAAAAGCCAGTCACCGAAGGACACATTGAGTGCAATTCTATTGCTATACATTATTTATTTATTTATTTATAGACAGGGTCTCACTGTGTCACCTAGTATGGAGTGCAGTGGAGCCATCATAGCTTACTGCCACCTTGAAGTCCTGGACTCAAGCAATCCTCCCACCTCAGCCTCCCAAGTAGCTGGGACTACAGACATGCGTCACCATGCCTGGCTAATTTTTAAAATATTTTCTAGCAATGAGGTCTCGCTATGTTGCCTAGGCTGGTCTTGAACTCCTGGCCTCAAGTGATCCTTCCACCTCAGCCTCCCAGAGTGCTGGGATTACAGGCCTAAGCCACCTTACCTGGCCTATATATATTTTAAAAACAGGTTAAGTGAAACATATTGCTTAGGGCTACACACATATGTAGGAAATGATAAAGAGCAAGGAAATAATAACCTGGGATTACCTCTGGGGTGTGGAGGGGTTGTACCTGGGAGGTTCTGAAATATATTGGCTGGTGCAAGTGGGTGTCAGTACCGGGACGTGTTTTAGTGTTCCTTAGAACGTATGTAAATGACATGTCTTCTAGTCTATATAAATATTTCATAATAAAAATGGGCAATTTGGCCAGAATGAAACAGCACTAATCAAATGAATCTTTTCTCACCCATCAGAAGGACAGAATGAGCTTCAAGTCGAAGGTTGATATAAAAGGTCTATGTTTGGGTGTTAGAGTTGACGATGATCACAAAGAAGTCCATTTGACTCAGACACAGAGAAAGCAGAAAAGAGACAGTACTATTTTTAGGGATTTCATTTCAGAAATAGACCAGAATGTCAGAGCTCAAAATTTTCAGAAAGTTGTGGGGAACTCTGACAGAAGGGATTCAAAAAGCTCAAATCAAACATGGATACGAATGCCACCTGTAGGGGAGGGGGATAATGCTCCAAAAAATAAAAATGTATTTCTACAAAATTACTGTTGTTAGAATTACTATGCATTAAGAATGACAAAACCAGCTGAATCTGAGAATGGTCAGAATACTACATATATTCATAGGCTTAAGCATAGATTTCTATACATTATCCTAGTCTGCTCAGAGAACTGGATCTCAAGTGGCTGTGCTATTTTCAAAAAGCAAATCCACCTTCATTCAAGCGCTCATCCATTCAAGAGATATGTATTGAGTGCCCCCCTGTGCTAGGTAATGGGCATGTAATCAAGGAACAAGATAGATGTCGCTCCTGCCACCAGCAATCCTGCATTCTAGCAGGGAGGCAGACCGAACACTAGTTAAAGGACAAGTCCAGGGAATAAGGCAAACTGTCATTATGTCAGTACCAGGAAGGAAAGAGGGAGATAAGCTCAAAGAAGTCTCTGATGGGAGGGAAGCAGCTAACCAAGCAGGGATGAAGTGGGGTAAGGAGTGTAAGAGCAGTTCGGGCACAGAGAATGCCATGAGCGGGAAGGAAGTTGGGATACTTCAGGAGGAGAAAGGAGACTGGAGTCATGGGGTAGTAAGAGGGTGGCAGGAGGTGCAGCTGAAAGACAAGCTGGGCCTGGGCACAGGAGGCCCGAATGGCTTGAGGCAAGGAAGCAACATGATGTCACTTAAGTTGCTATATTGCCCTTAGAGGAACTGCACCACTAAGGAGGGTCCTGAGTGTCCTCTAGTTTGGAAGAGGTCAAGGCTGACTGGCATCTATACGTTCAATCAATGGGCTTGTCCAAATATTTCAATACCTTACTTATTCTTTGCATTTTTCAGAAGTGGATGACATACAACTTTTGGGCATGTGGAAGAGGTAAGAATGCTACTTGCAGGCTTGAAATGACCAGAACTTCTGAGAATGACCTTAAGCATAACCAGGAAGGACTATGGCATGGCAGAGAGAGGGCCATGCTGGGTGACACACACACCCTGGCGTGGAGGGAAGAGGAAATGGAGCAGAAGCAGGCTCTCCGGTGAGGCAGAGAATGAGGCACTACACACAAGGAGGCAGGCACGACCCTCCCACAGGACAGATACTGGGCTCACAGATACTTATAAAAATGAGATGAGTTAACAGCAGCTGTGGATTGAGGAATAGTACCCTGTTTCGAATGTGTGAAATACACCCACGGATGCGTTTTAAACCTAGTAAAAAAAAGACCCTACTGTGGCAGAGTCTGAGCTCAGAGAAGGAATGGCTAAGAATATTTTACAAAACTAGGAAATTAATTAGCTGATTTCTTCTGCTGCTCCCCACTACTGGCCGCTTTTGGTATAGAGGATGCACAAGAAAATAACACGTTTTCATTTTTGAGCAATGTTTTGAGTAGTGATGAAAGAAAGTGAAGAGGCAACACACAGAATAGGAGAAAACATCTGCAAACCATTTAAGTGATAAGGATCTTGTATCTCAAATATATAAAGAACTCTCACAGATCAACAATAAAGACAACCAAGTTTAAAAATGGGCAAGGGATGGATGTGCATAGACATTTATCCAAAGAAGATATGTAAATGGCCAGTAAACACATGAAAAGATGCTCAACACCACAAGTCATTAGGGAAATGGAAATGAAAACTATAATAAGATACGACCTCACGTCTACTAGGATGACTATAATCAAAAGGACAAGCGACAGTAATAACCAGTGAGGACGATGAGAAGATGTGGAGAAATTGGAATCCTCATACCTTGCTGGTAGGAATATAAAGTGTGGCCACAGGCCAGGCGCAGTGGCTCACGCCTGTAATCCCAGCACTTTGGAAGGCTGAGGTGGGCGGATCACCTGAGGTCAGGAGTTCGAGACCAGCCTGACCAACGTGGAGAAACCCTGTCTCTACTAAAAATACAAAATTAGCTGGGTGTGATGGTCCATGCCTGTAACCCCAGCTACTCGGGAGGCTGAGGCAGGAGAATTGCTTGAACCCGGGAGGCGGAGGTTGCAGTGAGCCAAGATCACACCATTGCATTCCAGCCTGGGCAACAAGAGCGAAACTCTGTCTCAAAAATAAACAAACAAACAAACAAACAAACAAAGTGCAGCCACTGTGGAAAACAGTTTGGCAGTTCCTCAAAAAGTTAACATATTATCCAGCAATTCTACTCCTAGAAGTTCAATACCCAAGAGAACTGAAAATATATGTTCACATAAAAACTTGCCAACAAATGTTCATAGGAGCATTATTATTTACAGCCAAAAACCAGAAACAACCCCCTTGCCTGCAAACTGATGAATGGATAAACAAAATGTAATATAACATATAATAAAATATTATTCAGCCATAAAAAGGAATGAAGTATTGATACCTGCTGTGACACGGATGGACTTTGCAAACACTATGCTAAGTGAAAGAAGTCAGATGCCAAAGCCCATATATCGTGGGACTTCATTAATATAAATGTCCAGAATAAGCAAATTAATACAGACAGAAAGGAAATCAGTGGCTGCTTGGGGCCAGAGGCAGGGGAGAATGTGGCATGACAGTTAATGGGCATTCAGTTTCTTTTTGGGGTGATAAAAATGTTGTGGAATTGGAAGTGGCAATGGTTGCATAACTCAGTGAATATACAAAAAACCATTGTATTATACATTTTAAAAGGGTGAACGCTATGGTCTGTGAATTATATCTCAATAAAATAAATGCCCCCAGGCTGGGTGCAATGGCTCACCCCTGTAATCCCCAGCACTTTGGAGACTAAGGTGGGAAAATCGCTTGGGGCCAGGAGTTTGAGACTAGCCTGGGCAACATAGTGAGACCCTGTCTCTAATGGCACGTGCCTGTGGTTCCAGCTGGTCAGGAGGCTGAGGTGAGAGGATCGCTTGAGCCTGGGAAGTTGAGGCTGCAGTGAGTTCTGATCATGGCATTGCACTCCAGTCTGGGCGACAGAATGAGACCCTGTCTCAAAAAAAAAATGCCCCCCAAAATGCCTAGTGGTACGCAGTGCACACTATGTACTGTGAGGAAGGCCTGCTAATAAAAAGATCTTCACTGAACACATGAGAGAACAAATGGCAGGATGGCCTGGCACAGCAAAAGCCCTCCAGGCAGATAGTGGCTGAATCATTTAAGCATGGAAGACACAGGAAGAGCAGAAGACCATGTGCCGCGACTGTTCTAGCAGCTGGAGGATGAAAAAGACATAGTCTTGTCCTTCACAGCATTCACAGCTTATATGGAAAGACAAGTGGACAACGAGCTCTAGGAAGCTGGTGGGTGGAGCGATTCATGGGAATGAGGAGTGGGTCTTCGTCAGACTGCAATGGGCTGGTTACAGAAGGGAAGAAGCAACACCAGCCTGTGGCAACTTGGAATCTCCGAAGGTTTTAAAACAGATGAACAGCAGGACCTGATCTATGCCTGAGAGATAATGGGGCAGGGAGACAATGCAGGGGAGGAAGCGGCACAATGCAGGGCAGACCCAGCTGGACTTGGGGTGCTCACCAATGGTAAGAGATGGAGATGGATTCTGGACATAACCCTGGGATCAAGGTGTAAGTGACCAGGAGGGTGGGACAAAAAGGGACCTGAGGAGGAGGGCAGGGTTGAGTGGAGGAGTCTGAAGAGCCCAAGGGATTCCTGGGGGACAACTTCAGGGAAGTGCTGACTGGGACTCAGCAGAGAGGCCTGGCCAGAGCTGAAGAGCTGAGTCATGGGTTTGGAGATGAGCTTGAAGGAGAAAAGGGGAGAATGCAATGTTAGGGAACCACCCCCACCCCCACCAGAGGGTGGGCAGAAGTGAAAGAACAGTCAAGGGATATGGAGGGAGCGGGAGACAGCCATTTCCCAGATCCTAGGGAGAAGCATCTGGAAGGAGGAGCAGCAGGGTTCCTGCAGAGCCTCAGCTCCCATGCACTTCCCTGGTACCTGCCTCAAAGGCACATGCTCCACAGGTGGGCTCAGGTCGCATTTAATAACTAAACAAATGGATAAAATTCCATAATGAGCAAGACAGGAACAGATGCCAGTTACATCCTAAAGCCATACATCATTTTCACAAGATTTTATCTCTCTTTCAATATAATGTAAATTTAAATTCTAGGACTGTTTAAGGCCACAAATAAATGAATCATTGAAAGTAAATGTCACAGCCTGGTAACAGGTAAAGAGGATGACTTTACTCAACAATGTAACCAAATAAAATGGATGTTTTGGAAAAGGAAATTAAACACATGGAGGTATAAGATATTAGATTAAGTTTCAAACCCTAATGATACACTCCTGGAGAGAAACAGTCCACTACTGCTCAAAAAGAAGAAAATACCATATAACCAAGTTTAAGAATAATTCTGAGGAAATGATAAGAGCAAATGGAAATGAGAAAAAGATTTTCTTCAGGCTATTAAATTACAGACTTTTGGAGATGGTCTGTTCTCATATTCCTATGTCCTTCCGGCATAGGGAGCTGAAGGTCTCCCTCCTAGAATCCGAGGCGCTCCACACATGCAACGGATTTGGACTATGCTGTTATTAGAAATGTTCAAATCAGTTCTTCCCAGGGGATTGATTTGTGAAGGAGCACATCCTTAATTATAGCATTTTCCATTTCCATCTTCTCCAATTCTCCCAGTGCACCTCACCTTCTGCAAATCACCAAGTGAGAAAATGCCCCGTGACACCGTCGCTCAAAGTCTCACATCAGTAAAAATGTAAGTGACAAGAAAATTCGTCATTCAGCCTATTTCAAGTCTAGAGAAAGTGCTGTCAAATTGAGTGAGAAAAGATTCAACAGGCTACTTCAATGATGAAAACGACAGAAAAAGTGACGAATCAATATGAACAATAGAAGCCCTGAGTTCTGCCATGCTGACGCCAATAACTTGATTTCTGGGAGGAAGGGAGTCAATGTCACTTGAACCGTGTTTCTCTTTCACAGATTTTCACTCGTCCTAAAGACATCATATGTTAGAAGCTAAAAAATGTACTCCCAACCTTAATATAGAAAGGACCACTGCTGACATTTTTGGGGCATTTAATATCCATGAAGTGACAACAAAACGGAAAATAATTAGAAATGCAGAACTGACCTAATGTTAAATGATGAGTTAATGGGTGCAGCACACCAACATGGCACATATATACATATGTAACTAATCTGCACGTTGTGCACATGTACCCTAAAACTTAAAGTATAATTAAAAAAAAAAAAGAAGAAATGCAGAACTGCCTCTAAATGTCTTAAATCCTGTTTGTGGCAAAGTATAAAAAGAGTAGACAATTAAAGAGCAACACACATGAATTGTAAACTCTGTTTCTATCATCACTGACTCTAAGAGAAAAAAATATTATTAAATAAAATACGTTACAGGTACTATTTAGTGCAACATAATTTGAATTGAATTATCCAATGTTTACTCTTCGACCATTCTATTTTGAAGGCAAAAGCGACTTTCATTTGGCCTACAGAATAGTTCATATCTAGGTTGATTCTAGAAATTAAATAGGATCATGATATATGATATACGATAGATAACAAGTAAATGAAACTGACAAGTATAAGAAAACATCTATAGCAGATACTCTGGTTATCCATTCCTTTGAGACATTCTTAATTGTTACCTATAAACAATCTCTTAGGCCCACGTGAAATCAGACTAGGCTCAGGCACGACACAACTGAATTTTGTGGTCCAAAGTATTTGCACCAAGTTGTGTACAGATTTTCTTCGTTTTTCATTTCTGAAAGCAATTTTGGGGAAATAATTCCTTTTCATGGTATTTACAAAAGTTTAGCTTTATTTGTTTTTTCTTCTGTGCGTTTTAAAATAATAAATATCACTACCTCTGGAAGCAGAAAATAGTATTTCTATGCTTCTATGAAATAATTTTAATAGCTTAAAGGCATCTCAGTTTTCCAGGAAGATATTCATCTGATACCAAGTTATCAGATGTCAAGAAGAAACTCCAAGAAAAGTTAGGGGTTTACCAAATGAAAGTGACTTACAAAATGAGGAAAGAAGCTGATGTGAAGGTTGCCAAGCGGCCTTCCTGGCCGATTCAGACTGCTTGAGTGGTACGCTGGGTTGCAAAGCACACCTGAGTGATAAATATTACTGCTGACCCACACTTGAAACTCAATACACCCCACAGACCTATCAGAGCAAAAAAAATAATGCCACAATTATTGAAACCTCACTGGAAATTTGGGGGAATTCTAATAACACAAAGCTCCCTCATGATCAGAAGTAGCAAAAGTATGTTGGCCAGTTAATATTAAAAGCAACTGATTTCTGGCTATTAATAACAGCATGTGATGCAACTGGCTCACTTAGGAAGAAGCTACACTAAGTGGACACAAGGGTTGAGCCATCACAACAAACGGCCCTGGAGCATGTCTTTATCTGCAGCACTCTGAAGAGCTGCTCCATCTGTAGGCATGGCTGGGCCCCTCAACAGACACTGGTCCTGTGCAAACCAGAATGACCAGATGAGCGTGGAGAATATGGGTCTCATTAATGTTATGGAAAGTAGTTTTGAGCAGCCACAGGGCAAAAGCAACTCTTTTACTCCTTTTACATCTGTTCTAACATTTGGTTCACTGTTAGGTTAAAAAAAATAAAGATGATCAGGAAGTATATATAAGTGACTTACATAGTGTGGTTTGAAATTTTTATGTTTGCTGTCAAGATTGGTCATGAAAATTCCCAGGGGCTGCTGGAATGACTTACTCTGGTTTCATAACAGGCTCAATTGTACTGTTCTACACCTTCTGCTAATCTGGTTCTAGGCTGTGTAAAGAAAAAAATATACACATATAGCTCTGTTGAAAATAATGAGTCTTGATGAAGGTCTACGTGTTTGAGTGGGGTAGTGAAGCCACCTGTTTGCTAACGAGTCTCTGGCTGAAGGGCACTGGGCTGAGAACCCCACAAGGTGGTCATACAGCCCTGTGATGCTTCTGCTTAGGGGTGAGGAAGGGAAACACTGTAATGATCTTAGAGGAAGGCTTAAGAAGCAACAGGGCTCAAGTGTGAAGTTCAGGCATCGTCACTGACATAATCTCAGAGATCATCAGCAACACACAGCATACGGGATGCCCTTTTACGAATGCACCTCAAAGGAAAAAGTCCCTGTTCTGACAGCCCTTCAGGTGTGGCGTCTGCAGCAGGTGAATCAGACTACATCCTGAGCATAAGTGAGCCCCCGGCCAGGCACCTCTGCTGATGCTGCATCAACCAAAGATTACATTTAAATAAAGATGCCAATGAAAATGATCAAGTGCTTTTAATGGGTTGAAGTTTTATAGGCTCTATCTCATTTAATCCTCACAACTTCCTTCTGTGGTTTGTACTATCCTAATTTTTTTGTAGAGGAGGAAATTGAAGAGCAGTGAGGAAAAGTGTTCTGTTCCACCTCTCTCAGATGCTACCAGCAGCCTGACTTGAGAGCCTGGCTCTCAGTCACGGCCCTGCCTCTTATGATCAGAATTCTCCCAACAAGAGAAAAGACTAGTGAGGCCAAAACTAGCAGAAGACCCAGTTCCATCTACTCACTGCTGTTTTCATAGAAAGCTGAAGGAGTAAATTGTAGCCCTTCTTCCACTCTCTCCAGTTGGGACTCTATTATCCAACAACTTCAGGTGAAAGAAAACTTACTGTGTTTTCTCCTGCAAATTAAACTTCAATACTTGCATTTCAAGTATTTTTGGCTCTTACAAGCCAGTGAGAGAAATCCCTGTGGGTTAGAGCAGAGGCGGGAGTGACAGTTTCACTAAATCCCATCTGTGTGCCATTCTGCTTGCGGGGTGGGAGCGTCTGCAGCACAGCACATCAGCCCTGCGTCCTGCACTTATTCATGCAGATGTCTCTTCCCCTGTCACTCATCCCTTCATTAGAACTCCCTCCGACCGGCTAGCCCAGGGGCTGCTGTCTTCCTGCCCCTGGTCCTGGTGCCCCGTTTCAAGTGGTGGTGTACAGCACTGGGTGCCTTGTGTGTCCTTCATGTCCTCCAGTGCTCCTGGGCACCGTTACCATGCACCTGCTGCAGTGGCCCCTCGGCTTGCAATTTGACGTGAGGCACTGTCATACCAGTGACCGCACAGGTTGCCAGTAACAGGAAAGCAATTTTCTATTGAGCTATGACTATATCTGGCCCAGGATGGATTGTGCAAGGGAAAAAAGATTTTTTTTTTTTGTAAGGGGTGTTTTCTTTTGTAGCTGGACAACATATATCATCAAGTGCAGAGCAGATACTTGGTCCTTCCTGAATCTGACATTTGAACAACAGATTCAACATTTCTACTCCATTTCAGCAGGTACCTCTGAGTACCTAAATCTTTTCAACTTTTAAGAGTAAGGCAGAAGGAATTCAGGTTAAAAAGTCTGCTGCAGTCAGAAGAGAGATCAGAATTAGAAATTCTCTCATAATAACACATGCTTTAAAAATAAAATTTCAGAAAAAAATGATGGGTGTTTATCTTAACTTTTTATGTCTTTATATTCTGGGATAATTCTACTTTACTCTTCAATGAAAACTGTCTGCTTTTATATTTTATATGCAAAATTCCTTGTAACAGATCCCATCTATTCTGCCTAAACTCATAAAATATACAAATAACAGAAACAGCCCCCAGTGCTGTTAAAGATAAAATTCCCAACCCACACAATTCTCTGGGACTTTCCACATTTAAGCCTCATAGAGTCACTTGATATCATCTTCGTGACTAAAAATATAACTGCAGTATTACTTAAAATTATAATCAAATCATTCTCTTGCAAATTAAGACACTTACTCTTAGAAAAAAAAATAGCCAAATTGAATTCGGTACGTCTTTTCTTGATAGATCAAAAGCAGCTCCATTAAATCAGCAGTTTTATATTAATGGCATGAGACATGACCCAGATGAGGAAAATGTCCTTTGGAGCCATTTTGTATTTTATTTGAAGAGCCATGGAGATGATCCTCACAATTCATATGTGAGGCAGAATTGTATCACTGGTCTCAAGGCCAGGAGGCTGGACATGATCCCAAATGTGGTGGCCCATCCACATCAGAGAGCCCAGGTTCATCTTCTCTCAATCCCTCATTTCTTCCCATTATTGTGCCTGCCACCCATCTATTCACCCACCCACCCATCCATCCATCCATCCATCCACCCACCCACCCACCCATTCACCCATCTACTCACCAACCCTTCCATCTGATATTTACTAAGTGCCTCCTACATATCCATTATTCTCTCCTCAGATGTAAGGAAAGTACTTCCTTGCATCTCAGCCCTCCTCTAAATCTTTGATCCTATAATATTCAAATGTTGTACTGAGTATTATAGTATATTGGAGGATTCTAAAACCCATCATAGTGAGATTACACTATAATTAGCCTGAGTTCTGTTGGGGCAACATCTCACTTAGAATAAAAGAGACAATCTCTATGAAATAAAAACAAGCTACCCAATGTTGGTGCAGTTGGCTGCCACTCATGAAGCTCTTTGTAGCCAAGAGCCCATTGGGTCCTCCTGCAAAACTCAAACCACATATGATAAAGCAGAGACAGGCAACAAAAGTGATGCTCTGAGACCACCCAGCTAGCAATGAGCAGGGCTGAAACTCAAACCCAGGGCGATCTGTTACACATGCTGGCCTCTTCCTACTCCCTTATGCTGTCTCAGTTTAATCTTTCAAACTTATTTAAGATGCTTGCAATGTTCAGTGCTAAATTAATCCACAAACATTGTTGTTTGGTGCTAACAGGAAGAATAAGGATAGATAAATTAGATTCTTCTTTCTCCCCCCAGAACCAAGAGTAGCACAAAACTGGCCATTTTTATAGCTAATCTGGAATAAATGGTGACTTTCTAGCTAAATCATTATCTGTACAATTGTCATAAGAAGCTACAATTTAGAGGAATAAACTACATTAATTTGATTCTTTCCTTCATGCAGCAAGATTTGAAAAATTTACATGACCTCATTTACACAAAAAATTATCTTTCTGCAATTATTTCCAGTGATATTTTGAAGACAATCAGTACAAAATTCTAAAGTTTTCTTAATTATTTTGAATGGACATTTTCAAAGAGAGAATGAATTTGGTGCCAGATGTGGCTTCTGAAGTCGTGACATGCTTCAACACTGGAGAGCAGAGCGTCTCACGGTAAAGGCCTTTTGCACCATAATCAAAACACTGAGAGGAACAGGAATGAACTGTCATTCTTTCATTGCTATCTTCCAAGGGGGTGAACCATTTCTGATAAATCCTTATTTTTAATTATGTGCCACTTGGTGTCATTCAAAAACCCTGAAGAGGGTAGAAGCACCTGTGCAATGACTCTGAACAAAAAAGAAGGTAGAAATTCAGGCCTGATATTTCATGTGTCATCACAGATAGCAGGGTTGAAGTCAAAGCCCTGAGTTCAGATGCAGACTCCTCTGAGTCCTGGCCCTGTGACCTCAGGCAACTAGTTTGCCCTGCAGAACCTGCATCCCCTCATCTGTGAAAGAGGGGTTCAGGGCTGATCTGCAGGACCATGCTGCAGTGAGGGGAATGATGCCACAGGTGTGCCTGTTCAAGATCACAGCAGCAGCTGCTGGACCTAGTGGCACCCGGTCAGTGGAACCTAACAGGGAGCAGCTGGCAAAACAGCAACGTGGAGTAGAGCCCTGGCATTCCAGAGTAGGGACACAAGGGCAGGCCTGGATCTCAGTGCCACTCAATCACTGACTACCGTGGCCAGGCATCTGGCTCAAAGTTGTGGGCCCTGTGGAGGCCTAGGGCAGCAAGATCTTTCCCTTTATGGGAAAGGGCCACATCACCTCCTTGTCCCATGGCCTGAATGCTTCCTCCAACAGGTGGGGGAATATTTCATGAGAAGTGTTTTTCTCAATTAAAAACAGAAACACAGGGACCAGTGATAAGGAGAGTAGTCATTGTACATGATGGAAACTTGCCTCTACCTATAGCAGGTTCTGATCCTGATCAAGTATACTGGTGATTTACTTTGTAGACTGATGTTTCAACTGTTTTCACTCATCTCCAGTGAATATTAAAAATGTCACTTGAGAAATTTCCTTTGTATTTCTCTACTGCCTTTACCTTTCGGAGTTCCCTGTGTCTGTATGTTGATAGCAGACACAAGATCTCACTGTTTTCATGAAACATCACGTATGTACATCACTGGGATCACCTGGTCTCAGTATATACTCTACGTAGACCCCAAAGGTTAAGGACAGTACATGAGCGAGAGAACTTTTTAAATGCCTCTATATATTTTCAATCAGAAGTAATTATTTTGTGAGTTCATGGAGGACATAAAGACGTTAACTCATGGTCCCTATCGTCTCCCAGCATACTACTGATATGACAGGAATGACTTTGGGACACTCTTCCCAGGGCTTCTTGGTGGTGTGAACAAATGTGCAAGGCATCATGAGAAGGAAATGGCTATACCCTTTTGGTGTGGTTGGGGGCTTTGTGGAGCGAGTCCCCCTGAAGCGTAGCTCTGAGACTGAGTGGAATCTACACAGGCCAGAACAGGAGTGATGGGGGAGGCAGGAGGAAAACATCATGGGGCATTTCCCAAGAAGCCATGCCCAGAGAACTGGGGAACACAGGGCTCCTTAAGAAGTAGGACTGGAGAGAGGCCGGAGTCTAGACTGACACTGCTGTTAGGGAAGCGAGGAGGCTCCTGAGGGTAGACAGCAGGCTGACAATGCATGGTGGTGAGTCTGGCAGCCAGGTATGAGGCTGGAGGGGGGAGAAGGAAGGGTGCCACAGCACAGAGATCTGTACAGAAAGCCCTGGACACAGCCTTGGAAAGTGGCTCTGGGCAGAGGGAGAGGATCCCAGGCAGGTAGAGGACATTTCAAAGACCAGACAGGTTTAATGGATGATGCAAGAGAAAACCAAAACTTAAACATGCACCAGGCTTTATATAATTTTAAAATGTATGACACAATTTGCAAACTGGCAATAAATTACTCTAAAATTATCCTTGAGATGGGAGGATGGCCATATGCAAAAAAATTAAGCATGGTGACTGTAGGTAATAATGTATTATAGATTTCAAAATTGCAAAGGGAGCAGATTTTAAGTGTTCTCACCACAAATAAATGTAAGTATGTGAAGTAATAGTTGATTAGCCTGATCTAATCAACCTGCAATGTATACATGTATCACAACATCACACTGTACCCCATAAATATATGCAATTATTATCTGATGGTTCCAAATGTCACTTCTATAGCATGTGTGCACCTCTCTATGCAGCCATAATGTCTACAAGAGGCCTGTGTCCCGGGTTTTTCCTCTATGCAAAGTTGAAGTAGGGGCTATCTTCAATGAGAAACATCCACTAATATTACTTGCACAGACTTAATGGGAGAGATAAATGGGTTATACATCAGTTAACTTGTAACTAATAATAAATTATATTTTGGTCATTAAAGTCATGTAATTTTTTAAAGAAGCAGTTGGTGCGAGAAACAGTAAGGACTGTGAAATAGGAACCACCGTTGTTCCAAGGCTGGTGATCGTCTTCACTGTCAGAATTCATGAGAGGAAGCTATGTTTATTTTCCCTTGATGACCCGACCACTATGGAATAAAACACGTAGGTACATTTTCTACAGAGACGGATCCAAGACTGTGACTGTCTCATTGTGCCTGTAGTGGAGGGCTGCCAGGGCTCTCCTTTGCTGGTTATAAGGAGCTGCCTTGTGTCACAAACCAGGTGATTACCATGGGTTAAACAACTAAGGGCAGGGTGGAGAGTGACCAAGCAGTGGCTCCCTGAGCTCGTGACGGTGCTAACCTTTTCAAAGGTGAGCGCCGTATATATTCATTTCAGCAAGTCACTTAATGAGCTTTTGGATTTTTTCAGCACAAATTAAAGGCACCTACCTGGATTTTTAAATCACTTGGTAATGCCACCTAATCCCCCTGAGTGGAAGAAAATTAAAAACAAGAGCCACAGCATTTCCTTAGAACATCTTGATGTAAAGTTAATGATTCTTTGAGAGAGACTAAATAGCAGACTATTTCAATATTCGGAAACACTGGAAAATACATTCCACCATGCTATACATACATGGGAAAACAAAAAACTATTTATTTATTTAGAATGATTTTGAAAAAAAAAATGAATTCTAATCTCTCCAAATAGCCTCATTTCTGAATATTTTTTAAAACTAGCCCGCTTCCTCTTTTTACCAGGGAGAATCATCATTATCATTAAATACTCCAACTCTGCAATTGTCCACCCTCAAGCTGTCCATGTGAAAGTGACTGGTTGATCTGACTGCCCAGCAGCACTTGGTGCATGGGCAGAGCCTCCGCTCCAGCTGTCTGGAGGTGCACATCTGGCTCACTCGTGAGCACCAAGAATCTCCTAAGTGAATTCTCCCCATTCTAAAGAGCCTGCATTTTAAGAATGACTATGCAAATTTAGTGGCAAGCCATTGGGTCATTTCATGTGATGCCAACAAACATCTAGTAACACTTCTATCCATTTGTCTCTCCATTCAGACATAATTATCAGTCCTACTATGTGCCAGTCAATTGTGTGCCCAAATTATCTTGAATAATTCTCACAAAATCCTATGAAGAAAGTATTGTTACTCTCACTTTATAGCTGAAGAAATTAAGGCTCCGAGTTCAAGATTAGGTGATAGGCAAACCAATATTAGCAATTTCATATGGTTCCACCTAGTAATTTAACCAGAGCCCAAAAAGGTGGTTGGGCAGGGAGGGGCTTCTCATACAATATCTTAAAAGAGGTGAGAGAAAGAAACTAGGAGGAGCACTCAAACCCTGCAAGGGGCTGAGGGGATTTGGAGAAGCTGCAGCCAGGCACAGGATATCTCCAGAGGCTGCTAGCCTGTGAGAAAACAGGAATAAGCTCTTTGATGTAAGGTATCAATACAAATGCAACCTAAAAACGCAGTACTTTTCTGTGCAAGCTGCACCAACAGTTTGACTTATCTCATGAGGCTGAAATGTTTCTCAGATGAGGTCCAACAAGTATAAGTACTCCCCAAACAAACCTACTCAGCTCATTTAAAATAAGCCCTTACTTAAAAAGGACCACAAAGACCTTTGACCAAAGGACCACAGAGACAAGGTCAGCTGATAAATGAGATAGTCTGGATGTTTTTGTGAGATGAAGACGATGCTCACGAAGGACCAGGATTAGCATCTCTGCTTCACCACACAACAGACAAGTGCTAAAATACTTCAAAATCCAGTATACATCAGTGAAATTCCGAAATTTATCAGAACAGAAAGTAGATCAAATAACAAAATACTGCATGATATGTATTTTATATAGTAAAGTATACTTAACAGCCATGTAGATGAAGGTTTTGGCCATGTTCTTTGTACTCAGACATGGCATGCAGTTGTAAGCTCTCTGTAGTAGGGAGGAAGAGGGAGAAGGGGTGGTGATGTACTGGGAAGTCCATGACTTGTTCATCTGGGGGCCTGAAAAAGCCCCTGAAAAATCAAAGCTCTAGTAATTTAGCAAGGTCCAGCAGTGAGGAATAAAGTGTATAAAAGCAAAATGAAGACAAAAATAAAACAAATTTTAATACACATGGTTAGTCTCTCCCAAACAAAAGTTGCTCATAGCCACACACACTGGCCTCTCATGGGAACTCATGGGAAATGCCAGTAGTTCCTCTGTGGGGGTCCCGGGAAAAGTGCAGAGCTAAAATCCACAGTCAGCAACGAGGCCTTGGATTTTAAAATTAATAAGTTCAAAGCCTGATGAGATGGAAAAGGTTGTAAAAAGCACCTTAAAAGCAAGCAGAAACACTCTCAGTCCCCTGTGAGCTGTGCAGGGGACTGTTTCAGCCACAACCAGAAATGGATGCAGGTGAGCCTCTGATATCCTAACACTAAAAACAGACGGAGGCCACCAGCATGGCCAAATGCTCAGAAGTGAAGACCAGGAGGAGATGACCACGTTCTGCATGGGATGTGTTTGTTTTAAAGCAGTCTGCCATTGCCTTTCATCTGTTTGGGTAGAGGACTATATTAAAATTCCTCTTAGAGGCTGGGAGCAGTGGCTCATGCATGTAATCCCAGCACTTTAGGAAGCTGATGCAGGAGTATATTTTGAACCCAGGAGTTTGAGGCCAGTCTGGACAACGTGATGAGACCCCGTCTCTACTAACACATTAAAAACTAGATGGGTGTGATGGTGCATGTCTGTAGTCTTGGTTACTTGGGAGGATGAGGCTGGAGGATCGCTTGAGCCTGGGAGGTCAAGGCTGCAGTGAACTGTGATTGCACCACTGCACTCTAGCGTGGGCAACACAGTGAGACCATGTCTCAAAAAAGTTTTCTTTTAGAGAAAGGCATTCAAAGTGAACTTATGAAAAACAAATCTACAAGTTATTCTCCTGTGTCCTACCCCATGCCCAGAAGCTGACGGGACATCACAGAGAGATGGCTCCAATGTGGACTCTGTTCTTCACCTACGATTCTTGAATGCCATGTTTGCCAATGCTTGAGGTGCAAGGTATCTAAAAGTGGTGGATACTGCAGACCCTTTTCCTCAAGGAGGCCCTGCACAGCCACCTGGGTGTTGATGCCAGATCCCCTGGCTCTAAACTCAGCCCTGGATGAAGAAAATGGTCATGGGAGGCATGGGAGGGACAGGCGAATGCTGCAACAATATGGAACTAAAGTCCATGACGCAGAGGCAGAAGCAACACTTCAGAGATGGAGGGTGTTCACCACCCTGGGCAGACAGCGCGTACTCTGCTAGATGCTGGGAGCAGCTGAGGAAAAGGATGCATAACAGCATCTACAGTTAAGGGCACTGTCATTTGGGGGAGAAAAATTTACATAAATGCAGCTAATACAGAGCAAAAAAGGAAGGACAGTAAAGAATGAACTCTTGAATAAAGTGTACGGAATCATATTATATCTGAAGGAGAAGAGTAGGGAACAGGGGTCACACCCTTACTAGAATGTTGGCTGCTGCAGAGCTGACAATGCTGTGCCATAGCAAAGTGGGAGGAGCATGTGCGTCTCTCCACTTGGGGGCAGGATAAAGATGTGGCACAGTGTGATTTTTAGCAAAGAAGGAGGCAGGCTGATGCTGCCCCGGAGTCCCAGTGTGGTGAAAAGAGGTGGCTCTGTTCTCTTCACGAAGGGAACGAGGGACCCCGACACTGGGATGTGTCTGTGGACACTGCCACAGGCAGGAACTGCACTAGATCTATGGCCTTTCAGGGACTGCTCTGGATTGAGCTCACATGGACAAGAATCAAGATTAGTCTGTGAGCAGGATTAGTAAAAATTCTTAGAAATTTATTGTTCTAAGTTCTGTTTAAATGAACAATCCCATAAATACTGTAGCTGCTCAAGTCTTGAAATGGGGTGAGTTATGTATCAAGTTGAATCATACAAAATTGCTGATTTTTAACCTGCAAAAGCAGCATTTCATATGGTCTAACCCTAATACCAGACAGTAACAGATTACTTGGAAAAGCCCGCTGGGCCCCAGACATTTCCCCGTCTGTCTGCCTAAATCACAGACCTGCCTGTGGACATTGCTCCCTCTCTCTCAGGCCACTTTGCTCCTCAGGAAATACAGCAGCCTCCAGCATACAGTGCTTCCAGGACCCTTCAAATAAAACCCCACGAAGAAACCAGAGCTACTGAAATCCTTAGTACTTCCATGTTCCAAGTAAATCAGATCAAGTTCTCTACACATGTGCTTTGCATGAGTTTTCTAAAAAGATTTCAGTCTATTTAAATACCATCCCTACCAGATAAAACAATTTAATAGGGTAGATCTTTCTTTGCTCAAACACGTTACTTATCTATTCCTTCTTCCAATGCCATCCCTAATATGAAGAAAAAACTGGTAGTGGTTGATAAAGTGTATTTAAGCGTCACGGCAATACATGAGTAAGACGGCAAAGTGTCCCTGCCATCAGCCGGTCCTGGGCCCTGGCCAGGACACAAAGGCATAGAACACCAGCCCAGGGAAGCCATCTCACTTCCCCTGGGGAGACAAACACTGGATGGCTCACGAAGGCTTCAATGTGTTGACACTGTCGTCTCTGCTGCCATAAGGTTGGAGGCCGAAGAGTAATCTAAATAGAAAAAAGAATAAAACCCTGGCCTAGTCGGGTGAGTAGCGTTCTGGGAGAGGCAATGCGTCAAGCCCCAGGCTCCTGGAAGGGAGGGAGGCAGGAAACTGCCATTTTGACTGCCCACTACGTCCTGCCAGACACACTCATGTGCCATGCCTGATCTAATCCCTGCCACGGGCGGGCGGCCAGGGCGCCACCTCATCCGAGCCTGTGCATTGGCCATCATGGCAGCCGCACCGGGGAGACCAAGCTCCGGGGCTAACTAACTGACGGGAGGCTCCGAGCTCTGAATGCTGCCGGTGGGACCTTGGCAAGGTCCCCATCCTCCCTGGGTCCTGTGGCCTCCTCTGCACAATGGCATCTGAACACAAACCATCTGTTCACATGGGAATACATAATATGTATAATTTCATAAATGTTAGCTCAATAAATGTTGGCATTATTAATTCAAACAGAAGTTCACCTCCTGTAAATGGGGAAATTAAGGAGACTGGCAACCACAAACCACTCTGAACGTCCTGAAGACCGCCTGGTCACTGAGGCACACATGACTCTGCACCCTCTGACATGCCACGTCTCATCTGGCCACAAATCCCCATCAATCCAGAACCTGACCACTTGTCACCACCACACGCCACCATCCAGGCCACGCCATTGTCATTTCGTTCCTGGATTATGGCTGTGGCCTCCTACCTCTTCTGGCCTCTGTACCCAGCAGCAGGAGGCTTTCAGGGATGGTGCCGTCCTCCGTTCAGCCTTCAGATGGCTCCCACCTCACAGGAAAAGCGGAAGTCCTTACTGTGGCTGGCAAGGCCCTGCCCCACTGGGTGCCTGCCCCTGCTGTCACCTCTGTGGTGTGGAGCCCTTCCCACACTTCACACACACGATGTGTGTGTGCTGTGCCCTCTGCCTGGGATGCTCTTCCAAGACCCCTGTCTGGCTGCCTCCCTCACCTCCTTCAGGTCTTTGCTCAAATGCCAGCTTTTCTCAGGAGGCACTGTGATCCAGACCCTTCATTCTCCTTTTCTTGGCTTCATTTTTCTCCTCAGTACTCACCATGCTCTAACTTCCCTGGATTTTCATGATCTAGCTTGCTTGCTGTCAGCCTCTTCCACTGGAATGGAAGTTCCATGCGGGCAGGAACTGTGGTATATCTAGCACCCAGAGAACAGGCCCCATACCTACAGAGTCTCAGAAACCACTCTCGCAGGCTAGCTGGCTGAAGGAACAACACTGCAGTGGTTCCAGTGGATCCTGACTCCGTGGTTCTTATGAATCCCGCAAAGAGTGGTTCTTAATATGGGTCAATGGACCCCATGGGGATCTTCTGGGTGATGATCAAAATTCCAGGGGTCCCTGAACTTGGATGGTAAAAAAGCACATCTTCATTCTCACTATCCTATCCTCTAGCTGAAATGAAACATTTCTTTCCGTTATAAATAGGAACATACCACAGTGATACTACCTGTGACTGTGTCACCAGTAGAAATCAGATATTTTCATGACGCATTATATTGTTACCAGTGTCTCAAAATATTGATTCTGCTCATTACTGCTTCAAAATTATAATGATTATTGGACCTACTACTAGAGCTTGGTATTTAATGCATGAATAAAGGCATTCCTATATTACTATATATGCATTTGCTTTAGAAAGCATTTCACTATAACTGATGTACTCTGGAATCCTATATGCTTTATGTTCTGCATTTACAAACATTCTGAGAAGTGCAAGACATCCATGGCACAAAGAAGGTTGAGAGATTGCCTTTGGGACTGACTCCCTTTATCCCTTTTAGTGTCCCTGCTAAGTTCCAGGGTATGTTCACGGTACAGCCCTCAGAGGCAGTGATCAGGGTGACTCAGCCACCAGGGACCACAGGCAGCATGGGCCCGGGGCTGCCAGGCAGTGCGCTCGGGACTGCACGCACGCCAACTGTCCAATCTGGGTTTCTAGCTCCAGATCCAAAGACAGGGTCAAGCTGGGGTTGCCAGGAAGACTCTCACATTTGACTGAAAACAAAATGGAGTTTCAAGCTATCAGACTAAAAGACGGACTAATTATTTATATATATGTATTTCCCCCCAAACAACTAAATTCATATATATTTACTTCATCCTTACAGAGTACTTATTTATGCAAAATGGAGGCTGAGAAATAAATCCTTTAGAAAAAAAGGCGTAAAATTGTGTTGTTCTTCTGACTTCTTGTTTCTCCTGAGCAAACTTTGGGTCACCTTTCATTGGGAAAGGCCCAATGTGCAAAAGGGGAAGAAAAGCACATTCATTAGGCCACTGTCTCTAGCAGGCCCTGTACTAATTACTTTTCGTGTAGGATTTATTTACCATCTCTTTTCCCAGGCATGGAAACGGAGACTAGGAGACGTGACCTGGCTTGGCTCAAGTCACTCTCCCAATTTATTACTAAGTGCCCTGACTGCCATCTGATAATACACAGAGATGCCACAGACCTAATATTCATCCTTCTAAGCAGTCCTGGTTTTAGTTTTTTTTTTTTTGAGACAGGGTCTCACTTTTTCACCCAGGCTGGGGTGCAGTGGTGTGATCTCAACTCACTGCAGCCGTGACCTCCTAGGCTCAAGCGATCCTCCCACCTCAGCCTCCCAAGTAGCTGGGACTACAGGCGCACACCACCATGCCCAGCTAACTTCTGTATTTCTTGTAGAGATGGGGTTTCATCATGTTGCCCAGGCTGGTCTCGAACTCCAGAGCTTAAGCGATCCACTGGCCTCAGCCTCCCCAAGTGATGGGATTATAGGTGTGAGCGACCACACCCAGCCCCTGGTCACTTTTTACAGTTAGGTATCACTAGAGAGACTAAATACCCAACAGGAAACATTTTTCTCATTTCTATTTTCCCATGATAGATACCGATCCTGGGGGAGTGGGCTGGGGAGGGTGATGGGATTATCCAGTGAAAAGCCGCAGGCAACAGTTCAAGTCCCTCTGAATCCACAGCTACATGCACAGCTTCAGAGCAATACAAAACAGGTAATTTAATTCCATAAAATTATCTTTCTACAGTTCGTTTTTTCCTCCTAGCCTACTGAAATGTACACACCATGAGTACAAAGTACAAGGTGCTGTTCAGCTGTAATTTTACTTCTGCACATATTTAATGTGCTAATGGGATGAAGCATTTCATGGTTCCTGTGCTTAGCAAATGAAATAAATCAATGTGTTAAGAGAAAGCGATTTTGTTCTTGCTGTTTGGGGAAAGTGCTCTTTACTTTCCTATTAACAAAAACTTAATGAACCATTTCACATTCAAAACCCCTTAGGTCATAATGTCTATTTCTTAATTAAGTTTTTACAAGTCAAATAATGCTAATTTTCTTTTATATCTCCACACGGGCAGCAGCACTTAAAAAAAATTACTGAGAATAAACAACACCACAGAGTGAGGACTATTTCAGTGAGTTAAATATAGATGCTTGTAGGGCTTTATAAAGGAAGATAGAGAAAGCAAAATGACCTGGCCCAGAATACATGAAGTATAATCAAAGAAACAGGGTATTTGGGTTACTATGGAATTCGGGCCAAAATAAAGTTTTTTGTATGGTGACGACTTGGAATTTTGCTTCAAAACAGGAAGCATAATAATGCTGACCTGCTCTAAGAAACAGTGGTCACTGAGTATTTAAGTTCTTTTTCTTGAATTTATTTTAAATTTTTATGCTTAAACTTCCCAGCCTGTATTAAATAGGCCTAGGCTTTGTACAATACAGAAACAGGTACTTGAGGCTCACTGCTGGTTCGTTCTTGGGCCAGTCTTATTTTCTTTCATCCTAATTGCGCAGACAGCATCGGAGCTTTGTCAGCTTTACCTGCTCTGAATAGAAGCACTTTTGGCCCCCCTTGTCAAAGACTAGGGAAGAAAGCCCGCGCTCTGGTTGGCAGCAGTCTTGGATTCTCGCCCCCGGCCATACTGTGCAATCACGCTGTTTATTCCACTGTAACAATCAGACAGCGAGAGCAGAGCACCTGGTACTCCCCGGCCCGGGCCTTCCTTGGCAGCTGACGGGCAACCTCACTGCCAGGTGGTCGCGCTTCAATTACATTAGCTAGCCATTCTAGGGTTAACGAGGACCCACTTTCTTCAGAATGCCCCGGGAAAATCAGTTATTCATAAAAGACAGTATGCCTTTTGTTGATCATTGAACAATGTTGCTGAAAATCCATTAAATTAAATTCTCTTTATTGGGCTGAATAATGCAATAGCAATAGCCCCAGCTAGAAGTTTGCATGTTTATTTACCAAATTTCTGAATAATTTATACATGGATCCTGGCTCTTTTATCAGTTAGTGGCCAAATGCTTCTTCGGAATGGAGCAGTGTAGCTCTGCCTTCATCTTAACATGCACCAACACTTGCAAATAAAAAACAAACAAAAGCCGAATTTAATGGAGTGGTCAGAAAGGGAAATCTCATTTTAATTCAGAATTCACATTCCAATTTTCTTTTGCAAGAGGACTCTCACATATTTTGGCATGAATTTACATAAGATGCTTTTTGGGAGCTGTTTCACATGAGGACCTTTTTCATAACAGAAAATGAAAGAGAAGGAAACAAGTGGGAAGTGGGACAGCCGTTAATCTGTAAGTTAGGGAACTGCTGCCAATGTTTAGGTGGAAGGTGACCGGGATGAGGTGAGTGTGGGTGGACCTGTGGCTAGCCTTGTTGAAACAAACAAACAGCTAGAATGTCACCTTGCCCTCCCTGGGCCTCTGCAGCAGTGACCACAATGACAGCAGAGGCAGGTCAAGGCAGGACAGCAGCAGAAGCAAGCTCCCTCCCTTCAGTCGTCAGTCATCCTCTGCTTCTCTCCCTCAAGACCAGCGGGGGTTGCTGGAGGAGCACTCCCTCTCTCCTCCTGGCTAATGCTCTAGGTTGCCCATGGTTGGAGCACTGGCCATCAGCCTCAGATACAGAGCTGTAGAGTTGACATGTGCTGGGAAAGCTTTAAGTGGAAGAAATGTAAGAAAAACAAAGTTACAGAGGTATCCTAGAGTCATTTAAATACTGCTGTCCTAGGGATGTAGTCTGAGCTGTTTTGGAGATCATTTTAAAACAGGATTTTTCTTTTTTTAATTTAGAGGCAGCATCAACAGAAAGTGAAATTATCCTGAAGTATACATTATTTATCACAAATAACATAAGACAAGCCAAGAAAGAAATTCTATTGGATTTCACTTTCATTTAAGAAAAAAAATTTACTGTTTTTCAGAAATGAAAAAGAGTATCTGAATAAATTTAGAGAAAAAGGCATAAATATTAGTTGGTTTGCACATTCAAAGTAGTCTGTGAAAATATTTTTAGCAATTAGTGACAATGCAGTTGGAAGACAGACAGCAGTGGCTAAGAGAGTGAGCACCAAGCCGGGGTGTGAATTCACTTCTCACTTGATGGCTGAGAGATCTTGGGCAAGTCATTCAGCTTCTCTCTGTGCTTTCGCTTCTTTCTTGCAAAATGGGACAACAACCCTACTTTCTAGTGATGGTAAAGTACACATAAAATATTTATCACATCGTACACATTGTAAGAGCTCACTAAATTATGACTTATAGATTGGCCAAGAGATACTTGGTGGGAATGTTCTACACTTTCAGATGCCATGAGGCATCTTCACTCCGCTCTCTGTCGTCTTAGCCTAATTCAAGTTATGGCCATACACTCAGCTACTCTGAGTCCCTTAATGTAACCATCTCATTCGTTTCCTTTGCAGTGGAATAGCACAAACAAATTAAAACTCAAAGCAAGCACCAAAGAATAACTGTGTTATATTGCTAATGAAATATCTAAAGCATGGATTGTAATCAGACATCCAAATATAAATGTTTTAGTTTTGCTCCCTGATCATTTCTGATAAACACTTTGGCTTTGCCTTGGCATTTATCTTCCTAAAGCAGACTGGTATTACAATGTACGGTTCCAGTAACATTATCTCTGAATTATAAGATCCACCTTGAACAAGGCTCCAGCACAAAGGTATTAGAATGTGCTGATGACAAGCAGACACTCTTCTACTGCTGAAAAACAATGGCTGACACTTCTGTACGAACAGACAGAAGGCACATCAAAGGAAGCCTTTTACAGAGAAAAATTGTGTGATGCCCACTTTAATCTCTCTAGAAATCTATGCACGAACTGAACCCAATTTCATTTTTCACATAAATGCTAAGGCTTGATACAAGGACATCTTTTTCTTTACAGTTAAAAGATGAAGAGACAAAAGATACGCTAGCATAGCCTTTGAACTTTTTAAAGCTCTATCAATGGACCATGATACTTAACCACTGATACAAGGGCAGAGATTTTACAATAGCTGCATTTAAAGCATTCTGACTAAAACCAGTCATTATTATAGATTAAAGAAAGGCATTAATATCCACGTTTTCCTTAAAGCTGCATAGTTTTTATACTTTTAACCCTTTGATCAATTAACAAAGGTCTAAAAAGGTAAGATTGTAATACCAGAAGGATCTGTAAAACTACCGTGGCGTGGGGATGTAATTTGAAGGGGACTGCATTCATTTCCTGGATGAGGAAGGATGCATAAAAAGCATCTTTTTGGGTGAGAATGCGGGAAGCAGTCCTCCAGTGAATGAATGGCTTCAAACTGAGATAGTCCAGATAGTGACTCTTCTGACATTGCATCATTTTCTGGGGGCATGGGAGAACTATGAAACGATGTCTCCAGGTGCCTCTTGATCTTCACCTTTTTCCCCTTGTATCTCTGGATCCCTCTTGAGCCTTGGCTGTCCCATACCAGGTGCCCCTAAATGTGAAGCTGGTGCTATTTGTCTTTTATAGTTGCAGCCACCTCAATCTTCCAGCATCCCTAACTTCTTTCTGCCTGTCAGGCT
This sequence comes from Homo sapiens, assembly GCF_000001405.40. Classification (NCBI taxonomy): domain Eukaryota; kingdom Metazoa; phylum Chordata; class Mammalia; order Primates; family Hominidae; genus Homo; species Homo sapiens. The sequence goes on from NC_000020.11 coordinate 20,443,599, forward strand.
GCTGTGCAAGGCGTACCACATGACATCCTCATAAGGTGGAGTCCAGCTTTGTGGTCAGAATGCCTGTGCGCCAGGCCCACCATAACCATTATAAAGTGCTTGAGGAAGTCATGTGACTCCTCTGGGCCTGTTTCCGCATGGCTAAATGATGAACACAGTGGTGCCCACATGAAGTGCTTAGTACAGTGCACAACAAAAGCTAAGTCCTGGATAGCTGTTAGCCACTATTCTCCCCTCTCAGATCTGGAAGAAACCATGGGGGAATCTCGAGTCCATCTCTCACAGCAGCAGCAATCCTTTCTTCCTAGTCCTTGGGCATCTGTGAATCCCTGCTAAGGGGCTGCTTAATGCCTTAGGGCAGCAGCTCCCATTCCTGGCTGCGCATGAGAATCACCTAGTGGTTAATCGGCACTGATGCCTGGCCCCCATTCCAAACCAAGTTACCCAGAATCTGTGGGGTGGGTGCTGGGCATCAGTCAATATTGGAACCCCCATGTGATTATATGTGCAGCCAGGGTTGGGAACCATGGTTTATGGCAACACAACACACACACACTTCCTCTGGAATCCTCCCCTCTGTACAGGGCCACAGAATGGGACAGAAGGACCTCCAGGGGCCTGTAAGCAAGAAATGTGTCAGATACGTGTTAAAAAGGAATGCAAATTCACGGCTTGCATTTATTTTAATACAAAAATGTTGTATATGATTAACTATCAAGTACTGCTGATGATCTGCAAAGGCACGCTGTGTGTCTCCTGGGACTCTCCTACACCCTAGCACATCACCTCGTTTCCCAATTTGAGGAGATCTTACTTATTTCAAGAAATTTTAAAACTTTTTATTGACAAATACACACACGCACAGACACACACACACAGTACACAGAAGTATAAAGCTCAATGAATTTTCACAAATTAAACACACTCATGTTATCAGCACCCCAATAAAAAATCACCAGCACCTTCCTGCTGCTTTCCAGACACTCTCCCCCTTACTGGAAGGATAACTCCTCTCCTGATACACTGCAGATTAGCCTAGCAAATACTGTCAGTTTCCCCAAGTGGTTGATTGAGCCAATTTACATTCCCACCAGCAGCATTTCAGAGTTCTAGTTGTTCTATAGTCTCACCAACACTTGGTATTTTTCACATTAATTTTAATACAGTAGCCAGTCCCCCCTTCTCCGTGACTTCCTTTTCCATAAGTTTGTTACCTGCAGTCAAGCAAGGTCTGAAAATATTAAATGGAAGATTCCAGAAGTAATTCGTGTTTTAAACTGCACACTGTCTGTCCTTTTGTCCAGCGGGTCCACGCCGCATGCGCTGCCTATTAGTCACTTATCAGATCAACAGCCACAGGATCACCTGTGTTCTGTGTTGCATGTGCCTGTGTTCGAGTAACTCTTATTTTACTCAATAATGTCCCCAAAGTGCAAAAGTAGTGACGCTGGCATATTGTCATAATTGTTACATTTTATTATTAGTTATTATTAATCTCTTTGTCTAATTTAGAAGGAAACTTCATAATAGGTATGTATGTGTAGGAAAAACGTAGAATATAAAGGTTTTGGTACTATCTGAGGTTTCAGGCATCCACTGGGCATCTTGGAATGTATCCCCTGTAGATAAGGGGAAGCTACTGTAACTTGAGATGCTCGAATGTAATGTCTGACTATTCCATAAGTGCCTGAGTTTTGCAAGGAGATTCATGAAGATGGAAGCCTATTACACCCAAAGTGCTGAATTTTGCATGGCAGAAAGGCAGATGATGGAGTAAATATATTGGTCAGATGTTGGTTCTGAGTATGGGGGCCACTGAATGACATTTACTCTGTTCTTGGAACTGGAAGCTGGGGAGATCCCCCACGGAATCTAATCTGGCCTTTGGCTCCAACTGTGGCCCTGACTAGTCCACATCACTCAGAAATGGGTGCTTCTTCAAATTCTTGTTTTTGAAATAAACCATAACAAAAAAAGGCCAATCAACCCACCCACCCAATTAGGCTATTTTCTCCATGGCTGGGGATGGGTAAAGGGATCTATAGCATAGCCTCCAAACAGTACTTTCCTCTCAATGCCAAAAAACTTCTGATTAATGGTCAAACAGGTTCTTAGGAATTACACTTCCATGTAATTTTCATTATAAATAAATTTAATTGCCCAATGTGTTTAATATTTTTAGAACTAGTATGTAAAGAAGTATAATCTTAAAAAGAAAAACTGGCAAAATCCAGCAACTGCTTTGAAAGAAGCTGTAAGATTTGAACTCAAAAGCATTTTCTGAAAAGCTGGACTCAGAGCCAAAGCTAATGCATTCTGCTAGCACTAAACAATGCACATTTGCTTTGGAAAAAACATTTTTTTTTTTAATGACTGAATTTACAAACATAGTCCATTTTCTTCTTAGAGCTAAAGTATCATCTCTCTTGCTGGGGCACTTTTTTTTTTTCTTTTTCTTTCAAAATCCTCTTTAACAGGAGCTGTGGTTAGTAAAATCTTATATTCTTACTTGAGCATATGTTCTTCATAGAAACCCAAACTGTGACCTCTTTGGATTGCTGAATGAATGTATATGTTTCTAGTTAGTAAGTGTGAACTGTTAAAACTCACATAAAACACAAAAATTTGAGATATCCCCCTCTCAACTTCCCCATTTTGAGGGTTTCACATAAAAACAAGTGAAAAACATTTAGAGAAATGAAAAAACATTCTGAATATATTATAAATTGGTTAAACACATATGCTGGCAGATTATCAATCTTTTGTTTTGAAAACCACCACATCATCTTACAGTGAAAGAGGTAAATTTTCAAACTATTCTGCTGCCATTACTTTTAAAGGCAAAAACCGCAATTACTTTTGCACCAATCTAAATAGGTTTTGAAATCAACAAGGAGGAGAGGAGAATGATGATTAAGAGGAGAACAGCAGCCACCAGAAGCAAAAGAAATGACAGTACCTTGGCTTTGCAGGATTGCTGTGGAAAGCAAATGCATTACTACGCATAAAGAGATGAATGACACTGCACTGCTCAGCACTGCCCTGGGTTATACAAAGCTGACCTGCGTGGCTACAGGTATAATGCAGAGGGCAAATATTCCACTGGGCCTGGTGGTTCTACATAAATGATAAAGTGAGTGACTTCCTGGGTTGAACTAGTTCCTGCAGATTCAAAATGTGTCTGAGGCTGTGACAGGGTGAGGACACTGCAGGCATTCTCTGGAGTGACAAGTCACCGAGCCTCTTTGGCTGGCTGTGCCCAAACTCGCACTTAGGAAATGTTCTAAGGCCAAATTCCACTCTGGAACTCTCAGGCTGCCATAGTTCTGCTAAGTTTTAGTTTGATGGCCCATTTGTCATGAAGTCAAACCCCAGTTAAACTGATTTCTCAGCTGATTGGCAGGGATAGCATTTTAATTATCTTGCTTGTAGATTTCAACATTTTAATACAATTGCATATAAAGCAAAGATAACTTTTTTCCATTTGTGCTTTTCATTTCATTAAGATAAAAGTGGTTTGAGTCTCTTTTTCAATGGGTTGATAAAGGAAGGGGGCTATCCATTGTCCAGCACCAGAAGGAGGTCAGCTGTCTGACTTGGTGGCAGTATTGAGAATTTGCTAACATGGCAAGCAATTCGAAAGTTTCCCAGGCAAAGATGCATTTCATTTGTTAATTGATTTTTAAAGACTTTATCATGAAAACAGGATTGGAGACACTGCATACAATAAACAAAAATAACATTCACTGGGCACAATGCCCAGAGAAACCAGCTACACAAACACAACACTAAAGGAAAAAGATGGTCCCGAAGAGAGGCCAAAATGGTTCAAGATGCAGAGAGCTCAACAGCAAGGGGCTCCAGAGAAGCTTCACAAACACAATCCTGAGCCCTGGCAGATGTCCTGTCAAGGCAGCTAAACCCTCATCACAGCACCTGTGCACAGATTCCTCTGGTTAGTAAACAAAGTTGCTATTCACATATTCTCTATGCTTTGTAATGCAAAAAATTAGGTTGAATTATATCAAATTGCCTTTTTTTTTTTTTTAACTAGGTCAAACAGTCAAATATCAACAACTTCATGCACTTCAACCCAACATAAAATAAGGAGTGGAACTCATCTCACAATGTCTCTCATTTTTTTGTCATCATGAAGCTCTTTTTCTGGGCACCTGTAGAGAGGATGAGGTAGGACAGTCTCTTGCCTACTGGACTGAGCCACATCGACAGTATCTGAGGATCTCTGCCCCGCATCCTCAGTGTAGCCAGCAATGTGCCAGGTCCCTGATGCATGCAATTCTACAAATGTTAGAGAAGGGAGAGAAACAAGGGGGCATCATTCTGCCTTCCTTGTGCTCCAATTATTCTTCCAACTCTTAATCCCTTTTGCTTTTATCCTCATGGAACATGGGGTACTTAATGTGAAACAACTTTAACGTTCATTTTTTCCAATGTATTAACTTTATAATGGCTAGATGAGAACACAAATATAGTCCCTCCCCAGTTTGGATGGGGGTAAGTAAAAATTGTTTTTGAAAAATGAATATTCAGATGTATTTTTCACCATTATAGAAATAAGAGTTAATATTGTGATGAAAAGAGCTGAATACAACATGAATGTAGAACTCTATCATATTTCAAGACAGAAAGAATTTTTTCTAGGACTTGAGAGTACTTGACCGAGTAGAGTGTAGTTTAATCTCAATGTTAAATAGTCTTTAAGAAAAGGCAGATAATCCATAGGTTGTCCGGTTGTTAAAAATCAGGATTAAGCTCCTGGTCTTAGTTAATAGATGTGTTAAGTAAATGAATGTGGCTAGTTTTATGCTATCTGCCATATAATATCAAATTTATCAGGTCTTTGAAGAGGTGCCAACAAAACACCTCTAAATCCAGACAGAATTTTAGAACACACTAATAATTAAACAGATAATGAAATTTAAAAAATATATTACTTGAGTGTTACTATTTTCCAAGAAACACAGTTGTTACTCCATTATTTTTAATAGAATCTATCCTACAAAGTTTCCCAGGCAATTCTACGAAAAGATATTGGAAAACAGAAATAGCATTTTTGACATTCAAGCATTTCTACAACTTTAATTTCAGAAGGAAAAACCTCAAAGTAACAAATATATTTTTAGGGTACTGAAAGAAAATATAGCTTTAAAAAAATGTTAATCTTTACTCTCAGTGAAGAGAATGACTATGAAAACTGACCAGTGATTTACTTACTCAAAAAGCGACCTGACTTTGGGTTTATGAATGTATATTGAAAAAAAAAAAAAAAGGTAAATCTGCCTTCAAGTTACGACTTAACAGGAGTTCGGTGAGTCCATAATTAGCACCTCCCATGGCGGGTTTTCTAGAATCTTAACACAGAAAACCTGGAATGCACATCTTATTTAACAACCTGAGGAGACAGAGAGCTTTTCACAGGCAAAAACACATTATGAAGTTCATTAATTAAACAGTGCGGGTGGAGCAGATGGATGCTACCTACGCTTGAATGACGCTAAATTGGGACAGAGGTTTGCAGTCCTTAATGAAGCTCCATAAAATGAATGATTACATAGTGATCACAAGTAAACAAACCTGAGAGAAGAGCTGGATTATAGGGCAACAAGTCCTGCAACATGGTAACAAGAAGACCAACATGCATGGAAGCACCTAGTACACAGAGAGGCTTTGACATCATTCAATCCCAGACCATCCCCAGGGTTGAGGAAAGCTGTGTGAGTCTACAAAGAGTTAAACATGAAATGACAGTCGGTGGGGCAATAATATAAAAATGCCTGGCCATGGAAATGAAGGGAGCAGAAACCTTTTTGTCACATAAAATCCATTATTGAGAATAAGACACTCAAGTTTCCTTTTATCTTCACAGAAAAACAGATGCAAAATGTCAGGTACTTGGGCTTTTTAAACTAAAAGGCTTAGCAAAAGCAGCTAGCCAGCTAATGTGGGCATTAAGATTATTTTTCAATCATACTTTCCCCTGTCACTAATTAATTCTTCACTTTTTCAGCTATTGTTAAGCCCTTAACTTTTTTTTTTCCCCCGGACCTAATTAGCTTGTGATGCACATGAACTTGCATGTCTGCTCCAAAGATATCTTTTGAACTCATGGGGTAGAATAGAAATCATTTTGATATTAAAAATTTCCTATAAATATATGCTGTTGTCTGGAACTTATTAGGTTAGAATGACCTATTATGTCTTCCAACTTATACAAAATATAATTTCATTAACAGTAATTGACAACTTTAGAACAAGAATGGCCCGAAGACATGTGGTAGCTACACCTTACAGCAAGCATTAGAGGTCAGCAGTAGTCAATGGGGATGCCCTGCTCTGCTGCCAGAGCCATGACTGTGGATTCTCTGTATGCCTTCAGATGATACTCTTATTTTCATCCTCGCTTCCTGGGCTTTGATTTTCTCTTTCTCATTATACATGGCCTTTATGTAAGCTCTTTCAAATCTATTTTAGAGAGAGGTAGAATATAAATGGATTCCACATATACAAATAAATATCTTGCTAGCAAAAAGACAGAAAAATCACTGTGATGGAACTGCGTCCTCAACTATTTCTCAAGGCAAAAGCACACTAACTAACATCAATTAGATGCTTATTTTGGGATGGACTCTAAGTGGGATATGCCAGTAAGAATATTTAAACTTAATATTTTCACTGCTTTTTAATTTGGAAGCTACATGTATTTAGGTGTAAGAGATGTACACATGGTATCAAAACGGGAATACTTTCCATCCTAACTTAACGATAATTTTGTTTTCATATTTATTCCATACAATCAAGGTTTAAAAGGCTAGGATTCACTTGGTAACAATAATGAGAGAACAAGCTAAAACTAATTGGAATTGCTTCACTTTCTGAAAGCTATATCATTTTGATGGTCTCCTATTCTTAGGTCAAAAGTGTGCACAAATGAGAAACAGCAGGCGGCCATAGAGTCAGGTTGGTCTGGGCTCTCATCCCAGCCCTGCCCTGGCTGTGGGCCCCAGGCCAAGACCCAGCTTCCTCGAGCTTCACTCTCCCCATCTGTGGGTTAACACAGTCCCATTCTGCAGGGTTGTCGCCAAGAGTGAGAATAATGGTCCAACAGTCCTTCTGGGTGCCTGTGATCAGCCTGCGCTTTTGCACATCGTGCACTGATGTTCCAAACTGCCTTTTGGAGCTGAGTTTACTCTCTGGTCCATTGGCTGATGAGAAAGCATTTTATCAGTTACATGCAGACACTAACTACTGACCAAGAGTTCAGGCTCAGCAGTGTCTCCACTTCTGTCCTTAGGTAATTATTTGAATACTCCAGTGAATTTTGCCCTCATTTCATAAAAATGAGTGGTAATAGGATAAAATAAAAGTACTAGTAGGAGCAACAACAAACATAGCTCTCAAACTCAAGGCAGTGAAAGCAAAACTAGAAATCCTCACATATGCCAAACGTGGAGAATTTTAAGTGCCTAATAAATTTTTAGGCACACCAAATACACACCAGCTTATTTCCAATGGCAAAGAGCAAAATTAGAGAGCATGCTTGAAAAATGGCATCAAAACTGGAATATAGAAAGTGAGGCCCACTTAGAAATTTTATATATTTTTGTTTCATTTTCAGAGAATAGAATGCCCTTTATAAGTTAGATGTGCATTTGAATTCCTATCTGTAGATCAGAAAGCAAAAACTTCAGACTTAAACATGAAACCAAAATGAAACATCAATTCTGAGTGTCTAGCCTGCTCCCCAAAAGACATCTTTTGGGCTTCCAAAAAGTAATCTATTTTTAAAAAAATCTATATTACCCTCTTAGGTTGAAGTTCCTTTATAAATTCATTCATTTGCCAAATTCTGATTGCAAAAGTGCTCATGTGCCAGACTGGCTACAAAACACTTACTGATCCATAATTAGAAACTGCCTAATCATTTCATGGTTGCAATTCCTGACTCTGAAATGTTTAAATAAAATGTTCAGTAAAAGGTTATTTATAAAAGAACCAATATTTTGATCACTACTTCAAAGGGAGGCCTGATTGTGTAAATGCAAATAACTGCCTTATTTTAGTACTTAAGGTCTCAGATTGAATGTAGCTATCTATTAGCACAACTGATCCAAAGTTTAGGAGGGACATTCTTTTAGAAGATCCCATGTATTTATTTTCTAGTTTGAAAAATGGACATTTTAATATAAATTTATAATCTAAATTTCTGTTGCCAGAATTTGGTTAAGTGGGCCTTATTTAGTATACTAGAAGAGACTATGCAAAATCATATTCCACAAAAGAATCAACATTCTCTTATAGCTTTAAAATACTATAATGTGAGCTTGAAATGCTCCACACCTGAATTGATAAGAGCATTAGGCAGTAGTTTCTATGAAGCTTTTAAAAGAGAAAGTTAACTTCTACTAAACAATTACAAGTGTTCAACTAATACAGTGTCTTCTGACCGATTTTCTAATAACAGCTTTTAAAATAAATCTACCAAACTGTTTTGACTCTTCCAATGTAAAAAAGAAATTGAAAGTTAAAGCTTAAAAATTCCCCATATAGAGAGGAAATAAACTTAAAATAGAAATTTAAAATAACTTCAATCCAAAGTAAAGCAAATCGTTTCATACACTTTCAGTAAGTATAACAAATTTTATATAGTGACCCAAAAGTCACCATTGTAGAGCTTTGCAACTCAAGACGTTTTAGCTGGAGGGGTTAAAAGTGTGGGTGTGGAAGTCAGCTTTTGTTTGAAAAATTAGCAATGCTATGAGTCATCGTGCATTAGCTGCAGAAGAGTTTTGCATCTTGTACGAATCCAGACACCATATGCCATGCGAAGGCCTATTACTTTATTCGGTGCCACCGCTGACAGGCAGCCACGTGGGTATCCCCAGCGGAAGGGCTGTCTCCTCCCGGCGGCGAGGACAGGAACCCAGTGAGCTGAACACATCCGACATTGTACGGAGCAGCAGGAACAGCTGGTAAGCTAGCAAGCGGCAACGGCCCAGCGAGGAGCGTGGATGCTAATGAGCCTGGCGACAATGCCGGCCTTCAGAGGGGTAAGTGCAATGTCGGCCGGCATGTTCCCACAACAGCCTCAAGAGTAGAATCTGCTCGTTCATGCCTTCAGTCTCATTAAAGCATGATACTGGTATTTGTGGCTTATCAAAATCAGCTGTAAATCACAAGTTATAAATCCGACCAACAGATCCAACATGATTTAAAATGTTGCACTGAAATGCAAGTAAAATTCCACAGGCATCTTTGGGTCCTGATGGAGAGGTGTTGACCAGGCACTGGGGTGGTGGGGAGCCGTGAGTTGATGGCACAGGTGGAGCAGCTGCTGCTGGTTCAGGTCCTGGTTACCATTCACAAAACTGTGTGGCCTCAGGCAAGTTATTTAACTTTTCTGGGCTTCTGTTCCCTCAACTATATTTTTTAAACATAAAAAAGTTTGTGACATAATAGATTGTGTTAAGACATTGCATTGCGTTTGCATAATACATTAAAATAGGATCATAATTGTGCCTTCCTGATAGGATTGCTTAATAACTGAATAAAATATGTGAGGTTCTTAGTGCCTGGGACAGAGCAAAGAATGGTGCAGCTAAGTAAACAGATGTCTCTCCAGGTGACCCAAGAGGACAGCTCCAAGCAGCTTCACCTCCTGGTCTTGTTCTTCTCACACAAGACAAGACAGTAGCACATCTCCTTATGAGTGAGGGGTCTATGGCATGAGATGGGGGAAGGTGTCTGGCAGACACAGTGAGATGAGACAGCGATAAGAAGGGGAGGGAGTGATGTGTGCACATCTGGGTGCTGTGGACCCCAATCTGATTACTGCGGGGGGTGGGTTTGGGCTCCTAGCAGCATCTGAAGCTCCAAGATCACCAAGTTTCTTGATGGTTCCAGGTTTACCAAAGGCTCTTTTCCGCTGAAAGTCGTTTACTTTTTCTGAATGCTCCTTTCTTCCATCAAGTCCCTGTGACGCCTATTCACCCTCCAATTGCCAGGTCACAGGCCCTCTGTGGGACGCCTTGAGGCTCTGGGCTGCACTCTGCATCACAGCCATGAGGAAACTGTGCACTGCTCTCTTCCCTAATGTGCTCTGTATTCAACAAAGAGCCCCTCCAGGGTGGGCACCGGGCCTTCCATTTGTGCACCCACAGCAACAGCACAGTGCCTGGCATACAGGAAATGGCCGATGGGTATTTTGTTGAATGAATGAGTACACTAACGAAAAAAATGCTTTTGGACTTTTCAGAATTGGTGTCTAGGAATATGAATGAGATTATCAGATTATCAGAATCAGTTGATTATTTTTTGTCAAGATTTTTTTAAGCCCTAAGTAAAAGACATTTTACTGAATGATCATCTCCAGCAAGAAATGCACCTTGCACCTCTATATCGTAGGGCAGGATGTGTGTAAATATGAGAGAGAACTACCTGGTTCTTGGAGAAAAACTTGTTTCTCAGAAGTTTTCCTGTGAGCTAAGCTCAACTTAAGGGGTTCTCCGAAGGTGTTATCTGTACTCTGTGAAAAATGGAAAGGATGCAGTGGCCTGTGAGGTGCAGATTAGTGAAAGTGGCCTTAAAGGTGAGATGATCAGCATAGAGTTTAAAAGGCCACAGAGCTCGAAACAAAGATTACATCCCAGGAGAGACCTTTGTGTAAAATACAGTGTGTCATTCACTAATGAATTTGAGCATGTCTGAATTTGGAAACCAGTCCTCTCTGACCGGCAGGCAGCTGCTGAGGCTCTCGCACACAGCAGGCATGACACTCGTGGCTCTATTGGCCACTGCTGCCTGCTCCTTATAGGACCAGCACACAACAGTGGCCAGAAACCCTGGTTCAAACTTGTCTCCCACATATTTGCTTTCTTCAGATCAGCCCTTAACTTTACGTTGTATCCTGAAATCCACAGATAAAATCAAGATAACTAGATATGGGAATGGAATGAGGATTGGAAGCCAGGTAAAGAACTGAAGAGGCTTTTCCTGACTCCCCACTCTGCCTTCCAAGGATGCCACAGGGGTAGTTCCAAAGCTAATCCCTAGGGGAAGCTCCTTTGGCCTCAGTGGTCCAGGGAAAGACAGATCTTCACTCTCCAGCCTCTCACTTGGTCACAGCCATTCAAAGACGGTAGTGACATCCAATGTTCATTGTCTTCTAATGATGTTTTGTGGGAAAGTACATGCTAGAGTAAGAATGCTCTTCAGTTACTGGCATTTCAAATATATATATATTTTTAAAGTTTTAATGTTTTAAAAATACCCAGACTAGAAATAATTACAGCACAAAGCCCAGGTCTGTAGTGACGCAGTGATGGTCTGGAGCAGCACCAGGGAGGGCTGGTACAAAGTCTGAGAAGGGAATGAATATCTGTCTGTAATTCACACATGCATACACAAACACAAACACATGTCCATTTCCCTGAATCAAGTTTCAGAGGAATGGTGATCCATGACGGAGATTATAAAAAGTACACATTACAAACAGAATGTGTCCCTAGGAAGGGTGTTACGAATCTAAGCCCCGGAGCTGCTGCCTCCACAGTCCCGTGTAATGCCACCTAAGTGCTCTGCCTCGCATGACTTGCTGCAGGCTGCCACGGATTAGAGCTATCGATCGCTGCCTGCAGAAGGGTCTCGCTGTGCGAAAGGAAGGTGAGCGCTAGAGACAGACAGCTCAAGTATCGATCTGCTCTGGCAGAAGGCCGTGGTTCCAGATGCAGAGTGGCACTCCTTCACATCACCCATGAGTTACTATAACGTGCACGGAAACACTAAAGAGCTGGGGGATCGGGCCAAAGGCTGGAATGTCATCACCACCTCCTCGCCTGTCAGCTGGTCACGAGATCCAAAGATGCCATGTGAAATCTCTGGCTGTTTAAAAAACACAGGCAACAAAAGCCTAGGACGGGCATTCCTATGGTCTTCCAAGGCAGAACGGACAAACCACTGCCACAGAGGACTGCCAAGGGTCATGTTAAGAAGTGGTCAGAGAATGTGGATACATCTTTAAGAATGTTCCTCCAGCGGCTGAGAGGTTCACCAGAGCCATCAGGCCGGCTCTTACTATAAAAAGACACAATCCTTTTCCCCACTAAAAGCTGATGCCTTCCCCTACTTAAAGCAAAACATTAAAAAAATTGGTCCAAACGGACATTCTCCTTAAAGAAATCTCAATGATACAATTTATATGGTTTTCAAAAGATTTTGGGGGAGACAACTTCCAAGGCACAAAGACATAAACTCATCTAAAAAGTCAAATACAATTATGAGGTACATCAAAACTCATGATTTTTGAAAGCAATATAAAATTAGGATTCATGAGACCAAGTTAAAGTGAAAATAAGGAGCTCAAGGAAATCAAGTGTAACAGGAACAAAATGCACGCTTTCAACACTTGCTTCTGTGGACACAGGAGCAGAGTGAACTCTATTGCTTTCATGACTTAACTCTCTGGATTTAGAAGTCATTATTTAAATCAGTTATCTTTTCAGTATCCATATTAAGTCATTTCCTCCCATGCACATTGTAAAGACATCCTGTGGTGTAATTACATAAATGGCACTAGAGTCTACTTTCCCCTAATTAGAAATTCCTTAAAATGTTTGCATTTCTGATTTTAATCCAACTAACATCTACTGACTTCTTATGATGTTAGATGCCGGAGACTGAAAGATGAATAACACATAGCTTTACCTTTAAGGAGCTTGCTGACCAGTGGAGGGGCAGATGCCTCATAGTGAGCCCCTCACCCAGTGTGGTCAGTGCTACACCAGCTATGGAAGACAGAGAGAAATGTCCGTTGGCCTGTGGCCCTCCTTGGACAGGCAGGCTGCTGCTTATCTCACAACAGGCTCACTCTCCTCCCTTGAATCTAGGCTGGCCTTGTGACCTGCTGTGGCCAAATAGTTCTGAGACTTCCAAAGTGCTATTGTGAAGAAGCTGGCACCTCCACCTGGATCTCTGGAGCCTGTAGCAGCCATGTCAGAAGCCTGACTGCTGCGAGAAGACCCAAACTAGCCAAGTGGAGGGGCTGCTGAGCCAGGTATGCCTGGCCAGCCCCAAGCTGTTCCAGCTATGCCAATGCAGGTGCCAGATGTAAGAGACCCTGGGTAAGAACCATCCAGCTGAGCCCAGTCAACCCACAGAACCATAGAAGAGCCTCCCTCCACCATTTTGCCTTTAAACATTTCTGCAAAAATCTTTATAAAGTTCCTTTTTTTTTTTAAGTGACAGTGTCTGCAGGCTATTCACCGGCACAATCATATTGCACTACAGCCTAAACTCCTGGACTCAAGTGATCCTCCCACCTCCTGAGGAGCTGGAACTTGCAACACCATGTCCAGCTCTTGCAAAAATCATGATGCTTAATTTTGCAAGTTTGCAGACTCTCATGTGAGAAGACAATGTTAGGACTTCTATTAATATTTATCTTTTTATCTCCAATGATGAACTCAATTAAGCTTTACTGAAATTTAACACGTGCCTGACACTTGCACCCTTCTTGCTAGGTCATCTATCAGACTGTCCTAGGTCAGGTTCAATGTATGAGCTGTACTAAGAAAGAGAAGGAGAGGGAGCGAGGGGCTGGCAGTAGAGCCCTCATTTACTTTCAGCACAGGGAGAGGTACCATGGTTTACATGAGCCTCCAAACTGAAGTGTTGAACTTTATTATCCTATAAATCGTATTATCTTTACAATTCACTGTTCTGAGGCAGAGCATGAACATGGAAATCTTTTGTCGCACACACGAGTTTGCCATTTATCTCACAGGAAAGATCTTATAAAAGCTGAAATTTGAATATAAAGATGAGTTGCTCATTTTTCTTTTTTATGGAAAGACAAATGTCCTAAATTTGGTGACCTTTTCTGTGATGACAAGGAGCTGAATTCGTTCATTCGGCGTGTACTCACTGAAAAAATATTTACTCTGCAGCAGGTGCTGAGGCTACATCCAGGGTTGGTATTCACCTGGAAAACACCCGCATGGCTGGCGTCCTGGTCAGTGCCAAACTGGTGTCCTTATGTACCCACTGTTAAATATTTCCACTCTCACCCTTGGAGGCACCAGTGAACAAAGCAGACAGAAATCTCTGCCCTCACGCAGGGGGCACGGTGTGAGTAAAATCAGTGAATTACATAGTAACTGAGAGGGTGATAAAGGCTGTGGGAACACACAGCATGGGCAGCCCAGGCAGTGCTGGGAGGTGTGGGTGCACATGTGTGCGGGGCTCTCGCATAGGGAGACAGTGAAGAGGGGCCAAGGGAACATGCCACGTGGGCATCTGGGGAGCAGTAGAGGCAGGGGGCATGGAGGGCACAGGCCTCCCCTGAAGGCCTGGATGCTGAGGGAGGCAGGGCCCCTGGTGAGGGTGAGCTGGCAGTGACGTGGCTGACTCACACTTTAGTCGCTGGCCCTGGCTGATGCTCCGAGGAGACTGGGGAGGAGGCCACGGTCAGCAATGCGCCCTTAGCCATTCCTTTAGGAAGAAAGATACTGCTCCCACAAAAGAAAAGGAGAGCGCTGACACTGAGTGAGAGAGTAACTGCTATTTGAAAGAAACATGCTGTAAAGAGAAAGCCTTCAATTGAGATGTTGGAAAATGTTGCCTTCAGCATGGGAATTTATTGTCGAAGATGGTTTCTGTTTTCAGAAAGCACTCATATCTCTACTATCAAAACACTCATAAACAGAATTTTATTTGTTTCTAAACTTCCAAATAAGAGCTGAGTACATTTTGAATCTGTTTGTCCAAAAAAAATACATTTTTTATACATATAATATATGTTATATATAATATATATGTATTTTTTATATTACATATAATACATATGTATTTTATATAATATATAATATATATGTATTTTATATATATTATATATAATATATATGTATTTTATATATATTATATATAATATATATGTATTTTATATATATTATATATATAATATATATACCAATACAATAAGAAATATATGAGCTGTACTAAGCTGTACTAAGAAAGAGAAGGAGAGGGAGCAAGGGGCTGGCAGTAGAGCCCTCATTCAATATATATATATATAGACCTATATATATATACACACACACACCTATATATATATATACACACACCTATATATATATACATACACACCTATATATATATAGACCTATATATATATAGACCTATATATATATAGACCTATATATATATAGACCTATATATATATATAGACCTATATATATATAGACCTATATATATATATATATATACACACACACAAATAAATAAAATATATATATACCAATACAACAACTGATCTCACATCAAGGAAGATGGAAATTTCCTTCCAAATGTCAACAGGAACCTTCATAGAACTGGTGGCTAAGAATGTAAACTGAGCACGAACCTGTGATTTAGGAGGTCAAGACAACAATCTGCTCCAGCTGGTCTATGTCCTCTTTGCAAAGTTTTGTTTCCGGCTATGAAACCAAGTTATCAAAATACACTGAGCTTAGATGGACCCCTTGGAATCACTGAATCACAGAACTATTAAACTAAGATTATAAAAATAAAGCAGCACATTTTAATTCCACTGCACTCACTAAAGCACTACTGATATCCTAATAAAAGCAAAACAATTTTACACTATTGAATATAAAATACTTCAGATTACTATTTCCTCTTTATTGCATCCTTTAAAAATTCTCAGTATTGACTATACTTTATGTCATAATGTACTAGTAAAGCAGAACTTGTACATACTTTAAAATAAATCAGTATATGCACTACTGAATGGCATGCTTAAGAGGTTTTTTTGCTTTTTTTTTTTTTTTAGGTCTTTGGGTGGGGTATGTAATAAGAAAAAGCCTGCAGGCTTCTGAGGTAGGTAGTGGGTTGGAGGCAGGTGTCCTCACCCACTAAAGTGAGGACTGCGACAGTCCGGCCTCTGTGCCCTCCTCTGGAATGGAATGGGGAGTGGCGACCATACAGCCTCAAGAGCATGCTGTTCACCAAGACCCTTGCGCCCTGAAAAAATGCCTTAGCACCCTGGAATGGGCCATGGACACCAATATAATAAATTATAATCAGCGTATGAATATCTTTTTGTAAAACAAACAAATTAACAAAGTTATGACATTTCCCACCTATCAAGTTATAGATGACACACACGTGAAGAGATAACTAATGAGAGGTACACAAAAACGTGAATTATTTGAAGCAGCAGCTAGAAATAATCTTTTCCCTTCGAGCTCCCATGACCCACTGATTCTCTCTCTTGTATCTTGTGTTGCAGTGACTCAACAAATACTCACTGGGCACTGACCACATGCCTCTCCCAGAGCATAGGCTGCATCCTACCCTATGTCACAGTTATAACCCATCCTGGCTGTGAAGCCCCCTGAGGCCACTCACCTCTGCCTGCCCTCTACAGTGCTTGCCACGGCTATACCGATGTTGGTTGCAGGAAGAACACAGAAGCATGGCCACCCTGATTTACCATGGCACATGTGGCAGGGTCTGGGCCCTGAGATGTTCTTCTAGTTGGGGCTGGGAGAACGAGCGAGGGGCCAGGCCCTCCTCTACACTGCTGCATCCATCAGCTCAACCGTTCATTCATTCTTCAGTCTCATATTTATATATACTTCATTCCATACATCCTTACAATAATCTGTCTTGGAGGGATTATTTTCCTCATTTTAGAGTAAGGAAACTGACAGAGGTAAAGTATTCAAAGCCAAAAACTAAGTTATTATTTAATTTAAACTAACATCAAAACCCAAGGTCTGAGGTCAGCTATGACATGTTACCTGCTAAGCTGGGCATGACAATAAACAAGATACACTTTAAAATTTATCTGGCACTTGTAGTAAAATTGCTGCCATGAAGGAAAGAGAATATCCCCAAACTCTTCTGTGCAAGAACTCTTCTCACTGAGAACCAAGACTTGACCATAAGGGTCCAGTGTTATGGTGTCAGTTACACGGCCCAACATGAGACGTAGAAAAAGGTTTTACATTGCTTTATGTTTCCCCTAAATTAAAAAACAAACAAAACATGTTTACTATCCTACTGAGTTATTGTCAGGGGCATTTTAGTTAAACAATTGGTCTACATAACAAACCCACTGAGGAAACTGGCGGTTCAGCTCGTGCACACATATGGGCATACCAGCTCTGACAGCACACAGCAGCTCTGGAACTCCAAAGCATGACTGACCTGCTACCTTATTGAATCTTGATGACCTAAAAAAGTGATCACTGGGCAAATTAATCCAGAGAGAAGGAGTGTGGAATCAGAGTCTGGAAATTTATGTCAGAGAAAGCCAATATAAGTTAAAAGGAAAGCGCATCTCATCCCAATCTGAGCTGAAACCCACACTTAGGCTAAAATTCTACAAAAAATGGGGTGGTTTATGTGAAGTGCTTTCCTTAGTCAAATTTTCTGCAAAAATTATATGCATTTGACAAAATTATAGAGCATAAGTACAAAACCAATCTGTTTCTTTTTATTCAAATAATTTAGATGTTGTTTTCTGATGTAGTCTTCTGATGTGCATATGTCATTATAAGCAAAGAATGTTTATCCTGTTAAAGAGGCATACATTCTATTTTTCTAAATCAATGAGTAAACGGTATTTCTGAGACATTCTAAAGAGGCTCTTCTTTTTATAGGGGTTAAAAATTATATGAAAATACTCCTTAAATTTAAAACTAACTTACATTTTTACTGATATTCTTATTAAAATTGGTTTCTTTGGAGTATAAATTCAATTTAACTGAGTTCAATTTTTTTAATTTCAAAAGTGGGAAGAAAACACACATCACAGCTAAGCCGAACTCTCAGCAGGCAAATGTAATGTGATGACAGTTGCCATCTTCTGGGAGAAAGCTATGGCTCTTGGATGTTAAAGGCAGAGCATGATAGTAAGCAGCAGCAGCTCTCTCCATCAGCTCTACGCCTTCTTTAAATTCCACTGAGGATGGCAGTTTGGATGGAGACCCCAAAATCTATTCTGTCCATCTGTTTTATTATTCTTAGAACAACTGTCAAAAGTTGCCCAGGGATCAAGTTGCAAACATACTAATTTGCCTTTGAAAAGTAGGCCCTGGGGGAATTCTGGAACTCTGCTTATAAATTCAGAATCCCATCAGCCAGCAAGCCTGCCCTACCCTTTGTGGAGGTATGAGACTTTGCACTTCCAGGCATACATCTGCCTCAAAGCCGGGATGCACTGATATACTCACATCCCACTTCATAGGCAAATGAAGGGAGAACCAAAGGGACTTGGCATCTTAAGGGCTGGCTTGTTCCATGACAAGCAGACCCTGAGGTTTCAGGAGGCAGCCCCTTCATTGGTGTTGGATTAAGGACCAAAGCTTTGTGCTGGAGAGTTTAAACAAGTGGACAAGGCAGAGGGACAACATATTCTGTGCTCTTTTATATCCTAGGACCAAAGAGGAAGATTGAAGACCGAAATAAAGCATTAGAAAAAATAAGCTAAGGAAAGATAAAAATCATAAGCCACTAAACATTGTAGCATTTCATTTTTGTGATTCTGATGAAAAGAGTTACAAAAAGACCATCTGAACATACAGAATATCAGGTGTAGGTTTTCTAAGGAATAATGAGAAATCACCCAAGAGTTGGCTATTTAAAATATTGTGGCATTTTGGGGACATGCTATCCTACTAGAAACGAAAGCAGCTGTGCACTTCTCAAGTTGAATGTGTTAAAGCCATGTGCAAAACACAATGTAAACATTAAAGTGCATCTGGACTCCCTAGGGCTGGCACACGGGACACCTGATCATCACGGAGGAGAAAAGGGAGTGGGCACCAGCACAGAACCCTGCAGTATCCTTCCTTCCTCCACCCTGGCCCCAATGGTCTCTATCTAAGGCTTTCAAAGCACAGGGCCTCAGAAATGTATCTGAAGCACAAAATTCAAAGTACCCCTTTTAGAGTGTGGTAAAATTCCTCAGTAGTAAAACAGAAAGGACACCCTTTCAAGGCTAACATGATGGCATTTGGGTCGTACTCACCCCTAGATTACCAAAAAAGTATTCTGCTTTCATTAAAAAATTTACTTGAGTGTGTTGCAAATTACTCCAGCACGGAAACCTGCTGGGAGCTCACTGTATACGCCAGGGCAGACTCTGCACAGAAGGGACCACCATTTGGACTTGCCTGCTTTGTCCTTCTTTGGCTTTGCAGCGTCTCTTATTCTAATAAGGTATGTATTATCCTTTTTAGAGATTTGAATAACAGAAAGTCTCACTTTCAAAATATTGCTTATAATCCCAGAGTCCACTAAACGTTCTGTGGATGCTGTTTATGGCATTCTGTTCCTTTCAACATGGGACTGATAATTAGTAAACTGAAATTTGATTAATGTTGGATTAAGAGGTTCTGATGTCTCACTGCAATGTGTTATTTCAGTCTGTGGGCACCAGAAGAGATTGTCTTTAGGAAACTTGTTCCCTTCCCTTTCCAGAATAGGAGGATGGGCTTAAAACCCTGACTTTTTTTTTTTTTGTTAAAGAATTCAGTTTGTAGTCAACAGTTTATAATGTAGGATTCAGTTTTTTTTTTTTCTGTCTCACTGTTTTTTGTTTGTTTTCTCACTTTGAAGCTGGGGCCAATGAATTAACTATTTAAGAGAGAACAAAATAAACCTGAAATAAAAGTCTTCTTCCAAAAATGCCAAGGGTGGGCCTTCCTGGTTGAGTAAGTGATTTGGCATGGATAAACGGTTCAGACAGCTTTAGATCTCACCAGGCTTTGTACCCGCTTTTGATAATATTAAGAACTCCTCTGAAAACAAAGGAGCCGTGTGATATAAGTATCAAAGCCTATGAAAATGACTAGATAATATTTAAAGGGAAAATTAATAAATTTAGACTACTTTGTGCTTTTTTAAATTATGATTTTTATTAGGATTCATTAGGATTATAAAAAGTCTTGTAATGGCCAGACTTTTTTCTATGCTTCATGGCCAGAAGATTCCATGTCTCTTCCTTGCCTGTGTTTTAAAATTTATAATCTTGTTTGCCTACTGCTGAAAAGTGTGGAAGAATCAGGAATAATGGCTCCCTTTGAAGCTCTGTCATTCCCAAAGTAACCATCTGAATGCTAAAGAAATATTGTCATTTATGGAATGACCTTTTGCTCTTTGAATACTCAGACATTAATAAATGTTAAATGCTTAGCAATCCTAGCAGCACTATGAAAAAGGTAAGTTGGGTCAGCAAATACCCTCTTGCATGCTTTTGATATGATGACCATTTCCACTTTTCTAACAGCTTTCTAATAGCAAAAATGTATTTGGGAACAACAGTGGAATTTGTGTCATCATGACCAAATGATTACGGTGCAAACCCGAGATTCTTCTGGGGCCCAGCAGGCTTCTGGTCCCTATGGAAACGAAACCTCAGATATTGTCCTCCACTCAGCTGGAGGACGAAGCGCCAGGAGGCTTTTGTGCTTGGTGAGATTTCTTCCACAACCTTCCCGCAACAGACCCTAGTGCTTCCTCCAGACTCTTTTCTAATTGAGATGCAAATTAATCTCTCTGGCTGATTACACTTCCCTTAAAGCTACTGACAAATGCAGCTGTAACCAGAGTTTGCGGACTTTCCAACAAGTGACTTCAGCTGTCAGTATTTGCATGCTCAGCCAAGGCCCGCCCGCTCCCAGTCTCAGAGCCATGGAGAGCTTCCTTTAGGCATTACAAGCCTGTTTTATTTATGTGTATACAATTTACATACAATTAAGAGTTAAAAACAAAAAACCACAACTAGGTCCCTAGGATTTATAAATGGACTCTGACAATGAAATTAGGCCTTTTCAGACACTTCTTTCTGACCCAGGTCTAGAGAGTCACTCCTTTCTCAGGAGGCCAAGGCTTTGATGGTACATTTCCCTCCCACTTCCTTCTTGTCTGCAAGGTTTCTGACTTTAACAATGTTTGAATTCAATCTCTCTTTCAAAAACCAACTAAATAAACTAATGGCTCTAAGAAAATGGGATCACTTCCTTTATAGTGATCTCAATAAGATTCTGTTAATTTAAAATCAAATATGAAGTTACCATTCTAATTGCCAAGATTTCCATATAAATGTGCTTCAACAACTTAGGGGTGATAATGTTAGAATGATTATTTAGAGCACAATAAAAATATGCACAAAACACCCAGTAAGAAGAAAAAAACACAAAAACCAATTTTTCGGTAAAAATTATTTGCTTCCTCTTGAATCCTATCTATTTTTGAGTTCCTACTATGTGTCAGGTGCTATTTTAAGTGTTCAGGATCCAGCTGTAAACTAAACATTCAAAAATGGAAAAGAGAGAGTTAATGTATATTTATATACATACATATGCATACATATTCTATTCCTAAGGCTATATTTCACCTTAGGCAATTAAGGCCTTCAATTTTGAAAAAGTATCATTTTATAAAATATGATTTACTTTTGGCTTCTGTTTTCCAAAATGTTTCTTACCAAATTACTCTCCAGCTTCTTCCCTCCCCCCGCAGGCCTTCACACACACACACACACACACACACACACACACACACACACACACACACTCTCTCATACTAGGGGACAGCAGCAGAATGGACACAAGGCCCCCACTGGGAAAGCCAGCACTGTGGCAAGAGTGCCACATCTGAGACAGAGGATAGAGGAGGTTCAGGCTGGCAAGGAGTGAGTCAGAGCAGAGACGACTATGGGAGGGTGAGGGGTCCTTGGCACAGGAGGGCCTCAAGGGCAGTGTGAAGGGTGGGGTATAGCAGAGTGGCTGAGAGGAGACTCCCAGGTTAGGGGTCATCCCAGTGGGAAGCAGCACGCTCCCTATGATGGTTGGTAGTGAGATGCAGTGACCCACTGGGGATGGAGCTGAGAGAGGGGGGAAAGAGAGAAAGAAGGAAGAATGAGGCTGTTCCTGATATTCCCCTAGGGGGAGCATCAGCCTGGTTTCTCCACAGGCTGTGAGGTTGAGAATAACTTCTGAAGGGATGGTCTTTTTTCTAACAGTGAGATGTCACTCTATAGCAAAAATAGCAGAGTGTACCACCTTCTCTCGAGATTTCTCCTGCACCTTCGCACTTCTCACGGGCCTCATTTCCATGCACCAAGAGTGGAGGGCAGCTCCTACCCCAGGGAACCAGCCTTTCACACAGAAGAGGACCTTCTGCAAGGCACTGAATGAACAGCATTCTACCAGCCTTTATTTTAATACCCACAATGGTAAAAAAGTAAATATTTCCTGAGGCCTAACTCCACAGTTAGGTGGTTCCATTTTTACAACAGAGGTTTGAAACTCCAGTATCTGCAAGGGCCAGGCTGATAATATACAACAATTGCAGGTAACGTTTGCTGGGCTTTCACCAAGGAACAGGCACTGTTTTACCTGCTTGGCCCATTAGCCCTCTCACCAACTCAGAGAGACCAAATGGTGGGTGCCATGGTGGTGGTGCCTGGCACCAGGCCTCAGCACTGGGGAGACACCAGGAGGGACTGTGGTGACCGTGACAGCACATATTCTGTGGAGAGACTGCTGTCAGTAGAAGGAAGGCCCCATAGGGTCAGATATTCTGATTCTTCAGGAGAAGTCAAAAGTCTAGATTTTTTAAAAATGCAAACTCTCCCAATTTTTCAGCATGGCTGACAAACTCAATTTTTAGTTTAGTTTTTTGGTAATGTGAGGAGGACAACTGCAGTTAAAACAAAGCCCATCTGTGGGCTGGATTTGGTGTGCTGGCAGCTGGTCTGCCCACTCTGGTTTTTGAATGTTTGACTT
Organism: Homo sapiens; assembly: GCF_000001405.40. Lineage (NCBI taxonomy): Eukaryota > Metazoa > Chordata > Mammalia > Primates > Hominidae > Homo > Homo sapiens. The sequence continues at coordinate 20,466,413 of NC_000020.11, forward strand.
GACACTGAGATAAAGCTGCTTCCTGGTTGCTTCTATTCACTGGTCACAGTTCTGCAGACTGCCATCCTCTTTTAATACCTCTCAGACTCCTGAAACAATTACTTCTTGGTTTTAATGGCTCTCCATTTGGTTACAATTTCTCTGGATTGGCTCTGGGTTGGTCGAGGTCCCTTTTAAAATGTGGCCCCAGGGCTGCACACCACCTTTGGATGCTCCCTGAGGCTGCAGGAGCACAGGCCGTAGTTCCTGTGACTGGACCTCATGTTTCCTATGCAGAGGTCTCAAGAGAATGCTGGTGTGGCTGGCTGTTGCATCACTCTCATCTCTCATCTCCAATCTGTGGCCAACCGAAATCCTCAGACATTGTTCACAATGACTGCTATGAAACCACATCACTCTCACCCTGTACTCAGGCAGCTGATTATCCAAAGCCCAGTACATAACGTTACATTTTGCCCTCTTAAACCTCATCTTGCTGGCTTGGGCCTGGAAGTCTCTCATCTGTTGAGATAATCCTAATGTGTGACTTTGCATCGTGTCAAATTAGTTAACCCTCTCAGCTTTCTGACAAATGGTGGCTTGATAAACATGTTTTAGACCTTTATGAAAGTTACTGAAAAAACTGCTGACTGGAAGACGGGTTAACAGCAAAGCTGTGGCATCGAAACCATACAAGACACACAAAGCTTCTTGCTGACTGGTGCCCATGAATTAATGTATTTTAGATTTGGTCACAGTGAAATCACCCAACTCTCAGGGGCCCATATTTCTCTCTTATACCTGCCAGATGATAGTATTTTATTTTATATTTTACCAAAATCAAGATGTATATGCTTCCTCTAATCTCCGAAAATAGTAATCTTATAAAACACACAGTAAGTGTGTTCCGGATACTTTGTCAACATATTCATTTCTGAAGGCTCACAGGCTATTTAGTAACCTAGTCTAATAATTTTACAAAGGATCCATGCAACATTCCAAAATTCATCCTTTAATCCTTTTTGAAAACAAAATATTTTCCTGTTTCCAATTTTGGGTACATCCTTTATTCTACATGATTTCTAAAAAAATATTTCTTGTGGTTCTGAGATTATTTGTTCTACAGCCAGATACACGTGGCCCTGCAGTCTGGAGCTTAGGTGCAAGAGCCATTGATTGATTGATTGATTGATTGATTGATTGTATTCTTAGCGACTTGAGTTTTAATTTATCCACTTAGGCACTTCTCTGTCCCTTCCCATTTGAAGGAGATGTGATAGAGAAGACGGAAGTCATTCAGATACTGGCTAACAGTGCCCACCTGCTAATTTACAGAGTCAAGAGCTCCTCTTTGAATCTTGATGTGAGTATTTTAACTATGAACGCATCAGAGAACGCAACCTTGTGCAGCTATATTGGTTGCTCCTCCAGGCCTCCCCTTTTTCTTTCTCAGAGGAATAATTTTAAGTTTTTAATAAAAATCCCCTTATTAAAAATCTCTAATTCCTCATTCCCTTTTACAGTCTCAGCCCACCCAGGGGAATATGCTATTTCTTCCTCTGAACTCTTCTTTTTGTAAGGTGCTTCCCAAGTGTCTAGGGTACAGGTCTACCAACATTTTTTTCCCATTCTTCTTCTTCTTTTTTCCCTCCCATTCTTATACAAACTCTACTGAAAGCTCATTACTTTTTGCAACGTCCAACGTCAAAAATCCATTCCTTCAAATTACTAAGAAATGGATCCAAAACAAAAATAGTAGTGCCTCTTGTTTGCATCTCTCAGAAGAGAGATGAGATTGTCTGCCAGCCAGGAATTTATCAAACACATGTCACCTTTGGTTGAATGTATGTCAGAGCTGATATCAAGTAGTAGAAATCCCCACTACAGCTATATTTTGCTTTGGGCCTGTTTAGAAATTTGGATTAGAAAAGCATGGCCATCCCTCCCATCTGGGGGTATAACTCCATTCTGGCTGCCGCTCTTCAATGCAGCCCCTCTCCCCATGCATTTTTCATTCACAGGCACGTGTTGACCTCACTCAGGAGTGTTTCTTTGTGGTGCTGCTACTATCTGATATGTTTTAACATCTTACCTTGCAGTAATTCAGTTCTAGGTCCTCTTATACCCAATCCTCCAGGTGAAGACTTGAGTCTGCTAGAACCAGTCATGAATAAAACCACCCAGTAGGATGTCTCTTTCTTGGCCAGTCTGCTGAAACTAACCCTTCATTTCTCTCTTTCCTGCTTTTCTGTGAAACCATTCTCTCCTATTCCCGTCTTTCTTTATCTCTGCCCCCTCCTTTCAAGCCATTTCTTCAAATGGCCCAGAGAGTTCTGTCTGCGATTCTGTTCTCATACCACCAAGAGACCACCGTTCTATTCTTCTCATTCTCTCCACACCCCCACAAATCTAGCAGGTCCCACACTGACTTAGTCCACCTCCTTTACCTAGATATCCAATCCATCATCCCTGCCACTGCCTTCGACGAGACCCCTGCTCTCTCTCAGAACCCCGTCCATGGCCCCTTAAATGTTTCCATCACCTCCATCCTGTGTGTGTGTGTGTGTGTGTTTGTGTGTGTGTGTGTGTGTGTGTGTGTATTCTATACTCTGCCATATGGAAGCATCTGTCATTCTCAAATGTGATAATATGATGTGCTCTTTCAAAGCCTGGTCCATGAACAAACATTGGCCCCTCATTTGGAGTATCTTCACATTTCTATTCCTAGCGGCAACGACTGTGCCTGGCACATGGCAGGGGCACTGTAAATGTTGACGAATGCTAACTGGTGCTGCCCGGCAAAATAGAACACATGGTACCATTTGACTTATTTTCTGAAATGTATGGAGATGAATGGAAAAAATAAAGATCTGTCCAGGAAAAAGAACCAAAGATCCCACTGAACAAGAAAGAAACAAGGTTGTTATAGCTTTAGGGAGAGGAGTCATTTTTGAAGATGTGAAAATTCGTAGCAGAATTTAGCAATGAGATTCCAAAGTCATGGGTCTAAGAGGGGACACTCTGGTACTATCAAACACATATGTTAACTGAAAATGAAAGTACATTTCACTTGTGAAAGAATGAGATACAAAATTATTTTTTCTTAGGCAGCCCAGTTCTCTCCATCAAATGCTGATAGTTACAGCGAGTAGAGATGGTGAATGCCATTGAGACTATTGTTCTATTGAAGTGGACGTTTATTTTAAAAAGCCACCATCTGTTTGATTCAGGGTGAACTCCTCCTAACGGGCACACTGCATATTGTGTGGCAACCTTTTCCCTGAAACAAGTTATTTGATGAGAAGAATGAAAACCTTGGCTCAAATGGTTGTGGAAACGTCTATCAGTTGACCACGGTTTGATTTTGGAATCTTTAGTCGGCTTGGGAATGGTAAACATAACATGTGGCAAGCTTCCCATTTACAACCCTCTAGGCACAGGAATAGGCTCTTTGATTGCCCATGAGGGATAGAAAAAGCAGATGGCAGGTGAGTTGGCCCTCATCACTCAGAAAAGCAGTGGCCACAAGATGAAGGCTCCACTTGACAAATTTGATTTAGCCTGCAGAGGACATCACAGGAGAACCCAGGAGGGACAAAGGGGCTGCGATGAACCGTTCCTGAGGGTGCTTTCCAAAGATACCCCTACTGTGCTTACATTTTTTTTTAATCATATAAGACAATGGTATTTTTCAGTCTTCTATGTGCCTTTGCTGCAGAGTTCCAACTGTTAACTCAGCCAAGGGCTCCCAAATAAGAACTGCTTTGATATTGATTCTAACTGCATTTACTTCTCAAAAAGACCCCCAAAGGGAAAATTTGCTCCAGCAATGCCCCCATCCTTAGCTTAATTAGAAATGTTTCATTTTCTTAAACATAGCGAACAAAATTAATATGTAACTGCCCACATTTCCACTTCTAGTTAAATATTATAAAAACTAAAGCCCAACTGACACGATTTTAAGGCAGTAAGTATCAGTCATTAGCTGGGGAGAGGACAGAGAGATAAGAAAAACTACTCCAAAGTAATTCCACTGGCTCGTTTCTTTAGTTGTCATCTTAGCACAGCATCCAGAGTAAACTCCCACAGCTGCCTGATGTCAGGTGCAATAAGTGGGGAGGGAGTGTAGGGCCCATCATGCCCAGCATGTGTAATCTCCCCAAGGGCTGAGGAGATCAGCAGTACCTTGGGCACACCTAGAACCGGGGCTGGCTATATAACCTGAGGGTCCCAGTGCAAAATGAAAATATAGGGCTCCTTTTTCAAAAAATAGGAAAAAATGCCTTTAAAGGTCCTAAAATATAAAGGTTTTCCTATTTGTCTGCAATCTCTCAACTTGTCATGGTATTTTTTATTTGCTATTTAATGTTATTCTAACATTACTGTTTTCCATTTTATTTGTTTTCTCTTATTATATTCCTTATTTCTGTCCTGAATATTAGCCCTTCTGCAGACAGAAATTAAAAGAATAGAGTAGTTAAATGATTGCAAAGTTTTCCCCACTAACTCCATCTCTATAAAAAATTAGGTATAACAGTTGATTTCTTGTTTTAAACAATTTATTTGAATAATACCAATTAAATTTTCTCCAGGTACAAGACAAAAAAAAGTTTAAAATATTGATAATGATCAACATAATAGTTTTTAAAATATTTTTCCTAATTTCTGTACTACATTGTTGTTTGAGATGTCAAGTTAGCTATTTTGTGAGTTAGAGTACATTTACTAACACACAATAGCATCAGTAGCCCTAGCTGGTATCCACATTAGTCCTGATGTGTCACTGCTTGAAAAGTTTTCAAAGTGATTCTGAATAGTATCCTTTGAACTTTTAAAAATACCATTTTCCCTAAACCTGATCATTCCAATTGTATCACATTAATTCTTATTTGAGAAAGCAGTGTTAAACAAAATAACAAAGCAAGTATTTTATAATGAGAAGTTCAGTAAGTAGAGAAGGTGACATGACAAAAGTCACAATGGAATTAATATAAAATGGAATTTTCTCATTTGTAAAATAAGATTTTTTTTTTTTTTTTTTTTTTGCTGCCTTGGTCCAACATACTTGACTGATGCGTGCCCAGCTCGTCCTAGTTGACATGCAAACTGACAAACTAATCGCTGAATAGTTCTTTCTCATTTCTGCCAAGAGGCTCTTTTTAATAGTATGTGAAATAAAAACTCCATGCTGAAGGCCAAATTGACACCAGCCACAAGATTACGTCTACAGTGTTGTGGAAATCACTGCAAAGAATGCCATCTCCAAAACACTCACCACCAGCCTGGACAAAGCACGAGAGAGTACACTGAAGGGAATAATCCTGCCCTGGCCCCCAGGGGAGGGACCAGATGGGACCTAATAGCTCTTTTCTACTACTCATTTCTATGATAATTTTAAGTTGCCACATGGCATATGTATTTTTTTTTAATCTAAAGGCAGAATATCAGTCAATGAAGTGACCAGGATTTTAATGAAAGGTATTTTTTCATGAACCGTATCTATTCACATGGGATAGTTTTCATCTACCCCCAACTCTCACTTGCTATAGCAACACATCACTTACTATCAGGTTGGGAGAAGTATATATAGAGGTCAAACACAATATGTTTCAAATTATTATCAATACCAATTAGAAACAAAGAGATTCTAAGTTTTATTAGGAGGTCACTTTTTTTGCATCAATTTTATAAGGTCACCCATCTTAATCTCTTTTTCTTATAACTTGAGATCATGCTTGAATTTAAGGACTACAGCAGGCCAATTAATGTTTGAGGAAAAAATTTTAGGAGTGAAATTTATTCTGTTTTTGGAAACAAAATCAGGAACTAGAGAAAATATCAATGATTTGGGAAAATTACAAAAGAATTTCTAGCTATTCCTATTGATAAGTCCAAATGCAACTTAATTCAGGACATCTTTCCCTCTACCCTCAACCAAATGCAATTTCTATCTCCTCTGATCTTCCAGAAACCTACTTGCACTTCTCAGGTGGTACCTGCCACATTCTTTGATTTATTAGGGTCATTTCATTTGCTTTGGTTTCTGGTAGGCACTCTGAATGAGCGATACGTTTTGCTCAGCATCCCACCTTATATACAATGGACTGCCACAAATAAGAGGGATACAGGATGAGACTGAACGTGGGGCAAAATACCTAAGAAGATATGAGCATCTCATAATGGTCACAGCTTCTCAGACACAAACGTATGTGAGTAAATTATGAAAGTAAACTCTAAGTTTAATGCAGCATAAAATTATTATATTTAATATAAATTAACAAATGCTATGAAAAACCACTATGTTATTTTTAACAGAGGTTGAAAAAAATTCTCTTCCCTCTTCAATTCAGTTTTGAATACTTACCTCTTATGAAAAACTGCCAGGAATCTTGATTCTGGGATGGTTAGTAAGTTACACATTTAAAGCAAAAAGATACAAGCTCTGGTAGAGTGGGATGAGGCACTTCACAGCCCTGCTGGCGTTGATGCACGTGGCACATACAAGGCTTGGCAGCAGCTTCCCACTCACTATGGCTCCATCAAACAGAGGCCCAAAAAATGGAACCTGTTGATTTGAAATGGAAAAACAAATTTTAAAAACTGATAAAAGTCAAATCAAAGATATGAGAGTAGCTGACTGATGTCAGACCTGCAATGAGCACTTAAGCTGTCACCCACAGAGCAGACGCTGACCTTAACAGGACACAGGTCTAGGGCTTTCAAATTGAGTGAAGCAGGACTGCCCCACAATGCTCCTTTACTAGGGATTCTTCAGCAAAACTTTCAATGACAAAATTTTACCAGGTTCTTCGTTTTTTCTCTTCTGTTGTCATTTACAGAAATGGTGTTGCTCTTAAGTGCCTACATCATGTGAATTATGCATGATACACAGACATGCTTCACTGCACACTATCCTTGCATCTGTCTGAAACCAGTTATGGAACTGGTAATGTTCCTGCCATGGGTCCTGATGTATATTAACTCTTAAAGGAGATGATGATGATCCCTGTCAACAACTACAAAGTCCTACACAGTCCTCATTCTTCTCGACCTTTTCCCCCTCTGCTTCCAAGATACTGCATTACCTTCATTTCCTTCTACTTTTTTTTGAGACAGGGTCTCCTTCTCTCACCCAAACTGGAGTGTAGTGGCACAATCATAGCCCATTGCAGCCTGGAACTTCTGGGCTCAAGCATCCTCCCACCTCAGTCTCCTGAGTAGCTGGGATTACAGTTGCACCACCACACCCAGCTTCTGTTTTTAATAGAGACTGGCTTTTCTTAGCTGAACCCATTTCTGTTATGTGGAAAACTCACAAGTTTCTGTGCTTGCCTTTTTTGGATTTATTTCTTCTCTCTCCTTTTTCCCCCATTAGAATTTCTTTAATTTTATTCAGTAACATGCAGATTGTAAGTTCCATGAGATCACAATTCTTACATGAGCTCCATGAGATCATGTAACTCTTATATTCATTCACTTATTACTCCCCTATTCATGTATTCAGAAAATATTTATTATGTGTTGGACACTGTTCTACTCACTGCAGAAACAACAGTGAATAGTACAAAAATCCCTGAATTTATTGAGCTTGGAATTTATTGGAGATTTTAGAGAATAAACAGTATAAACATATAAAATATATGACAGGCAGGAAAAGTGCTAAGGTAAAAATAAAGCAGGGAAGAGCAATATAACTTTATTTTTGGGAGGGGTCTCCAGTTGGCTCTAATGGCCAGGGTGGGCTTTAAGAAGAGGATGACATTTCAGTAAAGGCCTAAAGAAAGTGATGAATGAACCACAAGCTATGAGAACATCTAACGGAAGAACATTCCAGGCAGAGTAACAGCACAGGCCTTGTGGTGGGAGTAGAATTAGTATGTTTAAGCAACCATGGCTGGGGCCAAGCGAGAAAAAGGAAGAATTAAGAGCTAAAGTCAAGCAGGTCACAAGGGGTGCTTTATAGGAAGTTTTAAGGGTTCTGGATTTCTGTTCTGAGTAAGATCAAATCCTCCTGAGGATTTAGGGAAGCAGGGGATATGATCTAAAATACATTTTAAAGGTATTGTTTTGGCACCTGTGTTGACAAAACTGCAAAGGGGAATTATGGAGACTAGCTGGTGACTACTGAATAAAGCAAGAGATGGTGGTAATGGCTTGGATCAGAATGGCAGCAGAAGTGGAGAAAGGTGACAGATATATTTTGAAGGTAGAGTTGTCAGGATTTGTTGAGGATGGTTAATGAGGTGGGAGAGACAGAGAGGTGTCAAGGATGATGCCACAGTTTCTGGCCTGGCCATTGGAAGGCTGGAGCTACGTTTTCCTGAAATGGAGAAGACTGAGAGGGAGGGTCAATAGCTCAACTTCAGACATGCTAAGTTAGAGATGCCTACTGGGTATCCAGTGATGATGTATTGGGCAGGAGTAGCTATACCATGCTAGAGTCAGGGGAAAGGCCTAGGTTGAAGCTGTTCACTTAGAGATGATGTTTCTAGCCATGAGATCACATAACATCAACAAAAGATCAAGAAAAGAGACTCAATGACTATATCCTCTGGCCTTCCAATGTTTAGAGCTTAGAGACATGAGAAACAATTAGAAAAGAAAGAGTGGCTGGAGATGGAGCAAGAAAACCCCTTCTGAGTAGCACTGTACCTGACACACAATTGGAAGGCAAATACCTGCTAAATGAGTTACATTCATTAATATTTTAAATAATTTAAATTAATGAATGTGGGTCTCCATCCTAGGTCTTTAAACTTTTCTCAAAAACTATTTATTTGTAAAGCCCCTTTTCTGTGGTTGGCATTGGTGAAGGTGCTTGGGATACAATAATGAAGGAGAGACTGTCTCTGCCCATAAAGAGCTGACATGGTAAGAAAACTATGGACTAATATCTCTCAGCAATGATGCAAAAATCCTTTATAATTTTTTTGTAAATTAAACCCAGCAAGATAAAAAAGGACAATATATCTTATCAAGCAGAATTTTCCATTGGAACTCAAGGTTCATTTAACATTCATAAATCCATCAGTGCAATTTATTTTTGCAATGTGCAAAAATCCACATTGACAAAATACAGAATAAAAACCATATGACTTTAACAGACACAGAACAAGCATTAAATAAAATTTAACTCTCACTCATAATTAGAAAAACAAAACAGAACAAAAACTCTCAGCAAACCAGGAATAGAAGGGAAATGCCTCAATTTAATGAGAGCTTAAAGGGGGAAAAAGGTGTCATAATTAATGATGAAAGATTAAGTATTTTCTAAAAGAGATCTGAAAAGGCAAGGATGTCTATGTTCACCTCTTCTACTCAACATTTTTGAAGATCCTAGTCACTACAATAAAGAAAATTAAGAGAAAGAAAGAAGAAGGGTAGGGGAGAAGAGGGGAACATAAAGGTTAGAAAGAAGTAAAACTGTTTTTATTCACAGATATCATGATTATGTATATGAAAAGTCCAAAGAATTTAACTAGAATTAGTGAGTGAATTTTGATAAGCCTCAGAAAACAATATACTCCTCAAATCAGTTATATTTCTGAATGTTAGCAACCAACAATTGGGAAAAGACATGTAAAAATGTTGTTTATAACTGCATCAAAACAGAATGAATTTGATAAAAGAATGTGCAAGACATCTATATTGAAAACTACCAAACAGTGATGAGATAAATTAAAGACAAGCTAAATAAATGGAAAGATGTACAATGTTCATGGACTGGAAGTTTCAATATTGTTAAGATGTCAATTCTGCTAACATTAAGCTATAGATTCAACAAAACCCAATCAAAATTCTGGCAAGCCTTTAAAAAATATACATGTACCGAATACTTCTAAGTTCATAAGGAAATGAAAAGACATAAATTAGTCAAGATGATAATAAGAAGACTTATATTACCTAATTTCATGGCACACTATAAAAATATAATAATTAAGAAATCATTATAGTGGTACCAGGATAAACAAATATTTCAATAAAACACAATACAGAGTCCAAGAATAGAGCCATACCTACATGGTAATTGATTTGCAATAAAGGCAGCATATCAGTTTGGTGGAAGAAAAAAGCCTGTTTCAATAAAGACACTGGAACAACTGGAGAGCCATATGGAAAAGTGAACCTTGACCTTCATCTCATATCACACACAAAAATTGAGAGGGTTATAGACTGAAATATTAAAGCTAAAACCATAAAGCCTCCAGAAAAAAAATATGACAAAATTGCCACGACCTTAGGATAGGCAAGGATTTTTTAGGGTACAAAAGGCATAAATCATAAAATAAATAAATAAATAAATAAATAAATAAATAAATAAATAAATAAAAGAAAATACATTGGACTATATAGAAATTTCTAAAACTCTGCCCATCACAAAAATGAAAAGGCAAGTTATATATAGTCACCAAACAGAACATAGCCACAAGGTCCATCCAGAGGAGAACAAATTAAAAGTTTGTGTTATATTCACCCAACAGAATATTCCACAGTAACGAAAATGAACAAACCACAACTACATGTAACATCATGAAAATAATCCAAATATAATGACAAGTGAAAGAAACAGACACTAAAAAGTTCATACTACATAATTTCATTCCTAAAAGTTCAAAACCAAGTAAAATGAATCAATAGGCCCAAAAGTCAGAATAGTGGCCACTTCTTCATTGTATTAGTGATTGAGATGGGGCACGAGCAAGAATTAGGAGGCTGGCAACATCCTCTATTTTGATCTGGGGTGGTATTACACAAGTGTGTTCACTTTGAAAACATCCATCATGTTGTATACTTACAATTTGTGTCCTTTTCAATATTAAATATATTTCCAAGGAAACGTTTTCCAGAAAACAGCAAGAATACAGAGGATTTGAACAAGACAACTAACAAACTCATCATAATGGAAACATAAAATACTCTACCCAACAACTGCAGAAAACACATTCATTTCAAGCATGTACAGAATACTTTTTAAAAAGTGACCATATCCTCAGCCAAGGATCCACAAATACAGCCTGCAGGGCCTAATTCCAACCTGGCACCTACTTGTGTATGGCCTGCAAGCTAAGAATGCTTTTTACTTTGTAAACAGTTGGAAAAAAATTAAAAGAGTATTTTACTATGTGAAAATTATGAGATCTAAATTTCAGTTCATAAATAAATTTTAATGGAACACAGCCACACTTATCCACTTACACATTTTCTTTTTTTGGAGACAGAGTCTCACTCTGTTGCTTAGGCTAGAGTGCAGTGGCTCAATCTTGGCTCACAGCAACCTCCGCCTCCCCGGTTCAAGCAATTCTAGTGCCTCAGCCTCCCAAGTAGCTCAGACTATAGGCCTGTGCCACCAAGCCCAGCTAATTTTTTTGTACTTTTAGTAGAGACGGGGTTTCACCATGTTGGCCTGGCTGGTCTCGACTTCCTGGCCTCAAGTGATCCATGCACCTCAGCCTCCCACAGTGCTGGGATAATAGGCATGAGCCACTGTGCCCGGCCCACTTACACATTTTCTATGGCTACTTTTGCACAATAATGACACAGTTATTTAGTTGTGACAGACCCAAGGCCTAAAATATTTACTATCTGGCCCTTTACAAAAAATGTTTGCTGGCCTCTCTTCTAGGTTATAAAGCAAATCTCAATAAATTTCTAGGGGTGGAAATTTTACAATCCATATTCTGTGCCTAAAAAGCTATTGACAACAAACAACAACAAAAGGATAATTGGCACAAACCTCTATGTTTAGAAATTAAGAAATACACTTCTAAATAACTCATGGGTCAACAAAATATTGAAATGGAAATTTAGCAATATGTTAAGCTAACTGATAAAATAAGACTAGTAGATATTATAACTTATACCTTATAGCAGTACTTACAGGGACCGTGTAGAATGAAATGCTCATATTAGAAAGAAATAAAGACTGCAACATAATGAGATAGGCACCCATCTCAAGAAGTACTGAAAAACCAAAAGAATCAAACAAATTCAAAGAAAGTAGAAGGAAAGAACTAATAAAGATAAAAGTCATCATTTAAAAATAGAAAACAAACATACAATAAAAAGGAGAACCAAGATCGACAGTTAGTTCTTTAAGGAACCATAAAGAAAAAAAAAAAATCATGTCCTTTGCAGCAACATGGATGCAGCTGGAGGCCATTATCCTAAGCAAATTAACATAGGAACAGAAAACCAAATACCGCATGTTCTCACTTATAAGTGGGAGCTAAACATTGAGTACTCATGGACATAAAGATAACAACAAAAATTGTATAAAAAGATGGCAACAACAGAAACTGGGAACTACCAGAAGGGGGAGGGAGGGGAGCAAGGGTCGAAAAATTAACTATTGGGTAGTTAGTACTAAGCTCAGTACCTGGGTGACAGGACCATTCATACCCCAAACCTCAGCATCATGCAATATACCCAGGTAACAAACCTGCACATGTACTCCTGGAATCTAAAATAAAAGTTGAAAAAAAAAAGTTCGTTCTTTGAAAAAAGTCTAATACAATTGACAGGTCTTTGGCAAGGTGAATCAAGAAAAAAAAAGCACAACTAAATAATATTAGAAACAAAAAGGAATCCAACTATAGATACTTAGAAAATATACGTAGCTTTATGCCTATAAATTTGAAAGTTTAGATGAAATGGCCAAATGAGAAAAAAAATACAATTTAGCAAACACAGACACAAGATGATATATAAAAGCTATAATTCTATGAGCTTTAAAGTAGATGAATCATAGTAGAAAAAAACATTCTAACAAGGAAAAGCCAGCTCAGAAGCCTTCACTGGCAAATTCTATAAAATCTTCGAATAACCATATTCAAAATAATAAAATTCAAATAAAATCTTCGAAAGAACAAATAACTATTATTTTGGAGAAACTTCCATAGTATAGGAAAACAGAAAATATACTCATTTTATTAGGCTAGTACAATCTTAATACCAAAATGAGGGGCCAATCTCACTTATGAACATGCATACAAAAACCCTAACAAAATATCAGCAAGCCAATTCCATAATGTGCAAAAATAACAATATCATGACCAAGTCGGGTATATCCCAAGAATACAATTTTCAGTAAAAATCAGTCTGTATACAACCACATTAATAGATTGAATGAGAAAAGTCAGGTAATCACCTCAAAAGACATTTAAACAAGTGTTTAATAAAATCCAAAATCCAGTTAAGGAAAAAATTCTTAGCAATCCTGGAATAGAAGGGATCTTCCTTAATCTGTTCTAGAATACCTACAGAATTCCAGAGCAACCACTAAATGGTGAAACATTGAGAACTTGATGTGGGAGACTGTGAAGGAGAAAAGAAATGTCCCCCTACATCACATCTACCAACATTTGCACTGGAGATCCTTGCCAATACAGTAATGCAAGACACAAATAGAGGACTATGAATTAGAAAGGAAGAAAAACTGTCATTTTTTTAGATGGTATAACTGTACTCACAGAATCTCCAACATAATCTATGGCAAATGGTCAGAATTAGTAAGAGTGTTTATCAAAGTCAATGGATACAGAATACATTCACCAAAAATCCAAATGCATTCCTCTCCACCAGCAACAAATGGTTAGAAAAGGAAATATTATTTACAACAGCATAAAAATATAAAATAGATCTAACAAGGAAAGTATAAAGAAAGTTACAAAACTTTATTCAGAGATGTTAGTTTAAATAAATGAAATGATAGATGTGTTCTTGGACTAGAAGACTCAATATTGTTGTGACTTTCCTTCCTAGACTGACCTATGGATTTAATGCATGGCATGTATGTATCTTGACTAGCTGATTCTAAGACATTTGTAGAAATGAAATTGGCTAAAAAAAGCCAAAGAAGAACTGGGTAGGGACTTGCCTTACAGCAAGATATATCCCAACCTGTGGTAAGAAATACAGTATGAGTAAGGCACACGGGACCAGTGGAGTTACAGGAGGGCCTACCCACACAGCCTCCTGCCTGTTTGATGACTGCTGAAAATCATTCACCAAGCTAAGTGGGATATATTACCCCATGAGTTGGGGATGCTGACCCATAAGGTATGGTATGTCCTTTTTTCCTATCCCTATGATGATAGTCTCTGACTTTAGTTTTAGTACTTAAGGAGTACTTTAGTACTTAAGTACTTCCTAGAAGAAGATACAGTGTTCTCAGTGGGAAGAGGAAACTGATGGTCAGGTATTTTAGGCTCCACAGACCACTGGACACTGAGGCAGTAAAGGAGGCTCCAGGATAGACAGGGTGAGTGGTCCTGCCAGGGAAAACAGTGCTGCTGCTGTACAAAGCGGATGCGGAAGGGTTCTCATGGAGCACTCACTCCTGATCCCATGCTCAATGGTAAATTTAATGGAAGACAACATCAAGTATCAGTCCTAATCAGAACCTTATAGCAGTATTTCATCCTGCTGAGCATGTATATTTCACAACCACCTAAAGTTTCTGAGTGACTCATAAGTGCCCTCTCCTAACATGATGACCAAAGCCTGGGGATTAATAAGATTTTCCATGACTGCTGACAAACTGGATTTCCTTACCACCTGCAGATTAGGAGCTGCTTGTGGAGCCCCTATCATGTGTTCCTTGACTAAAGAAGTACAGTGCTCAGGGGAGGCACACACCTAGAAGGTGCAGCCCAAATTAATTTCTTTCTCAGGTTTGGGTCCAGATGAAGACACTTCATATCCAGGGACTCTTCTTGGCAAGATACTGTGAAAGCAAAGAGAGCCTTTTGCAGCAAAGTGATAACGCTGAAGTCCACGTGGCAACACTAGCCAGCATGCCAGCACAAGGAAGTGCCCAGTTGTTGGAGCAAAGACAAAAAAGAATCCTTAGGACACAGAAAATGATCTGAAATACCCATTTGATTTGTGGGGATGGGGATTAATCTTTCAAGGATGCAATGCAGACATCTTGATGGTCCAAAGCAGGGCAATGAACAACTGAACTCTGTTCCAATTCCTCACAGATAACCTCCAGCCTCCAGGATTGGAATATTGCCATGGATGGGCCTACCGAGAGGCAGGCCACATTGAAAATGACAAATGAAGAATGTGCGTGGCTTAACTTACCCAGTTTGGTCAGTTATTCATTCTGCTAAAAAACTGCAAGTATTGTGTTCATAACAATGATATGGCTGTGATTTCTGTGTCCAGATTTTTGGCACTGCCTTTATCATGCAAGAAGTGGGTAACTTAATACAAAGGTCTAGAATTCAAATTTCTCCTTGACTTCACACATATACCTATAATGTGAACACAGGATGTGTACACAGAATATAAAAAGCATCTGCATACAGGTGTGAAAACTGATACCTCTCTACTCTTAAAGAGATTCAGTCTACTGGGATTTAGGATGCTGGACTTGGTGCCAGAATCAAGTACTCTTGGATAAATTCTTTATGCTCTTATCAACTACATACATATTTGGAGCACAAGGGCAGTGTTGTCTGCCCTGTGGGCCTCACAGAGTGACTAAAAGGTTCAAATGCCCTACCAACCCCGAAAGCGTGTTGCAAATAGTACTGTCCTAATGAGAGGCAAGGTAAAAAAAAACCAAACAATTTTGAGATATATGTAAAAACCTTAAGAGAAATGTAAGGTATATTTCTGAGAAACAGAATTTTTATTTTCCTACATTCCTATCTCTGTATAATATAAATACATTCTCTAAAATACCAGAAGATAGCTTTTGGGAAAAATGAATACTCAGAAGACTCTAAAACTTTGTCTGAAAATTCTAAAGACTACAGTGAATCTTTCTGTGTCAAAAGGGGCAGAGATTTCATGTACCATCTGTTTATTTGCATCATTTGATCAAAGTTCTGTTAAGGGCTGTGGGGGAATACAGATATGAACAAGTCGAGGCTCTGAACTGTAGGTAGTTTGCAGAAGAGGTAAAACAATGTATTCAAGAAGGCAAAAGGGAAAAAAAGCTTTAGGGTGGACGCAGATAAAATATTCTGAAGCTACAGAGAGTTCTTTTCTAGCTGAGAGAAGCCATGGAAGTCTTCATGTAGGAAGTGGTCATGACAGTGGGTGTTGGCAGAGATTCACGGTGGGAAGAGCGGAGCACTCCAGACAAATGGTAAAAATAGGAATGAAAAGATGAGGTGGGTCTGGCTCTCTTTTCTAGCGCAGGGTTCCCCAAAGTGCACTTTAAGAGATACTAATTTAGCTGAGTGCTAGCTGGTTTGTATGAATGCTGTGCCTACAGTTAATGATTAAAGTATTACAGATAAATAAACAGAAAGACTGTGGACAGAACATGGCAAAGGACTGCACAGAGCTCCTGAGGGATTCCTGAGAGCAAAGTGAAGTCAGAGGTAGGGCCACAAAAGGAAGTGAGGCAGGCATAGAAGCCTAGACTGGATTTGAGAAGGATGGAAAGCTCTGGAATAGGTATGTACGGAAATGCATACAGATAAGAGAAAAGGCTGAAGAACAGGTATGGGAAGCCAGATGATATGGGACTTGATGAAATGCCCTGCAGAAATTACCAGCTTGCTCTCAAGACTCTGCACTGCTGTACTTGCCTACTCCTGCTCATCTACCCACATCATGTCCTGGTCATCCAAATGAAAGCAACACAGAGCACCAGGTAAGTTTCCCATCTTTTACTTAATGGAAAGGCTGAGCTGAAGGTACATTCACTGTGTGTGTCAGTAGGAGATAAGATCTGGTGGGTGGTGAGAATTGGAAAGGCTGCAGATCTGTTGGGTGTTCCTCACAAGTTAGGTGGCCAGAAACCAAAATGGTAAAGTCAGGTAGGAAAGAGTACATGTTTTTATACGTGGAGAGAAATACCACTGCCCATCAAAGAATGATGGAAAGAAAGGGCCTGTGAAGTCAATAGTAATTGCAATCATGATCACAATCTCTAAAACAGATCAATGTAACTGGTAGGGAATATTGCAACAGTGAATTACAAAATAATTTTAGGTTAAGAAGCCAATAAGAAAAGAAACTGTTAAAGTTTCTACACACATGAGAGAATGGGCAAGTGGAGGGTTGCCAGTGGGTTGAGCAGACCAGAGCTGCTTTCCATGTAAGTGCCTGGCCAAGGACAGTCGCCCTGAGAAGCTTGGCCCCAGCTGCTCCACAGGTAAAATTTCCTCATCACTAAGGCATCAGGACCATCCATCAAGGCTCAATCTGTACGACACCTGTGGAACCTCATACTGCAGGGCAGGTCTTCTCTTGGTGATCTGCCAATAACAAAGCACTGACCTCATGCATCAGGGAAACCATGTGCAACCCCCTAAATCCTGTGTACAGACTTAGGAAACAGAACTTCTTGAGGGCATTTCATTAGAACTACAAGCAACATGTTTTTCCCACATTTCTAACCAGATCCCTTAAGTAAATCTCAGACAATCAAGAAGTTCTAACGAATAATGAGAGAATCAAGTGCCAGACAGGAAATAATGAAGGATAAAAATGAGAGGCTAAAAGGGGAAAAAAAGTGGTTTCTGGATATTCAGAGAGAGCTATACGGACCTTGAGCTGATCTTGTACTCTAGTGATGCTGGTGCACAAACACAAGGGTAGGGACGCTATCAGGGGTGTCCTGCATAAAGGTCAGAACAGACAACCTAAAATGCTTCCTTCACCTCTGAGATCTAGGATTCAAGGATCTGACACAGTTTCCCCCTCTGGGAAATTCACAGTTCCACAGGGATTATGAATTAAGAGGGTGTGTTTGTACTTGTGCATTTATGCTTGAGATGTCAAAGTGGGCAACAGATAAATCTGCTAAGATATTGTACCAAAAGACAGTAATTTTCCCGTTGGGAAAAACAATAGTAGTCACATTATTTACCAGAAACACCAAGGAGTCCATGCACTGAACATTTTATAAACATTTTATGAAAAGTAAAATGTGTTCAATCCTAAATGTCTTCTTGTGTGTTCTATGGTTCAGGGTGGGATGTGGGAAGGGGAAGGCCATGCACCACCCTCCAGGAACACATAACTCCATGGAACTCCATGGAGCACCAGCAAGCAGCACTCTCTGAGGAGAGGCTGCTCAGGAAATGGTTCATTGGGCTTGGACTAGTTTCTTGAAGGTGGGAAAAGACTGATTTATATTCTATTTTGCAGAGCCTGAGCCAGACACGGAAAGGGATTTCCAAATAGTAAGAAAGTCCTCTTAGGGAACAATAGGGCATCTCCATGAATATATTTTAAAGATGGTTCATCACTTAATTGGGCCTGTAAGTGATTCTCCTTTGATGCCTTTGGAGTCAATGATTCTTAGTGATTAGAGATGAAAATAATATACATAATAGATATTTTTTGATTATAAGATTAAGATAAAATAACAAAAGAATCATAGACAAGGGGTTTAAAAGCCCAGGAACATTTCATTTTTGATGATGAGCCCAATGACTGTGATCCCTAATTACTGAACCTGGTTCTGATCTCAGTGCTCAATGTACAGTATGTAATTCTCACAACAACCCCATGAGGCCAGCACTTTATCCCTACTTCATGGAGGAAGAGATGAAGGCTAGAGGGGCTAACCGATTTGCTGTAGCTTAAGCTTGTGCAACCCATGGCCTGTGGGCCACATGCGGCCCTGGATGACTTTGAATGTGGCCCAACACAAATTCGGAACTTTCTTAAAACATTATGAGATTTTTTTTTTTTTTTGCAATTTTTTTTAAGGTCATTAGCTATTATTAGTGTTAGTGTATTTTATGTGTGGCCCAAGATAATTCTTTTTCCAATGTGGCCCTTGGGATGCAAAAGATTGGACAACCCTGCTCTAGTTCATGATTTGGGCCAACTCCTCACTGTGGCCTTGCAGGTTCTGCTATGTAATGTCCCCTGTACCCCTGATAATTTTCCCTGCTCTGATGTTAGCTCCATCTGATATTAATATAGTTATTCCAGCTTTCTCTGATTAGTGTGAGCATGGTATATCTTTCTCCACCCCTTTACTTTTAATCTGTGTCTTCACATTTAAAGTGGGTCTCCTGTAGACAACATAAATAGTTGGGTCTTGGCTTCTTTGGCACCCACTCTGACAGTCTCTTTTAACTGATATATTTAAGACGACTGACATGTATTTTATTCATTGTCCTTATTGTTTTCTTTTTTGGTCTTCCACTCATTTGCTGCCTTCTCTAGTTTTAAGTGAGAATTTTATATGAGTCCATTTTTTTCCTCTCTCGGCATATTATAATTCTTTTAAAAACATTTTATTGGTGGTTGCCCTGAGTATGAAAATACATTTATAACTAACCCAAATCCACTTTCAAATAACACTATACTGCTTCACAGATAGTGGAAGTTCCTTATAAGAGAGTATTCCCAATTCCTCCCTCCTATCCTTATAACATTGCTATCATTTATTATTCATCCATATGCTATAAGCATGAAATACTTGTTGCTATTACTATCTGGAACATATTGTTATCTGTTAGATCAATTAAGAATAAGAAAAGGGCTGGGTGTGGTGGCTCATGCCTGTAATCCCAGCACTTTGGGAGGCCAGGGTGAGCAGATCACTTGAGCCCAGGAGTTCAAGACCAGCCTGGGCATCATGGCAAAACCCTGTCTCTAGAAAAAACACAAAATTAGCCAGGCATGGTGGTGTGTGCCTGTAGTCCCAGCTATCCAGGAAGCCGAGGTAGGAGGATCACCTGAGCCTGGGGAGATCCAGGTTGCAGTGAGCCATGATCATGCCACTATATTCCAGCCTGGACAACAGACTGACAGTCTGTTTCAAAAAAAGAATAAAAAAAACAGATTTCATTTTACTTATATTTCTTCCTTCTCTAAAGCTTTTCCCTTCTTTAAGTGGGTCCATCTTTATGACTTCTATAATTTTTTTTTTTTTTTATGATGAAGGAAAGGCAAGGCAGGTCTACTAATCACACATTCCCTCAACTTTTGTCTGAGAAGGTCTTTCTCCTTCACTTTTGAAGGATAATTTCTCTGGATACAGAATTCTAGGTTGGTAGTTTTTTGTTTTTGTTTTTTCCTTTCAACACAATAAATATATTATGCCACTCTCTTCTTGATCGCTCAGTTTCTGAAGAGAAGCCCTATTTATTACCCTTGCTCTTCTGCAGCTACTGGTGCCAGCATAGGAGCCCTCTGGCTCCTTTCAAGATTTTCTCTTCTTTTTTGGTTTCCTGTGCTTTGTATGTGTCTAGGTATAGACATTTTGATATTTATTCTGCTTGGTGTTCCTGGTGCTTCCTGGATCTGTCATTAATTTTGAAAAATTCTCAGCCATGACAATTTCCAATATTTCTTCTCCTTTCTCTTCCTTGTATTCTCATTACATGTTGTTACATCTTTTGTGATTGTCACACAGGTCTTGGAAGTTCTGTTCAGATGTTTTTCAACCTTTTCTCCCCTCTGCATTCCAGTTTCACGGTTTCTACTGACACATCCACAGGCTCACAATTCCTCTCCTTGGCCATGCCCAGTTTACTCATGAGCCCATCCGGCATTCTTTGTTTCTGTCATAGGGTTTTTGGTTTCTAGCATTTCATTTTAATTATTTCTTGGAGTGCCTATCTCTCTACTTACATTAGCCATCTCTTCTTATATGTTGTCCACTTTTTCCATTAGTATCCTTAGCATATTAATCAGTAATTTTAAATTGTCAATCTGATTATTCTAAAATCTCTGCCATATTTGAGTCCGGTTTTGATGCCTGCTCTGTCTCTTAGAATTGTTTATTTTGCCTTTTAGTGGGCCTTGTACTTTTTGTTGAAAGCTGGATATGATGTATTGGGTAAAATGAACTGAAGTAATCAGGCCTCAAATGTGGGGTTTTATGTTTAACTGGCTAACAGGCCGTGCTTCTTGTTTTCTATAGCTGTAGATGTCAGAGGTTAAAATTTCTTTGAATGACCTTGCTGTTATCACCCATGTTATTTGTAGGCTTTTTTACATAACTTTTCTTAAATAAGATCTGGGATGTGCAGTTCTTTCAGCTGTACTCCCTGTTACTATACAAAAGCCCTCCTGATATCGTAGTTAGATATGGAGAAGAGGAAGCATTCTATAGTCCTAGGATTTAGTCTCAGTCTTTCAGTGAGCCTGTGCCCCTGGACTGTGACCTTCAAAAGTGCTTTTCAGTTTTGTTTTCTTGTCTCCTTCCAATTCCAACTTAGATGAGGTAGGAGACTAGAAGGCGTTGGTATTAAGTGTTTCCGTTCCCCCAGGCCAGACAGGCTGTGTGAAAATAGTTTCTCTTGGCTGGGCACAGTAGCTCATACCTGTAATATCAGCACTTTGGGAGGCTGAGGTGAGTGGATCACTTGAGTTCAGGAGTTTGAGACCAGCCTGGGCCACACAGTGAAATCCCATTTCTCCAAAAAAAAATACAAAACTTAGCCAGGCGTGGTGGCATACGCCTTTAGTCCCAGCTACTCAGGAGGCTGAGGTGCGAGGATTGCTTGAGCCCTGGAGGCAGAGGTTGCAGTGAGCTGAGATCGTGCCACTGCACTCTAGCCTGGGTGACAGAGCCAGACTCGGTCTCGAAAAAAAAAAAAAAAAAGTTTTTCTTGAGGGCAGACTTTGTTAAGAACAAAATACTTTGGGTATATAGTCATACCTAGGTATATGAGGGGGACTGGTTCCAAAACCAATGCCCCACCCCTGTGCATGCCAAAATCCAAGCATACTTAATTCCCACAATTGGCCCACAAATACCAAAAGTCAGCCCTCCATTTACATGGGTTTCGTCTCCCACAAATACTGTATATTTTCCATCTGTGTTTGGTTGAAAAAAATCCATGTGTAGGTGGACCCACACAGTTCAAACCCATGTTGCTGAAAGGTCAACTGTATTTCCAAATGACTGCTTTCTCCCTTTTTCTGCCAAAGAGGGGATTTTCCTCCAGTTTTTACTGTGAGAACCTGGTAGGTATCCTAGAGGTAGAACTCACAAAAGTGTGGAGGATTGTCAGCCAGCCCCACTTGACTCTATTTAACTCTCAGATTTGCCCACACTAAGCCTCCTGCAATTGGTGAATTACAATTTAAGTATTCCTACTGTGGTATTGGTTTCCCAGAGGTTTCTGCTCCTGGGCTTCTGTTCTGATAAGGTGTGCTTCTCTGTATCTGCCTGTCTATCTCTCTAACTTTAGGGACAGGGGTTTGCCTGGTCATTTCAATTCTCTGATGAATCTAAGAACTGTTTGATTATCAGTTAACTGCTGATTATCAGCTCGTTCTTTTTCTTGCTGTGAGGATGGCAGTGATGACTATCAAGCTCCCTACATACTGACTGGAAACCAGATGTCTCCCTATCTGAATTAAAGCAGCCTCCTTCCTGCCCATTCTATCACTCTGCTTTACTTTCTTTGAAATACCCATTGCTATAAGAGTCTCAGCTCAACCATTTATTTACTTATTTACTGGCCTTCTCCCTTACTAAAATTTAGATTCCAGGAGAGTGGGACCCCCAGCCCTTGACACAGTACCTGGCATGAAGCAGCCTCAACTGATAGATGTTTCCTGCTTGACTGAATGAAGCACTCCTGTTCCCAAGGGACTAATTGCTGGGCATTAACCAAATCTGTTGCTCCTTTCGACATTTCTAGAATAAGATCTCTTGTGACCATCTGTCTTTTGCTTCATGGAGATGCATGAAAGGCCAGGGGAAGGGTGACGGGAGTGGCCTTGGGATCCTGAGTAGCCTTCTTCCACTGCCATAGTTTTGTTTGGTGGGTTTGAAGAAAATGTTCCACAATTAAAACATAAAGATTTAAAAACTGCAAAGATTGGGCAAAGCTATTTTGATATCAGCGTCTACAGCACAGAGGAAGCAGTCGGACCTATGAGAATTCAAATGGGAGCAAAGAAGGAGGAGACTGTTAGTTCTACTAGTGATGACTAATAATGAGCTTTCCCTCTACGACAGTACTGGTAGAAAACACAGGCGTTTCAGTTCCAAACAGGAAAATTAAGAATCTACTCATAGTCTAAGATCATTCGTGTTGCCAGGTTCAAATAAGAAATAAGAAAATAAGAAAGAATAACCCTTTCTTCCTTCTATCTTTAGTAACACCACACTTCAAAGAGTTTATTTAAAAAATATTCTATATAAAAAAATAAGTGTACTTCCTCTTATGGCTTATACTAAAAGCAGTCCAGTAATCAGTGAGGTGGAGTTGTAATGAAAGTATTCATGAAAAAAAAAAAAAGAGCAAAAAACCCAACAACAACAAACTAATACATTTCAAGTATAGCATAGAAAATACTACTGTAAAGATAAATTATCTGATTTGGGGCAATGAGCGCTCTTTCCTTTTCACAGAAAAGTTCTGTGTGCTCTGGACACCCATCCTCCTTGCTGGGCTGAGTGGCTGACATTGTGTGCACCTGTGTGCAGGAACCTAGGCAGTCGCATGCCAAGGGGTCTGGGGAGTGTGCTGTCTCTTGAGCCAAAAGGCCCTTCCTACTGAGTAGCTCAGAGGCAGAGAATGAGAGCTGCCTTGCTTTCTTACATTACCATTTGCCATTTGGTATGCATTTACACAGGCTGGCTCTGGCTGGCCAAAGGAGAGAAGATAAAGCAAATAAGAAGAAGATGTATATGCAAAGACCAACTTAAAAAAGGGGAAACAACGTCAACTTCTGAGGAAAATCAGTTGAGAAGAAATTCTCAAAAGCCAAATTGTTGTGAAAGATAAAACAGCAGCTAAGAGCTAATAATAGTAGGCTATAGATTTTCTTCCATCTGTATCAAGGCTTATTGTATAAATAAACGTTCTTTAGTATTCTTCAGCAACTGCTCGTGGGTGACTCAGTCTTTCAAAAACCGGACAAAAGGAATAATACAAATCCCCTGTATCTAGGGAATTCCTCTAATTAGAAGTGGCAATGAATTAGAGAAGAAATTTGATTTTAATTTAACATCTGCAAATGACAGATGCCTTTTCACATAGTTCTCAATGTCATTCCTTTACTAAAAATAATGCTAATAACAATAATAATAAATTATCCAAACAGAACATAACATAGTAATCCATTTAATAACCTATTTTAGTACATTCTGGTTGTTTGGTATTTTCAATGATCTTTTCTAAATAAATAATTCTTTGTATATTCAAAGGTTAACAATTTATTTTCCCTGAGAAGTTCCCAGAGCATTTTAAAGGGCATGATTTAATCTTAAACAGGTTAGTTGGCTGTGATTGGGATAAATATTTAAGAAAACTGCACATATAAAATGAAAAGAAAGAAATTTACATAACCATGTTGCAAAGTCAAACACTCTCCCTATACCGTGAGGCCACACTAGTAAGCTTAAAAGACTTCCTTTCAAACTCAGTGCCAATCCTAGGCTCCTCTCAGCCTCCCATGTGCAAATGCTCTTGTAACTTCTGGCACAACAGCCTTTTCCCAGCATTTCTGGGCACCTGCTCCAGGTACAGGTCCTGGGCTAGATGTCACCCTGAAGAGGGATGCATGAACACACATGAACACACACACACACACACACACACACACACACACTCACACTCACTCACTCACAATAGCTGCTGAACCTTCAAGAGAGCCAGCGACTACTTCCATGACGCTCTGGGGATAGTCAGGACAACTTAAGGAAAGGTACGGGCAGCTAGGAACAAGAGGATCCAAAAAAAAAAAGGCATTTAGAATCCCTGTAAGGACTACAGAGAAGCCTTGGTTCTCAACCAGCATTTCACAGCTGAGGAAGCTAAGATTCAAAGAAACGGAAAGATCTGCCCAAGACACCTACCATCTTGTGGTAGGCTTAGAACTGGAACTCTGGTGTCCCATCTCCTGTCTTACTACTTCCCCTCCTACGCTTTTCACAAATCACTGAATCACTATCATTTTTTTCTCCATGCTCGTATGTACCAGGGCTGAGTAAGTAGAGTTCAGAGGACATTAGCATATTTTCCATTTACAAAAGGGACACTCTGGTTGAGGTGAAGAGGAGGACACTTCACCAAAACTTCCTCTTGTCTCAACTGCTCCTGCTCAAGGCTGCTTCTGAACACCTACCCTCTGGTCAACTGGTCACCAGCCAGTCACTACTATGCCTGGAAATAAACATGCCCAAACCACTAAAACTTACCTTCGCAAATTTCTGAAGGCAAACACTTTGAACACCAATATTACTTTCCAGATACTGAAAGAGAGGGAAAGCAGCACGGGTACTCACTGCAGTGTGGAAGTTCTATGAATCACTTTTCTGAAGAACAACTCTGGCATTTTAACAAACCCCTTGAATCACTCACATTCTGCTCTATATGCAAGTCTTTCCTTGACTGCTGACTTAATAATAAAAGCTGGAAAAAACATAAGTCTAACAATAACACATTTCTTTTCTGTGACCAAAGAATGATTGTGTCAATGTTTATGGAGATGGACTTATTTTGAAAGTAATTTAACAATGGAATGATGCTGCTAAGCACACTGATTTTTTTTTTTTAAATGAAAAAAAGAAGTTCAATACAAAGCTCAAGAAGTGAACAGGCCCACTCAGATGAGAGGGTTTTATGCGTTCACACAAGCACACCCACACTTCTTCAACATACCATTTCACAAATGCTGTGTATTATTAAGAGGAGGCGGATTCTGCCAGGCACATAATTTGTATATTTAAGGGAGGTGTATGGAATGAAAAAGCGAAATATGTTAAATTTCAAAGGACTTGGAAGCAATGCTGCCTGTAAGCTTGTATTACAAATAGCCCTACATTATTACATACGCTATTAATGAGGCCGAGTGAATGAAAGTACAATTTGAATATGCATGACTCTACCCAATGAGCAAGACTTTTGTGTACTGATGAGGTTTTTTTTTCTCCCAAAAAAGGATTAAAATTATTCTTAGAGGAGTATGGCTGCCCAGAGAACAGTAAAATAAATGTACTTAGACCACAGAGTCATACTATACTCAGATGAAATACACAGGTGCTAAAAGAATGCCTTTGACTCTACCTACAATTTTGGAAACATGCATATCCTGTCCTTCAAAAGGAATATTCCTTAACTTCAAGCAGCTGCGTCATTACAATTTCTAAGAAAAAAATACGGATTTTGGTGGAGATCCCTAAAAGTAGGCAAGGTTAAATAAACCTTTTGAGTACAAAGCCTTCCCTTCCACAGTAAGGAGCACTAGTTAAAAGGCTGGGGAATGGGTAAATTATTGTACCAAATGGCTGAGAATTAATCTCTGCTGACTAGCTGTAATCTAACGAGGCGTCTGTGTCCCAGGGAGCCCGCAGCATGTCCCTGGCGGTATGTGCAGTGTGTCGAGTCTGCGTGGCACCCTTTGTCCTCGCTCACAGGCGGCCTTTCCCCTCATTGTCCGTAATATCCTCATGCATCTGGGACGCGTGGAATGCATTCATACTAACAGACTTACCATTGTTTTCTCTCAGAAGCTTTGTTGAGCAAAGACTGCATCACGGTTACTGATAATTATATTGCTTAATTAATCAAGACAAAAAAAATTTGCAAATCATTGCCTGGTTGCCAAGCAGGGAGATAAAAAATGACAACAATACAAGCTGAAGCAATATAACAAAAGTAACAGCTATCTGATCAGAAATTCTTATATAATGAAGCTATTAATGCTAAATCGGTTAATGTTAACATTGCTCCAGGTGTCTCTACTTAGATGCAAACAAAAAGGCTAACATTATGGATATAAAAGGCCAAATGTTGCCATGGATTCTGTAACCTGATAGAGAGGACAGCCTTTTCATTTGATTAGGGAATGCAATTTAAATACCAGGGACTGAAGCCAAACAAACAGACTTTCCCTCCGCAAGCCTCTTGCATTCACCCTGGGGTCAGTGGTTGGTGAACAAAAGGTCAGCCACACTTGCCCTGGAAATGTCTGGATTAATTTTATTACATTGTAATGGTTTGTACTTTAAATGTAAGGATAATACTAAATTTCCAGTTGGCCATTATTCTCTTCTTCCCTTTAGGCTTTTTGAATTAAAATATTAAGAAAGCGATTTGCTCAATTCATCTTGTCAGAATTTATAGCCAAATTCATTAAATGTGCAAACATTTTATAAGAAAGTTTACAAGGTATGTTAATAATTATATTCATGCATTATAAGTGTACTATCTTTTTAAAAAATCAAAAAAATCACTTTTGATTCTATAAAGTGAATTAAAATGGCTTGCATGTTTTTTACTTAAAAATAAAGGTGACATTTTTAGGACATTAAATGACATTTTAGAAGCCCATGTTGAAAATGAGCTAATAAAGCCAATTAATCCATACTAAATATTAAAGAAACACATTTCCTCTTTTTGAAAGCTATAAGACACTAAATTCACTGGTTCTCTTATATTAAAATTTTCAGTTTAATTCTTTAAAGTAGTGCTCTTCATGGACAAATACAAATGTTAGCACTAAGAGCCATTTTCATACACAAAACTGAAAACTTCACGCACATGGAGATCAGAATAAAAAATGATGCAAATATTTAATATGAAGTGACTTTTGGCATCTGCGTTCCCTCAATAGAAAAGAGGGTTCCCTTTATGTCAGGCTTTGCAACAGCCAGAATGGGACTTTTATGAATTCAGGAGTTGACCCACAATGCATCTATTCTGAGAATAATAAGCATGTTAAACTTGGAATTCATTAAGTATTCTCTCTCCATAGTAGTAATAACAAAAAACAACAGCAACAATAATAATAATAATAGCTAACACTTAAGTAGCTTTTACTCTGGACCAGGCACTGTTTGAAGCACTTTCTATTTATTAGCTCATTTAATCCTCACAACTTTAACCCTTTAGATTAGGTCATAAATCCCAATATGAACAATAAATCTGTTGCCTATTATTTCAAAGCTTTAAAAGAGAGTTTTCAGAAGGGTAACTTTCAGCTCCTTCAGGAGAACAACTTGAAATGAAAATGAAGATTATACATACTATCAAGCTGAAAAACACAATGTCATTCCTCTTGAGGGATGGCTTAATATGCTAATGTTTAATTTAAGAACTTTAAAAACGCCCTTCTATTAGTAATTCTAAAACAAAAACAAGTCGCTACATAAAGCATGGCTAAAATACCACTAAAGGTATGACAAGGATCGAAACTGCAGCCAATTTAGTACACAGCACACAGATCATTGGATTGTTCCAGCTCTTCCCATGATCAATACCAATTGACATGGCTGAATTGATTCTGCAGCAAGGTGCTCCAATTGTTGAAACTCATCACGTGGGCCGTGCTCCAGAGTCCCGGCCTCTTCGTGGACATGCCTGCAATTCTGCAGGATTGACCCCATTAGCACAGTCAGAGGCTTGGCAAGTGCCCGACACCAGGCAAGGCTGGATTCCATACCCACGGTTCTCCACAAAATGCTAGATGTGATATGGGGTTCCTTCAACTCTTATTATTAATCAACATAACCAAAATTTCAAGATACAATTTTTCAAAAGTACAAAATTTAGAAAACTTAAAACATTTACAAAATAATAAATTTGACATTATAATTTCCAAAGAGGCCTAGTAATACAATAATACAATTTTGTGCTCATGATGAAAAATTCTTTGAAAATCCCAATTCATATTTAATTCCTATAAAGCATGCATAATTCAGATATATGTAAGACATTCAACAACTGGATGAGAGTCCCCTTTAACATATTTGTATCACTGATTTTCAATGACAATGAATCACATGGCAAATGCTTTATGAGTCAGTACAACAATGCAATGAAAACGTACCTCAGGTTTCTTCGTTATCGCGATGAAGAACATGTGATTCTTCATTGGGTAAATAATGATTGAAACATCTCCAAAGGCAGTTGGGATAATACCCCTGCGGTAGTCTCTGGAGTGTTCAGACCAGACGATATGGACCTCGTCATTCCCCAAGTGACGAAGCTGCAACAGCAAATTGACTGTTTATTAATCAGGGTGATAACAGCAGTTTATGAGGGGTCATGGCTTACAAATTGAATTATAAAACTCAAAGGCCAAAAAAATTTCACTACCAAAAAAGGCTACAACATTGATGTTCTTCTGTGAGGATTTTAAAAAGCACAAGTGCATAAAAACACAGCCTGTCTTCTTAATGTGTTGGTACCAAGATAAGGCATGCTAGCTTCGCAGGCACATTACAGCTGGATGGGGCTGAGGCCTTTGTAAGAATTTATTTTCTAATGGAATTTTACTCCTGCGTCAGAGTCCTGTGCTTTATATTGCTGAATATGTTTCTAAACAATTAACAACACGTGTCTTTTATTCCACATTGCAGTTGTGCTTTATAAGATTCTCAATTCAATGGTTATTATGAAAATAAGAATATGAACATAAGAGAACATAAGCCACTACAACACAATTGTTACCAAATGTATAAGAAACTAGATTTGTGACAAACCTTTAAGAAAAGGACGTATAAAATTACCTTTGCTTAGGAAATGAATAACTACTGCTTAAGTCTGATAAGAACACTCCTACCTAGCATTTAAGGAGTGCTTACTGTATAGAAGACATGTTCACACATACTATCTCATTTAATCTTCCCACTAACTCTCTGAGGTAGATGACATCATCTTCATCTTACTGTACAAAAAAGAAATGGGCGCTCAGGAAGGTGAAGGCACCACCTACCCGAGGATGCATGAGTAGCAGTGGCAGAGTGGGCCCGGGACATGCACTGGGGCTTCCAATTCAGGGCCATTTCCACTGTTTCAAAGCTACCTAAGCCTGCACCCAAAGTTACTTTACTGTCATTGCTTAGTAGTGTAGCCCACTTGTTTTATCATCTTATACACAAAGAGGCTGTAAAGAACAAAAACAAATCACAGACTCCTGGCGTCTTTGAGGAGGCCTTACTAGAAAGATCTCCAAAACAAGACCCCTTGAGAGTTCTTTCAGGCCCAGGCTCTGTCAGGTGTAAGAACACCCTTGATCAATCTCCTGCACGATGACCGTACCATCTCAAGCTGGAGAAAGCTGCACACGAAATCATTTAAGTGACAAAGAATCAAAGTGTGACTAAAAGAAACTAGATTATGAAGATTAAAATGTTGGCCAAAATTGAAGTTCTGAAACCACAAAAGCTGGTAAGGCCCTCTGACATCTTCTGGGAATTTGAGATTCTCGTTCTCTCACGTGGAACTGCAGAAGGATGCTCTCTGGCACCATGAACAATTATTTCTTGCTTCCTTATCTAACAGATGAACATTAAAAATGACTAAATTCAGAAGCAGTTTAATAAAATAGAGATGTGTCAAATTTAACATTTTTAGTTTTGTCTTAAAGTATTTTTTAAAAAGGTGTTCTGGAATACTATGTATTTAAAACGTGTTAGCATAAATACAGTTTTCTTTAGACTATTTGACCACAAAAAGAAAATCTGAGGTGACCCCAACATAGCCTCTTTTCTGTTTATAAGGTTACAAAAGGAAGCTCATCTGTTGCAATGCCTGTTTATTCTTCACTCTCTCATACTTCTGGGAATGACTGTACAGGCCAATTATTTAAAAAGTGACCTGTGCCTATACCATTGTACCTATACTGAAGGGTGCACGATTCAACTGTGTTTGAATGTGGGCTCTGGGACAAATGCAACTGCGGGTGCTGAGCACAAGTCACGATGATCCAGAACAATTTAATGGCATCTCCGACTTTCTAATGGCAAAATTACCCAGTACATCATTTTTTTCCTTCCTCCTTCCCACATAAAAGTAAAAGAATAGCAGGCAAAATGTATAGCCAACCCCTTACATAGTTTTAAACAAAATACAACCCTGGGCCTCCTAGTAGTGCTGAACATCTCTTTATATTTCTCCATTCCTATATTTGCTACAGCTTTTTTCTTTTTCCTTTTTAATAAAACATGCAAAGACATTACAATACACTCCTAAAATTCAGTCCTTTTGAAGTGAAAACACGGTAGCCAGCATCACCAAGAACCTAATATAGGTATGTTTTCGGGGAAATATGAATAGTATCTAACTGGAACTGTAGGAGGAATTGAGACCTGCAGAAAGTAATTGTGAGAACTGGGGCTGTCCTAGAGTTCACACAGCCCTCACCCTGCAAAGACAGCCAGCTTCAGGGTGGCTCTGGGTCCCTTGGTATAATGCTTGCACAAATGTCTGAATGGAAACACTCACCTACTAAACACCCCTCAAACGTGCTGCCACCACCCGATGTTGGTGCTCTAGTATCTGTGATAGCTCCTTTTGATCCACAAGTATTAGTTGCAAAACATTGACTGTGAGGTAATACCGTGATTATTGAAGTTTTGTAGTTACTTTCCCATTTCAAATTGGGTTACTCAATTACATAACCTAAGTAAGTATCTCTTAATTTTACTTGCATCTGTATACTCAGAACTACAGCGAGGGAGGTTAGTTTCACACTAACAGACCCATTCTCCCAGTGTGGCAATTCTGTAATTAAGGAAGAGCAATTTTTGTGTGGTAATGATATGATATTCATCTTCTCATAGCTGCTTTCAGTGGCACGTGACTCAGACTTCTGGATATGTCACAGTTTAATTAGCTAAATCACAAAACTAAAAGCTAAGGCCATGGGAGCAATCGGCTGATAAATCTGGAGCAAAGGGCAAAATATGCCTTCTTTTGCCTATAAGAAAACAGGTAGGTAAAATAAATAAAATTCATCTGGGCAAACTGTCAACCATGTCAGAACATACGGAATACTCTGGATGGCTCAAAGTGTTGCCCAATTTAAAGAAGAGTCCATCATTGACACATCATTTTGTGAGTATTGAAGAACTGGGATTAGAGGCCCTCAAATTAGAAACCCATCAGTGAGTTCGGTGAGTGCACACAAGTCAAGTTGATCTGGTTCCTGTGTAACTGGGGAAGAATGATGAGTCTCCTTCTGGAATGGAGCCGGTGTTTATGTTAGCTACTCCTTCAACTGCACAACAGGCTCCACAATGGCTGGATACTTATCAGGCTCAGAACAAATGCTCAGATTTTAAGTCTTAAGAAATCAATCCCGGACCCACAACTTTTCATCCTAACAGAGTTTTAAAGTCCCTTTGCCTAAGCCATTCTGTCTGTTGCTGCTGCCAGGCTGCACGCCACTGGTGACACCGGTCATGGTACACACCTAATAGGCTGACCTCCTTTCTCGACTAATTGCATTACATCGCCAGCTGGCTCCAGAAGGAGTCGTCTGTTTGATTGAAGAATTCCTGCTCCTCAGTGGGCCCGGCTGCTACTTTTACTAAGTAACAGTCAGGCCTGACATCCCCATTGTTCAGCTGACAGTGTGCCCATCCTAAAATCTAAGTTTTATTTGTAAATTAACCAAGAAACTTCCTGCCAGAACAGCGCTGCCTGGAGACTGATAATGTGGGCCTTTCATCCCTTTTCACTCGTACTGTATCACTGCCAATTTGTTTTTTATGTGGCTGGCCAGCCTGAGGCTATAAAAGCCTTGTAAGACATAAGTGCAATTATAGTCCTGGAGTCAAATGAATTGGACAAATCCAATAGCACAGCTCTGTCCCCACTCTGCAAACCCCTACAGCAGTTAGATTAGCTGTGAAAAATCTAATCTAGCTAGAGCTAACAAATTTCTGCAGTGAAGGATCAAGAGTTCAGTATGGGGTTGCAACTGGATTGCAGAATTGAAAAAGTCCCCCCATGATGGGGGCAGAAGAGAGCATGAATCACTTTAGAATTTTGCAGCTCATTTTTAAGCTGTTAGGGACAATTTAGTTAGAATAAGACAAGGAACTGTGGGCTGCTGTTACTGTGACTGATTTTTAGTCTAGCTGTGAGACATCTGATAAAGAGAGTTTATCACTAATGATGCTAAACCTTACAGCTGCAAAAGGTATCAGCTGAATTTTGATTATTACAGTAGGGAATCATTCAACCAGGCCAAGTCTTAGAACATTATTTACAGCTTGGCATTTTATCAAGAAAACATGTCTTTTCTCAAAAAAGAAAAAACAGTCCTACTTTACTTAAGAAATAATTTAAAAAATATTTTATATATAAATTTTATCTTTTAACAAAATAATTCTCAGTCATAAGAAAATTATAGAATATGGTGACACATTTGCAAAGCAGAAACAATTTACAATGTACTGCAAATAAAAAAGATGTGTGAGCCCAGCTTAGGATCCTGGTAAGCTACACTAGAGTCTGAGATCCTGGTGAATTCTTGGAGGGCAGAGTTCCCTTTGCTGAGAGCTCTACAGCCAGGGGCAGCCATCAAAACCCAACACTGAGGCAGCTCCTCCAAGACGTGTGGGAACCAGCACGTGGTCAGCGCTTCTGGCTGTAGTACTGCCACCCCCAGGAGGTCATTATAGCATGCTGGGGCAGGAGAGGGAAAGGCTGCTGAGTTTTTGAACGCAAATTGTACTTTCTACATCTGAGACACTTGATCACTACGGAAGTTGTCTGTAATTGGGCCATGACTTGAGTTCTGATGTTTCACATGCACTGCTGCCCATCATATACAGGCACACCTCAGAGATATTATAGGCTTGGTTTCAGACATATCCGCAATAGGTTTTTTAGATATTGCAAATACAGATATTGCAATAAAGCAAATCATATAAACTTTTGTGTGCACTGGGAAAGCAGTGTGCATAAAACTTATGTTTACTATAGTCTATTAAATGTGCAATAGCATTATTTCTTACCATATGTATATTAATAAAAAAATTTTATTGCTAAAAAATGCTAATGATTATCTGAGCCTTCAGTGAGTTGTAGTCTTTTTTTGCTGGTACAGGGTTTTGCCTTGATGTTGTTGGTTGCTGATTGATCAGGGTGGCAGTTGCTGAAGGCTGGGGTGGCTGTGGCAATTTCTTAAGGTAAGATAATGAAATTGCCACATTGATTGACTCTTCCTTTCATGAAAGATTTCTCTGTAGCATGTGATGGTGTCTGACAGCATTTTGCCCACAGTAGAACTTCTTTTGAAATTGGAGTAATATTTTCAAACCCTGTCACTGCTTTACCAATTAAATTTATGGAATATTCTAAATCTTTTGTTGTAATTTCAACAATGTTCATAGCATCATCACTGAGAACAGATTCCTTCTCAAGAAACCCACTTTCTTTGCTTATCCATAAGAAGCAACTTTTCATCCAGTCAAATTTTATCATGACATTGCAGTAATTCAGCTACATCTTCAGTCTCCACTTCTAATTCTAGTTCTCTTGCTATTTCTGCTAAATGTGCAGTGACTTCCTTCACTGAAGTCTTGAATCTTTTAAAGTCATCCATGAGGGTGGGACTCTATCCAAACTCCTGTGAATCTTGATATCTTGATCTGTTCCCATGAATCACGAATGTTCCTAATGGCATCTAGAATGGTGAATCCATTCCAGAAGGTTTTCAATGGTCTTTGCCAGATCCATCAGAGAACTCACTCCCTATGACAGCCATAGCCTTATGAAAGTTCTTAAATAGTAAGACTTGAAAGTTGAAATTACTCCTTGATCTGTGGGTTGCAGAATATGGATATTGTGTTAGCAGGAATGAAAAACAACACTACATCTCCTTCAGAGCTCTTGAGTGATGAGGTACATTGTCAATGAGCAGTAATACTCTGAAATAAATCTTTTATTCTGAGTAGCAGGTCTCAACAGTTGGCTTTAAATCTTCAGTAAGCCATGCTCTAAACAGACGTGCTGTCATCCTGGTTTTGTTGTTCCATTTATTGAGCACAGGTAGAGTAGATTTAGCATAATGTTTAAGGGCCCTAGAATTTGGGGAATGGTAAATGAGCACTGGCTTCAACTTAAAGTCACCAGCTGCATTAGCCCTAACAAGAGAGTCAGACTGTTCCTTTGAAGCTTTGAAACCAAACATTAACTTTTCCTCTCTAGTTATGAAAGTGGTAGATAGAAACTTCTTCCAATAGAAGGCTGTTTTTACTACACTGAAAATCTGTTGTTTAGTGTAGCCACCTCCATCAGTGATCTTAGTTAGATCTTCCAGATAAGCTGCAGCTTCTGCATGAGCACTTAATGCTTCGCCTTGTGCTTTCATTTTATGAAGACAGCTTCTTTCCTCAAACTTCATGAACCAACCTCGGCAAGCTTCAAACTTTTCTTCTGCAGCTTCCTCACCTCTCTCAGCCTTCATAAAATTTAACAGTGTAGGGCCTTGCTCTGGATTAGGCTCTGGCTTAAGGGAATGTTGTGGCTGGTTTGATCTGTTCAGACCACCAAAACTTTCTCCATATCAGCAATAAGGCTATTTCGTTTTCTTTATCATTCATGTGTTCACTGGAGTAGCACTTTTAATTTCCTTCAAAAACTTTTCCTTTATGTTCAAAACTTGGGTAAATATTTGGTTAAAGAGGTCTAGCTTTTGCCCTATCTCAGCTTTCAACATGCCTTCTAATCATTCCTAGCTTTTGATTTCAAGTGAGAGACATCCAACTTTTCCTTTCACTTGAATACTTTGAGGCCATCAAGGGGTTATTAATTGGCCTAATTTCACTACTATTGTGCTTAGGGAATAGGAAGGCCCAAGGAGCGGAAGATACATAGGGGAACGGCCGGTGGGTGGAGCAGTCAGAACACACCGAACATGTATGAATTAAGTTTGCCATCTTATAAGGGCAGTTTGTGGTGCCCCAAAACAATTACGATAGCAACATCAAAGGTCACTGATTACAGATCACCATATGAGATAATGATAATAATAATAGAAATATTGTGAAAATTACAAAATGAGACAGAGACACAAATGAGCATCTGCTGTTAGAAAAATGGTGCCAATAGACTTGTTTGATTAAGGGTTGCCACAAATATCCAATTTGTAAAAAATGTAATACCTGTGAAGTGTAATAAAGTGCTGCACAATGAAACAAGGTATGCCTGTACATAGTCCAGACATCTGTGGCTGCAGTGGTGAAAAAGCAAAACCGTACAATAAAGAAATAAAGCAGGTACAGTGAGGCCAATCGGCCAATATAAAGCATCTGGCTAACGGGGCAGGGGGAAAAAAAGAATCAATTAGACCAATGGGCAATAATGAGGGATGATGGTCAGAGACATCTTCCCAGGCACCGTGCTAAGCAATTTTATAGGAATTATCTCATTTACTTCACTCAACAACCCTGTAACATAGGCTGTGTTTTTAATCTCACTTAATAGATGAAAAACTGAGGCACAGGTTGATGAAATAACTGAATATACCTCTGATCCCTGGTCTGCCTGTCACCGGAGCCTGGCTATAACCACCACAGTAGACTCCCCAGTGGCCAGCTTTGGTCAGCACGTGAGGTGCTGCCCTCAGTCCCTTGCATTTATGTGGTAGGGAGAGAGTAAGGTGGGGATTCTAGGTTCCCCACCTGCTAGCAGGCCAGGTGAGTGCATATCACAGTTGCTCTGAGACGTTCTCCTCATCTGGAAGCAGATCTGATTAGAGGCTTCCTTCCCAGAGTTAAATGCCTCTTCTTTTAAGGCGCTCCTCACTTTTAACACAGGGTTGCCTGAGGCAAACATCCTGCAGGTTGGAAAGTAAAGGCCAAGTTCCCTGGGGGAGGTTCCTCAGGGGTGGATAAGGTTTCCTTTGAATTCTAAGGAAAACTGGCCACAAGGCAAGTTGAAGAATAAAAGGTAAGGGGCAACAGTGGGGCGGCTGAGCAGCTGCACACCTGCACTTATGTTGACAGATGCTGCCAAATCGCCCCGCAGCAAGCCTCAGAGGGGCCTGCTTTCCCAGAGCCCCACCAGTACAGGGTCATCATATTTTGTAACCTTTGACAATCTGTGAGATCAAAAATGTCATTTTCCATCAGGTAATATTCACGGGAGGGAAGATCCAAAAGTAATAACATTTAAGACGCCTTCTTTCCCCAAACCTTAATCTCAGGGTCGTAGAGTTCAGAGAAACCATCTCAGTGTGCGTTCTACCCTTGTATTTGTCTGTCCTAGGAGAGCCTCACCTACAAACCAGGGCAGCTAAGAATGGTGCCCGAGGAGACCCCTTACCTTTTTGGTGAGGGAATCATCTGAGTCTGACGGCATTCGAGTGGAAACATGGAAAATCACTTCCACAGTTGAGGTAGCATAGTAAGGGGCCGTCTGCCCGGTGCTGCCATTGCGCTGAAGGCCACCCATGAACCCACAGTGGGTGGAGAGATCCACCTGACAAAGGTCACAAAGAAGAAAGAGTGAGGATCAAAAATGAGCTGCTCTTTCACTAAGCAGGACTGTGAATTCAGAAAAAAAATAAATTATTTTCGTTTTTATATCTTTCTTTCTGATTACAAACAAATGTAATACAAAGTTAGACCAGATTAAAATGTTAAAGAAATAAAAAACATTAAAAATGAAAGTGCTCTACAATCATATCAACTGAATAAAACCACTACCAAACTTTTGGTATATAATCTCTAACTTTTTTCCCACCTGTATGTATAAATGTATGTGTATATATGCATATATGTGTGTGTATACATAGGTTCCCTATTGATGGATTTTGGGGGTTTCTGCTTTTTCAAAACAGAAAGCACACTCAAAGGAGTGTTTTTCTAAGATGTTGGGTCAAAAGGTACCAATATTAAAAATATTTAGCAATCCTTGCTAAACTGCCTTTCAAAAGGGTTGAACAACCACTTTACACCACTGCCGAAAGTTTATGAGTCATAATTCAAAGTTACGGCATGAGTGTTCACTTCTTAGTGCCTTTATCCAAAATTTTTAACTTGTCATAAACTAGTATTCTTTCAGTAAAATACCTATTCTAACATATATGAAAAAAGAAATAGAAGAATCTCTTCTGTGCCAAATAGAGTAAACATATACTCTCAAAACTCTAATTGATAATGTATGGCTTAAAAATATATTAAATAACAACTATATTCTATGACAAATTAGAAGTAGCCTTACTAGTGAGAACAATGATTTACTGGAAGTACAGTAACTGTTAGACTCAAACCTACTTGCCTTCTTAGTAAGGATGTCGTTTTGACTCTGATGTACTCTTACCCTGTTTCCATCCCTGCCTTAGTCCCCTTGCTAGCACTGAGCTCTCAAAGGCACCCAGAGAGTTTTTCAGAGCACAGGTACTCAAGAAACTAATAAAAAATAAGGAAATTGGCCGGGCAATCCCAGCACTTTGGGAGGCCGAGGCAGGTGAATCACGAGGTTAAGAGATCAAGACCATCGTGGCCAACATGGTGAAACACCATCTCTACTAAAAATACAAAAAAAAATCAGCTGGGTGTGGCGGCGCGTGCCTGTAGTCCCAGCTACTTGGGAGGCTGAGGCAGGAGAATTGCTGGAACCCGGGAGGTGGAGGTTGCAGTGAGCCGAGATTGTGCGACTGCACTCCAGCCTGGTGAAAGAGCAAGACTCTGTCTAAGAAAAGACAAAAAAAAAAGAAAAAAAGAAGTAAATTATTTTAGATATGTTGATTTCCATTTTAACTACTCCTAATTCTTTCAGATTCTAGGAATTTTTTTTTTAGGTTTATGTTTTTTGGGGAAAGGTGTGTATGTGTGTATAAATGTATATATGTCTGTATGTCAGAGTACCATTTAATAAAGAAAAAATAAACTTTTTCAACATCAATCATCCTGAAATCTACCTTAGGGAAATAGGTTGATAGCTAAACCATCATGGCTATTATATTATATTTTCATTGCAACTTTTGACTTCATCCAACTCTTTCTTCATCTTTTCACCCATCAAGTCATTGACTTCTTCTTCAATCTCCATACTGTGGCCAAAGCCATTGCTTCTCTGCCCACATTTGTCTTCTCTTACTACAAACTGTCTATGTCTGGGAGAGCCCATCTGACTATTCAGTTCTGATAAAAAGCAAATGAAAAAATATTAAGAGGAAAGTTAAAGGAAAACAAAAGTTCATGTATTAAATACTGACAAGCAACTAACAGATGTCAAATCCAATAAATTCTTCAATTCCAGAACTCTATCTATGCTATATTTGAATGCAAAAGCACATGTAAAAACTTACACAATGTCTAGTTTG
The DNA here is from genome assembly GCF_000001405.40 of Homo sapiens. Classification (NCBI taxonomy): domain Eukaryota; kingdom Metazoa; phylum Chordata; class Mammalia; order Primates; family Hominidae; genus Homo; species Homo sapiens. Next base: position 20,505,356 of record NC_000020.11, read on the forward strand.
GACACATCTTTAAACAGTGCTGGTCAATAAACACCTACTGAATGAAATGCATTACCTCCCATCCAAGTCCAGCAACAAAGTCTTCATATGCTTGGCTTCCTCTTTCATTAGAGAGGATTGAACACTTGTCTTCTTGACCTTCAGCAATGTAAAACACTGCGATTTTGTGTGTCTCACGGCTATAAATTTTTAAATTTAAAGGAGTTAGAATTCTTATATGTAAAATTTTACTTCACTACTATTAATACCACCAGCATGACTTCTACCACTGAGCTTACATTTACTGAGAACCTGCTAGAGGTCAGTCAGTGTTCTGAGATGGTCTGACACATAGTCTCATTTATTCTTCAAAACCATGCTAAAGAGATGAGTATTATTATCACCTCCCTAGTAGAGGTGGTTGAAAGGAGGCACAGAAAGTGAAACAAAAAGCACATCCAGCAAGCTGGGGATGGGAACTGTCGCAAGGCCATCTGCTTCCTGAGACCATACCCTCAGACATAAGATACACCGACCAGAAGGCTGGGGCACACCATTTGGTAAGTTCTCTGTTTTTGGTAAAAAAATATCTTTTAAAGTATTTCAAATACATATAAATTGTGAATAGATCTATGTGACTGTCCATATTTAACTCTACACTTTAAGGCTACTGGGTGGCTCTGTGATTGGAACTATAAAATATGCCACGATTTTATGAGAAAAAGAAGATCCTTCCAAGCGAACACACTTAGGTATTTTCTTCATGAAGGGGTTTACCAACTTCTGTACTCTGACTATTCTGAGGGTGCCTGACAGGGTGGATAGCTATTTAGTGGAACCCCTTTTAGCCATATAAACCCTTCATCTGCTTGTTCCAACATAGATCTTGGATACTCTGGTATCAAATCAAGCAAAAGTGATGTGTACTTTGAAAAAAGAAGCCCTGCCATTTTCTCTTTTGCACATCTAGCATACTGCTTTGCATATAGTAGGTGTTCAGTTAAGTCTCTGTTACACTGAGCAGATATATGGTGATACATTTGAATGCATTAATAATAAATTTCTACAAATTATACCCTGGAGTAAAGCGACAAAATACCTGGGCCTAGACCAAGCATTTGGTGATAGTTTAGAGATGAAACACTGTTCTTATTCAAACGGAGCTTTGATTACGAATCATTCATTCCCTAGCCCAATCACCCAAGAGTTTTGGTTTTTTTAAAGTTTCGATGTCCACTTCCAGAGCGGTTCCAACTTTCTCCTTTTTTTGCACTACATTCTGATAAATCTCATAGGAATAACTGTCAAGTTCTTAAATACAGAAATATTTTTTCTGTCAAATTTAATATTTAATTTTTTAATATTTGTTTAGTATTTCAACATTGTAATTTGATTAGATATTGTATTGGTAGAACTGAGTTCCATATTTTAACAAATTATCTAAGATTTCCTTCTGTGTGAGTTATTTCTCTACTTAATAATCAGAACTAACTGATTCTCAATTAAAAAGTCATACAAATAACTGGAGGAAGAGAGTTCTCTCCTTTTACTCAGCTTATTCACTTCCCCTATGGTTTATATGCAATAAACATACTTGGAAGAAGAATTAGAAAATACAGAAAGAAAAGAGAAGAATAAAAATCACTTGCAGTTTCAACGGATAAGCAAAGAACATAGCCGTTACACCATTTTAGGATACACTTTTGCATGCACATATGAGAAGCTACTACATTCTGTTTTACAACAGATTTTTTCACTTAAAATATTTGTGAACACTTTTTTATTGTGGTAAAATATACATATCATAAAATTCACCATTTCAACCATTTTTTTAGTGTGAACACTTTTATATCATGTGCTTCTACAACAGAGGTTTAATGATTGTAACAACATTCCATTATATTAATATGTCATGGCCCAAATCTTCATTTAGGTTGCTTTCATTTTAAAAGACATTTTCACGTTATCTTTAATACATCCTTAAAGATAATCTTTAATGTTTTTAATCTTTTCACAATATCTTTTTTTGAGATAGTCTCACTTCGTCACCCAGGCTGGAGTGCAATGGCGTGATCTTGGATCACTGCAACCTCCACCTCCTGTGTTCCAGTGATTCTCGTGCCTCAGCCGTCCCAGTAGCTGGGACTACAGGTGCATGCTACCACACACCACCACACCTGGCTAATTTTTTTTATTATTTTTAGTAGAGACAGGGTTTCGCCATGTTGGCCAGGCTGATCTCAAACTCCTGATCTCAGGTGATCCACCTGCCTTGGCCTCCCAAAGTGTTGGCTTTATAGGGTTGAGCACCATGCCCAGCCCCAATATCTCTAATATGTCCTTAAAATAAATTTAGAAAACTTGTCCTCATGCAGCAGGAAGCCCTGAAAGTGCCACACCATTCACTGCCCTGAGCAACAGGCAGGGGACACCAATGGCGTAGAATCTAACTAGCCTATTCCAAGAGCTATAAAAATTTGGGCACTTGGATAATAACAGAAACCATAACCTATGACCTAAAAGACTGTCTCTTTCAACAAAAGTGGAGAAGTATAGTTATTCAGTTTTTATCTGAAGGTCTCTCTACATATGTAAAAACTCCTCAGCATTTAATTTTTCTTTGTTTTATAGACTTTACATACATAAAAACAGCCTCAGGTTTATCTACAATGTTTCAGTTTATTCTCCTTAAAAATCTAAGCTGTTTCCATTGCAGCTGTTCCTAAGTCCTTGAGCCCTCATTAACTCAATGTGAGAGCACAAGAGAGCTAAGCCTGAATGATGGGCTGACCAATGTGAGTGTGAGGAAAGATGACCTTTAGTTGTAAACATTCATCAAATTTCACATTCTCCAAAATGTTAGTACCACAGAGAGCCTGCTAGGATGCAGAAGCTGTGTCTGGCCTTATTAAAGCCATGCTTTTGAAATGATAATTAGCAACATCAACAGCACTTCACATCCATAAGAAGCACACCAATGCATGAAGGAGCAGGTAATTCAGAAACACACATACATGAAATTAACAATCTTCCCTTCCTCATTAGAATGCACTGTTCTTTCTTATTAGGAATAGACCAGAATAGCTCAGTTTCCTTGTGCTGTCACATGAAAAAGCCAAAGAAAAGCATGATTTTAACATCCACCTCCCCATGTAGTGGCAAGAAGGCATTTACATCTAACAGGGAAGCCCACTGTGATTTGTATGTACATTCATCATAGCACTGACAATCTAGACCATAGCTGCAAGATAGCCTCAACTTTTCCAAAGAACATGTTAAGAAGGAACTATACATCAAGAGCAGTGAGATACATTGATATCAGAATTAAACAGAAATGTTCTAAATGAAAGTTGACAGACAAGGTATTTTCTTACCTGCTACCTGACCAAAATACAGGGCAGTCTAGATTTCTCATAGCTGAAGAGTCCCAGACTTATTTCTAGTTTCTTCAAAAAGATCTTGAAAATACCCTTCACCATAAAATAAGTTGATACCCATTTGATGTCAAGAAGACACTAAATCCAGGAGTTGGGGTTTTAAGTGAAGGTTGATCAAGGGGCAGGGGACTGCCACTCAGCTATTCAAAGCCATATTTCGTTGCAACAGTACCCCAGGGAGCTAATTCAATTGTACCTCATGCAACTAAAGTGCATTAACGCTCAACAAATTGACCGCAATTACATGAAACCAAGTATTCACTTAATACTAAGAAGCCTGGAATAATTCAGCATACGCTTAAAAAGCTGAGTGTGGAACCCAAATGACTGCTTATTTAATACTGAAGGAAGGAGGGAGAGTGTGGTGAACCCCTGAGTTCTTCAGAATAAATCCCTTACAGAATTTCCATAGAGAAGTTGATCTATGTTCCTCTAGAGAAAAGGAATCACAAGAAGAATCAGGAAACAGAATACAGTGAAGGGCAAGGTGAGAAATGGCAGCTTCAGGTTTTTCATTTCTAATGACTTTAAAAAATTATTCAAATTCAAATCTTTTACTGTCTCACCTGATAAGTCAGGAAACAAAGACATTTAAAATGGCAATGGAGCTGCAGGCTTCTGGACAGAGAATGGCTCCTTTATCCAGGTAAAACTACAAATGAATATTTTAATTTTGTGTTTTTAAAAAAATGTCTGCATATTTGATACTGAAATATTTATCACTCTTTAAGGCCACCTAGGAAAAAAGGCCCTCATGTCCCCTTCTGCAGAGGGAATCAGGTTTGGAACAGCCATCCTGTCACATTCCCAAGACTTGGAAACATACACAAAACAGTTCATGCTTCAACATGTATGTAGCTATATGATGCAATAAGAGGCGCTCAGTGACCTGGGAGACAGGTGGGAAAGTAGAAGGGTGAAGAAAAGAAAAGAAAAAATGAAAAGAAAAGAAAACTTATGCCCTTCTGATTCCCACAAAATGGTCAATACAAACAAATCCATCTTAATACCATATGCTTCTGAAGGATGGAAACAATACATAGCTGTGAGTAAGTTTAATATTATTTTATCTACTCAGTCCTTAGTGACATTACCAAAGGACCTTTCTGAAATATAATCTTCCAAGTGTTTAAAAGAAAATTCCAACTGGACTTTGCTAGTTGGGTTTATATCCAATTCAAGAATTCAAAACACCAAAGAAGAATCACAGTTGTGAAGGTGATATGCAAATAATAGTGACATGAACCAAGAGTTTGCTTGAAAATAAAATTTAAGCATGTGTCACTTTGGGTTTCGATCAAAACTCTAAAATAAACAATAAAACCATCACAAAGCCACTGAAACACACACAATGGTGAAAATGTTCATTCAGCAGGCTCTAACTCATCGCTGTAAGTGCAAGCAGGAGAAGCTCATGACTTAGATGAGAAACGTGACAGTGGATGAAGGATTTAATGAATGGAATAAAGAGCTCTAGTAATTTTCTGAAATTCTAAGATATGACTTTGTCAAGATAAAGCAGGGCTCTGTTATTTCCTTTCTTCCTTCTTACTTCTCAGCCAGCAACTGTACCACCCTTTAAAAACATATAGATCAAAACAGATTTGAAAATTTTTGAGTTAATGAGTAGTAAGAAAAATGTAGTGAAAAAATATAGTGTGAAGAGTTGAAAAATAAAATTGAGGAAAACAACCTGAATTTTTAATTTGAGAGCTGACAGAATATTAGAATATTCCTACAGGGAATAAAAGTGGTGTTTTTTTTTTTTAGAGTTTTTTAAAAAACTAAAGATTAAGGAGGCAGCTTATTCTCTTCGAAACTTTGGAACATCTGTTATGTACCAAGTCCTATACTTATTCTTGACTTAGATGATTTCGGAAACACACATTCCCCAAATCAAACACTTTTCATGGTTGTGAGCTCATCTTTAGAAATGCTTCTGAGACAGTATAGAACAGGGGTGGATCTGAGTCTGGCCAGCTTTGGAGAATGAGCCTTATTAACAGAGAGTTATTAATTACAACACACTGGTTTTAACCTTTCCAACACTATGAAGCCACAAGTACAGAATGTTAGCGCCTTGATACACAACATGGATTCTGAAGTCAGACTCACTTGGCTTTAGATAATATGGTATGAGCAACCACGGGCTGTTAAACCTAGGTAAACTTTTTCTTCATCATAAGGAGGTGGTTGCAGAGATCAAATGAGAATAAATTTCTACTGGCAGCCACAAAGAAAGATAATCAAAAGTACAGATTAGGTGGGAGTGGTGACCTCTTTTTAGTGTATCAAACATGAAAGTTTATTCCTTATAGTAAAAAACACCAACGGTATGGCATGCGCAAATGTCACCAGATGCTAGGTTACAGAACTACCCTTGGATGTCTCAGTAAGTCTATTCATTCCTGCTGTTGTATCTGTTATCCAAGAATACCCAAAGACAAACAGGAAAAAAGTGGTTTGATATACTTTCACATACCACTGGCGGGAGTCCAAATTTTTCAGCTCTCTCAATAATTTTGAATTTTTCTTCAATAGATGAAAATTCTTCCTATAAAGAAAAAAGGATGGAAGAAAAACCATGTGATTACAGAACCATTTTGCCGCTTTTCAATCAGTAATTTAATAAAAATACCTATCATCCATCCTCTACCACCTCACTCACAAAAGATTTGTGATAGAAACCTACAGAATGAACTCCATCCTCCTTAAGACATGCAAAGGTATAAAAATTCCATCAGCATCCCATTACTACCCAGTGACACAGATGGCTCTTTGGTGAGTATGTGACTTACATGCATGTGCCTGTGTGACTGTGTCTGTTTCCAGTGTCAGCTCTGCTGTGAATCCCTTTTCCCTACCTCTGTTCTTAAAAACTCCACTCCACTATCAGGGTCCAGCTCAAATCCTCCCCTTTCCACAAAGTCTTCTCCATTGCTCTGTACTTCCCATTGGATTTAATCATTACTCATGAACTCCTGTGTCATTCTATCCTTTATCAGAGTTGTATTAGGTCTATCTCCCACATCAGACCTAAGGTTAGACTGTGGCTTATTCACCTTTGTAGTTCATTTGCTTCCTGCATGAGGGCAGAAACAATAATGGACAAAGCAGTAATTAAAACACACACACTCAGCCAGGCGCAGTTGCTCACGCCTGTAATCCCAACACTTTGGGAGGCCAAGGAGGGTAAATCATGAGGTCAGTAGTTTGAGACCAGCCTGGCGAACATGGTGAAACCCCGTCTCTACTAAAAACATCAAAAAAGCCGGGCATGGTGGCAGGTGCCTGTAATCCCAGCTACTCGGGAGGATGAGGCAGGAGAATTGCTTGAACCCAGGAGGCGGAGGTTGCCGTGAGCCGAGACCATGCCACAGCACTCCAGCCCGGGCAACAGAGCAAGACTCTGTCTCAAAAAACAAAAAACAAACAACAACAACAACCCCCCCTACACACACACACACATACACACACACACACACACACACACACACAAATGTTTGATATCCTTTAAAATATCCAACATGTTTGGAATTCAATCTGCACACCAGTACAGCATAATTTCATTTCTAGCTTTAATTTAGTAGCAGAAAATAAGCTGCAAATGTTAAAATAAAGAAAAATCTCCCTTCTCCTCTCTTCCCCAATCTTTTCTTCTTCCCCAACCACAAACTGATAAAAAGAACAAGTACATGAAAATAATGATAAAATAACTGGAGGTCTAGCTTGGATTGTTACCTTCTGTCCCAAGAATTCATTCCCAAGTCATCAAGCAATAACCTGCAGAAATAAAAGGGTCCTCGGGGCTCCACTGGGGAGGGCTGCCCTTGGCTGGTGACTTTCATTGCAGAATCGAAGTTATGACTCTGGATATACTCATCCTCTTGAGCATTTTGGCGCAAAATGACCTCAATGATTTCCTTCTCTTGGTCATAGTTCATGCCACATGGGGTTAGGGAAGGTTCATTTAGATTTAGCTGTGACGGTAAAAGGCATTCAGGACTTGTATGGCCAATGTTTTCAAGTAATTTGTCAAGAACATCATCCCCCTCCTCAACTTGAGAAGAGTCTTTCTGAGGTCCAAATGTGTCACGATGCCAGCTCGAAATCAGAAATGAAGGATTTCTTCCATTGGGTGCTAAGCAGCCTTCCAAAGGTCCATATAAAACCTTACCATCCCAAGAGTACTTCCCTGAGATATCCCTCACAATTACTCTCACATCAGAGAGAGAGCCCACTGGTGATCCCCCTACCGGTCCTTCTGTGGGTGTCTGAAGGTAGGAGATGAGGGTGCTATCATTAAATACAAACAGCTGCAGGTTTGGACTTCTGAACACCTCAAAGGACAGCTCGGAGCCTTCCACATGGGCATTGTCATGGTTCTCGCTGACAAGGCTGTGCAGTATGGCAGGGCCCCCACTGAGGGGGTAGTGCCCCAGGTGGTTCACCAGGTGGGCCATCACCATTCGAGCAGTCAAAGGGATCAACTCCAAACTTCTTCTCTTCTTCTCTGTAAACAGCGGTAAAGAAACATAAAGAGTCAGTGGTGAATGAAGATTAAAACTCAACACCTTTTTTTTGGGTGGGGGGCAGGGGGCAGTTCCAATATGGTAGATTACAGGCTTTTAGTGTGCCTCAGCCACTTGGAAATAGCAAGATAGTGCAAAAAGATCAACTCTCTGAGCTTTAATTCAGGAAGGAAAATGGGAATCCACTGGAATCGTGAAGGATGTTCCAGATCTCAGGGAGGACAATGCAGGCAAACAGCCCTTGTGATGGCATCCAGCTGGTAAGAGTGAGTGAAGCCCCAGTACCCGAGACAGAAACAGTCTCTCTCTGTAATTTACCCTTCCACTGGGGATCCAAGCAACCCAGGCCAAGGCAGAGAATGATGTTTCTCTCAAGCCCCAGAGCTATCTTGGGGAGAGACTTGGAGGTGCTGAGAGGAAAAGACACCAGAAAAAGCTGCAGGCAATTCCTAGATCTGGGACTGAGAGACAGGAGCACTTGCTCTGGAGTGGGGCAGGGACTTCCACAGCCAGAACTGTGGAAAGCGCACCAGCAGGAGGCACTGGAATTGCACTCTTCTCAACTGCAGGCTTGGGGTGGGAGGAGAGAGCTGCTACAGCTAAAGTTTCTCCTGGGCAATGAGACTTGCAGCCAGGGCCAGCTTGGCAACACAGAATCAGTCTGCATGTGTCATTGCTGAGTGCACCAGGCTGCTCCCCTGAGATCATGGTGCAGCAGGGCCCTCTCTGTTCCATTCCCAGGCAGGACTCCAGGCAGTAAGTGGAAATCCTTTCCTAGACTGGCAGCCTGAGCTGCCCCAACCTTCCTGTGCACACATCATGGTATAGTAGGGCCCTCTCCACTCCATGCTTAGGCAGATCTCCAGGCATTCAGAACACCTGCTTGCCTGGATGAGCAGCCTGAGCCATGCTACCCTTCCTGGACATAGATTGTGGTGCAACAGGGCCCTTTCCGCTCCGCACCCAAGCAGATCTCCAGGAATTCAAAGCACCTGCTCACCCGGACTGGTAGTCTGAGCTGCTTCACCCTTTATGTAGAGATCCTGCAGCAGGGAGCCCCTCTCTGCTTCATGCTTAGGCAGGTCTCCAGGCACTGAGAGCTCCTGCTTGCCTAGTTCAGCAGCCTGAGTCTCTCCATCCCTCCTCTGCCGAGATCCTGGTGCAGGGGAACCCTCTCCACTCCACATCCAGATGGATCTCCAGGTATTCGGCACACTTCCTCACCCAGATTGGTGGCCTGAGCTGCCCCACCCTTCCTGTAGAGATTATGGTACAGTGGAGCCCATTCCACTCCATGCCCCAGCAGATCTCCAAGAATTCAGAGCACCCACTCATCTGAATCAGCAGACTGAGCTAACTTGCCCTTCCTGTGCAGAGACCATGGTGAAGTGGGGTCCTCTCCACCCCATGCCCAGGCATATCTCCAGGTAGCTGCAGTGCCTGCTGATCTGGGTTACCAGCCTGAGCCACCCCACCTTTCTTGTGCAGAGACTGTAGTATAGCAGAGCCTTTTGCACTCCAAGCCCAGGCAGACTTATAGGTACCTGGAGCACCCAAACCCGCTCTCCTGATCAGGAGTTTAGGTGCCCCTCTGCCTGTGCAGAGAACCAGGAGCCAAGGAGATTTCCCAGCTCCATGTCTAGGCACACCACTGGGCACCTGATCGCTGCCCACTGGATTCTCCCTCAGCACTGCTACTTGTGCCCAACACCAGGGGAGCTGTAAATGAGCCTGTCCAGTCTGGCTCAACCCATTTTGCCCCCTGCCCACCCAGGGCTAAGCAGTGAGCTCAGACCACTGTGCATTCCATGGACCACTCCATTGCCTGAGGCAATAGAGAGCTTCTGCTGGTAAACAAGGATCAAGTATATACCTAGCCACCTTGCCCACAGCCAGCTTTTACCCATAAACACCATCTACTGGCTTGTAGGTCAAATCGCACAGCCCCATATAAAACCTGCCGACAGAAGTGCATAGGGCTATAGAAGCAAATCCAGAAGATGGCAGATTGGAGGCAGTGTTAGCATGCGTCTCCCACTGGGAAGGACAGAATAGTGTGTAGAGATTCACACTGTGAACTTTTTTCCAAGGAGCAATACAGGAACTCAACAGGAAAACTGCAAGAATCCACAGATCCTTTGAAAGAAGCAGAAAGCTGAAGTCTACTCCATGAGACAGGTAAAAAACTATAAATCCTCAGAGTGTCAGTCGGGGGAGACTACCTTCAGAATACACATCCCTATGAGGGAATCTGAAAATCCAGGTCATGGGAGAAGGCCTTAACCCTACCCAGAGCTGGAACTGCTTAAGGGAGTGATGAGAAACATAAAAGTAGAAGCAGCAGCAGGAAATGCCTTGCAGGCATTCTCAGTCTCCAGCATGAACCGAGGGAAGCCATACCTGAATATATCTCACAGGGGACCTTGGGGAAGCCAGTCAACTAGCTCAGAAAGGGGTTGCAGGGTGAAAGATGCTCCTAACTGAATTTCGTGATATAATCTCGAGCAGGGATAAACTCCTTTGACCAGAACCAATGGGAGTGGGGCGGGGGGGGCAGGGAAGTGCACTGCAGACACATCTGCCTCATGGGCAGACAGGAGGGGCACTACCCGAAAGCCAGGTGGGAAAGCTTATGGCCTGCGGCAGATCTGGGTTCTGCGTGCAGACTGCCTGGATCTAAACCTGGTGCTGCTAGTAGAACACTGAGGGAGTGAGACCGGCCTTGCCAACTGCATGGGAGCTGGGCAAGGCTTACTGCTGCCTGCTACTCTCCACTCCCATTGTGAACTCTTCTGTGCAGCAGAGGCAGTTATACTATCTCTGGAACATTACCCTGAAAACCACCCCCTGACCCTCAAAGGAGCCATGGCTGGCCCCACTCAAGGAGAGTCAGAGCACAGACCTGCTCAACCCTATCCCCACCTGTTGGTATGTATCCCTGCACCCACCCTGGTAGCTTAACACAAAGGACATAAACTTGTGGGAGCTTTACAGCCCTGCTCATTGCCTCAGAACCAGATTACTTCCCCTAGGCAATTTAGGGCAAGCTCAAATCCCACAGCTAGTACTGCAGCTGGTGCTCTCTTGCAAGCACCACCTCATGGCTGCAAGCTAGCTGATGCAGCCCACTACAGCATCTACAGATGGAATAACACTGCCCAGGAAGGAGAAAATGGCTGAATGACCTCAGCTATCACCACTGCCTATAATACTCTAGCCACCAGAGGTCCTGAGCCTGTCGAAGTTAAAGTTAACTACAATTAAAACCAGCATTCAAGAAAGCCAGCACACTAAGCATATCTATAACCAAGCAATCTCACAGAGTCTACATCACTCCCCTGCCACCTCCATCAGAGCTGGTGCTGGTACCCACTGCTGGGAGACTTGAAGAAAGGTCACATCACCGGATCACCTGCAGACATTTCCCAGCAGCAACCTGGAGTGTGGCAGCCCCACTGGGTGGCTAGACCCAGAAGAGCAATAGCAGTCACGGTAGTCTGGCTATCAAGAACTCCTATTCCTAGGGAAAGTGGGAGAGCACCACATCAAGGGAACACCCCATGGGACAAAAGAATTTGGACAGCAGGTCTTGAGTCCCACATCTTTCTGCCGGTTGGAAGTCTCCTGCAGCAGACACAATTGCAGTGCTGGGTGCAACAGGGAAAGTCTGCACCTCTACCCCAACAGGCAGGCAGCCTGCATGCTTGTGAAGGGTCGTGGAGAAGGGGTCCTTGTTCTCCACCTTGTCCACCACCATAGACACAACTGGAACTTCTCCCATGCGAATTCAGCATGAATGTACCTACAGATAGCCCTCCTGGAACAATTCACGGTGGCTGCATCCTCACAGAAGCACTCTCCAAGTTTAGGCTTGCACAAGAGGCAGAGTCACAATTCCTTTCTATATGGAACATCAACATCCCTCATCCCTACAGATGAAAAGAGGTGCCTGTCTGATGTGAATAGCTGAAACATTAGGACAGGAGTGAGGCTGGGAGGTGGGTAACTTTCTTGCTGGCCTGACAGGGGAGGTGGATTAGTTCCCAATCTTCACCCTGATAAAACTCAGTGCATCTAACTGAGAGATCCCCTAGCCACATTAATCAAAGCTGGGGCCTCAGCCCACCATTGTGTATTGTATCTAACCACCTGCTTTAGCTGCAACTGGTTTCTATCTAGGGATACTTCCCCTACTGGCCTGAAGCCTGGATCATCAAGAGAGTAAATAAAATACTGGGGAAAAATTAAACAAATAAAAAAGTGCCTAACACGGGGAAATGAGATAAGCTTCAAGAGATCCTTGCCATTCCAATTCCACAGGAGACAATGAAATTGCCCACACCCCGAGTACAAAACTACTACAATCAGCATCTGAGAAAGTCAGCATACAAAGACTCTCTATAACCAAGAAACTCATGTAGAGTCTTCACCCCTAAAAGCAGCAAAATCAAATTAGGCTATAATAAACTATAAACATTAAAGCCACATCTTGAAGAGGGGGAAAAAAGAAATTAAAAAAAAAAAAAGTCAAATCAAGAATAAATTCAAGAACAATTTGAAGAAACAGTCTACACAAATGAGAAGGAACCAGAAAATACAGGTAATATGATAAAACAAGGTTGAAAAGATCACACTAGCTTCCTAGCAATGGATCCAAACCAAGATGAAATCTTTGAAATACCAGATAAAGCATTCAGAAGGTTGATTATTAAGCTACTCAACGAGATCCCAGAGAAAGGTGAAAACCAACATAAATAATTTTTTTCCCCCCGAGATGGAGTCTTGCTCTGTCACCAGGCTGGAGTGCAGTGGTGCGATCGTGGCTCATTGCAACCTCCGTCTCCCGGGTTCAAGTGATTCTCCTGCCTCAGCCTCCTGAGTAGCTGGGACTACAGGCACCTGCCACCATGCCCAGCTAATTTTTTGTATTTTTAGTAGAGATAAGGTTTCACCATGTTAGCCAGGATGGTCTGGATCTCCTGACCTCGTGATCCACCTGCCTTGGCCTCCCAAAGTGCTGGGATTACAGGCGTCGGCCACCACGCCCGGCCACCCTGACCAGAGATAGTTTTGTTATGGATGATGAAGCATTACACTGAGTGAAAAAAAATACCCTCAAATTTGAGCTCTTTCTTGCTTAACCTAAAATACCCACGCTATCACCTTTATTTTTCCTTTTCACTTTCTATATGATGTATCCGCTTGGCAAGGACGTGCACACCAATATGTTTTTAAGCATCTTGCCTATTTGCTTAGTTAATATGTCAGTGAATTTTAAAAACTCCTTTGTCAGAGAAGTTTAAGCAATTATTTTTAGTACTTTAGAACTATCTTGGGAATGTTTCCCAAAGAGTATTGTACACTGAAAGAAAAATGGTGCCAGAATTTAAATGTATATTTTTAGGTTTTTCCTTTTTCAATAACCTATTTATCTTCTGCTATTTTTAAGTGACAACTCATAATAAATGGTGAACCTATTTTAGGGATAGCCATGTTTTGGGGATATACTCATGTGGATGAGTATAAATTGATGACTTTAGGAAAAAACAAGTTAATTTTATTATAAGACATATGAACTTACAGTAGGGAACAACGAAATAGATTAAGAGTTGTTTCAATTACTTAATAAAAATAATTTATCATTGTGGGGGAAAAAGTAAAGCAGACATTGCAGTTGACAGTGGAGCTCCAGAAATAAACAATTAAATGATTAAATAAATGGAGAACAAATCAAGAAAACAACATGAAAATGAACCATGTACCATCCACCACCAACACAACTCAAAACAAGAGTGTTAAGTCTACTCCACGTCAAAACTTTCAGAGTAAATAATGCATTTTAGGAACTTGGTCATTAAATCTTAGGTTCAAATTCCACCTCCCTTACTTCTGACTTGTACACACCCCTGGGAATATCCCTTAACCTCAGTTTGCTCATCTACAAAATGCAGCTAAAATCAGGACTGCTAGATTTTAAGCCCTTGCTCATGACTGTCACCCCCAGTCCTGTCTTTTTCATCCTCATCTCACCTTCCCCTTCATGTCAGCTTGAACCTTGCTCCAGACTCTGTAGTGCTGCAAGCATACCCCTGGACCTTTGTCCTCCCTCACCCAGCCACTGCCTGCTGTGTCCTTCCTCCTTCCACTAAGGGCCTCACAAAAGGAGTCTGACTCAGGGATCTGACTGTCACTGCACAGGTCACCTGCTCATGTTATCTGGCTGGACCCACCACTCTGGTGAAAGTGCTCTGGCAAAACCTACCACCAAACACCTAGTTGGGAAATATAACAGCTCCTGTTTCATTCTCACCTTCCCTAAGCTTTCTGAAGCAACTAGCACTGCTGACCTTTCTCAACTTCTTATTTGCTTTCTTCCTTGACTTGCTAGAAATGACTCTTTCTTGGTCCTCTTTCCACTTCCCTGACTTTGCTTTCCTGGTGACATTCCCTCACTCTGCTGTCCTTAAGGATGTTTCTGCCCACAAGGTTCTAGTCTTGGGCCTAGGTTTTTAACTTGTGAAGTCCATACAATTTTCATGGATGATCTAACACTTCACACCTACATCTCTTTAATTTTTTTTTTTTTAAGATAGAGTCTCACTCTGTCGCTCAAGCTAGAGTGCAGTGGCGCTGATCACAGCAGCCTTGACCTCACAGACTCAAGTGGTCCTGTGCTCAAGTGATCTGCTCGCCTTGGCCTCCCAAAGTGACGGGATTACAGGTGGGAGCCATGATGCTTGGCCTTCTTCTAATTTTTAGTGTTGAGACAACTGAAGATTCACATGCAGTTGTAAGCAGTAATACAGAGAGACCTCAAATACCTTTCATCTCAGGGTAACATCTTGCATACCTATAGGACAATATCACAGTCAGGAAGTTGACATTGATAATAATCCATCTATATTACTCAGTGTTCACCAGTTTTACATGCATGCATTTGTGTGTGTGTGTGTGTTTGGTTCTATGCAATTTTATCATATGTATAGACAGTATACCCACATTCTACTCCCATTCCAAGGCCCAAAGCTGGGCTCTTATCATTCTGGGGAGAGGGGTGCTTAAGTAAGAAATACAGCAGGCTCTAAGTCCTGACAATCCCTATATGCTCTGAAATGGACTCTCTGCTATGAGCAGAGCAAATCTAAAACTGTAGCAAGTAAATTTCCATCTCTTTTTATGATGCTCTCCTAACTTGGAACAATCTATGAGCTCCTTTCAACACCTGCCCACCCTGCTAAGTCTGGCTTAAGTCCTTCTTCATGGAAAGCCCTCATGGTGCTACCAGTCCACAGTGAGTCCTTCTGGACTTCACTGTGTGTTTTCCATTAGATGTAAAGCTCCTTGAGGATAGAAAATGAGCCTTTTTTGTGAGTTCCATGGATTTGAGACATACCTGTCTTCAATAATACAAAAACCATTTGAACTACTAAAATGGGAAAACAGAGGAGAAAAAAAGAAGAAACAAGGAAGGCAGAATTTGCCATCACAGAGGACTCCAGGAACTAGGATTTCAACTTCAACAACTAGATTAAAAAAAAATAGAGCAAGCATGGCTAAAGGCTAAATCCTTCCTTTTCCTTCCCACAAGATTTCATACCTGAAAGAATACTCACCCTCTTCAACAGTCAGCAGGTTACCCAATTCTGCTGATGAATGATACTGGACTGGCTCAGAGCTCTTCACATTTGCCAGTGGCAGGAAGGGGTCATAATCCGTGGATGACAAGTCAGCCAGGGTCAGTATGTAGTGACTCTGTTGGGTGTACGTGCTTGAGCCACACACACAGCAGTGCAAAACCTGTGAAAACAGAGGCCATGTGCACCACGGATGCTACTCACCGCGTGTCCCCTGACAATCTGTCAAACTACTGCAGCACTTGGCAGCTAGGACTCCTGCTTGGTCCTAGCTGGAAATGGAATGACCACTCTTAAATATCTTCTTGCTATTAGCAAATTTATTTTGCTCCTTTCATATCAATGCCAAGAAATATGTTCTCAAGGCAAAAGGAAAGTAAAAGTTAAAAAGTACTTATTCACATTCTGTGTGATTGCACATACCTAAGTCCCCCTCCTGTCCACCAAAGGCGGCACAGGTAGAAGGAACTAATCTGGGGATGAAGGGTAGTGGTGGGACAGGCCAATCACGGTGGAGGGTGGAATGAGCACAACAAGCAGAGACCATTAGTGCACGTCATAACCAGTAATGAGTTTAAATTAGTATAACTCATGACGCCATAAATTGTAAGGGCTAACTTAATACAATTTTTAAATTATTCTTATTTTCACAAGATTAGTTCCTGAAAGTTCACTGGTTGTTTACAAATTGCAGTTGATTGAAGATCTATCTACTCATTTGAGCCTTTGTACACATACAAGCCATGCAAACACAAATCATCTTGAATATGCCAAAATGCATAAATGAGGTAATAATTGTAACAGATTTCCCTTTTTAATCATAAATTCAAGATCATCAACTCCAAACACTGATTTTTATAAGAATCAAGGTAATACTTGAGAAAATAAGAAAACACCATTGGGTTAAATATATTTATGTAAAGTAAATTCACTTTTAGATGACTAGCTTTGGTTTGCTGACATGGCAAGAGGCCTTGTGGTCAGGTACCCTTTGTAAATAAGTACCAAGAATTACAGTTGTCAGGGCAACCACTTGACTATGTCCTCTTCCTAGCAAAAAATGCAGTATAGGAAAATCCTTATGGCAGCTCTCTTATTAATTTAAAAATTAAGCTGCAATCACTGAGAGAATTAATTTCTAGTAGCCAAAATGCAATAAATGTAGGAAATGCACATTAAAACCACACGTTATGTGTAAACTAGCACAACTACTTTGGAAAATTATTTGGTGTTCACCAATAAGGCAGAATACATGTATTCCAGCAACTTCACTCCTAGGTATACACCCAACAGAAATGCATACGTATATGTACAAAAAAAAAAAAAAAACCTTGAATATTCACATTTTATTGGTCCAAAACTCTAAACTATCCAAATGTCTATGAACGGTAAAATGTATAAATACATTGTGGTTTATTCTATGTAATACTATATATCACCAAGAGTGAAAAATCTGCAAATATTCACAACGGTTTGAATAAATCACTCAAAAATAATGTTGAGCAAAAGATGTCAGACAAAAGAGGATATACTGTATGACTCTTGTATAGAGTTCAAAACAGGCAAAACTACTCTGCTCTGTTACACAGGATAGCGGCTATCCCTGGACATGGGTATGGGACCAGTGGCTATGGGGAGGCACAGAGAAGGCTTCCAGGATGCCAGGAATGTTCTGTTTCCTGATCTGGACTCTGATTTTACAAGCATGCTCACTTGGTAAAAATTCACCAGGCTTTCACTTACAGACTGATGCAGTTTTCTGGAAGCATATTATACTTCAATAAAAAGTTTACTTTTAAAATACAAAACAAACAGTTATTTAGTAAATTTATGAATTTTTACTATGAGGTGACTTTTACAGTGGTAAAGCAATTTTAAGAGAAATCTTTAAGAAAAGAAAGAACTCAGAAAAGAGATTTACAAAAGTGATTGTGGCTAATGCCGTTGGCCCAAACCAAGCTCTGTACAGGTTTATAAACCACAAAAACAACAGAAGTATCTAATGAATCCTAATATAGTTATTAAAATCTTTGACTACTGAAGAAACCATTTAAGAATACACAAATACTTTTTAGTAGAATTTCAACCACAATTAGGTGTTTTTTTTTTAAAGTAATACTTTTAAAAATAAGGCAACAAAGTAATCAGTCTGTGACTTGGACTCTTTTTTATTATTAAAGGTTTCTTACTAAAAGAATAAACCACAGAATTTTCCCTCCATAGCAGTAATTATTCAGTGGACATGCAAATGCTAAACAAACAACCAAGGTTTGAGAGACACTGTTAAGACAAATTACAGAAGGATATTATAAGCAATCCAGAGCAAATGCCACACCTAGTCATCAGTGTGTATGTGTGTAGAGGGAAGGGATGGGGGGTTAACTAAGAATATTTTAAATGTTATAAAAATGATGACGCTAATTACTTTGATGTGACATAGTTCCTTAATTTATTTCTTAAGATTTTTTTGAGGCAAAACGATTATTAAGACCATTAAACCTTTTTCTTCCTTTGATAAACAGATTTTGTCAAACTAATGCTGTATACAAATAGATAAAAGAAATAAGACCTGGTGTTCTATAGATTAGTAGGGTGGCTGTAGTTAACATTAATCAACTGTAGATTTCAAAATAGCTAGAAGAGAATAATTCCAGTGTCCCTAGCATAAAGAAAAGATAAACATTTAAGACAGACAACCCAATTACCCTGATTTGATTACGTGAATGTATTAAATTATCAAATGTACCCTGAAAATATGTACATCTAATATGTATCAACAAAAATAAATTAATCTTTTAAAAAGAAGCTACTTGCCCTAGGGAAAAAATTAATGTAGATATCCCTATAATATGAACAGTTCTTTAAGTAGACATAGAACATGTTCCATGAAAATTGAAGAATTCTGACAAAACTGCAGTTGTTTAAAGATTAAAGATGATAGTCATGTAAAATGCATGCATCTTTAACTTGGTAACTAACCACTGCTTCTTTACATCTGTTCTGCTTTCAGTCCTTAAGTTATTTACTTTTTTGGGGGGGGATGGAGTCTCGCTCTGTTGCCCAGGTTGGAGTGCAGTGGCGAGATCTCGGCTCACTGCAAACTCTGCCTCCCAGGTTCACGCCATTCTCCTGCCTCAGCCTCCGGGGTAGCTGGGCCTACAGGCACCCGCCACCACGCCCGGCTAATTTTTTGTACTTTTAGTAGAGATGGGGTTTCACCATGTTAGCCAGGATGGTCTCAATCTCCTGACCTTGTGATCTGCCCGCCTCGGCCTCCCAAAGTGCTGGGATTACAGGAGTGAGCTACCGTGCCCAGCCAAGTTATTTACTTTTTAAGAAAACGTTTAAGCCACCATAAATCCTTTTCAAAAGGGCAATGACAAATAAGTACATGCATAAGACATATTTTGGTGGTTCTCTGTCATATAAACCCACACTCCATTCCCCCAGGCCCAGGTGTAGACTCACCCTGTAGATATAATCCAGCAAGGGGGCTCTGGCCGAATGCTGCTCCTCTAGGACTGCTGTGGACACGGGGTGGAGAAGGACACTCACGGGCAATGCCATGCACCAGTCCAAGAGGCAGAGTAGCAAGGACACAATAAACTGGAAGAAGAACATGCCCGGTAGCTTATGCTGCAGTCTCTTAAACCTCACTACATGTAATAATAAGAGAATTATCCCTACACCCAGTATTCAGTGGACATGCAGGTGCTAGATAAGTAGGTAAGTAAATAAATAAATAAATAAGTAGCATTTTCACAAAAAAGACTGTTAAGGCCAATAGAGAAGGATATTACAAAGGATATCACTAGTTGTAACATTATTTATCATTTTACCTTACATTAAAATAAAAAAACTATAGGAAAAACTTAGTTAATGTGCCACCTACCTTCTTGTCTGTTTCCACTGAGGAGTACTCTGCACTTGGTAAAAGAAAAGCAACTGTGGCCACGAGGATCTGCATAAAAGATAAATCCCCAATCAAACAGACCATATTTGTAAGCCTTTGTAAGCCTATGTTAGGAGTCCCACGATGGCCTTGCAACTAAACCCAGCTTGGTGCCAACTCACCACAGAAAGGTGATAAAAAGCAGAGGGCCAGCTGTGTGGTGATCTTGAAAATTAGGGAAAGACAATGGGGCCACATCCAGTTTCCACTCTACTTTTCTGGTTGAAAAATTAGGAGGGAAGGCAGAGAAAAGAGTATTTCTCTCTGCAGTCACATAATTCTGAACATTGGTTTCCACAGTTTTCATAGTGAAGTAAAAAAATACTTCTAAAAATAATTATGAAAATGCTCCCATTTTAGTTTTATTGTAAATTACCCTACATCTCCACCTGCTATCCTGGTGTAAACAGCACCCCTTTTATTCTCAAAAGCAGTCCCATTTAGATGATAAATTACATCATCACCCCAAAACCCTACTTTCCATTTCAGAGCACTTTATGTTCCCATGTCCAAACTCCATTTCACTCTAGGTCACTTAAGGTCAAAAATCACTTGTGCCTTTTAACGTGTCTCTGAGAGAACAAAGTGTTCTTTCCAGTGAAATCTGTCTAGGGCTGAGAGAAAATAAATGAATATCACTTCTCTCTCCTTGTAATACCTCATGGGGACAAATGAAGTTTCCTCGAAGAGTTACCACTGGATGTATAAGAACAGGGCATGTTTTTAAAGTGCAGCTACAAAAATCAGTAGAAGTGCCTTATCCCATGGACACCTACGGGAGTGAAGCTGCCTGCTTGTGTACAGGCAAAGCACACTTGGATGCAAGTGGCCTTCAGGATATGACTGTGGAGAAGATTCTTCCTATTCCTTCCGCCCCTCTTTCCTACCAGTTACCCCCACAAAGGTTATCGTGGTAGCAATCTCATTACAGCCGGTAATCATGCTAGGGCAGAAAGTGTGGTCCAGGGCTTTAGTCTGGGAGAGACTTCTGTTTTACACAACAGCTGCCCCCCTCCACCCCTCACGGAGGGCATCATAACCAGCTGCCTACTCCTTGTTGGCACCATCCAAATTGCTCTTGATGAATGAAGCCCAATCTACAAAAGGTCTCTTTGTTGTGGTCGTGCCTGCCTTTCAAACTCCCCAAGTATAAGCCTCTGTCTGGAATACTGCTGGCTTCTTTACATAGTGCCTGAAATCACAGCTGAGAAGAACCAGTCTAACTTAATCTTAAAACGAGTGACTTGTGGCAATTTAATAGTTGGTTCTCTAACAATTATTTGAATATCTATAATTAATTAAATATCAAATACAGTAAAAAGGAAATGCTTATGTTTTAGTATTACAGAAAAAAAGACTTACTTCTGCCATTTTCCGAGGCAGAGAGGTTTCAAACATCTGAAGCTTCTCCCAGTAGGAAACCAGCAACTGAAGGACATCGCAAGCTACCTGGGCCACGATTTTGTTGGGAAACTATAAAAGGAAACCGAATCCCAAAGCAGACACATAACTTAACAGGTGTATCGTTCTTAAGGACAAAATAGTTATTTCTTCTCAGTTCCTTATAGATTACATTTATCTGTTTTGCCTCAAATTGATGAAAAATATGTCCTATTACCACAGAGTTTAGACATCGTCACATCACCATTTTAAAACTGTCTCTTCTCTAGCCTCACTGTGTTAATTTACATAACGTTCTACAGGAACAAGGAGCTTTCATTTACTCATTTGGAAATTAAAACCATAATTCAAATTTCTTATTCAGCTCACATAAATCATATTTTTGACAACTAGAGAAAATTAAAATGTACCCCCATACACTGAACCTTTTACAAGGATTTTACTCATTCTCTCACTGATAAATCTTCACTGACAGCTCTGCAAGGTAGATGTTATTTTCATTTTACACATGGAGAAACAGGGATTGATCAAATGGCTTTCTATCCTATGAAATAAAACTTGACCTACATGTATAACATACTAAGAATGTGTAAAATTAGAGTGTAGGAGAAGATAACTAATGAATTATGGTATACTCAATTATTTTGAGTATGTTTCCTGAGGCTGGCGTGCATCTCAAGTCACCAACAAGGGCTGGATGCTTCCATTGATTGCGAGGCAGCATGTCTAAGGGCAGCACCTTCAAGGTCTTACTTTTTCATGCTGGGAGAGCACAGAAGGGACAAGGGCACCCTCTGCTTCCCTCCCTGGCCAGAACATGGGGCTACACCATTATCCATATCTCATTATCTATAGCAGGAAAGGTTCGTCGCTGACCCTAGTCTAGGGACACCTCACTCTAAGCCACATGAAGCAGACCATCATCAACTTTTAGTGCCCCAGTGACAAATGTACAGAATAAGGAAGAAGATAAGGGAAAGGTTTTTAATTCTACAGAATAAACAGTTACTGACTACCCCTACCTGAGAGGCACTAGCTAAACCCAGGGTTGTAGTCGTTGCACTCAGGGGCTCTTCACAGCCTTCTCTGGCCACAGAGACCTCACATCCCAGATGACCCAATTTCCACTGACCTTGTTCCATCTCTCAAACACTCTGGCTTGCTTCTGCCCCATGGCCTTTGCACCTGCTCCTTCCCAACTTTGCTTGGAACACTTAATCCCCAGGTCTGCATGTGGCTTGCATTGTTATACCTTTCAAATTGTGGCACAAAATGTCATCTCCTCCCTGAGGCCACCACACCGCCCTCCCCCCACACCCCCAAGAGCTGGGTGGTGGCCCACCCCCTCAGCTCTTCAGCTTCATCCTATTCCCCTATTAGATCTCCTTCACAGCATTACAGGCTATCAGCGCTGACCTTTTTGTTTGTTATTTTCCTGCATATATTGTTCACCACTGTATCTTTAATGCCTAGCATGGCCCCCTTAAGGATGTGCGTGGTGTGCCTAAGGTGAAGATGAAACTCTGAGAGAGTGGGAGAACATGAGTGGGCACTGTGTGTGTTGCTGATGCACCACAGTGGCAGAGTCACCAGGTGGAAAGATAAGGCTGGCAAAGCTCTGAACTCAAGAAGCTGGAAACAGACAAGGGAAAATTACGAGAGCCCACAGACAAGACACAAAAGCTATGGGCAGACAGGAGTGGGACATGAGGCTTGGGGGAAAACAGGCAGAGAGAAGGCATCGTGGAGGGAGAGGAGAGCTAAGCTGTGCCTGGAGAATGCAGGGGGGATGTGGGGTCTCCTTCCAGGTATGGGTGGCAAGGCCCAGGCACCAAGGTAGGAAAGGTCGGTCGGATACAGGGGGCTGCAGGCAGGGTGGTGTTACTGACATGTAATGAAGGAGGTGGGGAATGGTGGAGATGAAATAAGCCATTCATTTGCTCTCTCACTTCTCCAGCATATAGTCATAGAACACCAACAGAGTGCCATGCTGAGCGCTCCAGCCTGTGGGCTGCACAGGTCAGCCTGTGCATGGACAGATCCCTCTGACGGTGGTATGAACAGTAATCTGTGGGGGCCAGTCTAGGACTGGTGACTCTGATCAGGAGGCTGAGTATTGGCAGGGTGAGTGTGTGAGGGATGGACTTGGGCAGTGGGTGGGACGGACGATGGGTATTCAATGGGCATTCAGGAAGTACAGCTGGCAGGACTCAAAGCCAGAAACAGTGGGGTAAGGAGAAGGAGGAAAGTCAGTCATGTCTCAGAAGACGAGGTGGGAGAAGGAGCAGGGCTGGGCAGTTCACAAGAGTTGGTGAGTATGGCTGTGGCTTAGAACCACCTCCCCCAACCACCCCATGCCTGCCATCCATCTGCTACCCCACCATAAACAAACCAGCCAACCAACACCTTGCTGAGTGGAATGCTCTGCACATTCATGGGTGCACCTAGGTCACCCTTGCAGGGCATTTCTGAAGGGTTCTTACAAGAGGGGTGGTGCTGGCTTTATGTGGAGCCCGTAAAGCAGGAAGCCCTGCCAGAGCTTGCACTCTCCGCTACCCATGAAGCAGGCTGAGGCTGGGCTGGGGGTGGGGCCAAGGCCCCCACTGCCTCCTCTTTCTCCATCTCTCCCTCCTGGCAGAGCCCCAAAGCCTCCTAGAGTCCCCTGTTCTCATAGTGGTGGTTGTTCTCCTCGTTCCTTGTAGCAACTCTTTCCCTCCCAGTCCTCATTTCTTCGATTTATGTGCTATGTCCTTAGGTAAAACAACCCAGTTGCCACAGCAACACGGAAACTAGAGGGAGGCAGGAGAGGAGGGCAGTGGGGAGGGAGGTGTCCTCAGAGACCAGGACTTAAGTCAATGAGTTTCCTGTTATTAATAATGGTTAAAGACAGAACAACTTGGCTGCATCCTGATCCCTCTGCTTTCTTAGCAATTCAAGCTGGAGTCAGTTCTTTGACCTTCCTCAGTCCTCTTCTCTTTTGCTGCTATCCAGAGGGGGGAGGATTCAACAGGACAATCTCCATGCTGTGCTGGGATAGCGGACAGAGTGAGAGCTCAATATGTGGTAACTGCATTGTTTTTCTGGTGTCTTATATTTTCCCCCATAATTATAGAAAAGTTGCAGAAAGAATATCTATCCCTCTACTCTGTTATCAATTTCCATCTCTTTCCTATACTATATAGAAATATATATACAGTCATGTACCTCCTAAATATGTTTTGGAAACATTTGGTAAGCACCACATATACAACACTAGTCCCATAAGCTTATAGTGCCATATTTTTACTGTACCTCTTCTATGTCTAGACATGTTTACTCAAGTACTTACCATTGTGTTCCAATTGAATATTCAGTTCCTACAGTATTTAGTACAGTAGTGTGCTGTATAGGTTTATAACCTCAGAGCAACAGGCCATCCCACACAGTCCAGAAACCATCTAGGTTTCTGTAATATTCTTTATGATGTTCACACAACAATGCAATCACCTAGCGACACTCTTCTTAGAATGTATCCCCATCACTATGCGATGCGTGACTCTGTGTGTCTGTGTGTGTCTATCTCCTTCAATCTAACACACCGAGTTATTCATAGTTTTTCCATGGAAGGAGTAGAGATGGGGGAACCACCTTACATTAACTATATACATCTAGATTTAAGAAAAAATAAAAATTCAAAAACAGATCTTGGAATTGAAAAAGGGTATTTAAAAATGAATTGGAATCTACATTGATCTATAATTTATAGCCAACTTGTTTTCACTTTAATAAATTATATGTAAATATTTCTCCATGGCTTTGGGAGTCAGGAGGTATCCCACACACCTCAGTTGTGTAAAACTCCACACATGTGGCCAGAGTGTTCTGGGTTTGGCTTTGGCAAGCTCCTTCAGTTCCTAGTCAGTTCATCTACCTCATCTGTGAAGTGGAGGTGGCACTGACATTTCCCCTCACAGGGCAGCTCTGCGGATTAAACTTGCCTACAAAGGTCAGGGCTCAGCACCCTGCTGTGGCTGGAGGGACACTCTTCTGTGATATTTTGGTTGGATAATTTTTCCATTCCTCATCACAGGGATCAGCAGCAAGTGTTTTTCCAGCTCCCATAATACAACCACCACCCCCACCTCCACTAGGTGTTGTGGAGGAGAAATAGGGGAGGATGAGGCAATGGGGGTGGTCAGAGGGTGTACTTGGGGAACAGGAGGCATTGAGTTTGGTCAAGCAGGGGCCAGACGCCAAATCAAGGATGGGAGACAGCACTGGCTGGTCATCCTATGGGCAGAAGCAGATAATGCACAAAGGGTGGTACAGAGACTGTTGCTGGCCTGATGGCGACAGTCCCAGGCGTCAGCTGTAAGTGCCGTTGCTATTATAGCTGCATGTGGCAGGGGGCACAGAAGGGCATGCAGCAGCCTGAATGCTGGTGTTAGGTGGATGGTTCAGGGGTTGAACTTTGGCTCAGTGAGGTGGTCATTCTAGAGCCTTGAACAAGTTCCTTAATGATCCTGCACCTCAGTTCCTCCACCAGTAAACTGAGGACGCTTACCCCTGAACTAAGAACTTCCACAAAACCCTCAGCACAGCGCCTGGCAGAGACCAGGCACTCACTGGTTCCCTAAGTGTGATAATGGCAATGCTATTTATTACCACCATTTCCAAGCAGGACCTAGGAAAGGATCCAGCAGGATTTGAGCTCTGGCTTAGAGGCAGCCTAACAGCACCTGTGAAAGTTCAAGCATGTCTTTAACACCACACAGATCTGCTTTTATTGCTGGTTCCATCACTTATACCTGTGTGGCCTCGGGCTTGTGACCTAATTTCTCTGGGCCTTGATTTCCTCTGGTATAAAACAGAAATTGCAACATCTATCTTGCAGAGCTGTCTTGAAGATTAACAGAATTATTTAGAGTTCGCCATTACTCTGACCTAGTGTGAGTGCCCAGTGAATGGCAGTTCTTCTTCTCATTAACAAAACAAAGAAACAAAGATGTCCTTAAAGTGCCCAAGATTCAGCCAGATGGTGAACACTGAGAGGCCTAACTGGAAGGTGTGGAGGCCTCTCCCAGGCCTGCTGAAGAGGCCAGAGCACGACACCCCACTCTCTTGTCACCCCCACCAACAGGTGACAGGTGACCTCTTTGCGACAGGAGCTTCCCAGCCACCAGAGGAACCCATTTGGCCACTGGTCCAGGAAGACTCGAGACACTCGTGGCCAGGCTGCAGCTGCCAGCAGGGGAGCATCCGTTGGTGCCCCTCCCGGGAGCCTCACAGCACATGCAATGGGAATCACAATCCCTCTGTCATTTGGGGGATAAAAAAGATGGGGCTAATTCAAACTCAAACTGTTAAATGCCTCAGATATGGCTTAATATCCAATCAGCACCACAAACTGGTAATACCTTCAGAGTTACTCCTATCACATTGATGGCCTCTTTCACCTGAGGGTGGCTTGTACACTGTGCAAGCTCTTCACATATCCAGACCCCAAGGGAGCAAACAGCAATGCATCTTTTTAAAAAGAAGAAAACAGAGGAAAACTCTCATGAAACTTAATATACTTTCTCAGTATTTTCAAATAACAAAACACTTTAAATCTATTTATACAAAATAGCAAATATTATAGATCTATTAGCAGAATGTTTTCTTGAAAGAAAAGATAAAGAACCCTCAATAGGCCAATTTTCAGGACAAATAGAAATATTGATAATGGTTTAGTACTTAAATATTTAATTAAACAAATGGCATATTTTCTATTAATTGTCACAGCCCATATATATCACTTAGTTTTGTTGAAACTAATAGGTTATTACATTTGACTGTTTCAAGATATTTTTGAGGAAGAATAAGAAACATAAATCTGAGAAAACTGTCAAAAATTGTGTTTGTAATTGTTTTCTTTACCATAATATGCACAATACCTATACCACAAACATAAAACAAATGCTATATTTTATTTTAAAGTATATTTAAATACAACTTTCAAAATAAATTTCACTGTTAATTCTTCTCAACAGTGTGCTAGGACCAGATATTCTTCACAGAAAGCCGACCATGCCATATACATTTCTATTCTGTTTTTAACTACACAGAAATTTGGCTTTCTACACTAAAGAAAGAGAGAGGAAGAAGAATTGCCAAGACTTGATGGTTTAGATGCAGTAGGTGTAGGAAAAAGAAGAAATCAAGGGTTTTCTCTAAATTTCTGAACTGAAAACCTGGGGGAATGGTGGGGCCATGTGGTGAGATGAAATCTGAGGAACAGTCAGCTCGGGGGGTCAGAAGGAGACTCAAGGGCTCAGTTATGGTTGTGTTAAAACATTCAAGTTGAGATGTCAAGTAGGCCGTTTAATATATAAGTCTGAATATAAAAGGGGTTCACTGAAGAGGCAGGTAAATAAATGAGCAAGAAGATGGTATTTAAAGGCTGATCAGAATAAGAGTGCCCAGGAAGTCATAGAGAGAATAGGCCCAGCCCTAAGCCCTGCGTCACTCTAACATTCATCAGAGATTAGGTAGAGGAGGAGAGGTCAGCAAAAGGGACAGAAAGGAGAAAGTTCAGTGAGGCAGGAGCAAAATTAGGGAATTATGTTCTGAGGAACATGCACTATTCAGGAAAAGAGTAACGAGAGACTAGCTGCAGGCTTGGTAAGTATGCATGTTCAAATACCTAGTAGAACCTCTAAAAGAAGGAAAGGGAGCCTATGATTTAAAAACAACTGAGATAATAAATAGAATGGAAAAAAAATCCAAAAAAAAAAGAAGAAAGAAAGAAAGAAAAATGGGATGGGGAAATGAAGGCAAGATAAAGGAGAAATAAAAGAAATATTATACCTTATTTTTAATAGGATCTTTCTTTCCTATTAAAAATAAAGTATAACATATGATAAGAGAAGTACATCCAAACAGATCAGTAATTATAACAAACGAAAATGAATCTAAAGCTTCAGTTAAAAAATAAAGGTGGGATGGGATAAAATTACAAAATCTGGATATATACAGTTTTTGCATAGACATCTAAAAGAAGACTATAAAAAGGTTAATTAAAAAGAATAGAAAGTATTATTTAACTAAACCAGTGGTCTTTAAGATAAAAAAAAATCCTCCTTAGAAATAAAGAGTCACTACAAACATGTAAAATATTTGATTCACTATATAGGACAATTCTAAACTTTTACGCAACTAATCACATAGCCTCAAAATATATAAAGCAAAATTTGACAGTATATAAGGAGAAATACATAAACACACCATAATAGCAGGAGATTTTAACATTTTTCTTCCAGAAGGTGATCAAGCTGATGAAAAAAATCAGACAGGATACAGAATATTTGAAGCCCAGTAGTAAAAAAATTTAATAAACACAATTAGAAGACTATGCCCAACAAAGAACTGGGCATTCATTTTTTTCAGGTTTATATGGGATACTGACAAAAACTGACTACCTAGTGGGTCATTAAGCAAATTTCAACAATTTCAAAGACTGCTGTAAGACATTTTGATCCACAATGCAATTAAGTAAGACATCAGTAAAAAAAGATACCTATAGAATTCAGACAAAGTAGTAACTAGCAATAAAAATATAGTCTTAAATGTTTATATCTGTGCAGGAGAAATTAATATACTAAATATATAACCTTAAAGGTAAGATTGTAAAGAAAGTAAAAGGAAGGATAGAAAAGAGCAGACAGTGGCAAATAAAAGCAAATATAAAATAGAGAAGTTGAACAAAGACAAAAGCCTAGTCTTTGAAAAGACTAATAAAATTGACAAATTTTTGGCAAGACTAATTAAAAAATCAGAGGATACACAAAACGTGTCAGAGATTAAAAAGTGGATGTAACCATAGAAGTGAAAGAGATAAAAGATAATAGAGATGGCTGGGCGCAGTAGCTCATGCCTGTAATCCCAGCACTTTGGGAGGCTGAGGCAGGCAGATCACGAAGTCAGGAGATTGAGACCATCCTGGCTAACACGGTGAAATCCCGTCTCTACTAAAAATACAAAAAAATTAGCCGGGCATGGTGGCAGGCGCCTGTAGTCCCAGCTACTCGGGAGGCTGAGGCAGGAGAATGGCGTGAACCCGGGAGGTGGAGTTTGCAGTGAGCCGAGATTGTGCCACTGCACTCCAGCCTGGGCGATAGAGCAAGACCCCATCTCAAAAAAAAAAAAAGATAATAGAGATAACTCATAGCTCATATACCAGTATATTTTAAAATTTAGGTGAAACAGGCAAATTCCTAGAAAAGTTTGGTTTATCAGTACTGTCAAAAAAAAAAAAGTAGAAGAAGAAGAAAACCTTAATAGTCCTAAAATCACTGAAGAGAATGAGTCAGTGGTTAATCTTCTCATCAAGAAAATATTAGACCTAGGTAGTTTTACCATCAAGGTCTACTAAATACTCAAGAATATTAACTCTAATTTTGTAAAAACTCTTTCTGATTAAAGAAAATGAAATAGTACTTATTTTGTGAGACTTTATAAAATTATAATCAAACCTGATAAGGGAAGGATGGGGAAGGAAAATTATAGGCCATCAATATAAAAGCAACTTTCCTGAACAAAGTATTAGCCAAACCAAGTCTGGTATCACATAAACCAAGTTGAGGTTATCCAAAAACGCAATGTTAGCTTAATATTTGCAAATTATTATCAGTTTAGCTTCTGGTAAAAGCAGACTAGGAAATTTGAACTAACCCATCTACTGAAGATAACCAAAGAAATTAGACAAAATACAAGAGAAAAAACACTTAAAATCATCAAATAGCTGGTAAGGCAGTGATGAATGATGGGCTGCTGTCTTGGAATGAGGCTACAGAGGGAGCAGAACATGAACCGTTCCTAGGAGGGAGTAAGAGGCTGAGCTGGGCTTCTGGTGATCTTATGGGGTTTGAAATTGAGGATCAGAGACAGGTGTTCCCCTCCATTAGCATTCCCAGCTTTGGTCTTCACGTTGGGAGGAGAGGCAGAAACTTTTCAATACGTAAGTGGCCCAGAAAACCTCATATATCTTGATCATAGGTTGCTAGCAACCTCAGATGCCTGGCAGAAGCAGCCAGAATATTTCCAGACACTGCCAAATGTCTCCTGGTGTAAAAGATCATCACTGGTTGAGAGTCACTACCCTACACATACACCATTTCTATAAATATTTGGTTTATATTTTCATTTTCTTTCTTCTTGAAAATATCAGAGGATACATGATTATATTTGTAATCTTGCTTTTTCTCACACAAAATAGTGTACTATATACTCTTCTGCACTTTACAATTTTTACTTAATAATGACATCTTTTTAAATAATCATGCAAAGCATCTTCCTGGCATCATTCTTCCTAGAC
This sequence comes from Homo sapiens, assembly GCF_000001405.40. Taxonomy (NCBI): domain Eukaryota; kingdom Metazoa; phylum Chordata; class Mammalia; order Primates; family Hominidae; genus Homo; species Homo sapiens. Next base: position 20,535,625 of record NC_000020.11, read on the forward strand.
TTTTCAGTCTGTATAAGAGCTATGTGAAAGAATAAGTGTTTTCTTTTGTAACATTAACTACTTACACATAAATGTGTATCTTAAAATTCTAAAATAGTTTACCTCTTATTCAACATTTACCTTGCATATTCATTTGGTTCTTCTGTGGCATTCTTCAGTAAAATATTTATGAGGTAATGCTAAAAACACAAAATTAAGTAAAATAAAAACTTTGTGTCATAGTTGGTTTCCCACATGTTCTGACCATGTTCCAGGCAGCCAGGAGCTACTGAAGTTCGACCAGGGAGCTCAGAGAGCTCATCTATGAGTGAGAGCCTGGGGGGAAGAAGAACACTGGGCTCGGGGGAGCGGGTGGTAGAAGATGGGGGTCTCCACAGGGCCTCCTTAGGCCATTCAGCCCGCGGGAGTAGAGCGCTTCTGGTATAAAGCAAATCAGACTTCCAGATAGGAAAATCTCGGTTTTCTTTTACTTCAATTGAATTATATGTTGTACACTGAATTATATACTGTAATTATGTTTTATAGTTTGATTGATTCTGGGATTCTAAAAGCATTTTTGTTTACCTCAAAGTCAGCTGAGGAGAGAACAAATGCTTACTTTTATTCTCCAATAAATAATTTAGAATCTCAAAGTATTAGCAGTATTTAATCAGGCCAACAAGGGGATTGAATATTTAGCTTATTTCCATTATTTCTTATAAATTAACTTGATGCACTAATGCAGTTAGTTAAGCTAATAAAATTATTACAAAGGGCAATTCACTACATGATTATGATCCTTAGGTCCAATAAACAGGTATAATAAAAAACACCTGCTATAGCTACAGCTATAAGGTCTAACTGCAATATACTCTGAATTTAACACATGCATAGCCCATGAATAGTCTTCTAGAAACAACTACTGAAACATTTAAAAGATACAGCAAAACTTCAGGAATAAGCAGATTAATATACACTAATGGAAGAGATAATCATACATCTAGAATTATAAAAAGTACTAAACTTGAGATACAGTCAAATGCGTTATGTACCTTGACATCTTCAGTTCCTGTAATGGCCTCATTTACTTCTGGCACTGACTGCAGTAAAGGAATCTCCTGGTAGGTATTTGGAAAGCAGACCAGAGAGCCGAGGACAGTGACAGCCTCTGAACGAGGCGCCTGCACATAAGGAAGAGGAGCACACACATTTCTCTTTTTGTAAGTTAGAAACGTTAAATAAGTGACATGTTTTACTCTTCATCCTAGATAAAAAATACCAAACTTGGCCGAGTTATTCTCTTCCAAGTGCATATTTAAGCAAAAGAGGTTTGCCTAAATGAAAAAGCAAATTTCTAAGTAATGGAAAATATCACTGTACTTGGATGTAAACAAGTGTTGTGGAAACTGATCTGCAGATTCATTCAGAATTAGAAAGGCCAATGACTCTGTCATGACTGTTTACATTGTTTTACTGCTAATGTTCTCAACAAAGCAGGGTAAAGGATATCAACTGAATACCATTTTGCTGTTAAGAACAATTAAGGAAAATTCATAGGGAAGTAGAGATGGAGGTAACTATCGGAGAGTAGAAAGAGAAGACAAACTATCAAATTTCCCATCTACTGCCAAGAACTGCTTTACGAAAAAATATAATGAGATACTATATCACTATATCTAGTGAGATACTTTTATTTGCCCAGTGTTAGGATTAGGTATATATTTTAAAAGGCATGGCTGGGTGCGGTGGCTCACACCTGTAATCCCAGCACTTTGGGAGGCTGAGGCGGGTGGATCACCTGAAGTCAGGAGTTCGAGACCAGCCTGGCCAACATGGTGAAACCTCTTTTCTACTAAGCATATAAAAATTAGCCAGGCATGGTGGTGGGCACCTGTAATCCCAGCTACTCAGGAGGCTGAGGCAGGAGCATTGCTTGAACCCAGGAGATGGAGGTTGCAGGTAGCCAACACAGTGCCACTGCACTCCAGCCTAGGCAACAGAGTGAGACTCCATCTCAAAAAAAAAAAAAAAAAAAAAGGCATTTCACTAGATTTCAACTCAGCCAACACTAGCAGATATGGTTAGCCAAGAATAGGGGACTACACAGGTCTGTCATCAATCTACTCACCTATCTGTCCATCTATATGTCTACTATTATGTAATAAAACAATGAAAGCTCACATTTAAGGAGTTCTCACTCTGTGCTAGGCACTCTTCTAAGTGCTGTACAAGCATTTCTTCATAAAGTCCCCTCACCAACCCAATGAAGAAGAGGCTACTGTTTTCATTTTCCAGTGAGAAAACTGACGCCAAAGAAGTTAAGCAGCTTTTCAGTGTCATATGGCTCCTAAGTGATGCACCCTGGATTTGAACTGAGGCCATCTAGCTCCAGGTCCAGACTGAGCCTACAGTTAAGCACTTGGGCTATAAAATCAAAGAGAGCTTTTCTCCCTCAGAGAGATGAGGCGCAGTATGTGAGGTAGGTGAGGAGAGGCAAATAACAGCTACACACAATTCAGTGAAGCACCTGCTAGGAGAGCAACATACTGAGGATAGCATGGGAGCCCAGTCCTTCATTTTTTTACCTAGCTTGGTTCCCATAAGTACACAGGTAAATAAAAGGCAATATAAAGCACAGCAGAGCTATTCCATGGGATGAGGCAAGGATTGGTTCTGCTCAGGATGTTTAGGAAACCTAAAACAAACTACTGCTAAGGGCCACAGAGGAGAGTAGAAATCAGGCAGGCTGGCGGTGGGTGAGGGAGCCAGTTGAGTAGGGAAGAGGAAGGTGTCCATGAGATGGGAGGCTGAAAGGGTCAGAAGCAGTCGTTCCCAAAGTATGTTCCACTAGGGCCACAGGGACTGTGAAAGGGCAAAATCAAAGACTCCCGGGAAAAAGACGTTGCAGAGACATTTGGCTAAGCACAATTAAACAAAAGCCTTTAACATGTTATTGTACACTGTGAATTTCCAAGTGAAGAAGTGTATTTCCCAAAATTATTTGACTATGAACCTGGCTTTCTTCCTTCCCTTTCCCCCAAAGTATCTGGGGAGATTACTGTTCTGAAGAAGACTTTTTGAAATGCTTGTCCTGAGGTTAGGAGAGAAAAGTCTGGGATAACAATTCACATGTGTTCAGAGGAACTGAATGCATGCGTCTTTGTGGAGTGCAGAGAGAGAGAAGTGATGACAGAGGTAGGAGCCCTGAGGACGAAGAGACAGACAACAGGAAGAATATCATTACCAACCCACAGAAGTCCTCTTTGTGCCCCTCCCATGATAGCCTCCCCTCCTGCAAAGTAACCGTATTCTGCTGTAACACCACAGATTGGTTTTGTCTGGTTTTTCAATTAAATAAATGAAATTAGAGTATATGTTCTTTTGTGTCTGACTTCTTTCACTCATTATGTTATGTAACCGATCCTGTGTTTTCATTGTATATAATAATCCATCTTATGTACACACTATAATTTAACTGTTCTACTGCTGATGGGCATTTGGATTGGCTCTAGGCTTTGGCTGTTACAAATAATGTTGCTGTGCACAAGCTTCTCCTCATCTCTTGGTGACTTGTGCGAGCCATCTGTGCATCTTCCTCCCCCACTGCCTCAGTGGGGCAGTCCTACCTAGCAGGGGTACTTCAAACTGGTAATTACCTTGTGCTAACTGAAAATTCTGACTGAGCAGGTGTGCTCCAGCCCAAACACCTTTCACCAGTTCCTCTACAATTTTAACCTCAAGTTTAAACAAGAAAGTACTATCATTCAGAGTGTGATTCCTTCATGTAACTCTTACACATTCTCATTCATATTCTCTCTCTTTTTAAAAAAACATTTTGGAAGGCTACTTTATTAATTTTGTGTTGATTCTTTTTTCAACTTTACTAAAGCATAATTAATAAAAATTTGTATATTTAAAGTATATACAACATGTTTTGATACACAAATACATTATAAAATGATTACCACAAACAAGTGAATTAATATATCACCTCATATAGTTCCTTTATGCGTGAGTTGTGAACACTTGAGATCTACTCTCTTAGCAAATTTCAAGTTTATAATATAGTATTATTAATTATAGTGACCATGCTGACATCTCCCGAACTCATTCATTCGGCATAACTGAAACTTTTGATCCACTGACAAACATCATCCCATCTCCCCCTACCCCAACCACAGCCCCTGGGAACCACCATTCTACAATCTGCTTCTAGGAGTTGGACTTTTTTAGATTCCACATATAAGTGACACCACACAGTATTTATCTTTCTGAGCTTGGCTTCTTTCATTTGGAAAAATGGTTCATTCATGTTGTTGCAAATGACAGAATTTCCTTCATTTTTTAAAGGCTGAATAACACTCCACTGGAGATATGTACCACATTTCCTTTATCCATTCATCTGTCAATAGACATTTAAGTTGCTTTCATATCCTGGCTATTGTGAATGCTGCTGCACTGAACATGGGAGTGCAGATATTTCTTCAACATACTGATTTCAGTTCCTTTGGATATATACCCAGAAGTGGGATTGCTGGGTCATATGGTAGTTCTATTTTTAACTTTTTGAGAAACCTCCATACTGTTTTCCATAATGGCTGCAGCAATTTACCTTCCCACCAAAAGTGTAGTACACGGGGATGAAGATGTGTAGGAAAAATGGTATGACTAGCACACCCAGTACCCAACCATTCACTAACCCACACACTCATGTGCAATATTTGAAAACAGAATTAAAAATCGATTCATGGCTGTAACATTTATTCCTACTATCATACCTCAGGCAGATAGTTAAATGTATATAACATTACATAACATTGATATATGTGCTAAAGACCAAGCAAATTCGATACCGTCAGAAAGCTTAAAAGATAAGGCACTCATGTCTCTTTTACTGTAGTTTCAAAGAACATAACACTTTTTTCTTTATTGCAAGCTGGTTTTGTATTTCATCCTTTCTGAATTTTTTGAAGTTTATATTTCAATACTTCCTTCCCTCCACATTTTCTAGTTTGTGTTTTTCCAGGTTCTGGTTATGCTTTCATTATTTATTTTCCCATCTTGGCAACACTTCATGTGAATTTGACCTTTACATTTACCTTTATACCATCTTTGATTTGAGTAGTCTCTATTGTGTTGATTCTTTTTTTCCAGCTTTACTAAAGTATAATTAATAAAAATTTATATATTTAAAGTATATACAACATAATGTTTTGATATACATACTGTTTTAATATACATATTGATCCTTATCAATATGTTTTTAACCTATGTCTTTGGGGATGTGTTGGTTGTGATGTCAAATCTCATTCTAGTTTTTTCTGTCAGAGGCCTCAAATAAGGAAGAATCACTATTTTGGTAATTGGTGATCACAGAGGGAATGGAATAATAAATGGGCATTATATATCGCAATCTAGGCAATATATAATGAATTCAAATAAAAGTCAGGAGAATTTTTTTTTTTTTTTTTTACGTATACAAGAGTTCTCTTTCCTCCACATCCTTGCCTACACGTATCTTTTGTCTTTTTGGTGAAAGCCATCCTAACAGGTGTGAGGTAATTATCTCACTGTGATCTTAATTTGCATTTCCCTGGTGATCCTGAGCATTTTTCATACATAGCAGTTCCCTCTTATTTAAAGGGGATACATTCCAAGACCCCCTCAGTGGATGACTGAAACTGTGGATAGTACCAAACCCTATATACACTATGGTTTTTGCAATACATACATACCTATGAAAAAATTTTAATTTATAAATTAGGCAGAGTAAGAGATTAGCAATAACTGCTAATAATGAAATAGAACAATTATAACAATATGACATTCTTGTGCTTTGGGGCTATTATGTAAAATAAAGATTACCTGAACACAAGCACTGTGATATCACAACAGTCCACCTAATAACAGATATGGCCACTAAGTGACTAATGGCTGGGTAGCAGATACCACGTGGATCCACTGGACAAAGCAATGATCCATGTCCCGGGCAGGATGGGCCAGGACAGCTCAAGGTTTCATCATGCTACTCAGAATGGGGTGCAATGTAAAGCTCTGATTTCTAGAATCTTCCATTTAATATTTTTGGACCACCACTGACTGTGGTAACTGATATCAGAAAGTGAAACTGAGGATAAAGTGGGGCTACTGTACTATTAGCCAACTGTATATCTGTAAGGCTACTTTAATAGCCCACCTAGCCACACTGACAGAAAATGACCACCATGTGTGATATTATCTCTAGGAAGGGCTCCAACATTTTTACAGGAAACTCTCTTGGTAAATAATGAACATAGTATTGGAAGTTCTGGCCAGGGCAATCGGGCAAGATAAAGAAATAAAGGGTATTCAAATAGGAAGTCAAATTATCTGTTTGCAGATGACATGATTGTATATTTAGAAAACCTGATCTTATCAGCCCAAAAACTCTTTAAGCTGGTAAGACACTTCAGCAAAGTCTCAGGATACAAAATCAATGTGCAAAAATCACAAGCATTCCTATACACCAATAATAGACAAGCAGGGAGCCAAATCGTGAGTGAACTCCCATTCACAACTGCTACGAAGAGAATAAAATACCTAGGGATACAACTTACAAGGGATGTGAAGGACCTCTTCAAGGGTAACTACAAACCACTGCTCAAGGAAATAAGAGAGGACACAAACAAATGGAAAAACATTCCATGCTCATGGATAGGAAGAATCAATATCATGAAAATGGCCATACTGCCCAAAGTAATTTATAGATTCAATGCTATTCCCGTCAAGCTACCATTGACTTTCCTCACAGAATTAGAAAAGACTACTTTAAATTTCATATGGAACCAAAAAAGAGCCCATATAGCCAAGACAATCCTAAGCAAAAAGAACAAAGCTGGAGGCATCACGATACCTGACTTCAAACTCTACTACAAGGATATAGTAACCAAAACAGCATGGTACTGGTACCAAAACAGACACATAGACCAATGGAACAAAACAGAGGCCTCAGAAATAACATCACACATCAACAACCATCTGATCTTTGACAAATCTGACAAAAACAAGCAATGGGGAAAGGATTCCCTATTTAGTAAATGGTGATGTGAAAACTGGCTAGCCATATGCAGAAAACTGAAACTGGACCCCTTCTTTACACCTTATACAAAAATTAACTCAAGACATATTAAAGATTTAAACATAAGACCTAAAACCATAAAAACCCTAGAAAAAAACCTAGGCAACACCATTCAGGACATAGGCATGGGCAAAAACTTCATGACCTAAACACCAAAAGCAATGGCAACAAAAGCCAAAATTGACAAATGGGATCTAATTAAACTAAAGAGTTTCTGCACACCAAAAGAAACTATCATTGGAGTGAACAGGCAACCTACAGAAAGGGAGAAAAATTTTGCAATCTAACCATCAAAGGGCTAATATCCAGAATCTACAAGGAACTTAAACCATTTTTTTTTTTTAGACGGAGTCATGCTCTGTCACCCAGGCTAGAGTGCAGTGGTGCGATCTTGACTTGCTGCAATCTCCGCCTCCCAGGTTCAAGCGATTCTCCTGCCTCAGCCTCCTGAGTAGCTGGGACTACAGGCATGTGCCACCACACCCAGCTAGTTTTTTTTTATTTTTATTAGAGGCGGGGTTTCACTGTGCTAACCAGGATGGTCTCGATCTCTTGACCTGATGATCTGTCTGCCCCGGCCTCCTAAAGTGTCGGGATTACAGGCGTGAGCTACCAAGCCCGGCAGGAACTTAAACAAATTTATAAGAAAAAACCACTGGGTATATACCCAAAGGATTATAAATCATGCTGCTATAAAGACACATGCACACGTGTGTTTATAGCGGCACTATTCACAATAGCAAAGACTTGGAACCAACCCAAATGCCTATCAATGACAGACTGGATTAAGAAAATGTGGCACATATACACCATGGAATACTATGCAGCCATAAAAAAGGATGAGTTCATGTCCTTTGTAGGAACATGGATGAAGCTGGAAACCATCATTCTCAGCAAACTATCGCAAGGACAAAAAACCAAACACTGCATGTTCTCACTCATAGGTGAGAACTGAACAATGAGAACACTTGGACACAGGAAGGGGAACATCACACACCACGGCCTGTCGTGGGGCGGGGGGAGCGGGGAGGGATAGCATTAGGAGATATATCTAATGTAAATGACGAGTTAATGGGTGCAGCACACCAACATGACACATGTATACATATGTAACAAACCTGCACATTATGCACATGTACCCTAGAACTTAAAGTATAATAATAAAAATAAAATAAAATTAAAAATAAATTAAAAAATAAAACTGTATATGGTAAAAAAAAGAAAAAACAAACAAACAAACAACCCCATATGAAAGTGGGTGAAGGTTATAAACAGATACTTCTCAAAAGAAGACTTATGTGGCCAACAAACATATGAAAAAAAGCTCATCATCACTGGTCATTAGAGAAATGCAAATCAAAACCACAATGAGATACCACCTCACACCAGTTAGAATCATTAAAAAGTCAGGAAACAATAGGCCGGGCACGGTGGCTCACACCTGTAATCCCAGCACTTTGGGAGGCCCAGGCAAGAGGATCACGAGATCAGGAGATTGAGACCATCCTGGCTAACACGGTGAAACTCCATCTCTACTAAAAACATAAAAAAAATAGCTGGGCATGGTGGCGGGTGCCTGTAGTCCCAGCTACTGGGTGACAGAGCAAGACTCTGTCTCAAAAAAAAAAAAAAAAGTCAGGAAACAACAGATGCTGGAGAGGATGTGGAGAAATAGGAATGCTTTTACACTGTTGGTGGGAGTGTAAATTAGTTCAACCGTTGTGGAAGACAGGGTGGCGATTCCTCAAGGATCTAGAACTAGAAATACCATTTGACCCAGCAATCCCATTCATTACTGGGAATATACCCAAAGGATTATAAATCATGCTGCTATAAAGACACATGCACATGTATGTTTATTGCAGCACTATTTACCATAGCAAAGACTTGGAACCAACCCAAATGCCCATCAATAATAGACTAGATAAAGAAAATGTGGCATATATATACCATGGAATACTGTGCAGCCACAAAAAAGAGTAAGTTCGTGTCCTTTGCAGGGATATGGATGAAGCTGGAAACCATCATTCTCAGCAGACTAACACAGAAACAGAAAACCAAACACTGCATATTCTCACTCATAAGTGGGAGCTGAACAATGAGAACATATGGACACAGCGAGGGGAATATCACATACTGGGGCCTGTCAGGGGGTGGGGGGCAAGGGGAGGGATAGCATTAGGAGAAATACCTAATGTAGGTGACAGGTTGATGGGTGCAGCAAACCACCATGGCACATGTATACCTATGTAACAAACTTGCACGTTCTACACATGTATCCCAGAACTTAAGTATAATTTAAAAAAATGAGTATTTCAATAAAGAAGTATGATTTCCCTTCTTGTATCTTGTAATTTTTTTGAAAGATGATGTGAATGGTTAAAATACATTTGAAAATTCTTTGAGATTATCCTAAATTTTTTCAGAAATAATGAAGTATGAAAAGTTGTCATAATTATTTACGATAAAGCCACAGTTGAACAAATTCAACATTTTTCTTCTTCTACTTTTTTTTTTCTTTTTAAGAGATGGGGTCTTGTTATGCTGCCCAGGCTGAACTCAAACTCCTGATCTCAAGTGATTCTCCCACCTTGGCTTCCTGAGTCTCCTATAGCTGTGACTATACATACGCCACCATGCCTGGCCTCTTCTTCTCTTTTACCTTTCTTCTCTTTTGCTCCTGTCTCTTTTCACTTCTCTTTGTTTTCTAATTTATCTTTATAAGAAAAAGTTAGTGTGTGAAAGCGCCAACATGAAATACCAGCTACAGGAAGTATTTTAAACAATTTAATTTAAAACCAAGGGCTTGAAGTTTGAATTTACCCTGCAAAGAAGAAATAAGTGAAAAAGTAATCTCATATCAAACAAGATTTAGGTTGTTGGATGGCAACACTGATTTCGACACCAATGCTTAGCAAATAGTAAAGCTAATTTTATTTATACCATTTGAAGGGGCAAAGATAACTCTGAATATATAACAGCTTATAGAGCACAAATGGAAAAGGCCCTTTAACTTTAAATGTATAACAGTATTCTCTCAAAAAGGCATTAAGATATTGCTTTGGCCATGTGCAGTGGCTCACACCTGTAATCCTAACATTTTGGAGGCTGAGGCAGGAGGATCATTTAAGGCTAGGAGTTTGAGACCAATCTGGGCAACATGGAGGGACTCCAATCTCTACAAAAAATTTAAAAATCAGCCAGGCATAATGGCGTGTACCTGCAGTCCTAACTACTCAGGAGGCTGAGGTGGGAGGATCACTTGAGCTCAGGAGTTTGAGGTTACAGTGAGCTAGGCATGACAGCACCAGTGCGCTTCAGCCTGGGCAGAGAATGAATGGGACCCTATCTCTTGAAAAACAACAACAAAAAAAGAAAAGAAAAGATACTGCCTTAGTAGTAGAGGTAAATGTAGAGAGTAAAAATAATTTTTTTGTAGCCCTTACTGATCATTTAGTCCACTTCTAATTTTTTATTACAAAAATTCTGCCAAAGTATTCTGGCATGTTATTAAGAGAATACATATTTACTTCTAGTTAAGACTTTACTGTTCTAACATTTTAAGAAAATATTTTCTATGAGACTTATAATAACCAAGACTTAATTTAAAAACAAAAAAAAACTTACTGCTAATGTACATTTTAAAACTCTCTATTTTAGACATTTATGTCTGTGTCACCATTTACTGGAAAATGCTAATAATATTCTAAGAGACAAGTCCTGCTTCTGACTGTGTAAATGTGCTGAAATATTAGTGAGGATATGATTTCTCACACTTTGGCCTTTTGATGAAACGCCTTTCCAAAACCAGTGTGTCATCTTATCCTACAATTTCACACATCAGCTGCCAGGGTATCTACCCTGAGAGCCCAGTTTCACATTGCACTAATGAGTCAACACCTGTTAAGAGTGGAGAAATCTGAACCTTGTTAGCGATTGTGAAGCCTCTTGGGAGCTGGGATGCTGAGCATTGTCATACTCACCGTCAAAATGTCTGTGCTAAGGACCCTGGCAGCGGCCGTGATGAAGTCCCCCACCAGCATTGAGAAGCCAGGAAAACCCAGGGAGAAAAAGCGGGGTGGACAGTGCCTTATGATCGTATTTAAGATATCCTAAAAGGGAAGATAAGAAAAAACACAATCGTAATGTTCAAACACAAAATTCCAAAGTAGTGTTTGTAGTGGTACATATGACCACTGTATAATAATCCAAGAGAGCACAGATTACAGAAAATTTTCAGTGAAAGGGATATTGGAAACAGAGTTACTCCAAGGATTACTGTACCCATTTTAAAGGTAAGATTGGAGACCCCAAGCTGTAAGATGAATTATCCAAAATCTAAATCATGGCTCTGAGACTAGACATTTCATCTGTCTTCCGTGTAAAGGTAGGCTCCTTGGACAAGCTACAGGAGTAATGAGGTAAATATGTAATTAAAACCTTCAAATATCTATCACTAAAACAAATGTCCTGTCTTTAGCTTTCAATTGGCCACAGTTAAAGCACAGTTACATTAAAATATCTTAAAGTAGGCAAAGACATGGAAAATTTCACTCTTCAGATAGTTTTACGTGTTCAGAAATGGGAATATGCAGAGTGCTAAGGTGACGTTGTAATCAGTGAAATGCTAAGGTCAGGGAAACAGCATGGCTCTGAGTATATGTGTGATCTCAGTGCAAGTACAAAGTGCAACAGTAGCCTTTTGCACAGAGTGCAGTGTGAAGAGCATCATCTGCCCCAGACATCTTGTGTTCCTGTGTGTGTAATGGCCTCTCATTGATGGCTGGATGGCCCCTCACCCCCCAGCTCTGGTCTGAAGCAGATATCTAATTCTTGCCTGTGGCAGATCAGGGGTCCACCACTGGACAGCATTCATGCCATCCATGGCCAGGCCACATCTCTGAAGCCATCTGTGCAAGCGTGTTTGTGTGTGTGTGTGTGTAACAGGAATTAGTAAGAAAACCACAAACCACAAACTTATGCAGCTGTTGGCCATGTACATTAATCAAAACACACACTGAAGTACAGTCGTGTCGCTTTATGATGAGGATACATTCTAAGAAATGTGCTGTTAGGCAATCTATGATCATCTTGTGAACATCATAGAGTGACTTACACAAACCTAGATGGTAGATGCCTACTACACATCCAGGATACAAATGTGCACAACATGTTACTATACCGAATAGTGTAGGCAATTGTAACACAATGGAAATTGTCTGCATATCAAACCACATCTAGCACAGAAAAGGTTCAGTAAAAACACAGCACTATAATCTTATAGGACCACCATCATATATGTGGTCTGCCACTGACTGAAATGTTACATGACTATACTATAGTAACGTGACTTATAGTTATACAACCTATTATAGTCTCAATATAAGAGTAAGAAGCAAAATCTCCACACACACACACACACACACACACAAAATCCTAGTTTCTTTTCTTAGATTTCAGTATGGTTATCTAAAAAATCCTTAAAAATAATCCTGATTTAATTCTATCAGTATCACATTAGAGCAAAGCAGTAGTAACATGCTAAATTCTAACATGTTCAGTCTGTCATAATAAAAATTACCTCATTTAACAACTTATCTTCCTAAAAAACTTTGTATGTGTTCACAAACCATTTTTCCTAAGACTTTTTTTTCTTTACATGGGTCTTAGTTTCTACAAATCTTGATATTTACATTCTTAAAATTACTGTATAATGCTTAATTCAGTAGAGTTCACATATGGTAAATAGTTTAGCAAGTACTAATTTAAAGTTTTAGCATTTCAGCAGACTTTTTTCCTACATCAGAAATAAACAGATAAATAGATAAGTGAAAAAGGAAGGAAGGAAGAAAAAAAAACATGAACCATGCTTCTTCCAGGTTAATGTTTAAGCCTGCTTTAATCACGTCCTTTGATACACTTTAAGGTCCATATCAGTCAAGGCAAACATTCTAAGGGACCGAGCAGATGGATGCTGCAGTTTAGAAAGTGTGTGGTAAACTCAGGATCCAAGAGTGGAACAAAAGATCCACCTTTTTCATAATTAAGCCTCTGATTAATGCCCTAGGCTCCTCAGCACACACCTGTAATTACTCACAGAGGTACTCATTGTGCTGGGACTTGTCTCGGAATATCAGGCATCAAGCTATCCGGCAGCAGATGGAAGCACATTTCTGTTGACATATGTTGCAATGAAAGGATTCGTGCAAACCTGGCTAGCAAGGTAGCAGAATGCCATGCATTTGAAGATTAATAATGCAAACAACCATGATGTTAACTTTGTTATGCTTGTGTTAATTCCATCTGTTGAGATGTGGAACTAAACCTTGAAGCTTGTGGGCTTTAAAAATCTTTAGCACATACTTGAATCAAATAAGCCCCTTTTCACCACTGGAATTTAGAGTTTTAATTAAAAAATGCTTTTCTAGGCTAAATTTATGGGAATTATGAACTAAATCCTTTAACAAGCTAATACCACAATTTGTAAATGAATCCATTTTGCATTGTAAGATTTGTATGTGTAAAGGCAACAATCTGTAAAATGGGGCATTCAAAAAATATGACTAAGTTGCTATACTGATGCTAAAGACAGCAGATAGGCATGTAGCTGAGATAAAGTCACATGGCTCCCTCACCCCCTGGACCTCAGCCAATCACTTCAACGGAACCTGCTACTATGAGCAAGAAGGTTGGAAAGAGAGGGCAAAATAACAGATGGCTAGCCTACCCTACCCTGCCACCCACGTAAGACAGCGCCCTGAGGAGACACAGCGCCTGTGTGAAGTCGCCAAAGACAGCACTGGGGGAGGGTAAATGGGGGGGTTAAAGAGGGAACTATATGACCAGTCAGCCAAATTATGGCCATATGCCTGCTTCCGTTGCTTCTCCACACTGAAGTGGAACAACTCGAAGACTGTATCTTTGTGATAACATTTTAAAATTAGGAATAACCACGTGGTACTCAAAGAAGAGCCGCTGCATATTCTCAATAGTGGGACATCCACAAAATGCCCCACTCATTTCTAACTCAGTAGAATCCTTCTTTCACCATCCCCACCATACATTAAGACACAGCTATAACAGAAGTCTTTGAAAAATATAATAAAAATCTGAAACCTTCCTCACAGCCTCCAGGGCTTTATATATACATGGGAAAGAATGATGCTCTCAGACATGAGTCATTCATGTGCAATCCTCATGCCTTTTGCCATCTCCCTGTCCAAAGTGAACATTACTTGCCTAACAGGTTTTTCAAAGTGACTCATGTTTTAATTTTTTTATTTCCATAGGTTTTTGGGGAACAGGCGCTATTTGGTCAGATGAGTAAGTTCTTTAGTGGTGATTTGTGAGATTTTGATGCACCCATCACCCAAGCAGTAAGCACTATACCCAATTTGTAGTCTTTTATCCCTCATCCCCTTCCACCCTTTCCCCCAAGTCCCCAAAGTCCACTGTATTATTCTTATGCCTCTGCGTACTCAGAACTTAGCTCCCACTTATGAGTGAGAACATACAATGTTTGGTTTTCCATTCCCGAGTTACTTCGCTTAGAATAATGGCCCAATTATTCTGAAAAATTTATGTGTATCCTTTCTCATAAGTAAAAAGTAACTCAAGTAATACAATGACAGTAATCAATGCTGCTAAATTTTTGCTAAAAATACCATCCTCTGATGAAGACTCTGGGTCTGAGAGCAGCTCTCCTTGTTGAATATAAGCACAGAATGCAATGTCAGGGTGGTGTGAAAGAATAACTTCTCTCAACTCCAGCTGGCCTACCTAACAGTATCACAAGGACCTGCAGAGAGGAGGAAAGGGGCCATCCTTTCTACTGTGTGATTCAATGCTATTCAGCGCTGCCTCCACTGAGATGGCTAGTGAGAAACGGCCCTGCACTCTGACGTGGTGAAAAGAACTCTAGAACTTGAGCCATGAGGCCTAGGTCCAAAGCCTTGTGTGACTGTGGGCAGATCATGTCATACCCAGAGCTTCATGCTTCTCTTCCGTAAAATGAAATGATACTCCCTTACGGAGCTGTATGTAATGGGATAGGAGATAAGAACATATGCCTTTGTAAAATGAAAAGAGCCATAAAGAAGTAAGTAGAATAGCAAGTAAATAATTATTTTTCAAAAAGAGAAGGACTCTGAAGAGTTTTACTTTGTAAAATTTACTTTATAGGTGTAGTTTGTATAATTCAGTGAACTATTATTTTGCTGATCTACAGAAAGAATAGTTTAAGACATTTCAAAGGTGGCACACAAACAAGCCTCTTAGATCGCACATTACCCCAGAAATTCAAAAGCTCTAGAAATTAGTGCTTTCAAGCAACACCCTTAACAAAGCTTTACGGCAATTAGCCATAGTGTTTTACAAGGCAAATACTGAAAGAAAAACAGGAAAATTATCATTTTAGATTTTCTAGGATTCATTTTTCTAAGGAGTTCTAGAACTTAATACAAAGAAGTTCAAGTTAGTTTTATAGCAAGAATTAGTTTCTTTTTCACACGTTAAATAGACTAAACCACAAACTAAACAATAGGCTCAATGATATATGGAATCTAAAATAAAATGAGGTTTATTCTTGAGAGTTGAACATATGACACGTAGACAAAGATCTTTCACAAGCTTTTGTTCAAAGAAATTAAAATTCATCCTGCAAAATGTTGCAATATAGTGAACAGATCACCAAACTAGTATTTTTCTCTTGCTCTGGTTAAAAGTCCAAGTGAATACTATACACTGAGTGTGAAAAGATCACTAAGATGATAATTGTGAATCTGTAGCTTATCAAAAGATTCTGGTTATGAGAAAGTAACTGGTGAGAACATCTGTCTCTTATCACTGATCTTGCAAAAAATCAGGTAATTCAAATAGAGGCGTGTTGTTTCCTCTCCTCCAAAGCACAGTTCTATAAACACAAACCATATTCAGCCTGGTAAATGAATCGCTTTAATTGAATGCTATGTACACAGTAACTGGAAAAACCATAAGTGATAAGAAAAACATATGGTGATGGCAACAGAAATTGGTTTATTCATTTTGCATAGTGTTGTTTCTTTCGTTCCCTTATAATTGACCTTTAGAGCGATAAATGTGTAAAATAATTTTGTTTATTATGGCTCCAAACCTTCCAACAATTACACAAAATGAAAATTTAAAAGGAAGGATTCGTTCTGGAAGCATTTCCATTGTTTACATAATTGCACAGCTATAATTTAGTGCTCATGTTGTTATGGAAAATAAAAAAGGGCGATTACAGGCCATTTCAATTCAAAATATTGCACAGTGGTGTCAAAATGGGGGAAAATGTTCACTTTAAAGCAGTTTAAAATGGTTTAACCCTAAAAACAAAAACATTTCAACATAGCATTCTATAAAACACAAATGTTCAAGAAGTAGCCATCCTCCAAACCATATTAGAAATGTTGCAACTGTACTTTCACACCAATTACATATATATTATTCACTTAATATTTGCTCAGGGCCCAGCAGATGATGGTTGTAACACAATAGCCAGCCATCTGTCTCCCTGCCTTTCCTTCGTGGACTTGCGCCTGCTTCTCAAGAGCAAACAGATCCAGTTATTCCACCTAAAGTCACTCCGTCCCTCCACGAGGCCAGACACAATCATCAAGAAATAAAATCTGCATATGAAAAATCACTCAATTCCTCATTTAACTTTTTACTTAAAGAAAACTAAACACTACACAGTTAGATGAATTCATCACTGTTTTTTAGAGAAGATGCCTGTCTTTTACCTAGGAAATTCTATAGGAAGCTCTTTTATTTGGTAAAGAGGGGAAGGTTGGGATCTGTTTATCCCAGTAATCTGGCTAACAAAAAGATATGATTCATTCTATACTTGGATAATTAATTATAAAAAATGTGAATGCAGAGGAATACATTCATACTATATATGAATATAATTTAAACTTTAACAATGGAGAAGACAGCCACGATCCTGCAGTACTTGTGGACATATTTTTAAGTATTAGTTATTGCCCACCTGCTGAAGTTCAGAAATGCTGAGTGACGAGAAATTTTTAGTTACCAGAAGACCAGATTTGAAGAGACCTCAAAGCTCCAAGGCCTGATTCTCTCATTTCTGCTAGTGGGTCTCTGCTCCTTCAGCTTAGGGCACAAGGACATACTTTACATACTACAAGCTGCTACCTGGCTTCTGATGATTAAAAAATAAATCAAATCAACACGGCCCTTTAAAAACAAAACAAAACAAAACAAAACAAAACAAAAAACACAGCAGAGCACGGCGCCAATACTTCATTTCCAGAAAAGTCACTGAGAATAAGACAGCAGGACAAAGCTGAAAATTACTTTCATGACTGGGGCCAAATATGTGGTATGTGCTTTACATTATGTGTTAAAATGGTTAACTTGGTACATCTGTCTGGGAAAAAAGCAGAGATTTTAACAAGTGTTGTACACAATGTGACTTCTTAGAGTACAACTATGTTATGAAAGCCAGGAGAAATATTACAGGACAGAGTAATTGGGTTCTGCACCTGGAGAATCAAAATTGCCTAGTGGCAGGGCATGGTGGCTCATACCTATAATTCTAGCACTTTAGGAAGCCAAGGCGGGAGGATCACTTGAGCCCAGGAGTTCAAAACCAGCCTGGGTGACATATCAAGACGCTGCCTCTACAAAAAATAAAAAAATTAGCCAGGTGTGGTGGTACACTCCTGTGGTCCTGGCTACTTGGGAAGATGAGATGGGAGGATCGCTTGAGCCTGGGACATCAAGGCTGCAATGAGCTGTAATTGTAAGACTGCATTCCAGCCCAGGCAACAGAGAGCGAATCTATCTTAAAAAAAAACAAAACAAAACAAAACACAATACCTAG
Source organism: Homo sapiens (assembly GCF_000001405.40). Lineage (NCBI taxonomy): Eukaryota > Metazoa > Chordata > Mammalia > Primates > Hominidae > Homo > Homo sapiens. The sequence goes on from NC_000020.11 coordinate 20,553,588, forward strand.
AACTTCTCACCAGCAGAACTGCCATGAAGAAGACACTGAATGTCCTTGACAGCAGCATGCTTTAGGGAATGGGAAACATGCAACAAACTCCTGAGGCCACAGGAGCTGTTCTGAGCATTTGCACAGCATCAAGATTTCAGGAGTGACAGAACAAGTGGACAGATGGCAGAAAAAGGCACTGTGATGCTCAAGCCCAAAAGGAGAACCTTGAATATTTTTTATAACTGCTTATCTACAAAGAAAAACTTGGCTGGCCTTTAAACAGATGAAGATGGACTGTTCTGCTTCAGAAAATGTGGTATATAGATTTACTTATTTAAGGAACAATGTACATGAATTTTATTTTATAATGAAGTTGATAACTCACTAATCTGTCTAAACTGCCTCCTTCTCTTGGTAACAGCTTCAAGATATATATTCATATATAATGAAATTCACCCTATAAAGTGTACAATTCAGTAGTTTTTAGTGTATTCACAGAATTGTGCAACCGTAGCCACTATTTAATTTGGGAGCATTTTCATTACCTCAAAATGAAGCCTATACCAAAATGAAGCAACTATTTCCCATTTCTCATATACCCAGTAACTGGCAACTACTAGTCTACTTTCTGTCTCCATGAATCTGCCTACCCTGGATATTTCAGCATATGGAATCTTACTATATATATGGCATTTTGTGTATGGTTTCTTTTACTTAACATGTTTTCAAGGTTCATCCACGTTGTGGCACATAATACTTTATTCCTTCTTAGTTAATAATACTTAATTCCTTCAAATTAATATTCCATTGTATTGATACATGATGTTTTGTTCGTCTTTTCATCAGTTGATGGGCATTTAAGCTGTTTCTACCTTTTGGTGACTGGTTTTGATATGAATTTCTCTGGTGAATAATGATGCTGAGTATCTTTTCATGTTCTTCTTGGCCATTTTTATATCTTCTCTGGAGAAGTTTAAGTCTATGTCTTTCACCCATTTTTTATTTGGGCTGTCTTTTTGTTGCTAAGTTATAAGACTTCTTTAATTTTTTAAATTTTCATTTCTTTGTTTATTTTTGAGACTAGGTTATAAGGCTGGCTAATTTTCATATTTTTGGTAGAGGTGGGGTTTCACCATGTTGTCCAGGCAGGTCTCAAATCCCTGGCCTCAAGCAATCCACCTGTATCAGCCTCCAAACGTGTTGGGATAACAGGCATGAGCCACCGTGCCTGGCTGTGTAAGACTTCTTTATATATTCTAGATACTAGGCCCTAATCAGATATATAATTTCAAATATTTTGTGAGTTGTATTTTCACTTGCTTGATAGCATCTTTTGAAGCACAAAAGATTTTAATTTTGATGAATGATAATTTATCCATTTTTCTTCTGTTGCTTGCATATTTGGTTTCATATCTAAAAGTTTATTGGCAAATTCAAGGTCATGGAGACTTAGTCCTTTCCTTTCTAAGAGTTTTACCATTTTAGCTCTCATATTTAGGACACAGAACCATTTTGAGTTAATTTGTGTATATGGTGTGAGGTAGGGGTCCAACTTCATCCATTTGCATGAGAGTATCCAGTTGTCCCAGCATCACCTGTTGAATTGACTATTCTTTTCCGACTGAATTGTCTTTGCACCCTTGTCAAAACATCAGCTGACTATGGGCTTACGAGTTTACTTCTAGACTCTTAATTCTATTCCATTGATCTATATGTTTAACCTTTCACCAGGACCACACTGTTTGGATTACTCTAGCTTTTTAGGAACTTTTGAAATAGGAAACTAGTAATTCTCTAATTTTGTTCCTTTTCTAGATGGCTTTGGTTATTCAAGATTCCCTCCAATTCCATGTGAAATTTAGGATCAGCTTTTCCATTTCTGCAAAAACCACCATTGAAATTTTGATAGGGATTGTATGGAATCTACATGTCAGTTTGGGGAGTACTGCTATCTTAATAATATTAAGTCTTCTGATCCACGGATATTTTTCCATTTATTTAGGTAGTTTTTAAAGTCCTACAGCAAGGTTTGCAGTTTTCAGTGCAAGTCTTGGGTTAAATTTATTCCTAAGTATTTGATTCTTTTTGATGCTATTGTAAATAGAATTGCTTTCTTAATTTCATTTTAAATTGTCCATTTCTGTTGTATAAAAATACAGTTGATTTTTACATATTGATCTTGTATCCTGCAATCTTACATAATTTATTAGTTCTAGTAGGTTTCTTTTTTAAGTGTGTGTGTATTTCTTGAGGTTTTCCAAATACAAGATCATATATTTGTCAATATACATATCTTTCATTTTTCTTTCCAGTCTGAATGGCTTTTATTTCATTTTCTTACCTAAGTTCACTGTCTAGAATCTCTGGTACACTGTTGAAAAGTGGTGAGAAAAGACATCCTTGTCTTGTCCCTGATCTTAGGGAGAACATCAGAGTTTAAAATGGAAATGCCTGTTATTTCTTTGGTGGGAAGAAAGCCAGAGCCAGAACTTGTTTGGTGGCAAACAAGCCCTGGGCAACCTTTTTGCAATATATTTTTGCAGCAGCAAATGAGTGCTTTCTGCAAGGATGCTCAGGGTGCTGTGAGATCAGGGCCTCTAAGAAAGAAATGATTCTCCATCAGATGAATCAGCTCGCTCCCTCAGCCCCAAGTCCTTTGCTATGTGAACAAAACATAAAGCCCCTTTTCTCTGACCAACACAACACCCTGCCTGAAGCCCACAGATCAAGAGGGGCTGCTGTCTTTCACGTGTGCTTCCTATAATGGGCACTTCACAGCTCACTGAGGAGACTGACAGGGAGATGGCAAACCTATTAGGAAATTCTGGCACATTTATAATTCCATAAGATGAGGAAAACTATTTGTAGGGTCATGGAGAGAAGTGACTTACCAGCTGCACCAATAGTGCCTTGAAGATGCCGTGGCCTGACTACGTAATGACTGTCTTAGTCATGACACCGATAAGCTTCAAATCTACACCATTACAGTTTGTACAACAGGTTGGCTTAATGAGGTTGATGCAGATGCTCAAGAGCAGTTATTAAATCCTCACAATGAGACTTTAGCAAATGAGGGCTTCAACAAGTTGTTGCCAGTAAGTGATAACAGTGGAAGCCACTCAGTTGCATCAGACACATGTGTAAGGTGCTCTGAGTGCTAGACGCTGGTACAGAACTCCAAAAGAAAATCAGGCCTCATTGCCAAAGCTCAGGGATAAGTCTAAACAGAAAGGCATTTATACAGCAACAAGAAAGTTACTGGGGGCTGGGGATGAGGGAGGGCTGGGGTAGGAGGATACTAAAATATTTTTCTGAGGTGCCCAACTGCTTGTCTTAGAAGAGGCTAAACTGAGCCAAGTGTCTCTGTTTGTCTCCTCCACCCCCTCCTCTACAGCTTTACAATGTTCTCTAGCAGAAGCAAAAACAGGGTCACTGCCATCATAGATAAAAGGATGGGCGGCCGAGCGTGATGGCTTATGCCTGTAATCCCAGCACTTTGGGAGGCCGAGGTGGGTGGATCACCTGAGGTCAGGAGTTCAAGACCAGCCTGGCCAAGATGGTGAAACCCCATCTCTACTAAAAATACAAAAATTAGCCGGGCGTGGTGGTGGGCACCTGTAATCCCAGCTACTCAGTAGGCTGAGGCAGGGAATTGCTTGAACCCAGGAGGCGGAGGTTGCAGTGAGCCAAGATCGTGCCACTGCACTCCAGCCTGGGCGACAGAGTGATACTCCGTCTTAAAAAAAAAAGGGGTAAGTAAAATGCACGTACTGTGTGTAATCATGTAAGTAAATATTAAGGTAAGAATTGCCAAAATGAGTCAAATGTGCACACACAAACATAGGTACTGCAGAGTCAGAAAACTATACTTTTCCCAGGTTTATTATTCACACTGTCTCAAGAATGCATCTACTAGAAATATATTCTTCTTAGAATATTAAAAAGAAACACTTGAGTGAAACCACAGACTTAACACAGTCAGGTGTTGCTTAAGGTCATGGCTGCAAGGGCATAGTAAAGATTTAATCGACACTGCCAATGATGCCAAGTAAAATAATATTCTCATTCTAATGTTGGAATCTAGGTTAGGCCCCACCTGCACCCTATGTTACCCCAGAATGAAGTAGAAAAAATAAGTACGGAAAACACAACACTACTGAATTTGGGTAACAAAGGTATTTAACTTACTCCTTTGGAACCATAAAAACTTAGAAAAGAGATCCGAGAGATCATCATTCAATCTTTTAATTTAACAGACACGGAGAACGGCATCAATCAAGGCCAGAACTGCAGTTACCAGCAAGGTTTAAAAACAAACCCAAGCATCGTCCTGTTCCTTACAGGAAGGGAAAATGTTAATTCAGGGTCAATGAAGCACCATTTAATATTCGTGAATAATGGGCCTCATATATAGTGCACAGTACTATTTTTTCAATTTTTTTATTTTTTTTTGAGACTAAGTTTCATTCTTGTTGCCCAGGCTGGAGTGCAGTGGCGCAATCTCGGCTCACTGCAACCTCCACCTCCTAGGTTCAAGCAATTCTCTTGCCTCAGCCTCCCAAGTAGCTGGGATTACAGGCATCCGCCACTACGCCCGGCTAATTTTCTGTATTTTCAGTAGAGATGGGGCTTCGCCATGTTGGCCAGGCTGGTCTTGAACTTCTGACCTCAGGTGATCCACCCGCCTCAGCCTCCCAAAGTGCTGGGATTACAGGGAAAAGGCACCGCGCCCAGCCTGCACAGCACTATTTTGAGGACTTACTTAGTTTTGAAACATGAATTTTTCTTTCATCTCACTCACTTTACCTAATAATCATTTAAAAATGCAAATAACACCTTTTAAAACTATACTTTCAAGTGAAGTCAACAGATGATTGCTTCAGCTTAAAAATATGCTTCCAAAGATAAACACGTTAACTCCTACTCTCATAGAAGTATTATCAGATGAAGGAACTGGCTCATAAATGCTATCTTCAAAATAAAGACAGGTCTTCCACCAAAGCCATCTTCTTCGGAAATTACTGGGCATGGGGTGTAAGGGAGTGTGGAATTGTGTGAGGAGGCTGGGGGCGGTGAGGGGAAATGCATTAGAAAGATCTTAAGGGGGAAAAAAAAGAAATTTACCAGGATTCCAGCAACAAATTAAGATTCCTATTCTTCCCTGAGAATGAACACTAGAGAACATATACCAGCTCTTCGTGGCTTCTGTGCTCATTTATCTGTGATCTCAACTCTGCTAAAAAAAAAAAAAAAAAAAGCTCAGGGCTTCTAATGCCATCACAGACTAGCGTGCCCCATGCATTTAAACATGCTTCCTTCTCATATGGTGAAATCGGGAAGCCTGGCTCTCAGGTTTGGGTGAAAATGAGTCTGCTTCATGGTACTGACTTTTGCCAGGATGTTTCCCAGCCTATGCCCAAGAACAGATTAACAACAAAAAATGATTTCTGTTCGTTACTTCCCACAACTTCTGGTTTGTTCCCTTATCAGTAAAGAGATTAATTTTAGAATATGATTATTATCCATTCTTTTCATTCTAAGAAAACACAAAATGCATGCTCTCTTAGTTTATTTTCTTACAAGTAAAATTACTCCACCTGCACAAAGCAGCAAAACTGAAGCTCTCAACATTTTTGTGTTCTGCAAAAAAACAGAGGGCAACCCTGTGGTCATTCAATTTTGGGACTCTACCGACCAACCCTCTAATGTGGGTGGAGGCCTGGATGAATTAGAATGACAATCTCCCACCCCTCCCATTTAGACAATTCGTGTTTAGACAAAGAGCTCTCAAGAATGGCTGAAATTTGAGAGAACAATCCCAACGGAAGCCAGCTCTATCAACCTGCTTATGGAGAAACCTCAGGCCAGATCCACTAGCAAAGCAGCAATACCAACAAACCCGACACTACACCTGTCCTGCCCATCGTATGATGAAAAGCCCACCACATACAAATCTCACCATGGCAGAAAGCAAAGAGGTCAATCGACCTCTAAATGGTGGACAAATAGCTTGCTGCTTCAAATTCTAGGAATACTTATTTTACATTTTGATTTTTAATGTACATATAACAAAACTCATTTTAGGGGCCTAAAAACAACTTTTTTTTTAATGAGATGCTTTAAGTGTAGATTTTTGAGCTAATGAGGAAATAGGAGGAGGAGGGCTTTAAAGATAAAATTCCAGTAAAAGATACAACTAATTTGATAGCTGAACTTGGGCAGATACTTTACCTTTCGAACAACAATTTCGTCATCTGTAAAATGGGAATGAAAATGCATCATGCCCTGTTGTACTCTTCAAAAGGGCAAAGGAGATTGTAACTGAAAGCATTTTGTAAATTCCAAAGTTCATAATTATTATTTTTATTAAATAACAGCAACAGTTATTCATGATCTTATTAAAATATTAATTTTCCAGGATCATTTGAAATTCTCAAGTGCTAACTGGGTTGAAGGTACCATGTTAGTTGCTGTGAGGTTCTAAGGCAGCCCCTGCCTTCCAGCAATGACCTGTTAGGGGAAGGGAAAGCTACTCATAGCTAAGAGTGAGGCCACCAAGAGCACAGGGCTCTTGCATGATGGGGACAGCAGGCATGCCATGGGAACCAAGGAAGGGAAGCAAATAGGTGGCACAAGGCACTGGGTCTTGATGAAGGGACCATGCTGCACGTGTTCAACTAGACTCCAGCACACAGGAAAATGGTAGGTATTTTGTTTTAATGTCTTATTATTAAAAGCTTCTCTTTTGCTAACATTTCTTTAGCCCACAATTACCTACCAAAGGATATTTTTTCCATGGGAGAACAAAAGAAAAACTGTTGTTTATTGCTTCTTCAGAAAACAATGTTCTCTCTAAAATGTGTTTCAGTAAATAGCATTAATAGCTGAACAATCTGCAATTACCACAATACCACTTATTGTTATGTATTAAAAAGAAATCAACAGACAAAAAGAGATTATTCCCCACAAGGAGAGCACTTTTCTCACGGAAACAAAAATTGCAATTTAAAATGCTTTTCTTGACATTATATCCTTCTATCCAAGTCTACTCTTTATGAATTATAAACCACAGTCATGATTTAAATCTCTTATATTCAAAAATCATTCCTCTCCAAATGGGAGTTAATGTATCCTCCTTCCCCAAGTATAACTTTAGTACCTGAAATGTCTCTAGAAGCTATTCCTGTGTCTCTCAGTGCCTCTGTGCCTGGAGAAAAATGTAACATTTCTTAAAGTCTTCATAGAACTCTAAATGAGAAAAGATGGTCTTACAGGTCAATAGCTATATTCCAAAGAGCAGGAAAATCCCTTCTGCAATGAAATGTACCATTGCCTACTGAAGGCCTAACTATCTTTCCCTTCCCAAAGTCCCAGAGTCATCAGAAACCCGTTTCATGGAATAAGCAGCACAAGCCAAACAGGCTATGTATCTGTTCACCAATTCATGGATGCAGTGACTTGAGTGCAAGGCTAGGTAGGGCTCAAGCTCTAAAGTGAATGTTCCCTTTTTCTGAGGCTGTCCTAGAGCGTCAGACAGCCTTGGACTGAATACTTTAGAGCTTGAAAGGCTTACAAACACAGAACCTATCACCTGCCATATTTGAACAGAAAACTGGATTTAGTGTCTCCTGATGATGAGCTAGAATCTACCTATTAGTCCTGGCTCTGGGTAAAACAGTCTCTCTCACACAGCACTGCTTCAGACATTTGAAAAAGGCAATTATCTGTCTCCATGCACCAGCCCTTTTCCATGCAAGCTGTTCTCTCAGCCATCCTGCTTCCTCTTAGCTACTCAGGCAGTGCTCATGCAAGAAGTGGAACCTGAGCCCCCTTCCTGCCTCCTTTCATACATACAGTGCCTTGGGCTTTGCAGATGCAGGCCACACAACTTTCTACTTTGGGCTTCCAGACAAAATTCATCTCAGATAATTTTCATGTTAACTTCAGAATTAATCAGAACGTTCCATGTTTTATTTCTTAAACTGATTTTTTTAGACAGAGAATTTAGTAAGCTGAACCATTATGAAATTGTACCCCCTTTTTGAAAACTCATTTAACTCAACCTGAAACATTGACTCTCTTAATCTCCCTGGTTAAATTTTTGTATGCATTTATTCCCTTGGTTAAGCTAACAGAGTGAGACTTTCATACTGTCTTTGATTACTGAGTTGTGTCATTTAATTTATATTACCTAGCTCTTTTCTTAGGACAATGTCATCTGCAGAAGTACTCCTTTAGGGCAAGGTTTCTCAACCTCAGCAGTACTGACATTTTTGGTCATAAATTCTTTGTTGTGTTTCTGTGCACTACAGGATATTTAACAACATCCCTGGCTTTCACCCACCAAATGACAGTGCACTTTATGACAACCAAAAGTGTGTCCAGACATTGCCAAATGTTCCCTGGAGGGGGCAAAATTCCCCTGCCCCTCAAGAATCACTGTTCTAGGGTAATGAAAGTTGACTAGCTCACCACAGTAGAAAGTTAATGCCTGCCTTGAAACTGATAGTTGGAGCCAAAATTGCAACCAAAGTGGCTCAGCTCAGCTGCTTTGGTTACCCATTCTTCCCCATGATGCTGTGTAGATTTGGAATAGCCAGTCTCAGAAGAAGGTCTTTTTTTTTTTCTTCCATTTTCTATCAATCAATATATCTACTGAGCATCTACCCTCTCTGGGAAAAGACAGAATGCACTCCAGTGACTCTATTAAAAAAGATTCCGGTGATCTGGGCTCTGTGACAGGCCACAGTAGAGTCTCCTTCCAGAGAGAAACCTCAGAGCAAAAGAACATGTTCTCAACTGAAAAATGTATGCCAACTGATACACGATATCACACGGTAACAGTTTACTAAGAACAAAATCTTTCCTTTTCCCACATATACTGAGAGTTGCTATACTATTTTTATGCTTTATTTCACGTAGCATGTCTTATTAGATACCGGAAGATTTTGGGCTAAATATACATAATTCATATTCATGTCTGATAACATTTACTTGAAAGAAAGTCTTTACACCTTTAAATCCAACAAAGGAAACCAAACAAAACTGTAGTTTCTGGCCTGTCAGGTAGATTTTCTTCTCTCTGGATCAGCCTCCATGCTATCATCTTACACTTTTTAAAGCTGTGAAACAAGTTCACTGCACATGTGTTAAACCTCATAACCGAAACCTCTGCCATCTGTTACCTCCTACATATTTTTACTTTCCTCATTGAGGTACAAGTGGGCTCTGTCTACAGATTAATGAAAATAATTATTGATTCTACAGCTATAAAAAAAAGAAAAAATATCTCGCATTTATTTTTGGTGCAGTCATCTATCTGAAGTCTTTATGGCGATTGATAGCTGAATAAAGTTATAATAAAACTTTCATTGATAAATTTTGATGAATCTGTGGCTTGTCCATTCCCACAAAACCTTGTGGAAAACACTCGGAAGGCAGTGGATGCTACCTGATGGTGTAACGTTAATTATATGACAGCTTCTGTATTTTATCACTCTGAATTTGTACAATAAGCACAAACAGGAATTATGATTAACTTAACAATACATGTCAGGAGAGGACTGTCATCTCTCACCTGTCCTTATAAATATTATCCTTCAATCAAACCTAAGTCAAACTTGGAAGTTTTGTTTATTGCTACAGTAAACTCCCCTTATATTCAATAATATTTCATTAACTTGAGTAAAGTAAATTCAGGTCAGAAGTTGTATTTTTAGAAAAATAAAAGGACTTGTTTTTAAGTGCTACATTACTTTCAGAAATAATTAGTAACAAATATATGTCTTGGCTAACAAAAACATCAATTACAGAGCCCTTTAGATGTCCCATTTTAATAATTATAAATACATTTACAATTTGCATACCAACTGCTTGAATTCCAACAGAATTAGAAAATATGTTCTCTTAAGTACAGAGAAAATGTCCCTGGAAATCTTTCCTGCACATTTCTAATTCCTAACAGGCAAGAATTCTTTGGGGACACCCCTTGGTGTATCCTCGGATGCACCCATTTGGCCTGTCCTATGCTATAATGTCCAAGGTGAGGAAGGGTCATCAAGACATGAGTCGAAACTTACAGTCCCTTTATCCTATCATGCCCACATGTCTTCCTTTTCTCAATTCATCTTCTTGCCTTTCTGAACCAACATTTGCCTTGACAGATAATGGGAATCGTGCCAGGACACTACTTTCTCAGGATGCTTACCAATCAGTACTACATCCTACCTCTCCAACATATTTCTCACACACAGACAAACACACACACACACACATGCACAAAACACATATGTGCATATATATACAAAATATATACACATATAATGAATTATACACATAGACACACACACACACAAACCCCATCTGTGCCTCAGTCCTTGTTAGCCCTCATTACCTTGCCCCTGGGCTATTATAATAATTTCCTTTCTGTGTTTGTTGTCATCATTCTTTCATGATTATAATTCACCCCCACTTTATCACTGTGGTTTAAGCTTCTTAAAATGCTCTTGTGGTCATGTGGAGTATCATGCTCAAAAACCTTCAACAGCTCCCCACTGTCCATGGGATGAAAACTACTTTGAATCAAGGCTCTCTACAGTGCTGCCTGGATTCATGACCATATATTATTTCTACGCATATATCTGGCATTAAATCAAAGCCACTCTAGTCATTGTTCCTGAACACAGCCTGAAAAGTTCTGTATCTTTGATGTGAAACTCCATCATGCTTCTTGTCCTGCTATTTAAATCCTATCCATTCTTGAAAGTCCTGCTAAATCCCCTCTCCTTTGTGAGCTGCTTTCAAATCAACTTAGCTAAAAGGATATTCAACAGTTCAATTTTCATAACATGTATATCACTACTTATTTGGTCTTCTGCACAAGTTGATGGTTAGTACAGATACTTGTTTATGCATCTCACACTCTCATAACCTGACTAGGTCTTTACCATGGCAGGAAAAAATATTCAACATAAAAAGATCATTGAACTTTGTGCCACATTTAGGAAGGAGTGATGTGACCCTAATAATAAAGTGCCTAAAAATAAATCAGAGGATCTAAGAATGCTTAATGGGAAAGGGTCTGAGAGGCTCTCTAGCCCAATTCATTCACTTGACTACTTGTGGATAGGTGAGGGCCCCATGGCCAGTGAGTGACAAAGCTGAGTCTAGCTCTAAGGTATTTTAGTTCCCAGTATCAGGCCTGCCATCCATGAGAGTCATATGTTATTCTTGAAAGTCAATATATTCTGAAGCCATCTTATATCCTGAATTCTTGGAAGTACATTTTCCAATTCTTAGAAACCTTAGGAATAAGGCCCCACATTAGTCCTATTTTTACTTGTTGTATAAACCTATAGTTTTTTTTAAACTGTTTTTAAATGAAGCTTTAACAAAGTTAGCCTTCTAAAGGTCTAAAGTTCCTCTACTGATACACATCAAAGTTATTATTTCATCCTCGGAACATCAGTTAGATCTTTAAATTCACAAATAAGTACTTTATCTGCTAGTGTTGAGTTAAAATCCTATAAATTAAAACCTTGGTAAAATCACTTGCTGTACAGAATGAGCACTTTAGAGACATGTATTAAAATTATTTCCAGGGATTTGAGATAAACAAGGCCTCCAATTTGCCATCCTAATTCTTTACCTTTCCTGGAACTGAATACTCACTTATGTTTCACCTTAAATATACTTTGAAATTTATGTTTATCTAACATATATGGTTCCATAGTAACAAGTCTAAATTTTCAGCAAAGAACAATTCTTTGTCTGAGAAAAGGTGATGCAATTATTACATATGACTGCATGATACAGGCTGTCTGGGGTTATTAAAAGAGTCAGGTATGGCCAATTTACAAGTATCACCCCTGCACCTTGCTTTCAAAGCTCACTGCTGAGTCTTAATGCTCACTGAGGGGCCTCATGGGATCTTTTTACAAACGACTGTTTATTATTATATTATTCCATCATATACCTCATGAGAGGGGGTTGTAACACCCGTTAAGAAAATCATGAACTACTTTGACTTCTGTGATAGAATACTGCTCTATATATGATGTTTAAAATTATGGTTTTTTTTAACATTGATGTGACAAAACGTTCATAAAAATGTGGAGTTAAATGAAAGCAAAATGTTCCTACAAGCTAAATATTATTGCCTACAAAATAAGTGGCTAAAATTTTAAAAATACAAAAATTAAATTAATGCTCAAGTGCATTCAGCAACTGAAATATGAACCAGTGTTGATCATGTATTGCCAGTGACCAGCACAGCACTTTGCAGAGCAGTTACTGGCTGAGCCAGGGTCTTACTTGCAGGCAAGAGAATCCACTGTTTTGAGATTAAGAAGAAAGAGACTTCTATGAGGGTGTTAGATGGTCTGGAGAATGTCTAGAAGTGCCAGGGAACCAATCACAAATCTCCACAGCCAGGAAAAAGCTGGTAAGCAGGAACACCCAGCCACATCACAAGGCTGTTCCAGCAGAGCCCACTGTCTGCTCATCTCAACAGTGATGGTGGTGCCGGAGCAGAACCTCCATGACAGGAGGACCCAGATCCCCCTGTGCTGCTGCCCACCACTCCCCACATCTACCTTCAAGTGCCATGTTGGCTGGTGTCTCTGCTGGACAGAACCTGGGTCAATGCCAACCCAGCTGCAAGGAGTCTGGGACATGCAGTGTTCAGCTTTCTAGCTTTCCTTGTACAGAGGCTCATTGGGTGGGGTGAAAAGTGAGGGAAAGTGAGCCGATAGCCATGGACACAAAAGAAGCATTTCTGGATCATAAGCATACATGGGTAAAACAAATGTATCAATCGGTATGTCTGTCTACAGCACAGGGAGTGGTTATTTCTCCACACGTTGTAAAATTCCACAATGCCTAGTTATGTTTTTTAGTCAAATCATTATGTTCAAAGTAAGAAAATGTATATGGAGAAAGAAAAAAAATCAACACTTTAAGATATCAGAAATAAATGATGGTGTTGCTGTTCTTCTCCTTACCCTTAATATTATTACAAGAGCTCATGCTTACTAAGGGATCATATCCATGATCCAGACTGAATGCATTACATGTTTTTACCTCTTTCAAGTCTTCAAACAACCCTCTGAGGTAGGCACTATTATTATCCTCATTCGATAGATAAGGGAGCCAGAGCACAGCAAACCCAAATGATTTGGCTAATAAGTAACAAAGCCAAGACAGGAAATCAGACAAGCTGACTTGAGGTCCATGCTCTTAACCAATACACTTTATCACACTCTATTACACTAGATCTTAACTTTATGCTGTTATGATCCAAATATGTTACTTCAGGGCAGAACAACAAACACTTCTGCATTGGAGAGAGGCCTCATGCTTTTTTGGTGCATTATAAAACACAATATTATAGATGAAAATGACAAAGACCCACATTTCCCAAAATGTCTATATGCATATTTGCAACAATAATTTTACATTAATGTAGGCTTTGCATTTAAAAGAGAATTTAACTTTGATGTATAACAGACAAATTACATTAAGACATTAAATCTGTAAGTCATTGTTAAAAAATAGCTCACTTATTTTAAGCAAAGAAAACCTTCCAGTCTCTGATACATGTTCTTACAAACATGAAAATAAAATTCCTTTCCTCAACTGTCCTTTTCCATTTCACACATATTGATCTTTCCATCTGTTTTAAATAATCATGAAATTAATAAAAACTGTTTTTAATAAATCCAAATCATAGGTTCTTTCATGTCAAACTATTTTGGGGAATTCTGATGTGAAAAAGCTGCTTAAGTGTTAGGAAAAACTGAGAACAACAAGAAACAGCTTTAGAAGAGAAACTGAAGGATGATGAAGAACTGAGAAGGCAACTGTGGAAAGGTCTTTCCAGGTTGGGGCAGGGTAGTTTAATAAGGAGGATTCTGAAGTGGAGTAGGACCAAGGGCAGAGCCCAGGCAAAATAAAACGGAAGGGAGAAACAACATCAAGGCTGTTGGACCAATACGCTTGCTGTGAATCAATAAAAGAAAACATACCTGGTGGAATAAGCCAAGCCTGTATGTGAATTCTAACAGGCTTTTTAGCCTGTGGCACTGGGCAAAAGTTTTAGATATTTTTTTGAAGTTTCATTATTTATAAAATGGGCCTCAGGGGCCTGGGTACTATGGCTCACACCTGTAATCCCAGCATTTTGGGAGGCCAAGACGGGAGGACTGCTTGAGCCCAGTGAGCTATGATTGTGTCACTGCGCTCCAGCCTGGGCAATGGAGCGATACCCCATCTCTAAAAAAAAAAGCAATAATAAAATAAAATAAAATAAAATAAAATAAAATAAAATAAAATAAAATAAAATAAAATAAAATAGGCCATGGTATTTATTGAATTGAATTGCAGAGAAGATTCAATAGTACAACATCATGCAGTCCCCAGCACAGAGTCCAGCACTGTGAGTGCTGAAGAAATAAATACTCCTAAGCACCATCACCAGCCCACCCTCAGACACAAAGCAGCTGAGCAGAGGGAAGCGTACTGGGAGACTCCTTCACAGGCAGGCCGGGTAGCCCTGAAAGTCACGCCAAATTTTCTTCATAATTTATAGTTATTTTGGAACTGTTTATAATCCTAATTATTTTGTAAACCACTAACATCAATTTTTAAAAAAAATTCATTGTCAAGGAAAAAATAAAGCCATTTCAAACCATGTTTTCGATCACACCAATCAACCACGAACCCATGTTACATATGTACCGGGGGAAATACTACTTGATAAATTCATTGTGTTAGTATTACATAAGTTATTAGGATAACCAAAACTGGTTAAAAATACTAAAAACAGTTGCTTTGGAATGCACTACATTTTTCTGGCTGTTTGGTATATGTATTATTATTTTTTAAGATACAAATGGTCATGTCTGTTTACATAATAAATTTGCTATCATATTAGATGAAACTATAACTTTCCAGGATTGCCAGAGAACACAACTCATGAGACATCTACTTTACAAATTGTTTTTTAAACTAAAAAATGTCTTCAATTACTATGAACATCATTATGTTTGAAAATACTTTTTAGCATCTTATAACTTATTTAATTCAACACTTTATTGGTCACTACTGACATAATTTTGATACCTTCAGATTTAAGAAAGAACTTCATGAAACAACCAAGCCATACAAAGCATAATGTTCAAAGGCCCATGAACCACAAAGCTGCGTCGTGCAGACAAGTGTGCCACCCAGAGGCAAAAGGAAGAAACCCACCTTGGATTTTATTTGTGAGACAAAACTGATAATGTTCAATTTTAAACAATTATTTATGATTATTTATTTAAAAACACAGGACATCTTTCATAAGGTTCTCTCTGCATAAATAAATCCTTTTGCTGCTAGGATACATAAAAGTGTGGCCCTTTGAGAATTCTCACAAAATAGAAAGAAGCCCTGAGATGGTACCAGTCACAGGTACATAGTTTGTTAATTAAAAAATTGAATTTAACTGTATTCTCTACCATAAATGCTTTCTTTTCTTTTTATAATTAATATAACATGTGTTTCCAGAATTACATAAGTTCTGAAACAACCACTATGATCTATTTAGACGTGTGGATCAAAAGTTAAACTAATTACCAGAGACATTTCTTAACTTAAATGAAAAAAAGTTTCTTTCATTAGGTCTTCTGCGTAATTTTCATCTGGCAAAGGAATAAAGTTTACTTAGAGTAATTCTGTTTGGCAGACAGTCAGCGCTTCTAAAATATATAACAATAATTGTTAAGGTTAAAGAAAACAGTCAACTCTATTAAACTCACATAAAAATTCAAGCTTCTAACTAAGCCTAAATAATAGGCTGATTTTAAATAGAGATTTATGATATCCTCATTTCATCTTAGAAGTCTGAATGTTGGGATTACTGTTAGCATTGGACCATCTTTTAAGATTTATGTATTCCACTATGAACTATAAAAGATATTGAGCCTTAACTTAATTAAAAACATAACATGCATTAAGATGTAAAAACAATTTTAAGCACAAAATTTGGAAATTCTTTTGTCTATACTATAAAATTGTATTTCTTGAAAATGATTTATAAAATAATTTTTTTCAGGTTCTCAAATGTTATATAATATACTCTTATTTCATCTCATTTTACTGTTTCATTTCCACATCAACACATCTTAAAATAGAAAGACAATTCTAAACTCATTTATGTGACTTTCTAAAAAATTCATTCTAAGGAACATTGTTTACTGCTAACTTACTTGTTTTTATAAAATGAGAAGGATCTATAGTTGATTATTATTTCCAAGTAAATTTTTTTTCCTGCAAAATATTAGCATAAGGCTTCTTTAAAGTAGGGTATTGTTAAGTAAACCTTCCTCTTTTGTTTCTTTCACTGAAGGAGTTCATTATTATCTGAGAGTTAATTGTCTTTTCTATACCCCATAATCCTCCACATACCCTGAGTTGCATCATTCTGTAAAAGATGCTTCCACTTGCAATGATGCCTGTAAAATATTTGAGCAGGGAGTACAAACAATTCTACTTTGTGTTCCTATTTCTACATTTATCTAGGAAATAAATGAGATTATGGGACTAAGCCAGCCTGCTACATGGATGTCCTCTATACACTGCTAAAATCACAATGAATATGACAGACTACTCACTAGGACAGTATGGTTATTATTTCATATAAGAGTTCAATGATTTTTAAAGCTCAAAGTAAGTATTGGGAAATACATACTGCAAACTATTTAAATTCAAGTACATTCTAAAGCAACAAAAAAAGTTTGCTTATCAGGAGAATAACTTCTTACATGTACCCTGAGGTATCAAAAGGTCTGTGTGTCTGCATCATACCTTCAACGAATACAAAAAATGCAGAAAGGACAGTTACTTGATAGTTAATAAATGATTCAAGTTCATTAATAAGTATTTACAATTTAAAGGGTAAATCTCAAACACTCCCTATACCTCTATATTGGTTAAGAAAACCTAGTAATAAAATGAAATGTCTTAAAATTTATTGAATCTTTTCTATTCCTTTCTTTCCATCCCCAATGCTACCGGCTTAGTTCTTATCATTTTTTTAAAATCTGTATTAAACACTTCCTAATTGTTCTCCATCTACAGGCCAATCTCTGATTCTATCCTACTATCACATTTTCAAATCCATCTTCCAAATGCAGTCCAGAATCTCTGTGAAGCATAAATCAATCACATCACTTGCCTGCTTGATATCCCAAATCAAGTCAAGAATCCATGTGTCCCTATCCGTAATCTCCCTCAACTGGCAGAAGTCTTCCCAAGGGAGGAAGGTCAGGGTCTGGCCACACCCTATCTCCCAAACCTAGGGCCTACAAGGAGGAAGAGGTAGCTAGTGGCTCCTTGGGCCTTTCTGTTCGAACTTGAACCAAACTTAAATTGCATTGGGAGAAATTAAAATAACTCCTTATCAAGAAATGTCTGGACTCATCTTCTATCTTACAGGTAAAGTCTTTCACAAAAACATCCTAACTACTAAAACAACAATTTTCAAACATTTTTAAATGATCAGTACCACTTTCTTCAAACCATATTTAATGCAGAACCCAAACAAAAAGTGGTTATAATAGTATTTTGAGGTTGACAACACAGGCAGAGGTTAGATCATAGAGGCCATAGAATAAAATTAAAATTTGGTTGGCACAATGCAAATGCAAAGTCAGTGGGGAGAAGAAGCAGGGATGTGAAACCTGATTTACATTTTTGAAAGACCATTGTGCTTGCTGTGTGTAAAAGAGTTGAAACTACTGAGAAATTCAACACTTCTGATGTATTTTCATAAATATTACTAATGTCTTTAAAGAGTGATATGCTATTTCCAATTAATGGGCAATCACAATAAAGGAGTCGCAGAATACCTGATCCTCGCTGGTTAATCCCAGGTGCATCACAAGGTAAAAATGCACCAGGAAATCTGAGTTTGGCAGAACGTCCTGGCGTCTGGTCATCATGGCACAGATCAGCCTGTAGGCTTGTAGTTTGCCTTCCTTATATTCATTTGGCAGTGTCGCCGCCTGTCAAGGAGATGATGTTTCCAGATTAAATCAAGCCCAGGTGCAGAGTATTTCAACATTTCATTTACTTCTCAGTTTTCCTTAAGAGTTGTTTATGGACATGTGGGATGCAGTTACTTTAGTAAGACCCAGCCTGTCTTCAAAACATGCAGTCTTGGGCAATTACATTTTTCAAACTCAATTTCAGAAAGGAAGAGGAAATCGCAATAAAGGAATAAACACATATCCACTTGCCTTAAACAGCCATGATGCAAACATTCTGAGTGGTGGGATCAAAACTGGAGGAGATGGAGAAGACTGGTTATCCAGGCTTATTGCTAGATTATCCCGTATCTAATTCACAAAGAGGAGAATTTTAGGGTAGGTAACATTACGTTTATCCCAACAGTATTTCAACAGTCTTCTGTGACCATATAGCTGCTTTCAGTTAATTTCTATAAGTGAAAACCTGTAATATTTACAAGTTTCTCTTTTATTGTGAAATTATCCTTTTGAATTACATGTTTGGCTTACTGTATGTGGTTTTAGATTTATATACAAAACAAAGGCATTGTTTTTCCTTGAACGTTAATGGCTGGGGAGGTCCTGAATTCCAAACGATAAGTAACATTTTAATGAGTTATACTGAACAAACATGAACCATGTTTTTGAAAAAAAAATTTAATACATGTGAATGTCAGAACCCAAACAAAAATCAGAATAAAAATTGTATGTACTACTCAGGAGGCTAAAGCAGGAGAATTGCTTGAACCCAGGAGGCAGAGGGTTGCAGTGAGCCAAGATGGCGCCACTGCACTCCAGCCTGGGCGACAGGGCAAGCAAGACTCCATTTCAAAAAAAAAAAAAAAACTTGTATGTACTCTAAGATTCTACTTTCATAAAAAGAAAGAAGACTATATATTAATATTGGCTATTTCTATGAATACTGATGTTAATTTTCTTCTTTGTATTTTTCTACATTTTTCAAATTGTATACAATACAACCAATATCACTTTTATAAAGAGAGTAACTAGAATGACTTAACATCCTGTATTTAATATCCTATAGCAATATTCTACTTTTGCACTAAATGAAATAACTTTTGCATTTATAAAATAGTCATGTTATATATGATTATTCTTTGATAATCAAATGGACTTTGTCTAAATGTACCATTTGTGTTTCGGAATATGTTCAGTAGTTAACTGAAACACAGTTTTTACATTAAATGATAAGACCATTTTCCTGGATTAGAATAAAAAGTAACATAGCAGAACTTACCTTTGCTAGTTTGTACCAGAGTTCATAGAGATAGCAGAAAACTCTGGCATGGATCTTGGGTGACTGGATGTTATTCACATCTCCGAGGATCCCCAAGACCCTTCGCCATAACACAGCAGCAGAGTCTGGGTGCCAACCAGTGAGGCTCCCCCCGGCGATTATACTACAGTCATCTGTGAGGCACTCGCTGCTATCTATGCAGAAAAACATGTCTGTTAACCCTGTAAACAATCTTGATTTCATCATACCTTTTTTCTTTAAGGCAAATTACCTTAGGTATTCAAAGTAAAATAATTAAGGCAAAAAATGTGAAACAGCTGAGAATTTAAAAGGAGAGAAAAGCAGGATCAAGGAAGAAAGGTCAAATGATTTTGATTCTTCAAACTAAAAGAGCAACAAGCTAAGACATGACATAACAGTTCCTGGAGACCCTGTGATGGGTTTTATAGATCAGGGGAGAGGAAGAGGGAGACCCTTGAGCAGGATGGGTGGGAAACAGTGCCATGGAAATGGGTGGCCAGGGAAGCCTCAATGCTGGAGTAACATCTGCGGTGGTTGTTGTTAGGTCAGGTTCATGGGGGTGAAATGTGCATACAAGAAATTTCCATCCCTTTCAGGTTTAAGGAGTTTTAAGGAATGTATACGTTCATGCAACTGTTGCCATAAACTGCCACCATAATTGAAATATGGAGGATCTCATCACTCCAAAAAGTGCCCCTTCATAATTGGTCCCCTTCCTCTATTCTCAGCCTCTTGCAACTACTGCTTTGTTCTCTGTTCCTATAGTTTTGCCTTTTCCAGAATGTCACATGAATGAAATTCTACAGTTTGTAGCCTGTCTGGTTTCTTTCACTCAGCAAAATGCATTTGAGATTCATCTGTACAGTTGTGGGTATCAGTTGTCTCTTCTTATTACTGATTAATATTCTATTTTACAGATGTGTCATAGTTTATCCATTCACCTGTAGATATTTAGATTTGTTCCTGTTTTTTGGCAATTATGAATACAGTTGCTATAAACATTCATGTACAAGCTTTTGTGTTAACATGTTTACATTTCTCTTAAGTAAATATCTAGGAGTGAGATTCCTGGGTCCGGTCATAAGTGTATGCTTAATAAACATTAAACTGAAGAAAGAAACTGTCAAACTGTTGTCCAAAGTGCTGTTACGGTTTGCACTCCTGCAAGCAAAGTATGAGAGAGTTCCACTTGTTCTACATCCTTGCTAGAACTTGATACTGTTGGTTTTTAAAATTTTAACCATTCTTATAGGCATGCAGCAGTATCTCACTGAGGTTTTCATTTGCAGTTCTCCAGTGACTAAAGATTTTAAGCATGCAGTGATATGTGACTCGAACTTGAAGACAATGTGCAAATGGGCTGTGCAGCTCTGTGGGGAAGAGTCAGTTAGGGAGAAGAGCTAGAGCAAAGGCTGTGAGATAGGAGTGTGCTAACAAGTTCAAGGCATAGAATGTCTTTGTAATATATATTTAATTATGAAATATGAAACTGTGCATTGAAACAAATAGTTAATGAAGAATTTAATGATTTACATGTATATCTAATTTTACCGATTAAGTTATAGAATTTTGTTCTTTGGATACCTGTTGCTTTAGTATGAGTAAAGGCTAGAAGACTGATTTGAGTACGTCTCCAGCTTCCTAAAATAAGCCTTTGAATTTTTAGAGTAAACAGAAAAGCAGCCAAAGACACACAGGCACCACTTAAAGAATGATGTATTATAACAAAAAAATTTATTTCATAGTATGTATGTAATAATCAACAGAGGCAAGCATTTTAACTGCACATTGTATTTTCTCACTCTTCATCCTTTTGACTTCATTGCAGCATTTAACGCTTCTTCTCAGGCCCTTTTTAGACAATTCTATCTCTATTTGCTTCCATGACCAAGCACATTCCTCTAATCTCTCGCAGCTCAGTTTTTAAATTCTGGATTCCACATCTCCAACCTGCAGCCTTTGCACAAAGTTCAGTCTCTGTTCTCATGTGTCATAGCCTCAGCCCCCATGTGTTCTATCCCTCTTCTCCACTGGCATGGTGCTTGAGTAGGCCACCAAAGACTTCCATGTTGTTTAATGTAGTGCTCAATGTCCAGTCCTCAGCAGCATTTGATTCAGGTAATCATGTCTCCTTTCTGAAATGCTTCAACCATTTGACCCCCAGGTATGACTCTCACCTGGTCTTCTTTTGCTGGTGCTTCTTCATCTCACAGACTGTGGACACTGAAGAGCCCTGGAGCTTTTGTCTTCTCTATCTATACTCATGCCCCTCTTAATCTCATACAGATTTACTGCCAGACATATTTGAATGCCATCCATATACTCACAGCTCTACATGCCCATTTCTGGCCTAGATTTCTTTCCTCAAGTTTAAACTCATTTCTCCAACAACATATTTGACAGCTCTACATGCTCAGGACTGAACTGAAGCAGAAACCATAAGCAGGCATGGTCTTTGGTCAGTTTCACTGTGTTCCTGAAGAACCTCAGATATATGTATGTTGAGTTTGTTTTTTTTTTTTTTCCTGGAATTCAAAAGACTCTCTTCCTGCTCAAAGAGTATGAAAACTCTCCTTTAATCCCTCTGTTTTCAAGACAGCATCTCTGCACTCAGACGTGTTGGTGACTCCAAGCCAGAACCCGCCTAATTTACTTTCACCATTTTCTAGGGTGAAAAAGCAGTGGCCAGTGGCAACAGAGCTCTAACTAGTTCTTAAACAGACTTACAGTCTTCCTGTTTTTAGCCCCATCATCACCTCCTACTTTTGTAGCTACCTGGTATGGGAAATTTTCTAACCCTTTTAGAGAACCCGCATTAATTTAAGTCAGGTTGTTTCTTGGCTTCCCCTATTACTGACACAGGATTTAATATTCTCAGGTCTGCCAATTAATTTACCACAGGCCACCTGTTCTGCAACTTCAAGAAGTTGGTTGCTACTGTCTTTCTCCTGCCATCTTTGTCCTTGTGGATTTATGTCTTATTTAATATAAATCCTTTCAATGTGGCTTAAGTACGGTTTGGAGAATAAGTGGGGCTATTTGTGTTTGTTCACTCTACTGTCTTTAATAATATGCATTATTATAATTTATGTCTTTGTTACTCATTTCTCTTGCTTATTTTTAAAAGCCACTTATTTTATAATTTTTGTTGTTGGCTTTAATGCATTTATATTTGGTAATTTTTTCCTGAATTAGTCTTTTTAAAATAAAATTTATTTTTTAAGAACAATTTTGGATTTATAAAAAATTGTGACAATAATATAGTTTCCATATACTCCGTATCTAATTTCTCCACTATTAACATCTTATATTCGAATGGAATATTTATTACAACAAACCAATACTAAAAGATTATTATAAAGTCTACACTTCATTGAGATTTCCTTAGTTTTTAGGTAATTCTTTTTTCTGTTCCAGGATCTCATCCAGGATATCACATAACAAATAGCTGTCATGTCTCCATAGCCTCCTTTTGACTGTGAGTTTTCTTAAAACTTTGTTTTTGATGACCTTCATGGTTTTTAAGGAGTACTGGCTTTATAGATTGTTCCTCAATTGGAATCTATTGGATATCTTTCTCATAGGCTTTTCTTTTGCATTCCTGGAATGAACTTCTCTTAGCCCTGATGTATGATATTTTTCCAACATTCTTCAATCTCATTTATTATTGCTTTATTTAGAATTTTTTGCTTATATGTTTATAAGTGAGATGGTCTCTAATTATGTTTTTTTCATACTGACCTTGTGTGGTTTGTTTCAAGGTAACATAAGGTAGATAACAGAAGTGAGTTTCTCTTTCTACGGAATGGGATGAAAAAGGTAAAGTTTCTCTTTTACATGAAGGTTTAGTAAAGCTAGAAATTATCCTTTATTTTTATAGATCTATTTGAATAGCATACTGTATTATTTTAAAAATTTATATTGGTTTCGTAGTTGTTCCCTTTTCACCTCCAACATTTTTTCTTGATCAGTCTTGCCTGTTTGTCTATTTTTATTAGTGTTTTCAAAGAACAATTTTTAGTTGTCTTCTAACTATTATTTGCTTTCTAGTACATGCATGTATGCTCTCAGCTTTATTAGTTCCTTTTTTATTAACATGTATGTTATTCTGTTATTCTTTTCCTAATTTTTGAATAGAACACATTGTGTTAATTTATTAACATAATTATTCCCAAAGTTCTCTTCTTCACCCCATACAAATAAAGCCGGACTGATTTCTAGGCAATTATCAGTCCCCACTGAGTGTCATCTCGAGTGTATATGTTGTTGGCATTTTTAAGGCCTAATCAAAGAAACTGAAGCACAATCTCTGGATCTGAGGAACTCAAGTAGAGGAATGACAAGGGCAACAAAAGGCAAGAAAAAAATGAAACTGAAAAGGAGGGCAGGTCCAAAAATGGCTGCTCACTATAATAAGCTATGCTTATTAAATTAGTGATGGAAAGATCCCAAGACACACATAAAAAAAGATGTAATAATGATGGCACATGGTGTCTTGGAAAGGCCTTCCCAAACACAGAAGCACTGTTCCTTCTTAGAGGAAAACACACCTGTAGTTCCCACAAGAGTATCATATACTCAACTCAGGAGACACATCAAAATGTGCAAATATCATCCAAACTGGAATTCCTACACACTGTGCCTGAAAGGCAGAGTGCAAAAAACCTAATTATGGGCCTTCTGGGTTCTCTGACTTTTATAAAACCTCGGAAGAAAGACTCATCATCCTAATTCTGTAAAGTAAGTACAATATCAGGCATCTGTTAGTCTGAAAAGGTATGCTGAAGCATCAATAAATGCTTATGAATCAACATGAGCCCCCAAGTGAACAAGAAGCATAATATGGCATTTATTTTTCTCATAAAGGATGTCATGGCATTTTTCAATCCCTTGAGGAGAAAAAAAAAGTAAGGGGATTAGATAATTTACAGCTTTGTTTCATCGCTGGTTAAACCTTCACTCCAAAAATGTAGCTATCCAAAACAGAGATTGGTCCCCAGCATCCCAATCACACTGGAGATTTGCTTGAGTAACCACTCCAAGTACATGTAGACAGATACCTCATCATCACCTGCACCTCTTTTCAACCTGCCAACGAATATGCCCTTACTTATGAAAGAATCCCACATAGAAAATCTGCTTCAGTACTGCTTTACACTCAGAAAAATTCATGCCTCAATGATAAAATCCTAGGCAACATCCTCCATAAAATTATCAAGGTACGCTGACTTCTTTAGGAGTTTCTGAGATGCCTGTATGAGTTTCCTCAGTATTACTATGAACAAAAATGTTAATGAGTTGAAATGTTTTGCCCAAAATTACTCTGCTGGTGGCGTAAGTGACAGAACAGATGCTGACATTTTACATGTAGAGGGTTCCTCAGTGAAGGAGCACTTAATTAAAAATGGGAATTTAAGAGACTTCAGACAATTTCACGTTCACCCTAAAAATACCCAATATTTATTTTATTTTATTTTTCATTAGCAGCCTAGTATGCTAGCCTGCTATCTTTTTGTTTTATTACTACTTAATGCTATACGGGTGTTTAAAATTTTTTTATTAAAGTGAAAACTCTTACAAGCATAATTGTATCATCTTTCTCCAAACACATAAATAATTTTTACAAAGAGATCTAAAAGTTTAGAACTTTGCAAATATAGAAAGGATTTCAGCCACAAAATAAGTCTTGGTAGTTGGCAAAATAAGCATTTAAGGCCAAATGGTGATTTAATATGGCTGCAATTTTATATAAGCTAGGCACAGTGTTAAAGAAATGTAGCCTCGGTCTCTGAAAAAAATTTTCCTTTTGATTTGAAAACTAAACATAAAAAACAAACTCAAAGGCCTGAGTGAAACAACTTAATTCTAGAGCCAGAAAATTCAGGCCTGGCCTGGATGTCAATGATCAAGTGGAGAAACAGTAAGATGGCATCCTGCTCCCACCAGTGCAGCCTGGCTCTCCTCTCCTTCTTCCACTCCTTTTCAAGGATGTCCACTGCTCACTGCAAAGATTTCAGAAGGTGAGCTACCAATGCCCCAGTAGCTATCATTATTATTTTTCTTTCTAATATTTCATGACTTCGAAACACATCAAAGTCTGGTGGAAATGCCAAAAATATAGGCGATGACAGAGAATGCTGACAAAGCATTCTTGGAAAAACAATTTTAGTGGCAGGTAACAGGAGCTGTAATTCATATTCACAGCCATAATTAAAAGCAGAAGTGGCAAAAAAATTTCTGTAACATTTGGATGCAAGACTGTGATAACCACACTAAATAAAAGAGATTTTGAAATTGTCTTATGTATTATTTCTAAAAAATTAAAATTTAATTGCTCTTTTCAGCTATATAAAACAACAGCTTGCAGCTTAAAGTGTATTTGTTCGCTGATTCAAGTATTTATTAAATGCTTCTCTCCTGTCCTGCAATATTCTCGGAAGCAAGAATCAGCTGTGCACATAGCAGACAACAGGCGTCCCCCTCCTGGAGTCTGCATTCCAGTAGAGAAAGACCTTGGAATCTCCCAACTAAACCAAGATGCTAGATAACATTTCTCACCAAACCTTACTTTAAAAGTTATCACTGAGCTAACAAGAACATGGAAAGAAAAGAGCAACAAAGCTGGCTTTTTCCCTTTGTGGTTCTGCTAAACCACAGAATTCTTAAAAGTTTCTCTGGTAATGCAGTTTTCATTTTGCTGAGGTTGAATTACTGACACTTTTTTTATGGTTAGCTATTTTTTAAAAAAAATCATAGAACCTTTTAAAAAAGACGTTTTCTTCCAAAAGTTTTTAAATTTTCCTTTTCACATTTATGTACTTTATCCCTCTGAAACTGACTTTGGACATGGCGTGAGGTAGGAATTCTATTTCATTTTTTTCCATATGGCTAAGTACTTGTCCCACAGAAATGTGTTGAACAATACATTGTTTCCTTGTCAGACCTGACAAGCCACATATATCATATATCATGATTCCATGTCTGTGTGCACTCAGTGCTATATTTTATCTTCTGTTCCATCCGTCTATTTGTCTATCTCTATGATTACAACTTTAAGTAAATGTCATAGAATTTATCACATTATTTGTGACTATTAGGATAAATGTTGTGTCTTCTGTCCTTTTTATAAGCTCTTAAAAACTATAGTGGCTTATGACTTATTCATCTTTTTATTTCTCAGAGCATCTAAATCAGTATTTCTAGACTATAAGCTTATTTGTTAAATAAGGGATGAGGTAAATGACAATACTGATTCTTAGCTGTAGACTCATAAATGTCCCCCTCCCCTGACTATTTCAACAGAACTAAATGTATGCATGTCTTAAGTATATTTTCTTATTTTCTGTCTTCTCAATGCTCTGGCATTAGGGCCTCACTGATCAGGGAAGGACTGCCACTTCCAGGGTTAGCTAATTCCTAGAGATAGAAGTCTATTCACCAGGCAGCATGTCTTTCACATGCAAACCTACCAATTCAAAATTCAGACCCTCCAACTACCTCCTTTCTCTAGTTCTCACATACTAAGTCAATATCCCCTGCCCTGTCATCCTAGGACTGGGTACCAGGAAACTAGAAACAGCCCGTATGCTCCAGAGCCCACTGAAGTCATTCATATTAGTAATCCTAAAACTGCATACCCTGCCTTGCCTTGCTATTTCCATAGAAATGACACTAAAAGCGGTTGCCCCATTTTGTTCCTTCTGCCTCCTGGTACTTCCCTGCATGACCCCTGTTTCCAGGGATCCGTGAGTATAAACTTCTTCCTCCATGACAATCATTTCCATGTCTGTATGTCTTACCACATCTGATTAAAACAAATCCCAGGTAAACTTTAAGACAATGCACAGTAAATTTAGCTGTTATTTTCAGCAAACATGATTTAATGAGAAAGCAAATATAAAAGTAAACAGTTTGCCAGTGATGAAGGAATTTAAGATTTTGGAGGCAGTTTATTATTCTAAGCATTTGATAACTGGTAGGATTATTCAATAAGAAACAAAGATATAATCAAATTGTTTCTCTTTGCATGTCCTAAAAATCAGGCTCATATGAGTTTTATTTTGAACATTTATGAAGAAATTGCTCTCTTAAGAACAGAAAGTTAAATTCAGAACTGTGATAATCCTTAAGCCTTATCACATTACAGTTTGTCCTTTTCACAGATGACAAGGTGAACTATTGAACTGCGTGTACTGATTCTCTATATTAGTATTTCAAAGAAGAACGGAGTATTTGGAGGAGTTAATCACAACATGGAGTGCATCATATAAAATTACCTCACAGAGGTTTATTAAATTGAGCTGTCCAATACATACCCTGAAATGGGATCAAAACTAATCTTTCCAAAGAACAGACAAAAGAAGTAATCACCTAATTTTCTTCCCTTTCAATAAAAATAATTAAAACTAGTCCATGTTTAAGTAAATTCAACCTACTGAAGCTTCAGTTTTGCCTCCTACAGTACCACAATGATGACTTTCTTTTGGATAATCTGTAAGGATTCTCAAGTAGGTCAAAGGGCTTTACAGTAATTTTAATTTTAACAGGAACACAGTGTAAAGGAGTAGACATAGCACTGCACGTTGAGTCAAAACATTTTGGAAGCCAGTTTCATCTCTGGAACTCACACTCCAGCTTGATAACAATTTCTCTGGGTCTCAATCTCCCCATCTCTAAAACAGACATGATAAGACTTGGCCTGCTTCCCATACAGAATCAAAGAGAATGCCTCAAAATTCTTTGTAAATGTTGAATCTCATATCAATGTATAGTATTATTAGTCAAAATCATTATTTAGTCTATAAAGAATTTTACTGAATACCACCTTCATATGTTAATTTTATGAAGTTTTAATGACATTCTATCAAGAATTTCCCAAATATCAGAGACGTTAGTTAAATTTTAAATCACAGTGAAAACCAGTTTGCTTGGTTTAAAAAAAAAAATCCATTTAAGGTCAAATTTTAGCCTTTATGTTAATCATTTTAAAATATTTTTTGGCATTTTAATAACACTCTTAACATGTTACTTTGTGGTGGTTGTTTTCATACAAGATACCTGTGTGTGAACATGAATGTGCATCCATAAAAGTCTTGGCTCTGGTCAGCCTTTCCCGCACTGATTCCTCAGACCACGAGTCTCTCCTGACACTCCACAAAACAAAGCAAAACCAAACCCAGCTCCTCCATGGCCTCCCCGTTCTCATCAGCCTGGTCAAACAGGTGAGGGAAACTGACCTTTGAGGTTGACTTACCCAGTGTCACACAGTGTGTGTGTGTGTGTGTGTGTGTGTGTGTGTGTGTCTGTGTGTGTGTAGCTAAAACTGCAGACTACACCACACACAATATTTTGGGCACCTGACTTAGATGTTCACTCATTTATTCTTCCAACAGCCTTCATAAAGTACGGGCTATTATCCCAAATTTAAAGGCAAAGAAACAAAAGGACAGAGATTAAATAACTAGCTCAAGGCCACCCAGCAATTCCTCGGAGGTGCCTGGAAGCCGACCCAGAAAGTTTGGCTCTGAAGTCAAACAATCTGAGGTTAAAAAAGTTGCAAAAAATACAGAGTATGAAGTCATTTTTTTTAAGTTTAGAAACAAAACTAAATGATATATTGCTTGACACACACGGTAAAACTATAAAGAAATCAAGGAAATTAGTATAAAAACAAATTTGGACTAGGGTCCCAAGATAATGGGAGAAGGGGAGGGACTTGAGAAGGACCTCTAGGAGACCTCACTGGCTTGGGTGCCCTGCTAGTTCTTAAGTTGGGTAGTAGACTCACTCGTGTTCACTTCATTACTGTTCCCCGTAACTTACATACTGTATATGTTACAACTTACATTTTATGTATCAAAATACTTTATTTAAAAATTAATCAATAAGCTATCTAAACTCTTTGACTTATCCTGGATTTATAACATGTATGAGTTGGAAAAATCACTCTTCTTTCTAGCATAGAACAATTCAGTCAGGGATAGTAAAGGCTTGACATGAATACCATCACTTCCTCCTATGGTGGACAGTGGTCAGGAGCATGGCACACTTCCTCCTACAACTGTTTCAGAACCCTCTGTATACAAGACTCCAATGATTCACAACTGATCTCCCAGCTGTTTGCATTAGTGCCTCTTTTTCAAAATGCAATTTACCTGTTAAATTTGAAGCATCGGTGGGACTCAGTTGTAACCAATGACGGGCATCAGCATCAGCCACAACATCTGTGGGAGTATTCAGTTCTGGGTCTTCCTCACAGGTCTGCCATGGGCCCATGGACAGCTCTGCCTCATTGGTACAGCCCAGAGTTGTGTCACTGTTGGTACTTTCACCTGGTACAATGGAAGAACCAAAGTTTAAGATAAAAAATAGCTGAAAATCAGAATGTTCACAATTACTGATACGAAAGTAACTAAACAAACAGCAGACACAGTAGGAATCATTCATGTTCTTTGGCAGAACCTGCAGAACTTGAGAGGAGCTCAAAAAGTGTCCACGTGGGGCTCTTGGTCAAGAAAATGAATCTTCCAAATAAGGATATTAATAGCCATTATGAGCACCACTATGTATCATTCAAGTGGCACTCTTCAACGTGTCTTCACTCAGTACCCCCTACACCCAAACTACACCAAGTCCTAAAGTGTGCTGGGACTTACAAAATGAGGATGGGTGGAGGAAGAAGATAATAACTGATCCACCACAAATGCAAGTTTACTCTACCGGGTAGAAGAGTCTAAAGATGCTGTATGCCCCAAGCCTGACAGGTAGACGTAGACCTAGGGTGACTCATTCAGGGTCATCTGGGGATATAGTGTCCCAATACAACAGATTTTCTAGAACAGAAATTCTCCCCTTTAAACAGTAATAAGTTCTAATTTATCATAATATAATAAGGCTAGGCCACAAAGACTTATAGAACTATTTAGTCTGACATAAAATGAACCTAGACACTTCTGCTTCTCAGAGTCTCCTGTCTACTTCATAACAACTTTATGCATCTACATCTCTGTCTGCTCACCCTTCTGGCTGCTCTCTGTATCTACTCCTAACAGTCCCTTACTCTTGCTGTTTCTAATCTGCTGTCCTCTATTTACTCACAAAGAACTAAAAGTTGTCTCAGTAACCAGGTGACCAATGGTAGGTCCCAAACTTCATCTCCTAAAGAGCTCTAAGCTAGCAGGGTGAAGGTAGAACTCCTCTGCACCCATCAAGAACTGTCCTGAACTTGAGGAGGTGTTTACTTTGCTACTCTGGCACCTGACTTCAGGAAAGCAGAGTACTAAGGCTGTATTTTACAATATATGATAATACGTCTCAGGATTCCAATCTCATTCCATTTCTAAGTATTTAACCCATTGACTTCAATGTACTTCTGATGCTTTTTGCTTCTAGCCTCTGGGAACTTTCTGGGGAAGATAATTTTTCTCTCCGGTCTATCTGCTCACTCATGCCATCAGTCTCTGATGTACCACTCACCTGGAGAAAGGTCCAGGGGTAGAAAGACAGGCCTCTCAAGGTACGGGTGAGTAGAACTGTTTTATTATATGTATGGATGAACCTTTTGTCAATCCTAGGATTCCAGGAATAAGAAGGTCCCATTTCACAACCATTTCTCTCAAATTGATAAGCTATTACTCAAGTTAGAAGGTAAAAAGTGGGAAGATGGCTTGAGCCCAGTCATTCAAAACCAGCCTGGGCAACATGGCAAAACCTCATCTCTATAAAAAATAGAAAAATCAGCCAAGCGCATTGACATGTGCCTGTAGTCCCAGCTACTCAGAAGGATTGGGTGGGAGGATCACCTGAGCCCAGGGAGGTTGAGGCTGCAGTGAGCCATGATTGTGCCAGAGCACTCCAGCCTGGGCGAAAGAGTGAGACTGAGTCTCTAATAATAATAATAATAAAATGTAAAAAGAAAATAGAACATATCAACTCTGTAGTTGGAGGAACAGACATTTCCCGGAACTTACTCTTCTGTCTTTCCCTACATTTTCCTTGTGTCTGCTGCAAATCATCTTTCAAATCCAATTCAGCAGGGCTGCTGCTTCTTCGAACTAAGATCTTCAGACAAAAAGAAATATTGCATTTACTACAGGAAAGTTTTCATTGTTATAAGACTTAAGTTTCTAGCCCAAATTTCTAAAGAAAAAGAAACAAATAATAATAATAGCTAAATAAATTGATGTTTTCCATTTGAAGGATATGTTTTCACAAATCACTATATTTAATTTTATGTTACTCAAGATCTGAAACTTTAATTTATATCCTCTACTTTGTCAACTTACATCCATCCAATTAAATTGATCTAAGAAGGAATGCTAAATTATATGGAAGGAATTTGTTTTAAAGTTCTATTTGTTCTTCTGGTCAGGCACACATATATTGTGAACACAATGCTCTAGGAGGCATAAGTTATGCACACAAATGATAAGTGTGCTGGTAGGGAAGGCGCAAACTCCACCCAGAGATCTAAAGGTCCATTCAGTGTCTTCCTAGTTAAGCATGCCACAGACTCTCCTGAGCATTGCTTAACCTTGTATTAAATTCACAGGATTAAAAAAAAATCAGGAGGAAATCTGCATCCTCTAATAAGTTATAATTTGCTTGGAGAGACAAAACATACACAAATTACACAAAATAATTATAATGTATATAAGCAAAATATGCAAATAAACTGCCTCTGAAGGGGATGCAGAATAAACTGTTGCCTTAATTGGCTCAGCTTTATAGGAGAGCTGTTCAAGACAGCAATGGACATGAAGTGGTAGAGGGAAGACAGGAGGGGATTCAAGGCAGGAAGTACTGGGTGGTAATCAGCAAGTTCTATGTACAGGAAGAGATGCTGGTTATACCAGGCCATGCAGGGCACCCAGGTGAAGAAGGACAAAAATAAGAAATGCAGACCTTCTAAAAAGACACAGCTGCCAGTGGGCCTTGAACCTTAGGTTCAAGTGGGGAACAAGATGTAGAGTTAAAAGAAAAAAAAGAATGCCCCACAAATGTTGACCATGGCAAAACTGGAAAAAAAATTAAAAGAAAGAATAATTATTAAGCTAATAAAAAGCAAGCCATGAATAAAATATTTAGAAGATTTAGAGGATTAACACTATATGAAAAAACTATTACACAGCCTTAAAGAAGAATGATACATATCTAATGTGCTAAGAGGAAATATGCACAGAATATTTCCTTAGTTAAAAAACAGAATGTAGACTCTTCTGCTTCTAACTATATGAGAGACACAATACCTCCCAGCCATAGAACCAGATCCTACATAAAACTTTAGTTGCAATTTGGGGCTCACAGGAAGTAAAAGAAACTTCCAAGAAATCTACCTTCAACCCTTAAAAGTGAGCAGAAACCAGGGCAGTGAAACGTGGCTATTGCAAGGGTAAATCCAATAGTACCACTGCCAGTGGCAAGAGGACCAAGACTCCAGGATTAAAGTAGCACTCTCCATGTGGTGCAAGAAACAAATGCAAACATACTGTTGAAATGTCATCAATTTAGAAATCCACGTTTTCTGCAGATTAAGATCAGCCAGCTAGGAACCCATAATAAAACATCACCAAACACTAAAGAAAATAAATCACCATGTGTAAGAATCTCAGAAACAACAAATATCAGATTTAGATCCCCCAAGGATTTCAGATAATCAGATAAAAAATTCAGAATTGCAATTTGTAAACATTTTAAAGGAATAAAAGTTGGAATCACAAAAACAAGCAAGCAACAAAAGATTATTAGAAATTACAAGATATGCTTGAAAAGTATAAACGTGAACTGTCAGAAATAAAAGGCATAATTGCTAAACTAAAAAATTCAATGGAAATATTAACAGTAAAGATAAAGTTACTGAACTGATGAAAGACAGAGCTGATAAAATTATCCAGGAAACACCAAGCCAATGAGAATAGAAAATATAAAAAACATTTAAGAGACAAGGAAGACAGAATGGGAAAGTCTAATATATTTCCACCCAGAATTCCAGGAGGAAAGCAAAGAGAGAATATAAAAGAGGCAATATTTGTGTTCTTTTTTTTAAAACCCCAGTGTCCCATGTAACAGGTGGAGATACCACTGTACCAATGAGGAAAAAATGAGACAATATATGCAGAAATGTTACCAAGAATTTTCCAGAAATGACAGAAGACAAGCACTTACAGATGCATGGCACATAGCATATACCAAAAAGAACAAACATACGAACCAAAAGATTCCTGCACCTAAATATACTATAGTGAAATGGAAGGAAAAGGACAAACAAAAACAGCAAGGAACAATAACCAGACAGGACCGGATGGACAGAAGACTTCTCAGCAACAAAGAAAGACAAAAGATTATGGAAAAATAACTTCCATTAGAAGGAAAAGGGAGAAAGAGGTGGGAAAACTATAGTAACTGAGATGTTGTACTGTCCGAAAGATAAAGTAACCAAGAATCAAGATAAGAAACACCAAAAGGAGGCCTTACATATCTCAGAAATAGCACATATGAAAGAGAGGTGGCATTTCAGATCAATAAAGAAAAATTAATTCAATAAATGGGACCTGACACAAGTAGTTATCTATTCAGGAAAAAAAATGAAATTGGATCCCTACCTCACTCCATAAACAGGAATCAATTCCAAATATATAAAAGACTTAAATTTGTAGAGCAAACCTGAAACATTTATAAATATAATATTTTTATTCCTGTGTAGTTGAGACTTTTAAAAAATTCCATAAAGCCTCAACAATAAAAATGATAATAGAGAATATCAAAATGAAGAACTTCTGTTCATCAAAAGATACCCTAGAGAAGGTAAAAATATAAACCATATATTGGAAGAAGATATTTGCTACAAACATAACCAAAATAGGATCAGTATTCATACCATACAAAGAGCTAGTAAATATAAATAAAGAGAAAAAGACAAAAAATAGAAAAACAACAAAGGACATCAGTAGGCATTTCACAGATGAAACAAAAATGGCCAATAAACATATGGGAAGATTTTTAACCTTATTAGTAGTCTAAGAAATACAAAATAAGACATCTTATTTTCACTCAGTTGACCAATAAAAATGAAAAAATCTGATAATAGAAAGTGTTGGCAAGAATGAAGATGAATGGGAGCTCTACACAATGCTGGCAAAAATATGAGTGATGCAACCACTTTAGAGAACAGGGGTTATCTTGTAAAGAAATTATTTTATTCTATAAGTCATTAATTCCATTCCTAGATAGCCATCATAGAGAAAACATTAAACATGCAGATGCTGAAACACATACAAGAATGTACATGGCTACAGTTTTCACAAAAACAAAAAGCTGGAAACAATCTAAATGTCAACCAACAAGAGAATGAAAAAATAAATTGTGGTCTACTTATAGTGGAATACCACATCACAGAAAACTTGATGAACTATTGCTACATAGCACAATGTGAATAAATCTTAAAAATATGTAACTGAGTAAACAAAGCAACAATACTTTATTAAAAAATTCAAAAGTAAGGACAACTAAAGAACATCCTGTTTAGAGATACATAGTTACATAGCAAAACTACAGAGCAAAGCAAGGGGATGATGAACACAAAGCCAAGATAAGGCCCCTCTCTGAGGGGAGATAGCAGAGAGAGGGAACAAGGAAGGAGTGTAGAAGCCAAAATGATCTGAAGCTGATGGTGGGTTTCTGGGTATTTATTTCATTGCTGAAAACAGAATATACAAATGTAAACTGGTACATGCCCTTTTTAAAAATAAAGAAAAAAGAAACATAACATGGGTTATTGTCCAGTGGGAGGGGAGCAAGGAGAGGCCTTCCCTTTTTTATTTTGTATCTTTCTGTGATGTTTGAGTTTTCTAAGAATATATGCTACATTTTAAAAAAATGAATAGGGGTTATCTGCATGAATGAGTTATGGGCTTATGTTTTAATTTTCTTCTTTATACTTTATATATATTTAAATAAATGCCATTTTATGTTTTTTGTTTTTTGTTTTTTTTAAGAAACCTAACATCTTTGTGAATACTCACTGATTCTAGTAATTCATGTCAGGTAGAGGCTACCTAAATGGATGTCAGGAATGGGGAATCTGAAACGTAGGTTTAACAGGCAAAGGTAACTGCTTAAAAATACACAGTGCCATACACAGACCAGGTGGTGAACTCCATTTTCATGTTAATTTTTTTCCTATTTTTGTAATGTGACTGTAATTTTACATAGAAAGCAAGCAAAATCTTAAAAGATCTCAACATCATTTGGGCCTATAAACTGTCTAAATGGAAAAAAATATTTTAATTATCACTGCCACCAATAAATTTACTTACTGAGCACTAATTAATGTTTATTTTTAATGACAAACTGAAATGGCTTGAAAATATCTTACTGTTATTCCTTCATGTTCTCTCTTCACATGTCCTTTATTCTCTTGAATAGGCTGAGGCTCTGAAGAACTCGAATTCTGTGTGTTTTCTGCCTTTTGACCTAGAAATGGTGGGGCAGGGGGGTAGCGGAAATAGAAGGAATGTTTCAGATAGTAAAACCGGAAAATGATTTTATATATAGGTAACTATTAAATTTAAATATTCTAAGGTATGTAAAAACAGGAGTTATGGGCCTGGCAAAACAGCAGCCTATGGGTCAAGTCCACACTTTAGACCTGGTCTCTGGCCCACAGAGAGCTCTGAAGAGAGTGGATTGATTACTGTTCACTGTGGCCAACAGGTTCACTTAGCGCATTTATGTTCGCACAGGGGAGGGCAACAAAACCCTTCCTGGGGTCTTGGGGAAGGTATCTCAGAGAAAAAGTGCCTGTGTTGGCCAGATGAACCAACAGGAAGAAGAGAGCAGTAAGGTGCCTCAGTATTGCTTGAGAATAAAGATTGACGAAAGCACAAATAACCAGTTTCAGTAATAAAAAAGGGAATATCACCACAAAGCCTGAAAACACTAAAGCTGATCATAAGAGGATTTTATGAATAATCTGGGGGCAATAAATTTGAAAAAAAAAAAAAATTTTTTTCTACAAAAACATAATTTATCAAAGTCAGAACAAGAAATGGAAAATCTAAATAGTCCTATAACTATTTTATTTTAACTTTTTTAATTTTTTAACTTGACATATAAAAATTATATTAATATAATATGTATAATATATTGTTTTGAAATATGTGTATACACTGTGCAACGGCTAAATTAAGCTAATTAACATGTATCACATACTTTTTTGTGGTGAGAACACTTAAAATCTACTCTCTTAGCAATTTTCAAGAATACAATACACTGTTACAAATTACAGTCACCATACTGTACAACACATTTCTTGAACTTATTCCTCCTCCATAAGTGAAATTATGTTAAAATATAAATGATATTTTAAAACATTCCTACAAGAAAAATGCAGGCAACTGGTAGTTTCTACCAAATATGTATAAAAAAAAAGCCTTATACAAAACCTTTCAAAAATCTTTCAGATAATACATTTTCTGAAGCTTTTACTGTATTTTCTTATTTCCAGAGGATTTCTAAGACAGAATAATTCCCTACTCATCTGATGAGACTAGCATGACTTTGACATTAAAAGATATGAGATAACTTGTTGATAAATAGAGTTG
Source organism: Homo sapiens (assembly GCF_000001405.40). Lineage (NCBI taxonomy): Eukaryota > Metazoa > Chordata > Mammalia > Primates > Hominidae > Homo > Homo sapiens. The sequence continues at coordinate 20,590,496 of NC_000020.11, forward strand.
ATTTCTTAACTAATTCATGACACCAAAACAGAATAACTATTTCCAATGATACTAGACACACTTTAAGCACACTCTTTCATTGAGAAATCTATTCTTCACTGTTTACAGGTCAAACCATCTGTCTCCCTGCTTTCCACACCCTGTTGCTGCTGCAAGTTGTTGGTGAAACCGTGTAGATTAATGCTATTAAAAGTTATTATTTTCCATCTCAGCAGAGTCGGCAAGCTGTTAATAAACTTTTTCACAAGTCTGGTCAGCTTTCCATTCTCATTTTCAACTTTAACGGCTCTTCTCACAGCCCTTTCCCTATGTCCCTGCCCCCATCCTGCCTCCCTGCCTTCCATAATACCTAACTTGATGCCCTACTTGACTTCATGTTGTAACAGCCTCCGTCTTCCTTCTACTCCAGCCACTTGGACTCCTGTCTCGTCCTCAAACATGCCAACCTTTAAAAAAGTGGGTATATATCTACATATAGATATATAAAAATAATTTAGATAAACAGGTTTAAATAGTGCAAATATTTCATTGCCATAAATCACATCCTTCTAATCAAATTAAAAAGGTAATTCCCTTGAAATAAATATATTCAGAATATATGTACAAAGCAATACTATATGCAGCTTTTATTCCTCTGCCAGAATCTATAGTTCTGTATTAAACACTGAAGACATCATGTACCCTGAGAAGAATCTGAGCACAGCGGCTCGGGGATGTCGGAGGTGCTGCTGCTCCGAAGGACCTGCTGCTGCTGTCCCACTGTGAGATGGCCAGATCCGGCTGCAGGTGCATTTTCTGACTGTTGACACTCCTCCACTTCTGTGAGCATTAACAAAACATGCAAAGTTACAGTTCAAGTTTTTAAAAAACACATTCACCACTTAAAACAACCGATTTAAAAAATAAAGTTTCAAATGCTTTTCACAAATAATTTATAGTCAGATAATCTGCATTTAAATGATCAAGTTTCCTACACTTGCTAACCCCTAATATTCTACTCCAAGAGTACCTTTTCCACTTAAGTTCTATAAAGCCTTTTATTTTTCAATCAAAGTAAAGGAAAAAAAGCCACAATAAAAGGTTAAGAACTGTAAAAGTCATTTGACATTTCAGGGCCAGGCATGCCAAGGAAAGAGAGATTCAGGAGATGCACAGAATGGGTAATGTACATTTGAGAAGAACAGAAAACCACACACACACACACACACACACATACACCCTGAAGGAAGATGAAAGGAAATGTGGGAATTTCTACTGCATTATGCCTTTTTAACAGGTAAGTGCCCAACTGTCCAAAATAAAATGCTATAGTTATGTAATGGCTTATTTCATCAAATGCAATGCTGAATTATTCTCTAAAGTACAGAATGATCCACAGGTATTTGTAGAAAACCAATATATATGAGACATAAAATAGAAAACCATAGCTGGGTAGGGACCACAGGATAATCTCAGTATTATTACAAGCTATATTCCCCTATAGAATGAGTTCCCCCCAGCTCATTTCTAAACTGCACAGTACACTTTAATCTCTAAAGACCACCCAAGGCACTGGAATTATCACCCCACCCTCTCTTTCTAGAGTCACAGCTTCAGGGTTGCACCACCTTTTACGTAGGTTGTTTTAATAGCCTGCAAACTAATCACTAATCACTGTCCCTCTCTTCTTACCACCTTCATATTTATCCTCTCCATGGTCCATCTAAAATAAAGATCTGGCTGTGCCACTCCTCTTAAAACCCACCAAAGCCCTCTCTTGTTAGAGATTCGTCAAACATCCTAGTCAGGGTGAACACAGGCTTTCCTTGATCTCACGGGACATACTGATCCCCTTGCAAGGTACTCTAGCTCACTTTAGTCTCCAGTAGTACTAACCCAGTTGGCACCTGCTACTCTGTTCTTCCTGCTGTTCACTCCCCTATGCTAAACTCACACCTGCTCCCTCATCCCTCCTTACCATGCTGCCCTGGGAATATCCCCTACAGGACCTGCTCCCTGGCCCTGCATGCAAGCCCCATTGCTCTGTTTCTCACTAGATTCCACACTCACTGACGTAGTCATGAAACTTTACATCCACATAACTAGAATATTTTCCACAAATTTTAATTTGCTCATTACTACTACTAAGAAGAGGATAATCAAAACTCAGCCTGTATTATCTTAACTGGCTGGGTCACCTGGTTTGTCACCTGAAATGGAAACTCACTGTCAATGGGCCACCCTCTGTATAATCCTTTAATCTGAGTCATAAGGCAAACTGATGGCTCACCTTAAGCAAGAAGTATGTTGGAAGATTCTACATTTAATACAGAGGATTTCAACAAAAGGTTGCTATTTTTTCTATCCAAATGAAAATGCATTTTATAGTGTGCTGATATGGTTACAAGACCTCAAAACTATGAAATTTGTGTGATCCTTCACTTACAAAAATTTATCAATTTACTTTTTTTTTTTGCTCTGTTGCCAGGTTGGAGTGCAGTGGTGTGATCACAGCTCACTGCACACTCGACCCCCCTGGCTCAACTGATTCTCACACCTCACCCTCCTGAGTACCTGGGAGTTCTGGTGCACACCACTATACCCAAAAAATTTTTGTCTTTTCACAGAGATGGGGTTTTGCCATGTTGCCTAGGCTGGTCTCAAGTAGTCCGCCCACCTCGGCCTTCCAAAGTGCTGGGATTGCAGGCGTGGGCCATGGTGCCCAGCCCACAGTCTAACTTCAGATGCTGGTGGGAAACTGTTTGGAGTACAAGCAAAGATAGGCCAAGGTAGCAAGAAAAGACAGCTATGTTAAAGCCTCATGTTTCCCAGGTTGTCTTTGCCTTCCTCTTCTTTTGAACAGCCAAGAACTGTTCATTTTTCTACAGAGAAACACAAAGCATATGTGCACATTTTTAATCTACTTACACATCCCAAAGTACAGACTACGTCCTTCTCACAGATCTATTTCTAGTCTCTTCAGCCTTCAGCAACAGAAGCCAAATAACACCATAGGGCCAGCCCTTCCGGCTGTCTTCTCTAATTGTTTATTCTAATTATGCAAGATGTTGAAACCTTCTGGGAACAGTTTATATTTGTTAATGAATCTACTGGTTAATCCAGTATCAGAAGGGGGAGCCCAAGAGCTTCCTAACTTTCTAAACTATAATTGGCAAATGCCATTTTTTATGGATAGTGGGAAGAGTTAGTCTCTGAAGCCTGATGCCAAAAACAGATAGATGTTGGTTTCTGGGCTATGAGCAGGAGCAAATAAGAGCTGAGCCAACACTGGCAGCATCTTCCTAAAGATAAAGAACATCGCCATCTGGTGGGATGCAATATAGCCACAGCACCATTGCTTCCAAATTAGAGCGTCCCCACTGGTCCTCAACACAGCAGACGGACGGAGAGCCTGCCACCACCAGCTGGTCTGCCTTCCCAACAGGCTGGCCTAATGCAGCTTTTAAGGCTTTGTTTTTATAAAGCTGTCAGGAGGGACGTATCAGATGGAGAAAGTCCAAGCCTTCAGGAATAGCGGTCAGTAGCAGGGCAGGAGCACTCGTGATTTAGTGGGAAGGAAGGGGAGAGCCACGATGCTTAAGTGTGCTGTTGGGTTGTAGGTGCCCTGAGCTACCTACTCCTGTAGTTGACTATCAATTGAGATGGTGTGAAAAGAGAATTTTCAATTCTCCTTATCCCACAATTTAAATCCAATTTCCTGATTTGTAACAGTATATTTATTGGGATTTTCTCATATTTTATATTAAATACATGTTTTGTATAAATGAATACATGAATGACAGAAACAATTTCTTTATACTATTTTTCCTTTTTAAATAGTTCTTGGGCTCCCTCTGCTGGCATTTTATTTAAGAAAGAGCAATTTATGTTAAATCTGCTCTCATTCTGTGGGGTTAGCTGTTAGCAGTTGCTCTTTCATAACGAATGAAAATCATTTTAATAGTGATATGCAAATACCAAAAGACAGGATTATCTGATATTTAAAATGGAGAAAGAATTATATCAGTTACAATAAAATTATATAATACATCCTAGATCTATTGCATTTTCTATTTTGAATATCACACAATTTGTTTAAATCACTTCAAAGAGCTAAATTCTATCTTAGATTCACCAAATAATGTACTCTCTCTAAAGCCTAGTTAGTTCCAACTACCCAGATTTTAAAAGCACTAACTTTCTCGTCTCTTGACAGTGTAAGTTACACAATACCATTACTAAACTATTACTTTCTTTTTTTTTTTTTTTTTTGAGATGGAGTCTCGCTCTGTCGGCCAGGCTGGAGCACAATGGCGTGATCTTGACTCACTGCAAGCTCCACCTCCCAAGTTCATGGCATTCTCCTGCCTCAGCCTCCCAAGCAGCTGGGACTACAGGCACACAACTGGCTAGTTTTTTGTATTTTTAGTAAAGATGGGGTTTCACCGTGTTAGCCAGGGTGGTCTCGATCTCCTGACCTCATGATCCACCCGCCTTGGCCTCCCAAAGTATTGGGATTACAAAGTGAGCCACTGCGCCCGGCCTAAACTATTACTTTCTAAAGCTCCATTCGAAACACCGAAAAATGATCAAATAAGGATTACTTAATTTCATTTTTTTCCACTGAGAAAAGGCAGTGTGATCAAATTAAGTGTGTAAGCTCTTCAGTAACTTCTATTTTTTTTTCCAGATCTCTATTTTTCACAGCAATTTCACTCACTTTTTAAGTCTTCCTTACTCAGTCTTACATTTAGTAAGTGGAGTGAGGCTCATTCTTCAATAACCAAAATTCTGAGTTCCATTTATCCCTTATACAAGGTTGCATAAGCAAAATAAATAGTATAATTTCCTAATTTTTAAAACACCTTGCATGATACCAATCTGATCCTATAAAAAGCATAGGAAATGCATATCAGCTCAGCATCTTGAGGTTTCCCACAAGATCAAACTTCCCAAGGGTAAATCAGACCAGGTCCTGACAAAAAAGCACTTCCTAGAAGCACACAAACCAGATGCAGAAGCAGCGAGGCAAGGTTTGCCATACCATTCCAATATGCTTTTTTAGAATAAGGGGAGATTGTTGATCCTCTCATTACTACTATTACAATATTCCTAAAAGAAAAATAAAATCTACTATCTGTAAGTGCTACAGATTGATAAATGTTTTAACCTAAAAAGCAGTTAAAATTGTAGAACAGACCGGACGTGGTGGCTCACACCTGTAATTCCAGCACTTTGGGAGGCCGAGGTGGGTAGATCACAAGCTCAGGAATTCAAGACCAGCCTGGTCAACATGGTGAAACCCTATCTCTACTAAAAATACAAAAACTTAGCTGTGCATGGCATGCCTGTAATCCTGGCTACTCGGGAGGCTGAAGCAGGAGAATTGCTTGAACTGGGACCTGGGAGGCAGAGGTTGCAGTGGGCCAAGATCGCACCAGTGCACTCCAGCCTGAGGTACAAAGCAAGACTCTATCTCAAAAAAAAACAAACAAAAAACAAACAAACAAAAAAACTGTAGAACAGCTGGAAAGAACTGTTCTCACGAAGGGAAAAAAACAAATAAAAGAAAATCACAAAAAGTGCCAGTCCTACCTCCCCAACTGTGTTTCTTTATGTAGCTATTCATATTAATGGAAACAGGTGGTTGTGACTCCAAAATACAAACGTCACTTCTTCCTCCCAGAATATGAACAACCCACCCAAAATTCTGCTGCTGCCGCCAAATACAGTCCCCAAAAGATCAGAAAAACAAACAATCGTAGCTAAAAGTAAGTAATTGTCTATTGCTTATATTATTAAAACAATTTTGGTGGGTTTCTAAATCACATAGATTAGAAACAAAAACAAAAAAAGTTAAATGTAAACAAAATTAGCAATCATGTTAACTTAAATGTAAACAAAATTAGCAATCATTGATAGGGTAAGGAGCTTGTGCCAGAAAGTAAAATTAAGTGTCATATTATCTAGCAGTATGTTGGTGGGGTATGCCTACATACTTGGATTTAAATTGGAGGGCAAATTCAATACTCTAATGTGCCAACCAGTGGAGAATATACAATCTGCCCTTGGGTCAGTCTCTTGATAGGACAGTCATAAAGGACAATGGCAACATTTTAAGTAGTAAAGAACCAATGGCATCAGGCTAAGAAGCTCACTATCATAGTTGGAATGTCAGGTTGTTCTCAAAGTCACTATACTCTAAAGTTCTTTCACCCTTTGTGCTACAAAACCAAGAACAAAGATGGCAAAGGCAGGAAAACTGCAGACCGAGCCCAGGCCACTTGATTTCACTCTGACTTAGGATTTCTCAGCCTCGGCACAGCTGGTATTTTGGGCCAGACAATTCTTTGTTTGGGAGCTGTCCTGTGCATTGCAGACTATTCAGCAGCATCCCTGACTTCCATCCACAAGCTGCCACTAGCACTGTCCCACTTGTGACAATTAAAAATGTCTCCAGGCATTGTTGAAATTGTCCCCAATTGAGAATCACTGCTCTAAATCACATTTAACTTCAGTTGGAACTGTATACGTATATACAGGAACCAAGAGTCTTAGTAAAATAAAATGTAATATTGAATGAGAACAAAAGCTTCCAAAATTAAATTACTAATAGGAAGAGATTTCTTGTGGGAACATGTTCTGGACAAACTAGTGAAAAACTTAAGAGAAACAAAATATAGAAAAAAATGGACTGTGACATAAGAAAACTTTTCACCATGAAAAAAATTCTTTTGGGGTGTGTATTAGCCAAACAGGGGGTAAAATCATTTTAAATACTTTATTAATCATCTCCAAACAATAGCTTTTTTTGAAAACCAAATAATTGGGCAGTTAAAACTCAACAGTAATGTAATTGACTAGTGACCATTTTCCCATGTACCATTCTTACTGTTTTTCACCTTTAATAGTTACTGGAGAAAAAGAGTTTTCTAAGAAACATTATAGTCCTCGCTCTTGGTAAAACTTCTTCCCTTAAATTCTATAAAGTAATATGGTATTTACATAGCCATCAGAGAACGTAAGCTTTCATTTTGCTTTGCTAAAACACAGTATGACATAGTTTAGTACTACAGAAAGCCACAATTAGGTTATCTCCAATGTTAAAAAAAATACTAATCTTTGGGAGGCTGAGGCAGGTGGGTCACGAAGTCAGGAGTTCAAGACCTGCCTGGCCAACATGGTGAAACCTCATCTCTACTAAAAATACAAAAATTAGCCAGGTGTGATGGCACACACCTGTAGTCCTAGCTACTCGGGAGGCTGAGGCAGGAGAACTGCTTGAACCCGGGAAGCAGAGGTTGCAGTGAGCCGAGATCATGCCACTGCACTCCAGCCTGGGCAACAGAGAGAGATTCTGTCTCAAAAAAATCAAAAACAACAACAACAAAAAATACTAATCTACAACGCCAAATTTCTGAAAATAAAAAAGATCATGAAAATGATCTTTCTCTTTTAAGGAAGAAGATTCAGTTCATCCTAGAATCACTGAAAAATAAATAGACATAGGCCTAATTATTCAATATAGAGAAAGGTAAATCCTTCTGTTGAAGTAAGTAGGCCAAAAATGACTTTTGGTGCTATGATATCTTAATAAAAAATGTACTGTGTGTAAATCACACATGGCTAAATTCAATTTTAATTGGCTGAAGTACAGGAACAACGTTTCTTTGTTTTGGAAATTACTGCTTTTTGGCACTGGTCCTTTTGCACTCAAATTTCAATAGTATAAATCTATATAACTGGTCATTACTTCACATATATGATTTATTAACTCCAAGTAGATCCCGCCTACATACATTTTTCTAGTTTATTCATTTTTTGGAAGGCATAGTAAGCATTCTAATACTGACATTCTCAAAACTTTTATGAAAATCCCCTTACTTTCTATGGGCACTGTATAGAAGACACACTAAGGCAGGCATCACATTTCCCCCTATTAAATAGCTATGGACTGAAAAACCCTTCTATCCTTCTTAATTGTTATTGCCAAGACCAAAGTTATAGAAATTTTTCTTGACTATCTAATTGCCATTAAGTATCTAACTACACAAGAGCAATTACTAGCATTCATTGCAATTTAACACTAGTGTAATGGTCAGGCACGTGTGTGATGTGGGGATATTAACAAAGGAAGCAATGCCCAGAGGCAAGCGGGAGAAGCCCAGGAACAGTGATGGACACATGAGACAGTATTACAGTACCTGACAGCCTGTGAGAGCAAGAAGAGTAAGAGAGACCAGGTAAGAGAGCGCTCACGGTGTGAAGGAGGAGCGGGACGCTTTTAGTGGCAGGCAAAGCCTCAGAAAGGTGGACACAGTTGCTGATAGACTGGCTTCGCTTAGCTTCCAGGAGAGATAAAGTAATAATTATGTCAGAAGAACAATAGGACCTTTCACTTTATTATTATTACTTTTCTGGGCTCTCTTTAAACATTTAAAGGAGGTCATTTAAACTTTTAAACTTTAAAGGAAGTCAGTACAAAGTATAGTATTTAATTGTAGTCTCTAAATACAGCCAACTTTCAGTCAGTCATTCTCATGACACAGGACAATGGGCAATCCACAAATAATTTTATTTTGAAATGCTTTATATGTTTAGCCTTTCCTTCTTTCTGCTGTGTATCAGATTCACATTCAGGTTATTTGCCTGGACAGACATTATAATCAGTTTTCCTTTCCTAAAGGACAAATACAAAAAGACCATGGTGAGAGAGGGCATATCTGGCCTTCATTCAGAAGTTGGTTTGCTGAGAGCTGACTGTATTCAAAAGCAAATCATTTAGTAAATTAAATATCCAAAAAGCTCAAGAACACATAAAAGTCAAGTTGAACATTAAAAGATTTGATATTTGAGGAAAAGGTAAAATCTCCATGAAACCCATCCTTTTATGTCACATTTCATGCTTATTAAATCCATACATCTTAAGTGTCTACTTTACGGTGTTCTTATGTTTTCTATATACTGCTAGTCAAATAAATATTGGAGGAATTGAATGAACATAGGAGGAAAACGTGCTTCATATATGTAAAACCACAATCTGTAAAATCAGTTTTATTCTAAAACAAAAATATAAAGATTTACTTGCTGCTTTACTATTTTCATATGACATCAGTTAACATTAATGAAATGGAACTACAAATGATAGTAACACATTTGCAAAAACCGGAACAAACTTTTTACCCTACTGCCCTTTCTCCTACCCTTTGCCTATTCGAATTCCCAATAGGCTGGGAGCCTGTAATCCCAACACTTTGGAAGGCCAAGACAGGCAAATCACCTGAGATCAGGAGTTCAAGACCAGCCTGACCGACATGGTGAAACCCCATCTCTACTAAAAATACAAAAATTAGCTGGGCATGGTGGTGCATGCCTGTAATCCCAGCTACTCGGGAGGCTGAGGTGGTAGAATCGCTTGAACCTGGGAGGTAGAGGTTGCAATGAGCCAAGATCACACCACTGCACTTCAGCCTGGGCTTTTTTTTAAGACTCTGTCTCAAAAAAAATAAAAAATAAAAAAAAAATCCAATGATAGAAGAGCTGGGCATGGCAGCTCACTCCTGTAATCCCAGCACTTTGGGAAACAGAGACGGGCAGATCACCTAAGGTAAGGAGTACGAGAACAGTCTGGCCAACATGGCGAAACCCCGTCTCTACTGAAGAAAAAAAAAATTAGCCTGGCATAGTGGTGCGCACCTGTAGTCCCAGCTACTCAGGAGGCTGAGGCAGGAGAATCGCTTGAACCTGGGAGGCAGAGGTTGCAATGAGCTGAGATCGCTCCACTGCGGTTCAGCCTGAACAACAGCATGAGACTCCGACTCAAAAAACAAAACAAAAAAAGAATCCAATGATAAAAGCAAATAGTTTTTAGGAATTGGAATGAGAAAGGAAATCAGTGAATGAGCATCCTCAAAAGTTGCCTGCTAACAAAGAATTGGGTCTCTCCTCAGGGGAGAGAATGACAGAAAGAAAGAAAGAAGCAGAATAGGCTGTGCATGTAAATAAGGTGATAATTTCCAGCAAATGCTACAGCAAAAAAGTATGAGAGAGTTACAGTTAAGGTGGAATATATTTTCATAAAAACTCCAACAGGATTCTAAACCATCTGTATTAAGCCTTTACTAAGCACTATAGAATATGTTAAGCTTTAATGAATCTTTGTTTTATGGCCAGAGGATCTTGCGACTTTCTGAAGTCAACATGTTAAATATCAATTACAATTGTCTTAAACCTAAGTTACAGGCTCAAAGTCACTGGGGAGGAGGTGGCTTTATTTATTCTTATTAAATGCCGTATACAAGCTTCTTTTTAAAGAGTTCACTTTTTGTTTTAAAAGTAAAATGTAGGGCGGGCGCAGTGGCTCACGCCTGTAATCCCAGCATTTTGGGAGGCCGAGGCGGGCAGATCACGAGGTCAGGAATTCGAGACCAGCCTGACCAACATGGTGAAACCCTGTTTCTACTAAAAATACAAAAATTAGCCGGGCGTCGTGGCACGCGCCTGTAATCTCAGCTACTCAGGAGGCTGAGGCAGGAAAATTGCTTGAACCCGGAAGGCAGAGGTTGCAGTGAGCTGAGATCACACCATTGCATTTCAGCCTGGGCGTCAGAGCGAGACTCTGTCTCAAAAAAAAAGAAAAGAGAAGAGAAGAAAAGAAAAGAAAAGAAAAAAAGAGTAAAATGTAGCAAAGTAGTCCAATTAACTGGGGGTTGTTGGTCAAGTTGTTAACTGAAATACGCTGCAAAGATAACATCCACAGGCATGAAAAGGCTCAATTTTCCAAAGGAGCAAAAAATGAAAATGTCTATCCAGTCCTGAAATTCTCCTTTTCTTTGCTGAAACAGGTTGCCACACTCTAAAGATTAATATTGTTTAACACTGACAATAGTGCAACTACTGGTGTATTTATTAACAATCTATTTTCTTCAAGGTTCAAACAAAACCTGTATTTTCTCTATTTCGCACAAATATCTCACTCAATATCAACATCACAAGTTCTTTCTCACAATGGAGGATTTAGAAATAAGTAACTGAAAACTGTGATTTGAAAAGTAACCAGAGCATAAAGCTAAAAAGATGTAGAGACATTTCATTTAATATAAGGTCTAATATTTAAATTTTGAGTAGAATTTTTAACACACTTTATGCCTATAAATTTATTTTAGATAACAATTAGATTTTTGAGAAGCATTTAAATAAATGTTTACCAGTTGCTTTTTGGCGAACAATATTTCTTGCCTTTTCCACTCCCGGTGCTCCAGACGTGGTGGCACTCCTAAATCGCATCGGTTCGGTCACATCTGGGTGGCTCCGCCAGCTGAGAGAAAAGGACCTCCCCACGGTGGTTCCTTTCTGAGGATCTAGAACACAGCCTGATAAAGGAAAAGAAAAATAATCTAAAGGCTGAATTCATTATTATTCATTTCACGCTTGTGTTGCTCAGCAAATGGTGTACCTACAACTATATATAATCAGCAGGTTTCCTTGTCACAAATTAAGTACCACTTCCTTACACTGCAATTTAGGAAGTTGCTCATATGTCACTAATTTAAGAATTCTTGTTGCCAAAATATTTTCAAGAATCTAAAACAGTCTTATGGATATTATTATATCTTCATAGTACTCATTCCAATATACAAAAGAAAGTATTAATAAACCTTTCTCAATACAAGAACAATATCAAATGAAGTTATACTACTGTTCCCAGGACACTCCAAAAACCACTACTTATAAACCAAAAACTCAGAGATCCTGATGTTAGAATAGTACTGCATCCTGTAGACACCAACCCCTCCACAAATCCCCAGAGCAATCCATGCCTATAAACTCTAATGTGGATTCAGTCAAATGGGCAGGATAATGAAAATCTACAAATAATACAAAATCCTATTTTAGCAAAGGTCCAAAACAATAAAACATTGTAGTCTGAGATTCAACTTTTATTTTTCCTCATATTGTTCTGGTTAATTATTTCAATGAGAGGCTATGGACCAAAAGAAATAGAGGAGGAAAGAGAATGGCAGACTTACAGATTTCTGCACAGGTATGATGTGGCCAGTGGCTGCCACCTGTGGCATGTTTCCACACCCAGTTTCCTCTGCCTGTGCTTTTTGTTTCTAGTAGTCTAGCCCTTAGAAGGCAAGTGTTTCTATAATAAATATTTAAATCCTTTTTAGAATAAAGCAACATAAATCAGAAATATTAGTCATGGTCACTAATTAAATAATGTGTTCGGTACATTTTGAAAACAGTGTTTTCGAAGTTGTTTGCCTTCCTAAGATAAGTCTGTCTCTTTAGATGAATCTGTGGGTAGGAAGAGAATCTTGCAGAATGGCAGGCGTGTGTGTGTGTGTGTGTGTGTGTGTGTGTGTAGTGTATGCACACATGTGCACTCGTGCATGGATTACAACAATTGAAGGTAGGTCCTTATCTCCTATTTCAGCTCTCCTCCTCTGGCCTGAAAGGTATCCTTAGCCAGGTAAGTTCTCTTCTGGGCTGAGAACGACTGTCTTAGGGAGGCAAGTTCCTAGTTGGAAGTATCTGGGTCCTCTCAGGCCCCGGGTTTACACAAAGGTCCTCAGAGCTGTCAGAGAGGACTAGATGGACGCCAAGGGCCCAGACTCTTGGCTCCCTGCCCCTACTTCAATCCTAAATCTCCAGTCTATTTCTTTAGAAAGGAGTTGTGTATACCTTCAACCGGGAAGAAAAACGGATCTGTTAAAAATGTTAGAAAATCATTGCATTAGACAGTCTAAATCTACATTGGGATTAAACTGTTCCACTGGATTGCCATGTACTTCAACTACTTTATTTTGGCTTCTTACTAACTTGCTTTTATTAATTAGTGCTTTGGCAAGCCATTCTCAGATTTCAATGAAGATATAAGAATCCACCACATTTATTATACGTGTATATGGTTTACTAACCACTGTAACTGGTTCACACCTCCCTGTATCCACATCCTCTGTTGTTCTCTCCTGTAATGACATTAGGCTTCATCACGTGACTTACTTGGTAGCAAAACTGAACAAGCAGAGACTTGAAATGCACTTGAAAATTTGAGCTTACCCTCTTACTGCCCCTGAAACTCTAAGCCACTTGGTGAACAAGCCTGAGCTAGCCTCTGGCTGCTGAAACACGTGGCCCAGTCACACCTCATTGCCCCTGCTGACAGCCAGTCAACCCGTAAAAGTAGAGCTGCCTAGCTGACTATTTCACAGCGTGGTTGACTGCAAACACAGAAGCAAAGACCAGCAGAAGAACTGACTGGCTGAGTCCAACCCAAATTGCCAACTCATCAAATCAAGATAAATAAGTGGTTGTTATTTTAAGCCATAAGTTTTGGGGTGATTTGTCACATGGCAAAAGCACACTGATACTGTCTATAAGGCAGCTGGTATTATTAAAGGGTAGTCTACACAATAAGCAGTGTGTACCCTTTAAGAAGCTTTGAAGGAAAAATTCCTCCCAAGTCTCAGGAGGACCTAATAAAAGCTAAGCATCACCTAAGTGATTGAATTGTTTTTACCCTATGTGCTCTGTGATTCTCTATTTGATGTAACCCTGCAAAGACCAAAATCAAATCCAATGTTTGACTTTTCCATCTCCCCAGCAAGCCCACGAGGCTCTATGGCATGTATTTTGGCATTTTAATCACAATGGCAGTTCCCTGCAACCTCACTCATTTTGACCCTATTTTGTATTTGATCTACTGTACTATATGCCTTTCTATGAGCTGCCTCAAATCTTTACAGAGTAAGGTGTAGTACAAGTGAATTAATCCAAGGACCATGCCACATCCTTAAGCACAGTAATTAAGGGGATGCCAAATTGTCATTCCTAATAGAAACTACCACTGATGTTTTCTACCTTGAAAACATAACTTTCATTTGAGGTTCTCAGTCCCAAAACAACTTTTACCCAGAAATACAACAAAGCCAAAATAGCTCCCATCTGAAGCATTCAGAATTTCTCCACGTTTCCTAGAGAGGCTGTAGAATGCATCTTAATAGTGTGACATCTTGAGTTGTATTTATCCAGCTTTGATTTCTAAACACTTCTTAACTATGTGGCCTTGGATGAGTCAATCACTGTAAGGCAACCTTGTCCAACCCGTGACCCATGGGCCACATGAAGCCAAGAATGGCTTTGAGTGTAGACCAACACAAATTCGTAAACTTTCTTAAAACATTATGAGATTTTTTTTTTTTTTGCAATTTCTTTTTTTGTTTTAGCTCATCAGCTATCGTTAGTTTTACTGTATTTTATGTGTGACCTAAGACAATTCTTCCAATGTGGCCTGGGGAAGCCAAAGGATTGGACATCCCTGCAAAGTCTCTGTACTTCAGTTTCTTTGTCTGTGATATGGGGATAATACAAGTATCTACAGTTCACTAGGTTATTATGAAGGTAAAAAGAGATAATATGTACAATGTAATAGCCATTATTATTACTGTTAGTTATCACTACTATTACTACTACCTTCCTTGCATCTTCCTTCTTGCATAGCTTCCTCAGAAATTCACCATCTCATTAAGGGAACAGAATGATATGAGACACAAATTAATGCCACTATTAAGAAGACACTGTGTAGTTGGTTCAGTTCATTATAAAATTTCGCGCATTAATTGCTTAGTCATACAAATACACACTCGTCCCCAGTCCTAGACATCTGGTGTTAACCTGGAAGAGTGGAAATACCTTTGCCTCGTTGCTTCTTTTCCTTTTGTTCACTTAATTTATCCAGAGGTAGGTTTGTCATCTCAACTCCATAAACGGTTCTTGCAAGCACTGCTGTCAAGGAGTCCATAATGTTGGCCCACTCGTTTATAAGTTCCTCCCATTCCGTGAGGGAGGACAGCACACCAAGAAAGTCATCCCAGAGCTCTCGAGAAATGTACACACAGAGGTTTGCTCGGATCCAAGCTACCATGAGCGTCTAAAACCAACCAACCAACAAGAGAATTCACACATCTTCATTTGGAAAAAGCATACTTTTAAACAAAATGTTTTAAATTACTATTAATAACACAAATTTTAAAATAAAAAGTACTTTTGGAAGTTGTTTTTCTTTTAATTCTCAAAATTCATTTGACCAACTATAATCAAAATTTAAGCTATTGGGGAGTTAGTTATCATTATGAACAAAGTTACTGATTCAATATTGTTCTAGTGTCTGCAGCTGGCCCTGGCTATAATCAGAGAAAAGACAAAGCCCTCCGCACAGTGACAACTCTGCTTCCTGAGACTGCTCTTTTCCTACCATCCACAGTGGCTACTTCAAACCTCCTACAGGAAAACCGCCAGCCCACCAAATCCTCCCTGACTTTGAGCAGATGGATTCACTGCAGACTTCACAAGAAACAGAACCCATTCAATGAGACTCCCCTCAACCTCTGCCCATGGACTCACATTCTTGCCCATATTCACCCAGCTCCACCTCCACCTGTGGGCTGAACTCCAAGAGGGGCCCCGCTCTGCTACCCTGTTGCCCCCTTACACTCTGGACCCCTTCCTCGGAGTCTTCATGCCTCTCTTAACCACCCCTCTCCTTTAATCTCCAGCCAACCCCACTTCCCCAGCTCTTTCTCTTCAGCATTTAAATATACTCCAAACTCTTCCTCATCTTAAAAGAAAAAATTCCCTTGAACCCAGATTCCCCCGTCTAGCTACAGCCCTTTTCCTTCCATTTTCACAGCCAAACTTCTTGAACGAATGTTCCACACCCGCTCCATCTCCACTTCCTCATCCCCCAGGCAACAGACTGCTCTGGTTCTCCCCTTTCTGAGGCCACTTCCACCTTCTGCCTGAGTTTTGGCTCCATTCCCATGGCTCCAGTTATCCTCTGTGTGCTGCTGACTTCTGAATCTCCATGTCCAGCTTAGACCTCTCTACTGGTTTCCTGATCTATCTACCTAGGTACTAGACAGTGCTACTTACACAACCCTCAGGCACCTATCAAAGAGCATAATAGTAAAAGGTATTCAATTTCTTCCACTGACTTTCTCTCAGTGCCTTCACCTGCTCGCTCCTGCATCTGGCCTTTGCACATACTCTTCCTTCCCTCTCTTTCCTCCTTTTTGTTTCTGTATAACTCCCCCTCATTTCTCAGGTCAAAATTTGTGCATCACTTCCTCCAAGAAGGTATCCTTGACTATCTCCCCACCACCACCTCCCAGCCTCCAGGAAGTGTCCTCCAGGTCCCTGCATTTTCCCCCCATCAATGCACCTATCACACCTTTCCTTCACAGTCTATTCACTTATCAGTGTCTGCCCCCAGTCTTATAGTCCACAGCACTACAACTGGTCACCTGGACAGCCCTATGAGACAATTATGCCTATATGCTGGATATTTCCTTCCCATAAAATTGCCCCATTCCTTACCTCTGCCAAAATATTCACCATCCTTTAAAATTCAAATCCAAATATATCTTCCCTGAAAGAAGTGCCTCTACATAGCCAAGTCCATCTCAAATGAGCCACAAATGCTTTCCTAAGCCTTGTGAAAAGGAATCCTTATACCCAAAGTCTATGTAAGTCCCATAGCCTGGTGTCAAAGAGAAATGCACTTGTTAAGATACCAGCTTGCATGTGCATTGGCCCAACCCAGATGCAAATAGGCTCCCACTCTTGTCAGGAATTCTTCTTTGCGTAGGTGAGTTCACTTCTTAATTTTTTTCCCCAAATTATATATAGATTTTTTAATGGAATTTACTCTTTAACATAGATACAGGAAAACTCTGATAAACAGAAATCAGTCTATAAAATCAGACAGGCCTATTCTGACCACCTGGAAAATCTTATTTAAAGTGGTCCTTCTGTAATACGCCTGTTCTCTGTTTCAATTTGTGTTTACCACTTTTTAAGAACATAAAAATGTTAAAGTAGGACTAAAGTAGTTAATTATATAAAAAACAAGATATTAACCACTTATATTTAAAGTCTGATTCTAACATGTATGAACTTGGTAAAACTAAAAATATGAAAGAAAATAAAATAATTTTATCTTTATTAAATATTTTATTATGACTAAAATGCCATCTCCTATTAATTTTTATACCCCTGCTTTCAAGATGAATTTGAGGCCATTGCCATAACGTACCTATAGACAATAAAATTAATAAATATTAGATCAATAAATATAATCTGAGCCAAGTAAGAGAAGAAAGTAGAGACTGATAATGTTATTAGGACTCAGACTCACATTTGGATATAGCGCCAGCTTCATGGATAAAAGCAGATGTCTTGGTGTAATGAGATGCTCTATACTGGGGATCTTATAATGGCTTCACTTTATTGACTAATTATGAAACAAGCGCAGAATGACTTCTTGCAGCTTATAAAATCAACTTAGCAAATATTACAAACATGTATGCAGACCTGTTGAATTATCATCATAATTCACAACTGACAACACGTGCACAGAGCAAAATGGTAAAATGGTAAAATACAGTTGGGTGGTGAGTGGTGGCACCTGTGGACATGAAGGCAGGGTGTCCTTTTAATCAATTACCATTTTCTAAAAGGAAGAGGGAAACAAACAGCCTGGACTACCCTGGTTTGTGACCTAGGAAAGTCACTTGGCCTTTCTGTAGTCACATTTCTCATTAAAAATAAGAAGTGCATAAGAGCTTCTCCAAGGTTCCTTCAGTACTGAAATTTGATGTTTTATCAGATACATTTTGGCACACAAGATGTATTTTAAAAACACCTTAACTAATAAATCACTCCTGTTCTTATGAACATTTGCTAACCAACCACTTCCTACTTCACTCTACCAACACACTAAGGGGACTGCGTAACTTTAAAGTAATGGCTCATATTACAAAGAGCAGGACCACAGTTTCCTGATATACCATCAGAGCTTCAAGCATAAGGTCATATTTAGCACTGATAATAAATTAAAACATCACTTAAGGCAATAAGGCAGTCACCATTATTTGGTAAATATTTAAAACTAAGTCAAATTCAGTCATCACTTAAAGAAAATTTGGTGGCCCAGGTTATCTACTGACAGAAAAAAAAACAAACACTAGAAGAACTAGAAAAAGATAAAAAGGGTAATAAAAACTTAAAAATGTCCCGTCCCTTTTAACAGTCTCCTTGTTCTCAATTTTTCAAAAAAAAATCAAGTGTCTAGCCATTTTAGACAGTCCACATGATCAAATGAATACTAATTAGATAGCATGTTTTAACGGCAGCGTGGGACCAAGATGATGCCCAATAGAGAGCCTGGCTGGTAAGTCCAGACCCTTAGTATTCTTGCCTCTTGCATCTCACGTAAGAACGTGGGAGGTCAACAGATGATCACAAATCCCAATGGGCCCACTCTGATTCTCATGACAACCCTGCAGGGTAAGAAGAAGTCCTTTCCTGATTGTGACAGATTAGGGAAGACACTCAGAAAGCTAAAGTCATGTGCTCAAGGCCACATAGCCAGAGAGTAGCAGAGCTGAGATCAGAAACACAATCTGCCTAATGCCAAAAAGCTCATCCTCTCTTCACTATTTTTTATGGTAGGTTTTTTTGTTTGTTTTTTGAGACAGGGTCTTGCTCTTTTGACCAGGCTGCAGCACAGTGATGCAATCATAGCTTGCTTACAGCCTCAACCTCCCGGGTTCAAGCAATCTTCCCACCTCAGCTCCCAAGTAACTGAAACTTCAGGTGCATGCCACTATGGCTGGATAATTTTTTTAAAATTTTTTGTAGAGACAGGGGTCTCACTCTATTGCCCAGGCTGCTTTTGAATTCATGGGCTCAAGCAATCCTCCTGCCTCAGCCTCCCAAAGTGCTGGGATTACAAGTGTAAGCCACCATGCCCAGCCTTTTGGTTAGTTCTTAATTTAAGCATCCTTCTCGATCTACCTAACCACTGCCAAAATAATAACAACATCAAAATCATTAATAATCATGAACTCAAAACTAAGTTTCAGGGAAGTCAGGTTAACTGAGCTTCAGGGAAGTCAGGTCATCTGAGGAGGGAAGTAATATCTGACAAGGTTTTCTCCATTCATGGGGGGAGTTTTTTTTTCCCCAAAGATCAAAACCAACCAACCAACCAAAAACAAAACAAAACAAAAAAATCCGAACCCCAGAATAGATACTTGTTTAATTCTGTGACAAGTTCTCTAATTCCAACACACAAAACAGATGCAGAGCCAGGCAATTGGTGGGAATAAGGCCCAAGCATCTGCCAGTGTGAGACTGGCTTCAGCTCATGTCCACTTGGCAGCCCAGGTCCAGGACGGGGAGCTCGAAAGGGTGCCAACAGTGAGACGCTTCGCTGAGAAAGCAAAGTGTGCAGTGTCCATATGTCCAGGCAGGCAGCAAAGCAGTGGTCAGTACCACCCTCCACGCATCAGCAGAGCAAAGCTGGACACATGCAAAAGAAAGTTTAGGGCCACTTCACACATCCAATGTACCAGGCAAGGCAATCAGAGTAAAAGCAATTGTAATATTCAGGAGGCCAATTATTTCAATAGCCTCTCATACATTTTTTATCAAGCCAAGAGCATTGACTCATATTAAGTTATTCAAAATTCCGTTATCTTGTGTTACAATGGCAATATTTAGCTTTAAAGAAATAATTTCTCCTTTTGTCACTTTTACCTACATGTCCTACCCATATTCTAGATATGCTTTTTAACATATATCCTCCAAAACCACCTTCAGGTCAACTGAGGAGGGAAGTTAATTTCTCCTCCCCACAACTATCACCTATGTAATTATCCAAAGTCAAGTCCATCCACTGTACTAATATCTTTATTTATGTAGAATGTAGCATTTTTCCAGAGCCCTTTCACACTGTTCACTTTCAGTAATGCTTCATAAACTCTAAGGTCCTCATAAATATTAGCAACATCACAGTAGGCTGCCATGCTCAGGACTCTCTGGCACATCTGTTCCCCAGGCAGCTCACCAGGTATCAGCCTGCTCTTGGTCTTCACCTGCTCACCACATGAGATGCAAGAAGCACAGGCATCTCTTTGGCTCTCTGCTCGCACCAAAGACCGGCCCAGCCCTCCACCATATCCGGGACCTCACTTATCCTCTGTCTCCCCAAGACCATCTTGTCCTCCCTCACTGGACCATCCCATTGGTGAGCAAACATACTTTAGTACCACCCACCTTAAACCTCGCCCACCATGTATGCCACCGACTTCAGCTAGCTCCCCTTTTCCTCTTCCTTTCCACAGCAAGAACTCTGCAAAGCCTTAACTACACTTGCAACTTCCACTGCCCAGCTCTCATTTTCTCCTCCATCTACTCCAGGTGGGACTCATCCCATAGAACATTCTCAACCAACTACATCTGTCAAAGCCCATGGTCAACTGGCTGCTCTCCTCCTACCCAATACTCATCCCCAGGCACCCAGGATACACACTCCTCTGGTTTTCCTCCTCACTCACTGGCCACCCTTTCTCAGCATCTCTCCCATCACCTGTGGACATTGTCCTCTCTAGGTAAGCCCATCCTGTGGCTTTAAATACAATTGCCCAACACACTGATGGCT
Source organism: Homo sapiens (assembly GCF_000001405.40). NCBI lineage: Eukaryota > Metazoa > Chordata > Mammalia > Primates > Hominidae > Homo > Homo sapiens. The sequence goes on from NC_000020.11 coordinate 20,610,987, forward strand.
CTCAAAGTTTTATCCCATTCCCATACTTTCGTTCATCCTTTACCTCTCCAAATCTACCTAGCCTTCCACCAAGGCCATCAGAGCTTCCTAATTCCTACCACCCTTGAGCAAATTAAAAGAGGAAGTAGGTAGCAGAGAGGGAGAAAAGCCTAAAAGCCCAGCACTAATTGTAAAGAACAGATCATAACCTTCAGGACAAAGCTAAGAAGAAAAATTTCTAGAAATTTAAATTTAATATTATTTTTAAAATTCTCAATGATTAAAACTAGTTTGCTACAAAATCTGATTCATTTCTTGCATTTGCAGTGCTTTCATAAAAAAGACTTACCCTAAATAGTAACCCTGCCAAGCTCTGGGCAAACAAGTCCTTTATTTGTTTATCCTTTGGCTTCTGCATGACAGCTTCTGTTATCCTGAGTAGTATTTGCAACATCTGTTCCCTGGGCCACCCAAAATAAAAGCTCATATTAATAATCATGTCTCCAAAGCACTTTAATTTATAGGTACCAGAAATTCTCTTAAGAATTCAGCAACATTGATAATTATGTATTACTCGAAACTATTAAAGTCCAGATGCCAATTACATAATGAATACCATATTTTACCAAAATAAGCTCCCTTATGTTATAACAGTTTTAAAAACATGCCTCCCATGTCCACACAAACAGGCAGGATAAAACATCATTCCAGCCTGATTTTCTCCCCTTGCAAAAAGAGAGGCAAGATCGTCTTCTCCAACTGTGCCAGCAGCTTAAAGGTACTCAGTGAAAACCTACTGGAACATATGCAGCACTCTTTAATTTTGCTATCCACTGTTTTACTTAACCTGTAAGGTCTCCCTCTCATTGCAACAGGAGGTGAAGCTGACTTTCTGGCCTTTATTTTGGGGACACACACAGTCAGTATCTTGGTAAGGTGGAATGCCACAGTACTCTCACAGGCAGGAGGGGTTTGCATTACAGGACACTTACAGGCACAGTGCTCATGTCTGGAAGATCCTGACTCTGCACTACAGGGCACAACTGAGACAAATGCCATCACTGCAGCTCAGTTCCAATGTGCCAGCATTTTTCATAGTCTCTTACAGAAGGTTTATGTAAAAGGACTTTGAAGACTATAAAATAGTACAGAGACAACATAACACTGCTAATTACAATAATAAGTTCTTCAGAACAGCCAAAAGACATTTTTCTTTCTTACACCTAAGTTATATTGCTCATATCAGAGTATCTGCTCACTTTTTCTTTCCCTAGATTCTATGGGAACACAGAACACATCATCTTTCATATGTAAGAGAAGTGCATTTGTTCCTCGAGGGAAATCACTCTGGTTCCTTTCAGGTTTCACATGCTAACCATTCATCTAATCTTTACTACTTTCTCCTTGGCTTTACTGCTCTTTAGTAATAAAACTGAGAATAGGACAAAGTAATCAGATGAGATCTCTAAATCATAGTTCCCGTTTACTTTTCTCATATCTCTGCTTATCAAAACAGCATTTTCTCCTAACAATATATGATGCTGAACCTCATAAAATTCCTCACAGTAAAATCACCTGTGGGGATTTCCTGCCCTCTTTGTAGCTGGCCCCATTTGATTTTGGTCCCCAGAGTCATCTGTTGTTATACATTCTCACTGCACTGCATGCTACTTGTCCATGTATTCCTATTCCCTGCCTACGGATTCTGGAAGCACAGAAGAGGAAGGGCTATCTTCTGGGCACACACGCTGAAGCAGGATGGTGACTTTGAAGAGAACTGGGAGAAGCAATGGCACAGTGCTGGGGGACAGCTTGTCGCTCATCACATTCAGGGTACCCAGGCCCCTGTCGCCAGGGCAGAGAAGGGCAGCACCTAGTATCACCACTGCCCATTCATGTTACATGATGCATAAGACAATGAAAAACAATCCCTTACACACAACTAGTTACAGATCCATCATGAGAATGTGATGAGAACAACAGACATCGTAAGTTTCAAGTAAAGCCTTGATCATGGCAACTGCTATCAAAAGCCACAAATGTGATCAAAGCCATGACTGACAAAAACAGTTAATTTGATTTCTGAACCTATGAAAGCTTGGAAAGGCATGCAGAGTCTTCTGGAAGAAAACAAGGGTTGAAAAACTATGATTTGGAAAAATCTTTCCTTATAGTAGAAAGATTCACAACCTGCCAAAGCTGCCAGTTTTGACAACTGCTTGTTCCTTTCTATTTTGTGAAGCACTGACTCCACCAAGGAGAACTGCTCAAAGAGTGTAATAAACTTCTGTTGGAGCACATGGAATGAGGCATGTGTGCCATCCTTGGGTCCAACACAGGAGTGAGGATTTTCCTGCATTCTTCATTATTTTCCTGATCTCTATCTCCTCATACAGGTGGATTTCAACTCATTTACATACCAGTTATTCCCTATTTCAGGACCATTTCTTACAGTTCCCTGGCTACAGCCCTGGTCTCAGCCACCATCATCTATGGCACTGCACTGCATGTTCTCCAGCAGCCAGAGGGGCCTTTCAGAAGCATAAATTATGTTATGTCACAATCTTGCAGGCACACAGGGAGGTAGCTGGTGTCCTTCCTTTGGTCTGCAGGGCCCTGAGCAACCTGGCCCCGGCCTGCCCCCTGCCTCCTCCCCTCTCACGCTCCCTCTCACTCCATCTACTCCACCACATTGGCCATCATCTTGTCCTTCCTTAAACAAGCCACTTTTCTTTTACCTTTTCTCCCATCAGGGCTTTTGTATCTGCTGCTCTTTCTACCAGGAATGCCCTTCCCTTAGACCTCCCCAAGGCTCCCCCTTCCCTTCACTCAGGGCTCTGCTCAGAAAGGCCTTCTCTGACAGCTGACGGAAAAAACTCCCCGTCTGTCCATGCCAAGCAACACACACCCAATTCAGGACTCTTTCCCCTTTGCAACCTTCACTGTTCTCAGTACTTCGGAGTCTCTGAAATTGTTTTCTAGGTTTTTAATGCCTCTCAGTCCTATGAGGATGTAACCTCATGAGGGCAGGGACCTTGTCTACATAGTTCGCCACTATATTCTCACAGTAGAAGCTCGATAGTTATTTATTAGATGGAAGAAAAGGAGGTAAGGAGAGAGGGGAGAAGAAGGAGTGAAGAAGGAAAGGAGGGATGGGAGGCAAGGGATTATCTGGTACTTAAATACACAAGAAAATCCATTACAGAAACTGCTCACACTCTTTTCTATGCTCTATTGACCATTTTTCCGTTAACTATTTTCATCGAGTTCTACAATTTTTCTTTTCTATACTTTCACCTAGGAATCTATGAATTAGTAAAAAACAGAACAGAATTGCTTAATTTTATTTCCTAGAATTTTCATCAAAATAAAAAGATTATCAAAAATATCAAAAAACTACTGATACAGTAGTATACAAAACTCAGGGAGTTTTCAAAGGAAAAAAACATTAAAAATGATGTTGATAAAACTATGGTATTCAGGAACAGATATTTCAGTTGAAAGCATATACCAGCATTTCTCATTACTGTCAATATTACTGACGTGGAATTTGTTTACATCATATTGTGCATCACTGTAATATTTCCAGTTTTAACAATTGTTTAACTTGGCAAATAGTGCTAAGTTTAGAAGTCTGGGAAAGATGACATTGGAATCTACATCATAGTATCATTTTGATGCCTGTGGTTTCTGTACTTGTGAACTTTCTGCACACCAAGATTCTTGAGTCCACCCTTCCCTCATCTTTGAAGAACAAGAATTGGACTTGGTGGCCTACAGTTCCTTTCCGATCAGACCTGCCTCGTGTCCATGGTTTCCTACCAACTGCAGACACTTTCCAAAGCCCCTTTCCTGCTGATTCAAGGGCCTCCAGAATACAGGCATAGGCAGAGGACCCTTCTGGTTTCAGGTAGGAAAGGTGCCACTGGTCTGCAGGGCCTCCAAGGACTGATAACCAAGGCAGAAGATCACCTAGGGGGATGCTGACCACAGCTGGGCGGGCAGCTTGATTGCACAAGGGTGGCAGTGGAATGAGAGGGAACACACAAAGGACAGGCTTGAGGAGCATTTTAAAGGCAGAAGTGAGAGGCTGATGACACATGGAGAAGAGGAAGAAATGGAAAGTGACTCTGAGGCTTTCTGGTCTGTTGCTGAGCATCAGTGAAAATACCTCATCAGATGGAGTAACGTGAGGACTTTTTTTTTTTTTTTTTCCCGAGACAAGAGTCTCACTCTGTCGCCCAGGCTGGAGTGCAGTGGCGCAATCTCACTGCAACCTCCGCCTTCCGGGTTCAAGCGATTCTCCTGTCTCAGCCTCCCGAGTAGCTGGGATCACAGGCAAGTGCCACCACACCTGGCTAATTTTTTGTATTTTTAGTAGAGATGGGGTTTCACCATGTTAGGCAGGTTGGTCTCGAACTCCTGACATCAGATGATCCACCCACCTCGGCCTCCCAAAGTGCTGGAATTACAGACATGAGCTACCGCACCTGGCTGATAACTTTCAAATAAGAGCAGGAAAAAAAAATCTAATGCATTGTTTACCTGTAGGGACATTATAAATAAAAACATCAAACAAAAACAAAGATGAAAAGGAAAAAACGTAGTTTTAATGACAGGAACAGATTGTTGACTGCACTATGTATTTAGTTTCTGATAATTTATCATTTAAAATAATTGCTTTTCCAAAATGAATTTAAAACGTCAAGTTAGAAGCAATAAAAATCAGTTGACAGCATTTCAGGGCAATTAACAAACTCTCCTGAGCTTATGGTGAGTATTATAAAACACCAGTTGCTGCTTTTCCACAAAACTATGTTTAACGTTTAAAAGGAAAAATCCACTATTAAGTAAAATACTTATTGTTCAAGAACATTTTTTAAAAATATAATGAAAATAATTGATCTGTCAAAGTACTGGGTAACTACCTTCTTCATAATTCACAGAAACTGTTACAAAAGACATTTTGTTGTTAAGTTCGTAAAAACATTAAATAAATGCAAGCCTTAACATTTTAATTATGTTGAAAAACAGAAACATCTGTTTTACAATACTAATTAATTTGATATAAACTTACCATGTCTTTTTATTCATTGTAAGCTCCATTATCATGCGCCTAAAAATAATCAAAACAGCTTTACAAGCATCAACTTGTTCTTTCAAGAGCACAGGAACTTCAGCACATGGTTCCAACAAAAAGATGTTTGCAGAGTTCGTCAAAAATACCTTAAAATCAACAACTTTACATTAGAAAATATAACTGAACATAAACATTTGAATAAATTTTGCTTACAGATATTAATTTCACTCTACCAATGAAATCATTTTTCAGTTATTTCCAAAAGATTCTATTTCAATAAGGCAAGTGGTACCAACACATATTCAAAATTTTTTTTTGGTTCACCTTTTAGAATCACTTAAATACAGAGACACCTGAAAAGCCTTTCCCTAGGGGAAAAGAAAAAATCACTATTACATATTAATTGCAACTACAGAAATTTTATGAGTCAGAAAAGCTTTTGAAGACTTTTCAACAACCCCTCAACAAAAAAAGGAAAACAAGGGAAAAAAGTAGGATCGTTGCATATGAGTGAGAAACTGTAGAGGGGGAATGGGAGGAGTAGAGGATAGATGGCCAGACAGTGGTCAGACAGAACTATGTGATTCTTATTGAGTCTCCCAGCACATGAACTCCTTGCTGACAGAAGCATGGACAGCACCACTCAACAGGGGTCAGAACCTCAAGGAGCTGTGATGTGTCCAGAAACAGACGAAGCCATCGACATCACACGCCTTCCAGGAGGCTATTTTTTTTTAATATGAAAGATATATTATGCAGTAGCATACAAAATCTAAGTGAATTCTTAAGATTAAAAGCTGAGATTTCAAAAACAATTCAGATTATCAGCCAACTACTCTACCCTCTGCCTCAGACCTTTAGCATACAAGTTCACTGTTCTCTACCATCAGGGGTATCTCAGCAGAAAAATGTGAGAAGCACTGATCCAGGATATCATATACTATTACTGCTTTGAGTCACTACAGCAAAATAACGGTGTGTTACCATTTACACAGTTGACACCAGTGTCCCATCATCTGCAGATATTCTGAGTTGTCAATTTGGTACGAGGACAGACCTGCTCTATCTACCTAGAGGTATATTGCCTCTTAGGTCTCCTTTGTGTTCAATAACACAAACTCAAAGCATGACGGAGCTTCTCTAGCTCATTTATAAGTAAAATTTTTTAAAGTATTGTATCAAAATAAATGTACAATCTGACGAAATTAAAATTAACATCAAAAGTCAAGTGGATGAACTAAAATATTCACAGCCTTTAAAGTTATCTTAGGTAAGATTAAAACGTATTATGTCCCAATTTTCTAAGAAAAATCACTAAATAAGCACTATAATATAGTTGATGATGATGATAACTTCAGTCATGAAGAATTTACTAGCCTTCGAGTAAGAAAAACAAAAACAAAGAGCTTTTTGATTACAGCAATTTTAGTGGTTCTGTTTTTGAAAGTAGTATGCCACAGATGATATATTGCAACACAGATCCTTTTAATTCAATGTATTTGGCTTCTTGAATATGAATTAAAAACTTTTTGCACATTCCCATGTAAGGAGTCTTTATATACTTTTACTTTTTACAAAACATCAAAGGTACTGCATGAGTATTTCTTATTAATGTGCTGGTATCAGTTAAGGTAAAAATAAACCAAATTAGTATGTCCAGAGTACATTTGTCAAAAGCAACTATAGAAAACTACTATCTCTTGAACATCTGAGACACAGTCGGAGAAAAGAAAGAAAATTACTGTCTTATCAAACCTCCATTTGGCCCCTTTTTCTTAATAAACAAAGTAAAGGACTAAGGTATTAGATATAAGAACAAAACCAACTATTTAAATCCAAAGTAAATCTTTTTTTTAACTGTAGCACTATATATAATAAAATAGAAATTGTTTTTTCTCAGTTCAGGCAAGGACAGTAAGTCCTCATTTAACGTCATCAATAGGTTGTTGGAAATGATGACTTTAAGCAAGATATAAAAAAATTTTTTTTCTCATGAACATTATGATGAAATGATGTTGAATCAAACCATGTTACTCAAAGACCTGCTGTACTCATTTCATTTAAAGTCGCCATTTCCAAGAACCCACTGATGACATTAGTGAGGACCTACTGTAAATGTAACTCAACCTTTCAGAAAATAAAAAGCACTCTTTTGAACCAAGGGGATCACTGGCACCTGCAACCACCACAGGCTGTTGCTGGAGATCCCCTTAGCTAAAAGATGGAGCTACTGAGGGACAAAGGGCAAGGACTCCTGCAAGTGTTTCTCTGATGGGGACGCAGGTCATACTTATGAGCAGCACCAAAAGTCTTTAAAGATGCACATGTGAAATCATCTCAACTTTTTTAAGTTAACTTCAAAATTATGTGTAGGTTTTCAATGAAAAGTGAGAAAATTCATGAGTATGGTATATTAAACTGCTAATTCACTTGAAAAAAAAAAGGATACCACGAAAATGAATCCTATCAAGAAACAGATGACAGAAAATTAGAAAAATGCATGTCATTCCCAGATGTTCCCCAGACTCCACACCTGGCCTCTACATGAGAGGCCTAAGTGACACATCTCCAAATGTGGATGAAGGGTGGCGGGCGAGGGGGCAGTGAGCAGGGAATGAGAGGCACCCTGTATTTTCACTTACTCTTCAAGCTACATGAGATCTGAGAGGAAATCTCCCAATTCCCATTTTTGAGGTAAAATCCTGAGCTCTGGGGAGGTTAAGTAATGTTCCAAAGTTGCTCTTTCAAATGTTCCCAAATGGAGTCAGTTCTATTTCATATATTCATTCAAATCTAAAAACTACATCAGTCATTGTTCTTTGTAAACACAGCCAATTTTAAGAGGAATATTACTTATAAGATTTTATAATTGCCAAGCTTGTCTTGCAAATTAGAGCCCAGATAACTTACTACTCATAAGTGTTTGGAAGATAATTTAAAGATTTAAATATCAGCCATTTCATATTCACTATATAATAATCTCAAAAAGACTGTAACCAGTTTTTATGTCTTCTTTGACTAGAAAAAAATTTTTGTAAATTGTGGGTAGGAATTAGAAAGAAAACTCAGAATGAGAATGTAATAGCTAATTAAATTGCTGTTTATCGTTTACTGACAGATGGCTACAAATACCACCATACTTTATATGACATTATCCCCAATAAACAAAAAGACAAAATGGCTCCAGCTGTAGGCGGTGGAGGGGTCTTCATGTCCTGGCCAGCCACATACCTGCAACAAAGCCTGGACGCCGGCTTTCACATTTGTATTTTCCTCCTCTGTCACACACCCTCTGCTCATTGCACTTGTGAAGGAGTATGTGCGTCCCCAACTGGAAGATCGTTTATGACCAGAACTTTCAGATGAGGCCTTCAGAAGATAATGATCCATTAACAGAGTGGAAGATGCACGTGTTTAACTTGCATTTAACTATAAATATAATTAAATATATTATATAAACTAAGTTATATTTAGTTGGCATATTTAATTCCTTAAACTCACCAGGATTCACATGAAAATAGGTTCTAGGAGGTAGAGAGCTCCCCACTCAACCGTCAACACCTAAAATAGTGCTCAGCACTTAGTATGTGCTGAAAGAATGAGTTGTGTTTGTCCAATGACTGAGTGAGCATGGAATACAGCCCTTTAAAATGAATGATAATTTGCTTACCTATTCATTTAGATCTCATGGTAGTTATTAAAATGATTTCACCAATATTGAAAAATTAAAATTATGGAACACAGATATTTTAAAGTGACATGCCTCTAGTGAGAAATTTAAAACATTTTAAATTAATTTCATAATAGTATGACAGAAATATAAATGTCACTTAAGTTTCTTTTGTTTCAGGAGATATTCCACTCTGTCATTTTGGATTTATCCAACCTATAGCTTTATCTAACATGGACAGTGGCCCCTCCAGGAGGCCAGCACTCAGCGAGGCTTAAAGGGGAGGGACACTGCTGTTTGGTTAGTCCTTTCACAGGGGTAACACCCAGCTGCTTCTGGTACAGGCCACTGCACAACAAAAGTCTACCCAAACATTCTCAATTTAGTTTCTCCAAAAGATATTTATTTAAACAAGTCAAGGAGAAGGTAGTGATTTTTTTAGTCTCACAAATAGACATGTAAAATATGATGGCTTATTAAACAACTCTCCTGCAACAGTGACCAACAAAGATGCAACACGCAGATGGCCCTGGCTAGAGTTGCAGGAGATGACTGCCAATCTAGAATGGGAGTACAGAAGCTACTCTCCTTGGTAGATCCTCACAGAACTCAGCAACTCAGAAGCATCAGATGGGATAAAAAAGAGATCCACCTGCCTTTGTCCCATTGACAAGACTCTTGACTGAGCAAGTATACTTTACTAAAATATATTTACCCTCAACTCAAAAGACAAGTGAAAAAAATTACCTCCTTGCTATCAGTCTCGGAAAATCCTAATTTTTCAGCATCTTCTTGGGCAACATCTTTTCTATCTGGCTCCTCCATGAACACAGGTTTGTCCTGGAGAATCCACTTTCTGTACACTTGAACTACTTTTCTTGTTACAGCTATCTCACAGGAAGGCAACAAAAATGCCTGAAAGGAAAAGAGAAAACTCCCTTTAACTACAAACACACTCAGATCAGTATAGGGCAGCATCACGGACATTCCCAATGAGCATCACCCATTTCACTTTCCTTGGAACACACAGCTTATAAATATACTACACAGGGCCACAAATCTTTGTGCACACCAAACTTACCAGCAGCAAGAAAGACATTCTCATAAGAGAGCCCTAAAAAATGGCGTTAAAAATAACTTTTATAGGCCGGGCGCAGTGGCTCACGCCTGTAATCCTAACACTTTGGGAGGCCAAGGCAGGCGGATCATGAGGTCAGGAGTTCGGGACCAACCTGGCCAACATGGTGAAACCCCATCTCTACTAAAAATACAAAAATTAGCTGTGCGTGGTGGCGTGTGCCTGTAATCCCAGCTACTCAGGAGGCTGAGGCAAGAGAATCACTTGAACCCAGGAGGTGGAGGTTGCAGTGAGTCAAGGTCGCACCACTGCACTCCAGCCTGGGCAACAGAGCCAGACTCAGTCTCCAAAAAAAAAAAAAGGAAGAATGAAAAAAATAACTTTTATATTCTGAATAATTTGTCTATAAAAATAACCAAATCAAATCATATCTATAGAAATATTTTAATTGGCTACAAAACACAATTATAATGCACAACCTGGACCTTTTCCCAACAAATCAGAAATAGGTTAGAAGGGACATGCTGGTACAGCAAGTGGCAACCAGTCGTGCCCACCTCTTCTCAGCTCCATGTTCACTGATGTCATGGTGTTGGCCTGAATCAGCCATGGTGGGAGTGGTTCTACTACAGAAGTCAGCATCTGTTACAAATCAGGACTTTGTTTCTTTTTTTTTTTTTCCTTTTCTTTGCTTTTGTCCTTCTTCCTTTCCCTTCCTTCCTTCCTTTTTTGTTATTATTATTTTTTTGATATCATATATATCAGGTTTCTAATATATCAGGTTACTAATGAGTTCAGCTATCAATGTTAACAAGAGCCTCTGGCAAAGTTGTAGCATTGTGCATATTTATAAGAACTTTTTAACATTAAGGAATTCCCTTATACATCTCCATACAACAATTTTGATTTAATGTGAGAAGATTCCAATAATGTTAAACAATTTAAAGGAGAAATGCATTTGCTTTTCGCTTATCAGTTTTAAGGACTATTTCTATATTTGAGGGGAACAAGAGGGAGAGGTTCCCCATACTCAGATGCTTTAATGTCACAGATGAGGATACCGAGGCTTACAGCACCAGAGGTATTCTTCCAAGGTTACAAAGTTAGCCACAAATCCAGGTCTTGGTCTCAAGTTGCTGGCACTTGTTTTAATACTGCCCTTAAGGTTCATGCCACAGGATCCAGTTACAGGCAGAACTCACTTTAACAAAGCTTCATGCAATATATCAATATCGAGATAACTGTGGTATCAAAAGCCAAAGTAATGGGATTTAAAAATGAAATAACTCAAAAACTCAGTGTATATGAGATGGACAGAATGGACATAGCTGAAGAGAAAACTGGAAGAAAAATCAGAAGAAAATATCTAGAATGAACTATGAAGAGATAAAAGAATGGATAAATCAGAAGAGAGGATAAGAAAGAGAAAATACAATGAATAGGTTATCCAATGAATGACTGGAGATGCAGAAAAAAACAGGAAAAAAAAAGATGGGGGAAAGAAACAATATTTGAGGAAAGAGTGGCTGAGAATTTAGCCAAAATGGGTGAAATATATCAATCCTTAGATTTAAGAATCACAAAGAAAAACAAGGATAAATGTGAAGTATATTACAGGTAAAACTGCTGAAAACCAAAGATAATCAGAAAAATCTTAAAAGCAGCCAGAAGAAAAAAGATGTATTTCCTCCAAAGGAGCAACCACGTGACTTTCGATGACTTCTCAAAGAAATAATGGAAGCCAAGAAACAATGCAACAAAAGATTCATGTGCAGAGGGCTGCCAATTTAGAATTTGACACCCAGAAATAAAACACTTCTAAAATGAAAGCAAAATACAGACATTTTCAGATGAGAAAATTTGCTACCAGGAGACCTGAGCTAAGGGAAATATTAAAACTTATCCTTTAGATAGAAGGGAAATTTTCCCTGGTCAGAGATTTGGGAAGCAATAAAATGCAATAAAAAGAGAATGTGGATAAATCTAAATGAACAAAACATATATATGAAAATATATATGAATAAAAAGAATAAAACTGGATGAAACAAACCTTACAGTGGTTCTGAAAGGGATAATATCTACATATTACATATTCATAATAATAACAATGGCATATAAACTGAGGAGTAAATAGAGCTAACATGTGTACTGAGGGTAAAAGTTGAAATTAATGCTAGCATTTATGTTAGGAATGCATGTGTTAACTATTAAAGTAACTACAAATGACCGTAAAACTAATTTAATTTGAGAAGAAAAATGGGATATTAAAAACAATGAGCTTGAAGGTCCAATACAACTAGAAAGTAAGAAGACAGCAGACTAAAACCTAACAGCAGTTGCTATGTTAAACGTAATGAATAATGATCCAATCAAAAGACAAAGATTGTAAGATTTAATTTAAAAATCTGTTTAAAAGACTTCGCTGCAATTTATAAGAAGACATCCAAAACATATGGACGGGGGAGGCTGAAAGTAAAGAGTTAGCGAAAGATGTACCATACAAACACTAGCCAAAAGAAAACTGGTAGAGTTATATCAAAAATAGACAAGATAGACTTTGCGCCCCTCCTCCAGAAAACCATTACTAGAGATGAAGACAGAAACTTCTTAATGACAGCATTCAATTCAAAGGAATATAAACTAATTCTAAGTCTGTATTGCAACTAATAATTTTGCCAAAAATAGAGCAAAAACTGATAGGCTTTCAAAAAAAAAAAAAAAACAAATCCACAATCAGAGTAGGATACTCTTCCAAAAGTGGTAGAACACTAAGCAAAAAAATAATGCAGCCAGGGGAGATGGGAACCTTCTCACCAGATCCTCCAGGTCTCAACCTCTCACAGCTCTCACCTCTCTGTCTCTCTGAGGTGCATTCAGGATAATTTCTTCAGATTTGTCATCCAGCTCATTCTCTCCTTAGCTGCATCTAATCTACAATTAAACTTATCCATTTAGGTTTTCTTTTAATATTCCAGTTATTACATGTCTTTTTAATGTCTGGAAGTTCTATTTTCTTCCTAATCTGCATTCGTCATCTATTTTGGTGTCTTTTATTTCTTTATTTCTTTAAATATGTTAAACCTATTTACCCTAAAGTCTCAAATTATACAACTGAAGTCCTTGTGAGATTGTCCTGTTTCTTCTGATTTTTATGTCTAGAAAAGTTTTGACTCACAAATTCCCAAGGGGAAAAAAATGACCCAAGATCATTATACCCAGCTAAGCTGCTCTTTACACCTAAAGGAAAAAGACGCTGGACGCGGTAGCTCAGGCCTGTGATCCTAGCAATTTGGAACACCAAGGCGGGTGGATCACCTGAGGTCAGGAGTTCGAGACCAGCTTGGCCAACATGGCGAAACCCCGTCTCTACTAAAAATACAAAAATTAGCTGGGTGTGGTGATGCATGCCTGTAATCCCAGCTATTTGGGAGGCTGAGGAAGAAGAATCACTTGAACCCGGGAGGTGGAGGTTGCAATGAGCCAAGATCGCACCACTGCACTCCAGCCTGTGTGATGGGAGCGAGACTCCATCTCCAAAAAAAAAAAAAAAAAAAAAGAAAGGCAAAAGAAAAACCTTCCCCATCATAAAAGGACTTAAGGCATAAGCGTTCCAGGACATCTTCCTGAAAACACTCAATGACAAAACAAGGCCAAGCAAGAAAAATTAAGTATTTTAGAACTATGGAACAGGATGAATTAATCTGTGTAAATACAGAATCAAGACTAAACAACTCTGTACATTAGGATTCTGAAATCAACTGCCAATGATGCTATATTTATAATATAAATGTATAATAAGATGAAATTAGTAACTAGAGGGGGCTAAAGAAAATACATGGCTGCTAATTTATTCATATTTCATAGCAGGAAACCCATAGTGCTATCTAAAATTACCATGTGTAGTTCAAAAGTGATTCTAACACCTCAACGTTATTATAATTTTTTTTTAGTTTAGACAAATCTTTCAGCAATTAATACTTCTTATGGTAAAGAAATATTCATTGGATTTTAAACAATTCCTTCACTTTTCCTTTACTGTCTTTTCTTCTGTTAAATTCAAGTAAAATTCAGAATTTTCATTAATTAAGAATGAATGAATGAAGAATTAAGGATTCCATTGTCATAGTTACTCCGTCAGTCCCCATCCCCACCCCAGGCACTTTTCCATACCTCCCCTTGTGCCTGCCTTAATCTCAACTGACGTCTGTCTGGTTCCACCTTCACCTGTCTCTACCCATGCCTCCCTCCCTCTTGCTTTTCTGCCTGCCTGCCTATTTCTGTCTGCCTATTGGTCTATACCTGCTTGCTTATTTCCATCTCTGCCAGCTGGCCTATCTGCACCCACCTGTTTGTTCTTCTACACCTGCCTGCCAGTTTGCTGATGTCTATCAGTTCACCTGTACACCCCCCTGTCTCTCTACCAGCCTGCTTTCTGTCTGTTTATAATCCTTTCTTACCCATCTCCTCTCTGCTGGTGTCTCATCTATGTAGCTAGCCAGGCCCCAGCCATATATACACATATAGAAAGACCAGACTTTCTTCTAACATTAATGGTGGTGTTTCGAGGGATTTGCTTTTGCTTTCTCCTCTATAATTACATATACAGAGAGACTTTGTTTATCTAATGAACATAGATTTTTTAATAAAAATAAAGCTGTTTAAAATAAAATCAACCAATAAAACAACCTAATGAACAAACATCCTTTAGAGCAGTGCTTCAAACTTTTCAGATCATAGCCTAAGTAAGACACTTTACCAAAGGATATATGCATTTGTATATATAGTATTGTACACACATAAATAAATTAGAAGTTTCACAAAGAAATAGTAATCCTTACAACTTGAACTACACTGTGAAATATTTGTTCTATTCTATTTTATTCTGTTTCATTGTTTAAAAAAAATACTAGTTTTGACTCACTAAGTTGGTTTCATGACCTACGAATAGGTCACAACAGGTAGTCTGAAAAACGCCAATGAGAAGACGAGTTTACAGTGAAGTGACCCAGTGACCAGGACTGCCTACACGAAGCATTCTACCACTGCCTGGCCTTCCTGCTGGGGATGGCAGCAGATGAGGGATACCCTGAGCCTTGTCCTACTTCAGTTACTGTCTATTTCCACCACCCACATTCAACTCACTGAACTACCCAGTCCAAGGTGACCCACACCAGGTGGTTCTTTAGCCTCTGTCATGAGCCTCTCTGCCCCAATAGCTCACCAGCATTTATTCCCAAGTCACTCATGGACATCTGATCTACCATCTCACACTGTTCTCTGCAGCATACACACACACCTTATCTCTCCACTGAGAATGTGCACTTCTTGAACATCCATTTTAAACTATAATAACCGTTAGGCTTAAACATCTGTGAATCTTAATTTAAAGTTGAAAAAACATAGTTATTTTGAAAGAAGTCACATTTTGTTTTCCATAAAAGAGAAATTCATCATTGACCAACAGAGCAATAAAATGCAATTGTAAAACCCATTCCTCTTTTCCCAAATGTTTCTATTTCAGTATTTTAACAACACATAATACTTAGATTTTAAACTTCACATACACAGTTACTCTTTCAAATTAGATCTGGTTAAGAAAAATTATAAAATGTAAATGTTTTTAAGCTTCATGACACTAAGATGTCTCATAACTTCAGTCATATGTAGTCTATAGTCACCTCAATGATCAAAACTACTTCAAAATTGAATTTAGATTGGGTTTAATATTTAGACTGAATTTAGAATTTAGAGCACACTATTGCCAGGGGTAGGATGCCAATAACAGATACAGTCAGAATTATTTGTATGATAAATTAACAATTACACAATAAAGGTAAAACCACAACAATATAGCATTTATCTGTTGTCTAAGATCTAAAAGCCTTGCTAATGTCATCTTATCTGATATGAAGTATTTTCATTCAAGCATTTAAAAATGTTACTATAGATCAGAGTCAGCAAACCATCCAGCCTGCTGCCTATTTTTGTAAATAAAATTTTTCTAGAACGCAGCCATCCTCACTTGTTACATGTATCTCTGGCTGCTTTCTTGCTACCATAGCAGAGTTTAGCCCCTGTGACAGAGACGTACGATCCACGAGGCCTAAAATATTTACTAGTTGGCCTTTTGCTTTAAAAAGTGTGCTGACCCCTGCTATAGATGATACACTCCAGGACCTTGACTATTTCAAATCAATAGTTGCTATGGACCTTTCACATGTACAACAGGAGCATGAATATGACAACATTAATGTAGGGAATGGGGTAGATTTTAAAATCGTGGACTATTACGATAAAAAGAAAAGTTGTGGCAGTATGATGTGTGCAGTACTACCTAGAAAGGGATGACACAGAAGGATGGGAGCTCCAAGGAGAGGGCTGCTAACCACAGTCAAAGAAAATGGAGAGGAAAGGAGTGAGCAAAACTCCTGTGTGACTTGTCCAGTGACTGTCATAGGAGGAGAGGGAGATGGGGAACCTAGGATCATTAAAATTAAGATGCAAACATGAATACAGGTCCCTTTGAAGAAGCAGTCAAGTCAGGAGAAGAAGTTGATATTAGGGGAAAAAATCAGCCCGGCTTTGGTCTTGTTATCATTAAGATACTACAGGAACATCAGATTGGATGGCACGTGGGCATTTTAAAAGGCAAGTGTAGGAGGCACCCAGTGCCACCTTGTCTACATTGTTCAGTGACAATGTAGACACTGAGAGTCTACACCTGGTTTACCCAGTCATTCTGCCTGATTTTGGCCATGTGATTAGTTAGGTCTAAAAGCCCTCTCAGTAAACTTGTGCCCTGTCTTCCCTGAGACAGACATCTCACTCTCATGTTGGTGAATCATGATCCCGAGAGGGCACACTTTCTGTGCAGCAGAGGGAGGGCCCTTGAAGCTGTGCTCAGGTGTAACCGGCCTCTGTAGCATTGCATTATGCTTTCCGGCTCCTGGTGTGGTATATCCGCTGCCAGTAACAAATCTTTCATGAGTATAAAAAATTTGTTTAATGAAATTAATGTTTTTATTTACAAGTGAGGTCCAGACAAAAGGCTTGACTGGGAGTCATATGCCACAGTGGTTGCTGGCACTGGACAGGCAGTAAAGGCCCCAAGGAGGCAAGTGTAGAATTACAGCAGAGACTTGAGCCCTGAATCTTGGTTAACACCTGTAATTTGGGGTGAAACAAAAAGAGGGGCCAAGACATGAAACAGAGAAGACACAGAGAGTGAGAAGAACCAAGGCAGTGCCGGGCCACAGAACCAGAAAAAAATATTTTATAAGTGGAATGTTAATTGCAGACTAAACAAACATTTTCTTAAGTAAAATTTTTTCTTCATTAAAATGAAAATATGGTAAAATCTCTACACTGCTATAGATTAGGTTGTGACTTTGTTTTTGGTTGATTTTTTGTAATGAAAGTCCCAGAAGTGAGAGGGCCAAACATTCACTATCTCAAAAACTTGCCTCACCATAAGAAGTTCTCTGTGGTGCATTCCCGTCATTCATATGTCTAAGACTCTTCTTCTCCTCCTCACCTACAACTGGACTCTGCCATTCAAGGGCTTAACCTACTTTTCAGGTCTATGGACAAAACAACTATTCCACCTCATATACACATACCCACCAATAGGCCACATTCCCTGTTTTCAAGAGCACCAGTACCTAGAGTCAAGTGGCACTGGCCACACGCCACACTCCAGACCTGTGGGAGCTCTGTTTGCTGTGTTGAAGGCTAGTACTGAGTTTCTCCACAGCAGCACTACTGACACATTGAGCCAGATAGTTCTTTGTCATGGTGGGGGTGGGGGCCATTCTGGGCATTGCAGGATATTTAACAACATCCCTGGCTGCGACCCACTAAGATGCCAGTAGCACCCCCTCCCCAGTTGTGATGACCAAAACTGTTTCCAGACATTGCTAATGTCCCCTAGGGAGTAGCATCAAACCCAGTTGCAAACCTCTGATGTCACTCACGGCCACTAACCGTAGCCTGGGCTTCTGACCTCTTCTGTCTCCTTCCTTTGCTCACACCTCTTTTCGTGTCTTGGCCTCTGCTCCTTTCTTTCCTTTTATTCCCCTTGCCACCTACCTTTTTCTCTTGTGCCATAAATAATTCTATCATATTGTGAGTGCCACACGCCTCTGCAGAGTTTTTGCAGAAACCTCCAGCTCCTCAGAGAGCTCCGTGAGGCTCTGGGAAGAAGACTGGACTCTTCTTTGCTATGTTCATTTGTTGCTGGGTATTCAGGAACGGCTTTCTTCCCACCTAACTCTGGGTTTACTTTGTTATAAAAACATGAAAGTATTTGTCTCATGATTTTGCTCAAATATAGAATTTTCCCTCCTTGTGTAAATATTTTGCAACAACAAAATTTAAAAATCACAACAATCCTCACAAATTAAAAGATTAGAGGGATCGTTCTTTATTATTCAGTTCTGTAACATAACCCAACTCACCAATTCTATTTGTTGGCGTGTTACAAGTAAAAGAACATGAAACAAAATCATTTCCATTTCAAGAACTTGTAACACACACACACACACACACACACACACACACACACACTAACCTGG
This sequence comes from Homo sapiens, assembly GCF_000001405.40. NCBI lineage: Eukaryota > Metazoa > Chordata > Mammalia > Primates > Hominidae > Homo > Homo sapiens. Next base: position 20,629,367 of record NC_000020.11, read on the forward strand.
TGAAATACTTCATTCACGAAGTTGACATAACCTCGTGTTGACAAGAGAATCCGCTGTACCATTTCATACACCATTCGGTGCTCTTCTTCAATGCTACAGAGGCTGGAGTTGCTGAGTCTTCGGTCCGACAAGGTGCTGCTGTTAGAATGGCTTTTGTCCTGCTCCGTGGGCCCACCACCATCCAGCTCAGGCGCTCTCTCCTGCACAGCACCACCACCAACAGTCTGGAAGAAAGTCAGCACACTTCTCAATGATGCTCACCCCCACTCAAGAACACCTGGCAAAACTTCAGTCTTGCCTTGTTTTAAGTAACTCTGGTTACCATCAATGTGCACAGGGTACAGCAAACCAAAACCAGCTTGAAGCACGATAGGCTCCAGAGCCTGTACTTACCAATTTTCTAACTAACCAACAAATCCCTCCCAACTCAGCTATTTTAAGAGGAAAACTACTAAGCTATTTCAGAAAGGAGGGCTGTGAAATTTTCCCAATCTAAAAGGTTTAATTTGCATTGTAAAACCACAGAATAAATTAATGTGTAAAAACATTTGTATTATCATCACATCAGGTCTCTACACTTTAGCATTTGCTCCTATGGTCACAGAGATTGGAATATTCAGGGGACTTCTTGCAGCAACAATGCTAGGAGGCATCATTTGATTCATATGACTAAGCGGCAGCTTGACAGTGGAGTGTGAAGATCTTTAAAGTGTATTTTATCAGAAGAATGCTGATCTGAGCTTTATCCTCAGAATCTTAGGTCAAACATAAATAAATATTCACAAAATTTTAAACATTTAAAAGACTTTAGGCATCCAAAGAAATGAAGTAATTCATGCAATCACTCACAAAGCTTAACACTGATTTCTGCTCTCGTATCCACATAGAATTAAAGGTTTACTCCAAACAAAATATACATATAATTTTGCTTCACCTTTGCAAACTCCATTATTACTTTTAAGTGTCAAAAATATATAGCCCAAATACAACTAAAATTTACCCACTGTGAGTATTTTTTACAAGAAGAGACAAGATATGAATAGTACAAAACAGTAATTTCAGTAACTACCAAGGACAGTTTGAAAACAAAACAGATATCCAATAGTAATCTCTAGAGAAAATTAATGGATTATACTTGTAATAATTTTTCTCTTCATGCCTTAGTTACTAAGCCTGTGTGGCTTATGAAAGGCACTGTCGCACTGTAAGATGTGCTCACCTATGGAAATTATTTTATCTTTTTTACAGATCCACTATCTTCCACAGGAAAATAAAACTTTATTCATTTTATTCTTTTTCTATCTGAAGCTTCAGCAGGAATGACTCAAGGATGAGTATGGTACAGAAAGAAGAGGCCCAAACTAAGTCTCAAAAACTTGCTTCTCCACATTCCTAACTGTAAGGCAACCCACGCAACGCACTTGGATTTCACATATACACACGCATATATGTTAATCTGTAGGACACAGAGGCTAGATTAGGTCTAAAGTCTCTTATGGCTCAATAACCTGTGACTTTTTGACCTATAACTCCCATTTTCCCCACAAACTAAAAAAGAAAAAAAAAATATGCACATAGATAGCAAATTAAAGATGACCACAAATTCTTTAACACTCCTTCCACAGAGACGTGAGGCCCATGTCCCCTCCCTTTCATCTACATGGACTGTATGACTGCTTTAGCCAGTAGAATAGAGTGGAAGAGACCTAGCCACTATCAGACCCGGGCCCAAGAGGCTGACAGTTAACAATTCCCATCTCTTGAAACATTTCACTCTTGGAGCCCTGAGTAGGCATATGAGAAGTTCAACTACCTTATTAACCAGAAAACAGAACAAGAAGTCCCATATGAGCCCAGCTTTCCTTTCCAACTGCCCTCATCAAGTAGCAGGCATCTGAACGAAGTCATCTTGGACCTTGCAGACCAACCAGTGCTGGTGGGCTGAATAATGACTTCCCCAAGGATGTCCTAATCCCCAGAATCTGCGAATGTGTTACCTTCCAGGGCAAAAGAGACATAACAGATGTGATTAAGTTAAGGATGTTGGGATAGAAAAATTATTTTGGATTATCCAAATGGTCCCAATATAATCCAAGGGTCCTTATAAGAGGGTGGCAGGAGGATAAGAGACAAAGAAGGCTAAGTGATGATGGAAACTGGGAGAAAAGGTGGTGTGATGCAGGGCCACAGCCAAGGAATACAGGTGGCTTCTAGAAGCTGGACATGGCAAGAACACAGGATTCTCCCCTAGAACCTTGAGAAGGAACACAGATCTGCCAATAACTTGATTTTGGATTTCTGACTTTCAGAACTGTAAGATAATAAATTTGTACTGTTTCAAGACATTAAGTTTGTGAGAATCTGCAATAGTGGCAGTAAGAAACTAACACAACAACTTACTGTGAGGTATAGTGGCAGTCTCTAGAATGGTAGTGGCCATTTCTAGGGACAGTCAACTGCAGGGTATGATGGCACAGAAGGTACAAATGGCTGTCAGCCCAGCACTCTTTCTCCCTCCCTACCAGAACCTCAGTCCTCTGTGTGCCTCCTCCCATGCACCTCAACTGACTTGCAGGAAGCTGACCCCATCCACAGTACTAGGGACCAATCTGTTTTGTGGAGGACAATCATGACATCTCCTGGCCCATTCACACACCCAGCTTTTTTTTTTTTTTTGAGACAGAGTCTCGCTCAGTTGCCCAGGCTGGAGTGCAGTGGCTCGATCTCCGCTCACTGCAAGCTCCGCCTCCTGGGTCCATGCCTTTCTCCTGCCTCAGCCTCCTGAGTAGCTGGGACTACAGGCGCCCGCCACCATGCCCAGCTAATTTTTTTGTATTTTTTTTTCAGTACAGACGGGGTTTCACCGTGTTAGCCAGGATGGTCTCGATCTCCTGACCTCGTGATCCGCCCGCCTCGGCCTCCCAAAGTGCTGGGATTACATGTGTGAGCCACCGTGCCCGGCCCCTAATTGATTCCAAAGTTCCAACCTTTAAGATGTTAAAAAAGCTAGATAGTAAAAGTAGATGACTCACAACTGTGAAGAGTCAAGTAAAAGAAAAAATCAGAAGCTGGAAGCAGTGGTTAATTTGCTGTTCTTTCTACTTCTCATCATCCAGATGTACTTTTCAAGAATGAGCTACTTATTTTCAATAAATACAGGTGATGGTTTTCTGACCTTTTTAAACCAGAGAGGAAAGGTTACACCCATTAATTAAGACTTTTTTGAACTGAGTGACAATCACTTAAGATGTGATGTAAATTTGCCAAAGAGCATGACTGAGTTTCCTACACATAATTTCATACAGATTTTTGTCTGCCTGATAAGTGAATAAAGGTATCTCATCATGGTTCAGAACTAACTGCATTTCTCTGACTGCCGGTGAAATCAGGGGTCCCTGTAGTCTGCCTTCTATGAGCTGCCCTTTCATCTCCTTAGTCTATTTTTCAGTGGGGTTGTTTGTCTTCTTACCAGTCCATGGGTACTCTTTACATAGCAGAGATATTAACTCTTTTAACAGTCACAATGTTACTTCATAGTCTATTGATTGGATTTGGCCTTCTGTAGTCTTTAGACATAAAAATCTTTCACTTTTTTTTTTTTAAATAAAGTCAAACCTCATTTCTTCCACGGCTACTGGGTCTTTCTCTCTCTCTCTCTCTTTCTTTCTTTCTTTTTCTTTCCTTCCTTTCTTTCTTTTCTCTTTCTCTTTCTTTCCTCCTTTCCTTCCTCCCTCCCTTCTCTTTCTTTCTCTCTCTTTCTTTTCTTTCTTTCTTTCTTCTTTTTTGAAATGGGAGTCTCACTCTGTTGCCCAGACTGGAATGCAGTGGCACAATCTCTGCTCACTCCAACCTCCACCTCCCAGGTTCAAGCGATTCTCCTGCCTCAGCTTCCCGAGTAGCTGGGATTACAGACGCCTACCACCACGCCCAGCTAATTTTTGTATTTTTTGTAGAGACGGCATTTCACCATGTTGGCCAGGCTGGTCTCGAACTCCTGACTTCAAGTGATCTGCCTGTCTTGGCCTCCCAAAGTGCTGGGATTACAGGCGAGAGCCACTGCGCCCAGCCTACTGGGTCTTATTTCTACCTAAGGTAGTCTACCACTTCCCAAATTTAGACACTCTCCTGGATTTTCCCTTCTCTTACAGTCTCGCTCTGTCGCCCAGGCTGGAGTGCAGTGGCGCGATCTCCGCTCAGTGCAAGCTCCGCCTCCTGGGTTCATGCCATTCTCCTTCCTCAGTTTCCTGAATAGCTGGGACTACAGGTACCCGCCACCACGCCCGGCTAATTTTTACTAGAGATGGGGTTTCACCATGTTAGCAAGGATGGTCTCGATCTCCTGACCTCATGATCTGCCTGCCTCAGCTTCCCAAAGTGCTGGGAATACAGGTGTGAGCCACCGTGCCCAGCCTACATTTCTTCATTATTTTGTTTTTATTGTAGACCTTAAATAAATCTGACATTTGCTTCAGTATGTTGTAAGAGGCAAGGTTCTAGCCAACTATTCCAATACCATTAATTAATGATTCTTTCTTTTAATCTTGACTGACATCCTGTGGGGGGATGTGTATGTGTATGAAGGAGAGAGAGAAAGAGATTGCAGGATTGCAGATTTGATTAGATGTTCAATACTAATCTCAGTCTCATTCCTTTGAAGCAACCTGTCTGGAAACCTATACTACTGTCTCTTAATTCCTGAAAATCAAATGTCTGTTTAGGTTTGTATCTTGATACTTTTTCCTGGGACTCAAAGACCCTTTAAGTTTGAGGCACACCTTTTTATTTTTTTTTTTCAGTTCAGATAAACTCTTATTATTTGTTCAATTATTCTCATTCTCTTCTTCTTCCACCCACCTAATATTTGTAAGGTAGGGACCTGTACTTAGATCTTGTCTACTAATTTCTGATTTCGAACTCTAAGTTTTTAGTCACTGTCATGGGATCTTTTTTCAGAAAACTAATTTTTTTCCCAGCAATAATCATTATCATTTTCATTTTATTTGCTAATTTTTTAAACTAAGACATTTAAAGGTTTCTTAAAACTTTCTTTCAGCAAGTCTTTCATTGTTCTTACTGTAACTGCACCTCCCTCAGATCTTAAAAATAAGTTCTCCTCTAACTCTTCAGTGACTTCTCCCCAGTGGAGCCGCATGCTCTAGACTGTTTGGTGTTCCTCCATCAAGGTTCCTAATAACCTTGAAGCACAAGAGCCACTTATCTGCCTCCTCAGGTCTGTGCATTCTTTCAGCTCAGGCCTAGGTCGGAGTTCTGAGACTTCTAGGGCATCGGCAAATCTGCAGTCAGTGGACCAGACTTCCTATCCCTGTTCTTGGGGACAATAAACAAAAGAGCACACAACACCATGATCCCTTAGCGAAGTGGCTGCTCTCTGACCTCCACAAATGGTAGTGCTCCACCAAGTCCCTAAGTAACTCAGCCTGTTGGGAAAGACCCCAATTGTGTATGGCTGACCAAGGCCAAGAGAGAAAAAGCACAACAGGCCCCACACAAGGAGAGGTCTCTTCTGAAGGCCTCTGGGAAGAGGTGGGCTTCTCTTCTAGGGGCCCCACCATTGCTCAACAGCCAGCCCCAAATCCTGAGCTGCTGATCTACTTCCCTCTCCTGAGATGCCAGAGGGTGCTCGGCAGCTTCACAGGTCCTTTCCAGGGGCCACTTACAGTTTCCTAAGTGCCTTCCAGCTACTGGGGCTTGGTGAAAGCAAGACAGGCCTCTGTTCTCATGCTCAGAGGCCACTGGTACTCAAGTGAGGAGAATGAGGAGGAGCCAGGAGTGTGCACACAACAGCTATCTTCTCAAAATGGCTCCCGAGATTGCATCATCATGGCAGTCCCAACAATGCACAGCAAGTGATTCAAACTCACAACTCCCTCTGAAACCTTGGCATTACAGACAGGGTAGGCCAATAAAATCACTTACCTATAACCAACAACTTGTAAGAACCAATAACTCTAACAATCAATAACTTTGGCTATGTTCCAGTGTATTTTATTACACAAGCATTAACAGATAAAAAGATGATGGATGGCATACCTGGATGATTTTAGGCAATACATCAACTCCATTTTTAGTGTTTTGTGTTGCAGTTAGATACTTTTTTTCCAAAAAGAAGGTTACAATCCACTTAATAAAAACAACACGAGCTGCCATATATGGAATCTTTGTACTGTAAATGTTCTCATTGTCTCGAGTGGTAGTAATGTACACAGGCTTTGGTCTCAAATGGGGGATGTCTGGTAGAAGAAAGAACACATGATTGATTAGGTTAATAAATCATAACATTAAGTAATCCCTACAAATGTTTTGGTTTCCAATTAAATCCAATTTTTGGTTGTCTAAATAGCAACTAAGAATGAAGAACCGCAATTATTTAAAATGGCATTTTTTTGGTAGGCTCCTTTCTGATTCCGCCTTGTGATCTGACTGAGAATGAGTGATGATGGTGATTGTTTATGTATCTATGATATACAGCTATGGAAAAACTAAGCTAACAACTATTTTTAACAATTTTGATAAATTACATGAGACTATAATAGTAAACATCTTTTCACATACATTATACCTAATTTAATTTTATTTTATAGCTGGAACAAATGTAAAAGTATATATGAACTTTTAAAACATCATTTTAGGTATTTTAACATCTAACACTGCAGTGATTAAATCCACTGAACTTTAGAGGTTTATATCCTTTTCCCTTTAGATGAATCCAATGAAACAGAATCAATATCATCTACTTTATATTTAAAAGAATTAAGAAAGTCACATTTCACCTTTGAGGCATCAAATGCTACCTTTTCCAAAGACTTAATAAGAAGTCAGTTTCTCATTCTTTAAATTCCATAATCAATATGAAAATTATATGGTATTGGATTTGAGATACTACTTGCCATAAGTTCAACTCTCTATCTTAATAATTTTTGTATATCTGGAATACCTGTATGAGGCAGAAAAATGATCAACAAATAACTTTTAATCTAGGAATATTAACAATATACCATGTTTTTAAAATGAATTTAGACTACATATAAAATCAGAAACAAATTTTGAAAAAATATTCACATATATATAGCTAAAGAAATACATGTCCCAGTGCACCTAAAAGTCAGTAATTCTACATCTTTCAAAACTCACCAAGTTTTGGCTTCTCTCCCCGTGTGTGTGTGTGTGTGTATGTGTGTGTGTGTGTGTGTGTGTGTACGCATACATAGAAACACACAGAGTACAGACAACTGAATCAGGTGACCATGTTCCCCAAAAAAGTAACATCTCGTGTCACCACTTCCCCTCCAAAACTGTTTTTAATTATTCATTTGAACTAGTTTTACCTGTTTTAAATAATAGGGAGAGGAAGATTTGACCCCCACCTTTACCACTCTAAGGGATGCTTCTGTCCTGTGAGTCCTCATTGCTTACAGAAGAAAAAAACATTAGGAGCCAAATTGGAAATTCCTTTCTGTTTCCTAGTCCTCTGGGGCTTACTGTCCATAGCTTGTCCAATCACCTAAAATTTGGTTCTCCATAAGCACCTGTCAGTAGTAGCTGCTGGATGCAGGACCCAGCATAAAATAAAAGGCATACAATGGCAGCTGTTTGCCTTGGGCTGGCCTCCAGTCACTGAGCAAAGCCTGAGGTCGCCATACCCCACCACCCACAAGGAAAGACTTCAGGAAATGCAGAGATTTTTACATTAAAAGATGACAATGTAATTATACCAAAAATATCATAAATACATTTCAAATTATTTCTGAGTATAGGAGCCACGGTTCCCTTTTACTGCTGTAAGCTGAGGTATATCTTAGTTGGTACAAATAATTAAAATCACTTATTAAGAAACTTTAAACATTTAATAATAAAGTTACCATTCAATACAAAAATAAAATGACTATTTTACTTTAAAATAATCAAAGGTCACTTTGAAAGAGACTGCATAGCTTTCCTTTGGATATCCTCTATACACGGCTCCAACAGTACTTACCAAGTACAGGTTTGTAGATGTTTGTTAACTTAGTAAATGATGGAAATAAATGAGGAAGATAATACTTTCGAAACAATGTAAAAAGAAATTTAAAACCAGTATCTTGATTCTCCTTATTCTTCCACTCCAAGCTCGCAGCCTTTGGATAATATGTGGAAAAGAACATATGTATATTTATATTTCAAATTAACATATACTAAACTGAAGTGTTGTTATGTTACTAAAATTCCTAACCTAAATGTAAAAAATGACAAATAATATTGACAATCATGTAATGAAATAATAACAAAGCTCAAAAGATGGCAGGAATGAATACTTCAAAACAAAACAGTAACTATGTTAAAAACAGCATTTTTACTTAGAACCAAATTGCTCAATGATATCGTATCTTTTATAACGTGCTGTAATGTATCATGCCCATATTTTTTCTCTACGTTTTTTGTAATTATCTAACATTCCTTGTGCCTTTAAAACATTTAGTCACAAACAATCAGGTGTTTTTTTCTAAACTCAGAAAAAGGCCATTTATAATAAATAGAAATTAAAGAAACAATCCCTCTCAAGAATTTCAACCAATGTTACCTACATGTAAAACCAATATCAAAAGGCAAAAGCCATGGAATCTTGGAAAATGCATTCTCCGTATTAAAAAAATTCAAAGGCTACGATAAACCAGACATGCCAGTCCACTATGGATTAAGTTTAAATGTTTCATTGTGTTGAGATAATATCCTCCCCCTCAAAAACCCATCAGTGTTTGCATAGTGGGAGCACTCCAAAACTGCTCAATAGCTGGGACCGCCCCTCAGGAGCCAGGAGGACAGCCTGGTTACACAAGTGCAGTCACCCCCAACATGACTTAGGGAAACACAGCCCTTAGATAAGACCTGTTGGTGGTTCTTAATGCTTGTTAGACCACAGAGCACTCTAAAGCAGGGCTTCCCAACTTCCTTCCTGACATGCCCACTTAGAAAATGAAATTTGTGCAGCACCTGAGGTAAAGGGATGAGATGCTTTGGCTACCGCAGGGGCAGCGGGGTTCAGCATCCATAACCTGCCAAAAGCTGTGCTCTGAGAACTCATCTCAATCGACAGAAGAGAAGGCAGAAGGGAGGCACAGATATGCACCTAAAACTCTGCACACAATTAGGAAGTTCACAGTCTGCATGCAAACCTCTATCCTATATCAATTCCATCCGCCTTATCTGAGGTCACACAACTCATTAGTGACACACCTAGAATGAGAACCCAAGGCCCCCAACACAAGTTCTGGATACTCTGTTGATTTTCCAGGATAAACTGAATGTCCAAACACTTCTGAACAGCTGGCATTTGAGATGCATCTAGAATGGGCCATTAGAGTTCAAATGTGGAGTTTCCAGAATATGAAAGCATGCCCCAGTCAGGTTCTCAGGATTGTGAAGTCCTGTGTTTCTGTTGCTGGCTAAAGGCAAAGGGGCAAGGAAAGGGGACAAAATTGCTAAGTATTCAGAAAGAGCAGCCAAGTACTGAATCTTGAGAGACAGCAGAGAAAAGCACAGTTCCCTAAAGAAAACTAGAAAGGAGTGAAAGGAAGGGAGGAGAATTGCCAGAGAAAATATCAGAAGAGGAGAGAATCTCATGAAGGAGGGGTAGTTAAATCCCCTCGAAGAATGAGGAGAGCAAAACCTGAAGTGTGCCCTCCTTCTGGGCTGACCCTAGAACCCTTGTGGTTTGGGGCTTGCCACTTTAGCAGTGACAGGGCAGAAGGCAGCTAACAGTGGGTGTCAAAAGAACATGAATGAGGATGTGAACTCAGTAGAGATTATTACTTCAACAACTCGGTTGTGAAGGGGAAGACAGATACTGGACAATACCCAGGATGAACTCAAGGACAAGAGAAGTATTTGCTGAGAAAAAAGAATCAGTACATTTTATTCTAACTATTATTCAGAAATCTAGACCAGGAGTCACAAATCTCCTATTAAAATCATAAACCAGTTACTTCAGTTCTGTAGGCAATTGGTGCATATGAGAAAAATAATACATGACATAAAGGAGGCCTGTGCCAATGGCATGAGGAGATTGCTCCATGTGCTTCCCTTCAGATCCCCTGGTCTGCTCTGCCTATTCCTGTCCACCTGTTCAGCCTCTGGGCCCGCCTCCTCCTTCAACCTGTCTTGCAAGCATAGAGATTAGGGGTAGGAAAGGAGTAAAGAGAGAAAAATGGTTTAAACACACTCACAAAATAGTACATACAGCTGGTCTTGCTGAAGTGACCTAAAAAATGGTACACACTCTGCATTTGCTGAAATATCACATAAAATCACCTCAAAGAAAAAGAAAGAGGAAAAATATAGATACACAGAGGGAAAAGAGGCAATATTTCCTCTTCCTGCTGAGAATAAACCCATCACTGAAATAGTCATAATTTTTCTCTGACCTGAATAACCATATACTTCAACAGTATTTGAAGAAAAAAGCAGGTTTGGTCCTCAGCAATCTTCTCCCCTGATATGGCTGGTAGGAGTGGAGTGATTTCTTCTGGATATATCTTTACTGAAAGGACAGAAAATGATGACAGCTCATTCACCAAAGTTAAATTTTAAACAGAATTTAGGGTTTTAAAAATGGTCTCTATTAAAATACATCTCTCCATCCACTGAAGCAGCTCACACTGAGGAGCACACTCCAAGGCAGTGTGCATAAAGGGCCTGGAAACACAGCCCAGATGCCCACGAAGCGCCTTCTCCTGCTGCACCATTCTTTCCCGTTCAAATTCTGCTTTGGTCAGCCCAAGATCAAATGCCAGTCATTAAGCAATAACGCAATATACAGTAATAAATCAATGGTCCTAACAGGCAAGTTCCTTGAAAACTCACAGGACACAAATGACCACCGTTAATAGTCCCATGAGGCCACTATTGTCCTTCCATAGATGATGCAGGAAAATACAGTGGCAAAATAAGATCCTGGTGAGCAGATGAATGTCCACTTACGAACAACAGTGATAAGAACAATAAAAACAATAGCTTTGGATGGTGGAGTTTAATCTCATTAACAGCCAGAAAACCAGTCCAGACTTCCCATGTGTCTCTACTTCGTGCTACTGCCAACATCTGTCCCCTCCTATTCCTGCTTCCATCACTTCAGTACATTTCTCCTGTTTTCATTTCATATAAAATAAGCTCCAAGTCTTTTGATTCTAAGGTATGTAAGAATCTACAGTGAATATGAAAGGGGAATAATTCCTCTTCAGACTCCATCAGGATTTCTATTCAAGAAAATGAAAAAGTAAGAATTCCTCAATGTAAGTTCAAGAGTAATTTCAACATGGGAGATCTGCTAACATAACTTACCATCAGCTACACTAGGGCTGGGATTGATGAGTGTCTCCAGTGTGCAAGGGCCCCTGGATGACATGACTGCTGGGAAACCAGGCACCAGGCAAGCAAAAATCAGAACCTGCTCTTCTGCACAGTTTGTCTGAAGTGCTTGAAGCCACAGAAGAAACAGCCTGATTCCTTCACATCTTATCTAAAACAAAATTAAAAACAATGAAAATGAAACACATGTATTTACAGAAATGCATTACAATGTAGCATCGGTCTTGAGAAAGAAAAACTACAAGTTAAAGGTGTGTTAAGTAGTAAACCAAATTCTTCACTTAGTGACAAATAAGCAAAGATGCTGCAATACAGCACAAGAGTTAAGAGCCTGGGTTCTGGAGCCAAAGTGCCTGGGTTCAAATGTAAGCGCTGCCACTTTCTAGCTGGGACCCATGGAGAACCACTTAACTTCTCCATGCCTTAGTCTCCCCATCTGTAAAATAAGGATGATAAGACATTTACCACAAAAGACTATGATAAAGACTGAGTTAACATATGTAAACCAAATAACACAATGGCTAACTCCCAGTAAGCACTATGTAAGTGTTTCCTGTTAATAGTATCTTATTCTGTAAGGCAACAGTACCCACGGCCTCAATTATCCATAAAAACAATGACAAAGATAATCTCCCTCCAAATTTACATGTGCTATCACTATAATATGCCATGTTGATAATGTTCTTGAGAATCAGAAGATATGGAGCTAAATAACCTCAATGAGACAGAGCAGCTCTTCTTATACCTTATGTCCCTATTCTATTTCTCCAACACCTTTGCCATGCTCTGAATTGCCAGCATCACGCTGTAGGAGACATCTACATAGGGAGATGTGTCCTTTTTCTTTCTTTACACTTCAAATTTATCCCATTCCTAGAATTCAAAAGCACATGTCCCTCCATTTCTGTATTCCTAAATAACTGAAAAGATTATGTCAATAAAAAAAAAAAAGCAAAAGAGGTTGAAAAAATGTCACATGCAGCTGAAAGATGTAGTGAGCTCCAAATGCCAGCAACTGGAGTGACTGCCTCATCTCCTTTCAATTAATTCAAGGTGGTGCTGACTCCACCAGAGCAAGAATATTGCAAGTCAAACACAAAGCTTTGCCAGAAAACCAAACCAAAAAGTGGAGAAAAGCCTAAATAAATAAATAAAAATATTCTGCTTTCTCCCAATAGAAGCCAAAATACACTAGGACAGACACCCCAGCTGGTGACAGTACTGCCCCATTAACGGGGTAAATTCACAGTGTACTTCCAAACACAGTCCTGGACTCCACCACTGTTCTGCACAAACCTCCATGCCCACTCACACCTGTCCTCCTCTCCCAAGCAGGTAAAATGAGTGGTAACATTACTATTCAGCCATCAGACCGAGAGGGGAGGGGAGGGGAGGGGAGGGGAGGGGAGGGGAGAGAAGGGGAGGGGAGGGGAGGGGAGGGGAGGGGAGGGAAGAGAAGGCTCTATGTATATCTTTTTTCTTTTTTTGAGGCAGGGGTCGGGGGATGGAGTTTCACTCTGTTGCCCAGGCTGGAGTGCAGTGGCATGATCTCAGCTCACTGCAACCTCTGCCTCCCAGGTGGAAGCAATTCTCCTGCCTCAGCCTCCCGAGTAGCTGAGACTATAGGCGTATGCCACCATGCCCGGCTAATTTTTGTATTTTTAGTAGAGACGGGGTTTCACCATGTTGGCCAGGCTGGTCTCGAACTCCTGACCTCAGGCAATTTGCCTGCCTCGGCCTCCCAAAGTGCTGGGGTTACAGGCATGAGCCACTGTGCCTGGCCAGCTCTATGTATATCTAATCAAATTATATTTAATTGAACAAGAGGGAAGTTTCTATGAAATTCTACCACAAGTCTCCAATTGTTATATGTTAACTGTATTTAAGAGAACTAAATATAAATAAGGGTAGTTATAAACATGAGATTAACAACCTGATAGGTTTTAACTACAAGCCTATTTCCTTAAAATAAGAGGGACAAAATATAGAATCTACAGTGACGCTAGGAATAACTCACTTCGTTTTTTTTCAACATGTAAGAAATAGTTAACATATCAAGTTTTCAGAGGCTGTGATTGTTTAAGCCAATGTAAACCAACCAATATATTAGCTTATTAAAGGCATTCGCACAACTTAATTAACTCCAAGTGAATTACCTTTCATAAAATATTCATCCCAGGCTGAATTTTTTCTGCCATTTATGTTTTAGGGTAATCTTATCTCAGCATCAAGAAGTATATGTTATAATAAAAGACATATCCATTTCAAAATAAACCAATTTTAACCTATAAATCTGCCACAAATAAATATTCAAGAGTGAGACCCTGTTGTTCTTTTCTCCCACAATGGCTCTCACAATTAGTAAAATTAATTAGAGACAACTATAATTTTAACAACCAGGTTACCAAGATGGACAGAATCAAGCATGTGAGCTCTGAAGCTTAGAGGGCGACTGCACTTCCTTTTTCTGATGATAAAACTGGAGCAGTCAGTGCCTTGCCCATGGTCCCTACCCATACCCAGCAGAATCAGAATTAGAACTCAGAACTCTAAACTCTGAAGCCCAACCCATTTTCTCCTAATACTATTTAAAATGTCTCTCGCAATAAGTTATGATGTAAGAACAAAACCCTAACAATATAATTTCTCAATTAAAAATTAAAACTAAGTCAAGTGGTTTCTAAAGATCTTTTTTCCAAAATGCCCTAACATTGTTACTTTGTGGCATTAACAAATTTAAGAGTAATAAAAAATGTCATTACACAATAAAATAAATACCTTAATAGAATTTCCAGTGTGTAGAAGCTTCTTTAAAGTTGAGCCTGAAAGTTTAAAATAATGAATTATAAATAGAGTATATAAATGCATATCAAAGATCTATTTTAAGAAAATATGTACTTATGACAAAAATATACTTTTTAAAAATAAAAGGAAGAAGGCTGACCTTCAGAAGCAAAGCAATGTCACAGAGGGAAAGACGTTTTCAAGATAAAAGTACCTTAAGTATGTATCTCTTCAGAATTCTTTTAAAACAGTCAAAATGACTGATATTAAGGTAAGCCAAATGCCCACAGTGGATTATGCGCATATATCTCTTGTCATGCATAAAATGGATGCTTTTTTTTTTAATCTCTAAAGGTAAAAATAATGTAAAACAATTGCTCACAAAACATTTTTACAAGAACATTTTACAAATACTTAGAATGGCATGTTTCTCTCCTGGCAATGACAACCACATTTATGGGGTTTGGTCCATCAATAAATCCTCTAGCAGAGCGCTTTGGTCACTGTCAAGGAGGCAGAATCAAGGCTGACTCGGAACTCCAGTCAACTACAAAAACTGGTGCTGCAGCCCACTAGAATGAGAAAAGCTTCTCTTAGGAGGATAGAACACTATTACTAAGTCTTCTATAAATGTATTCATGACCTCAGTATGGAGATGGCAACCCCACCTAAATATCTTATGTAGCCTCTAAAACGGGATCTTAACCTCAAAAAAGGAGATGATCTTTTAAAACAGAAATATACTGAAAATCTGAGGCAAGAGAACTTTCCTCTCAGTCAAATTTCAGATCCTTTAAGAAAAAAATTACTTAGATCCTCTGATGAAAAGTTTGTGATAGCTCTTTAACAACTGGATATCAAATAATATTTACTCCACCAATGAATTTCATAGAGCTCCTCTAACAAGAGAGCCAGTGTTTTGGCAACTGATACAAGCCACAGCTACATTGATAAATACATATATAATAACTAAATGCATACTCTTTAGAAATTCATTAGCCAGAAAAAAATCACTGGCAATCCGAAGGAACCTTTTAGAACGATTCTACTGTTCATAACAACTAACACTAGGGCTTGGAGGAAACTCATCATCATGACTCAGGCTAGGTTCTAGCACTTAAATAACTAATAGTTTGTGCTTGAGTGAATGAAGCGAAAGTGTCTCCCCTTCCCCAACTTCTCCCTTCACAAAACTGTATCCAGTAATTTTTGGTCTAGAGCCAACATTTACTAGGCTGGCTCTCTCTGTCACAGCTAAGGTTCAAGTGTCCATCTAGCCCACACCTTTCCTCAACCTGGGGCCTTGTTCTTTGTCCCCATGTTCATCCATTCTTGGAGAGTTTGTTCTAAGTCAGTTTAACATCTACTTCATTACACCTTATGGTGGCTGGCAGAGCCAACAGATACTAGACCTCCCAGGAGACCTAATGATAAAGTCTGCACAGACAGTTCTCTTTCCAGCCATCTGGCTAATCCATCATCTTGCAACATATTCTTGGAAATACTTTCTCCTGGTCATTGTGTGTGAGCATTGGTGCTTGTTAGTCCTTCCCCTTGTTAAGATGGGTCTGGCTTGTTTTTGGTGGTGGTGGTGCTTTTTTTTTTTTTTTTTTTTTTTTTTGAGACAGAGTCTTGCTCTGTCGCTCAGGCTGGAGTGCAGTGGTACGATCTCGGCTCACTGCAACCTCCACCTCCTGGGTTCTAGCAATTCTCCTGCCTCAGCCTCCTGAGTAGCTGGGATTATAGGTGCATACCACCACGCCAGGCTATTTTTTGTATTTTAGTAGAGATGGGGTTTCACCGTGTTAGCCAGGCTGATCTCAAACTCCTGAGCTCAGGCAATCCACCCGCCTCGGCCTCCCAAAGTGCTGGGATTACAGGTGTGAACCACCGTGCCCGGCCGTTAGTGTTGTTTTTTAAGTATTTGGACTACCTATAGATGCCTATAACCACTGTTCTCTACACACAGAGGAGAAAAATACATATAGAAAGGGCATTACATGCAGACATATAGAACACATGACCCATATTGGTCAATGGTCCCAAACTTTTTAAAATTTATCTGGCAATTTGTTACAGCAGCAACAGAAAACTAATACATATGTATTTGATCTAGTCTATTCTGTTGTAGTGAAAAACTCGTTTGTACATGGGAAGCAGTACAGCTTAGCAGTTATAAGTCAGATTCAGAAGCTAGACTGCTAGGGTTCAAATCTAGGTTCTGCATTTATTAACTGTAACCTAAGTTAGTAACTTCATCTCACTATGCCTGAGTTCTCTCATCTGTAAAATGAGGTGACAATAGTACTTATCAGACAACTGACAGTGAGATTTAAACGAGTTAATACATATAAATGCACAGAACAGTGCCGGGTATGTGGTAAGCACATTTTCCAC
Source organism: Homo sapiens (assembly GCF_000001405.40). Classification (NCBI taxonomy): domain Eukaryota; kingdom Metazoa; phylum Chordata; class Mammalia; order Primates; family Hominidae; genus Homo; species Homo sapiens. The sequence continues at coordinate 20,645,909 of NC_000020.11, forward strand.
ACAGGACAGGGCATCAGCTATTCTCTAAGGAACTCTTTTTTAATAATAAAAAAAAAAAAAATTAGCAAGAAAAACATGTGCAGTGGAGGCACATAGCATGAGGACTGGTAATAAGTAGCTGAGAACCTTGCTTGGCCTCTGTAGGGCTTTTTTTTTTTCTTTTTGAGATGGGGTCTCACTCTGTAGCCTAAACTGGAGTGCAGTGGCGCGATCTCAGCTTACTGCAACCTCCGCCTCTAGGGCTCAAGTGATTCTTGTTCCCCAGCCTCCTGAGTAGCTAAGACTACAGGCATGCGCCACCATGCCTGGCTAATTTTTTGTATTTTAGTAGACATGGGGTTTCACCATATGGTGATCCGCCCACCTTGGCCTCCCAAAGTCCTGGGATTACAGGTGTGAGCCAATGCGCCCAGCCCTCTGTAGGTATTTTTTAAGGCCTTAAGTTCACAAAGATATTTCTACTTTAACATTATCAAGTCATTTCTCATTTTGTTTTAATTTTTAAGTTCCTCTATATATGTCATGCCTGTTTGGATTTTTAAACTTCTTATTCAAACTATAATTATACCCACCCCACCTCTTCTGTGCCTTGACCATGGGAATAACTGAAAGAATAAGTAAATAAGATCTAATTACTTGGGCTGATTCTATGAATTTCTAATTTCTATTGGCTAACTTTTACTACATTTTAACCATAAATATCCTTTGAATGTAAGTCTTACTACTTTTGAAGAGGCAGTAAAAACGTCAGGGCTGCAACTAGTGAGAGAAGAGTGTAGATTCTGAAAAAAATTTAAGGGATACTAAAAAACTCATTAATCAAGATAAATATTTTCATGCAATGGTTTTTAAAAATTGCATTTTAAAAAATGCAAAGAATCCATAATGAACAATATTAAATTTTTAATTACTAATGTTCCGCTGAACCATATAGGAACCAGAGGGAAAAGAAAAAGGGTATACTTCTGTATGTGTGTTTCTATGTACTTTTAATTTTTTTTTCTCGTGCAGAACATTAAAGTAGCTTAAAAATGTAAAATTGGATGTATTAAAACTCACAGCATTAGTTTAAATATTTTATTTATAACAAAGAATGTATTATAATATTACTTTCCTGGCTCTGAAGAAAGCAAATTCATCAATAATATTTTCAAAATCTATTTCTTTGCTTCTCATTTTAGATTGTAAGAATTGTCACATTTGACAATTTCTCTTTGAACAAGTAACAATCTTTTAAAGATCTTTTAATAATATTTTTAAGGCCAGGAGATCATACAGATATTTCTCACCTAAAACTTTAACATTATAAAATCTTTTCTTATTTAGTTTTAATTTTTTAAAACCTCCTTCTCAATATCACACTTCAAACCAAATTACACACAATGCAGTACACCATCAGCATCAAACAAGAAGCAAGAAAGAGAGAAACTCCCTCTGGGCTAATGGTATGCCAAGCCTGCTAGAAGAGGCCAGTGGAATACGAACAGAGAACTTCCTGGCACTACAAGATCCACACTAAGCATGAGGAACCAGCATTCCACTAAAAAATTTGAAATTAACATAAATTAGCTCAAAATGGATCAAAGACCTAAACTATAGAACTGCTATATGAAAACATAAAAGATCTTTGTGACTTTGGGTTAGGCAAACATGTGTTACACATGACATCAAAAGCACAATCCATAAAAGAAAAAACTGATTAACTGGATTTCTTAAAAATTAAAAACTTCAACTTTTCCAAAGACACTATTAAGGGAATGAAAAGACAAGCCAGAAATGGGGAGAAAATATTTCCAAGGCATCAATCTGAGATTTTTTTTAATGGGCAATAGATTTGAACTTCACCAAAGAAGACAAAGTAATGGCAAATAAGCACATAAAAAGATGCTTAAGATTATTATTATTAGTCAATGAGATACCACTATCACTAAAATAAAAAGACTGATCATAACAAATGTTGAAGAGAACGTGGAGTAACTGGAGCTCTTATGTTGCTGGTAGGAATATAAAATGGTACAACCACTTTGGAAAACAGTCTAGTAGTTAAACATACACTGTTACATGGTTCAGCCATTCCACTCCCAAGAGACAGGAAACCATATGTTCACACAAAGACGAGCATAAATGTTTATAGTAGCTTTACTTATAATAGCCCCAGATGCTAGAAACAATCCAAATGACCATCAATACCTGAATAAATTATGGAATTATGACATGTCCACACAATGGAATACTGTACTACTCAGAAATTAGAAGGAATGAACTATTAATTCATGAAATAATATAAATAAACCCTAAAATAATTACGCCAAGTGAAAAAAGCCAAACAAAGAAGAGTACATACTTCATGATTCTACTTATGTAAGACTCTAGAAAACGCAAGCTAGTCTACAAGGGCCAGAAAAGCAGATCAGTGGTTGCCTAGGGACTGGGGGATGAGATGAGAAAAGATGGGAGAGCGGGATTACCAAGGGGGACGAGGAAACTTTCGGGGGTAGTACCTATGTTCATTATCTTGATGGTAGTAATGATTTCATATATGTATACCTATGTCAAAACTTATCAAAATGTGCATTTTAAATATATGTAATTTACTGTGTATAAATTGTTAACCACCCCCCATAAATATTTTTTTTTTAATATAAGAAAAAAAGATCAGGCGACCTGGAAGTGATTGGGTCAAAGATCAGGAGAATGGAGGATGTGGTCAAGACAGAGATCAGTGTCTGAAGCCATTGAGGCACAGAGGATTGCGGTGGGGGTTGATGGGTAACTTGGCATGAAGGAAAAGGGCTAGGAGAGAACAAAGCCATGGGGGATGGGGGGAAGGCAAGCGAGCAGGAGGTCAAAAGACATGGCAGCAACCAGGAGGTAGAAGATGGCATGTAAAAGGGACAGAGGTTTCCACAGAGGGAATGGTGGCTGATGTCTAGAATTGGCATGGGAGAAAAGAAAGACCATGATCTCACCCCCACTCCTGAGGGAGACAGAGGAGCTTCAGACAAAAGTCAGGTTTCAGATGGTCAGGGAGGTGAAAGAAAGAGGCTGAGGTTTCAGGGCTATTGTTTAACGCAAGAAGAGGACCCCCCCAGAGGGCAAAACACAAAGAAGTGCCTGGGAGGGGAAGAAGCACAGAGCAGTAACGGTAAAAGCACCCTGAGAGGGCATGGAAAAACACCAGGTGAGTTGGCCCCTAAGCTACCAGGGGCATTAGTTCCAGACATCTCCTGCTGAACATGGAGGCAGGTGGGGTCCCTGATTTCACCCAGCCTGGCTGTGATGCACTTCTGAGGGAGTCCTGTGTGAAGTGCACAGGGAAACCCTGCTCTCTCAGGAAGAGTGAGGTATGGTATGGTCTGAATGAGGGGAGCAGGGAAAGCTGCCAGACTCAGGCTCCCAAGGAAAAGTTAGGACCCAGTGGGGAGTAGGGACCTTGAGAAATGAGACTGGTCAGAGGCTATGTTCACATCCCAGGCAATGTGGGGCCACTGGTTAGTCCCAGGCCCAAAGCCTGGAATACACTTAAAAAGCAAAAAACAAATTTTCAGCTTAGTTAGGCCTTTGGTTTTTACATTATGTATATAAAAAACCTAGGTGAACAAACTAGATTTAATAATGACTCATAAAAAACATATGAGGTATTGCACATATGTGAATTTTCCAATAACTGAACCCCACCCCTTTAAACCTAGGGATTATTCATTTTTAACATTTTTTATATAAAACATCTCTAATACAAAATATATCCTTCTGCCTACCTGACAAATAATTATTGAGTTCGGGCACAGCACTGTACACTGAATGAGACAGGAAACTTGGTTTCTAGAGGCTCCAGAGCAGTAAGCCTTCTTAAAGTCAACACACATATAACTTAAGTCCTGTGTTGACGATGCGCAGCCTGCCCTTATACCAAATATCCCTGGTTTGCTGCCAGTGCGATTCTTTGCCATTGCCTCACTCTCTATCAGTTCTAATTATTGCCCAGAAATGAGATGTCAAGCAGTCACCTTTATCCACCATGATTTACTGGCCTAAAAAATGACTTCAGAAAAAATTTGATAAACAATTTTTTCTTTCGTAGTCAGTAATAGAAATTGACAAATAGTTGAGTTGTATATTAGTGTACAATGCAGAGCTCATGAGTATTGTGCCAACCACTCCCCTGGTCATCTTGCTGTACAAACATCACTTGAAGAAATACCTCCAGATGGAATAATGAACCCATGTTCATTTCACATTGCAAAACTTACGAGTTCAAATATGTTTCCTCATTCAACGATTTAAAGCAAGGAGCCAGCCATTAAAAACCAAAACAAAAACCGCAGATTATCCCTTCCCTTTAAAAGCAGTTTTAAGAGAAATAGAATGTCTCTGTTTTCTACAGACAAAATAAGATGACATGATAAGAAACAGACTTCAAGCACTGTGGTGGTTGATGTTTCAAACTATTTTCTTCCTTCTCAGGATAAAATGTGGCTTTCGAGACTCATAGAATACAGCAGTTGCCCTTATTTTAGGTTTCTCTGCTTAGAGACACTGTCATTTGCAGTGTGGGACAAGAAGCATACCGCATCAGTGGTGTATAACTACAACTTCAAGGTTTTAACCCAACATTTTAGAATACCCTGTCCCCCACCAGCTGCAGTAACATTTAATTAGTAAGACATTAGTATAGGAGTGTCCTCCCTAGTAGGTAAGGAATATTTGCTACCTAGAATATCAGACACTGGTTGGTGAGAAGGCCCCTCCTTGCCCAAGACTCAGAAGTTTTGTAAAAGTCAGGATGCCAATGCTGAGGACATATTTAAAGCATATTCCTTTCCTTTGATACCTGGTATTTCCCTATAGTTTCTAAGTTTCTACAACAACTCAGTCAAGACCCGGACTGACTAATGGTAACAGTTTTAAAAATCCAAATAAACTGGAAATAATTCAATAGGTACAGTGAGGTATATATGTATATAATTACAAATCCATAATCTCTTATGGACCATTTCAAAATCCAAAAGATTATAGGAAAACTGAAGTTCTTCTGTGTAAGTCATTAGTGGACAGAACCTAATCTGAATTCATATGCCTGCAACACCCGAATAAGGCTATCTTGTGTGTAGATATTCCACTAATGGTACATATTCTTATCTTAAGCTATAGAAATAATAACTTGCTTAGTTGGGGCCGGGAGGAGAAGGCGCTGCCCAGGCCACTGGAAGTGTTATGTTAAGATTGTCTTGATGTTCTAATTTATTTGCTTCATTGTACATCAACGCACCACATTGTCATTCTAAAATCTGAAAATGCCTGATTCCAAAGCACATCTAGTAAAGATCACTGTAGAAGCGATGTGGACCTGTGTCAACACCAATTTCCACCCAATATGATTATTATGCAAAAATATATTTGTCTGAAAAGAGCCTGTTTGACTTTAAGTATATAAGCATCAGTAATAAATGTGGATTATTTTACATGCAAATGCTCATATTTCAACATTCTGAAATATTATTCATTCTGACCACTTTACAGCACCAGCTTGTTCTGCACACCAGATAAACAACACATACTGCTATTAGATGGCTCAGGAAACTCAGTATTTGGCAATCTCAATTGAGGAGTCTGAGGCCTCCAGTCATTGTTCTTGCTAAGATGCTGCCAAACTGGGTAAAAAGCTACTTGTACCAGCAATTTTAACCAGTTTATGTGGTATTAGGCAGAATTAAAATAATACTACACACTGCCTACTAGACACATAGTTTCACAACACAAATGCAAATTAATTTTCACACATAGTCCTAATAAGTTTATTCATGCTGTGAAGAGCCTACTAATCTTCAGACATTCTAAAGTGCTATCTAAAGAAAATTAGCATAGTTTTCATACAAATGATATAAACAAAATTGAAGAAGGATTATATGTAGCACAGATAAAAAATACTGCATGCAGTTATTTCTCATTGTCAGCCATTCCTACGGTACCATGGAGCACCACAAATCCCCATGATGTCTCTTTGGATTATACCTTACATTTAAATTTTTATTTTTACTTTAATTTAAAAACACAAGCTGAAAGTCTCAATTAAGCAGAAATGCAATGGAGAACTCTCTAAAATTTAAAGGAAAACTTTCTTTGTGTATTTGAAATATTTAAAGATAAAGGCACTATCTTAAAGTAATGATTTACACATTTGGTTCAATTGACATATACACTTTTTTAAATTAAGAACATATAACTTCAAATAATTCAGTTTCTATAACAGTCAATTCAATTTTAATAATTGAATAATCCTAAATGAAATTTAGGATTTAGAATTTTGGAATATCCACTAATCATGTTGCATTCTTTCAGGTTCCACAACTTTGTACATATTGATCTCCCACCCAGAAAACCCTTTCCAAACTGCACCTGTTCATCTTTCAAGGCTCAGATCAAAGTTACCTCTCTTGAAGCCTTCCTCAATTCCTCTGAACAGAATTATTCAACTTTTCTTTTTTGTTATCATCATACTTCTTTCATAGAGACAATTTTGCTGTAATTATTTTTCTCATCTATCCCCTGACTGGGCAAAAGGCCTATACAATACAAGAATGGTGATATATTCTTAGTTTCTGTCCCAGAACTTTGCACACAAATGTCTCTCCCTCAACAAATATTTGAATGAATGAATGATCAAACAGAGTTAGATTCCATCATAAGGTCACACTCTCCACAAATACAATCATCTGGTAAGTAAGAAATCTTGTAGGACATGCTAGACTCTTGTACGGCAGGGGATTGAAGGAGACACTGTTTAAAACGGAAGGCAGAATTCACGATTGATTTCCCAGAATTACTCCAGCTGTGCTGTGTATATTCAAGTGGGATGAGATGTTAGAGGTTAAAAGCTGGACAGAAAAGGCAGCTGTGGTAATTTGCTTTATTTCAAGTTTCCTCTCAATGCCACATCCTAAAGCATTCAAAGAGAATAATTTTCAGTCAATGATACAGGCTTAAAGAACAAGAATTCTCTTGGCTGGGCACGGTGGCTTACACCTATAATCCCAGCACTTTGGGAAGCCAAGGCGGGTGGATCGCTTGAGGCCAGGAGTTCGAGACAGCCTGGCCAACATGGTGAAACCCCATCTCTACTAAAAATACAAAAAAAAAATTAGCCGGGCATGGTGGCGCATGCCTGTAATCCCAGCTACTCTGGAGGCTGAGGCAGGAGAATCACTTGAACTCGGGAGGCGGAGGTTGCAATGAGCCGAGATCACACCACTGCACTCCAGCCTAGGCGACAGAGCAAGACTCCATCTCAAAAAAAAAAAAAAAAAAAAAAAAAAAAAATACACACTACTGTGATTCAGGAGGTCTGGCTGGGACCTGAGATTCTGCATCTCTAACAAGCTTCTGGGTGAGGCTTATGCTGCTGGCCTATGAACTATACTCTAAGGAGCACACAGAGGAAGAGAGAGACATATTTGTCTCCAAAGTCAGGGTTGAACTTGTCTTGGTTTTCATTACCATAATACCATACCCTTATTAATATTCCTTTCTATAAGCTATCTTGATGATATCAATTATATAAAACATTACTGAAAATTCAACTGGAAGAAATTCATATTACTAAAAAATTTTTAATTGTTCTTACCTATACTCTGGTAATGCCATCGAAAGAAAATTCGTTCAGGTAGAAACTGCAGTATTTTCTATTAAAAAAAGATATAAAGAAAATAAACAACAAATGAAATTACACATTTTCATGACAGGCCCATATTACTCACTGTAGGTAAGTTCTAGAAGAGGAAAAGGAAACTATGTACAATAACATAAATACTGCACTTCATGCTGTATTCCTATGAGATAGTTTCTTTCACTTGCCCCAGGCAAGCTTTCTTACCTGAATGTTTTAAAGAGATCACTGTCCCAAGTTTAATTCCCTCCAAAAGAAAACAAGAAAAAACCTAAAATGTTATTTTTATCTTAATTAAATAATAGCCATTTCTTAAATATTAAAATAAAAATTTCCCAAATGACAGATTCCCCAGGTTTCTTCTTTTTCACCATCTCCTTCCCATTTTCATTATAATCACTATTAGTCTCTGGACAAAGAACAGGATTGGGAAGAAAAGTGAAAACAAAGAGAATGAGACTGTAAACAACTCAGTGAGACAAGAAAATGAAATTGGTGGCAAGAATTTCATGAAATTAATGGCCAAAAAAACTAATAAGTTTTAGAATTATAGTTAAGAATATCCCCAAACTTTTACAAATTTGACTTTTGTAGATTCCATATATATGAGATCATGTAGTATCTTTTTTTTCTTTGAGACAAAGTCTCACTCTGTCGCCCAGGCTGGTGTGCACTGGCGTGATTTCAGCTCACTGCAACCTCTGCCTCCACGGTTCAAGTGATTCTCCTGCCTGAGTCTCCCAAGTAGCTGGGATTACAGGTGCTTGCCATTACACTCGGCTAATATTTGTATTTTTAATAGAGATGGGGGTTTCACCATGTTGGCCAGGCTGGTCTCGAACTCCTGACCTCAGGTGATTCACCCACCTCAGCCTCCCAAAGTGCTTGGATTACAGGCGTGGGCCACCACGTCCAGCCCCATGCAGTATCTTTCTGTGCCTGGCTTATTTCACTTGGCAACAATGTCCTCCAGGTTCAACCATGTTGTCACAAATCACAGCATTTCCTTTTATAAGGCTGAATAGTATTTCACTGTGTATTCATACCACATTTTCTATATCCATTCATTCACTGATGGACACTTAGGTTGTTTCCATATCTCAACTACAGTGAATAATGCTGCAATAAACATGGGAGTGCAGATATCTCTTCTGCATACTGATTTTAATTCCTTGGGACATAAAGCCAGAAGTGGGATTGCTGGGGCATATGGTAATTTTATTTCTAGTTTTTTTGAGGAACTTCCATATTATTCTCCATAACGGCTGCACTAATTTACACTCCCACCAACAGTATACCAGCATTTCCTTTTCTCTACATCCTCACCAACACTTGTTACCTGTCATCTTTTTGATAATAGTAATTCTAACAGGTGTGAGATGACATCTCATTGTGATCTTAATTTGCATTTTCCTGATGATTAGTGATGTCAAACGTTTTTTCATAAACTTGTTGGCCAAATGTATCTATGTATTCTTTTGAGAAAGTCTATTCAAGTCACCTTATCTTTCAAGCCCATAACTCTCAAAGGTATCTCATATCTAATGTTACTACACGATAATTCTGACAAACACTCAAACACACCCACATGCATTCCAAATCCCATTTAGTGAAAAATACCTACACACCAGACAACAGACTTCACTCTTGAAAAATAAAATAAATATAAATAAAATATGTAATCCTTCCAAGATTTCATGAATAGTGGGCAAGAGAGATGATAAAGAAAAGAATATCAGTTAGCAAAAAAAAATTTTTTAAATAAAAAAAAAAACCTTGACAGACGTTTGCACGAAATATTACAGACGTAAGGGGGAAAGAGCTTCACCTCAGCAGGGGCTTCATGGAATGCTTCCTGGAAATGAGGACACTTGAGCTGAGACTTAGAAGATGAATTAAATTCGCCTAGTGGATAGGGACAGAAGGAATGCCATGGGAGAATGTTAGAAGGCCAACACAGCTTGGTGCCTTACAGGAACCACAGCAGCAGGAGGGTCAGTTTGGCTGGTAGGCAGTGAGAAGGGGAGGAGATGGGCCTGGAGAGGCAGGCGAGGCTGGGGGCTTAATGTCCTCATGGGAGCAGTGTGGTCCCTGAATGGGTTCCAGCTGGAGGTGAACTGGAGGCAGCTGAGAGGGGAGGTAGACACAGTCACTAAAGAGAGGCAATGGTAGCATTTCAGAGGAGAAATAAGAAGGCCTGGATCAAGGCCGGCCAGGTAAAGAGAACATATAATAGTGATATGCAGGAGATAAAATTGTCAGGATAAGTGGGTAGAGGGGCTGTAGTAAATGGAGGTCTCCATGGCTCCCAGTGGCTTTGTAGATGGCAACACCTTTATCCAAGAGATCAAATCCAGATGCAATCTTAGACCCGAGGAGAATAAGCTGTCAAGTTTGATTCTGGACATCCTGCCATTTGAGGTGTCAAGGGATGACCTTACTGGAAATGTTCTTCTAGGCAAATGTGTAAATGGGTCTGGAGTACAGAGGCAGGATTTGGACGGTAACAGATATGGGCAGCAGCTGAAGCTGTGTGTACATGAGAGCTCTCTTTTGAGAGAGTTTAAAATACGACAAGATGAAGCTCTGGAGGTATCCGTGAGCTGAGGGAGCTCTGCTAAGAAGGTAAAATGAAGGTAAAGCAAAAGCCAGAGGCTAATGTGCTCGAATCCAAGGAGAAATCTTTGATATGCCAGCTATTTGTATGCTTACTTATTATAAAGATTAGAAACATTTACGAGTATTTATATGCACAACTAGTTCTAAAAAGTTAAACATATTAGAAAATGTGGGGAAATTGATGTCACATAACAGAATGACTTCAATATTAAATAAAGTGAGCTCAATATTAATCTCTTGCCTTGAGAACACACAACCTTTGTAAGCCAGACACCAAATGCCAGGCATGACAGATCCATCTATAAATTGTACAGAAGTAAACTGGCTGTTTCAAGGGAAAAAAAATCAAAATAAGTCTTCCCCTTGCAATATGCTCTAACATTAATTTTAGATGGATAACACAAAAAAGGAGCTAAATATAAAAACTGGGTTGTTATGTTATGTCAAGTTACATTACATTAAAAGGGAATCAGAATAAGTAAAACAGCTCTCTACAGAATATCTTAATAAGAACCCACGTGAGCATTGTCTTACCAACAGAACCTAAACTCAAACATCCCCATGGGCACATAGGATCAAGAACCCAAGCTGGTTTACAACCTACAGGAAAAAATCACAAGCAAAGAGATTAGAACAAGAAATGCAAAGACTCTGGAACTGAGAATAAGAATGAGGGTCTCAGGAGTTAGGCTGCCAGGCCAAATGAGCAACTCTAGGGCCACAAACACAATCTGGAGATGGCCTGGGGATCACCAGATGCGAGAGATGAAGACAAGCCTGCACCTGCATCTAAGTTAGATCCTCTGGTTCTTTAACTCAAACTTTCTCTTAACAGAAAAATTTACTATAGACCCCAATTTGGTATCTTTGATAAAAAATTAATGATAATAGCAAGGTGAGTTTTCTGGAAAACATGCTGCAATGGAGGAGATAGGAGTACAAATGGCCTACTGAGGACTAACACCTGTGAAAGGGAAAAGACGGCAGCAAGATTAGACAGGGGAGCCTCAGACCACGAGGCAGAGCTGACAAATCTCTGCCAGCCTAGCGGAAGCTCCAGAGCAAAGATGAGAGGAGTCCAGTGTGACCAGAAATGGCGAGGCCCTTGTACTACTGCCTCTGGCAGTTACTGGCTTGGGGCCATGATGCAAAGAGTATGACCAAGGATGGAAAGCCGAAGGTGTGAAGAGCTGGAAACCATCAGCTAACGCCACTTTTGTAGCTGGGCAGCACATTCTTTCTTGAAGGGGAATATGTACAGTCCATCTCTATGTGTGCCACAATAATCTTCAAATTATTAATTAGAATATTCTCATCACATTGGAAAGCTGAAGTTCTAAGAGACGGGCCCCCTACTTGAGAGACATGGCTTCTCTACTGGCAGTTTCTCAACAGCTGGCTGCTACCTCACGTTGATGGAAACCTGGTCCCAGTGAGTTCTCCCCATGCTTTCTGTGCTTCCTTCCATGCAGTTCACAGTGCCTGGGCAAACGGCACAGCAGTAACTTGGTGTCCTATTATCTCACGCATTCTCCTTTAAGGGACCTGGCAGCCCAGCTACATCCCAGGATCATATTCTGATCCCATCTTGCCACTTAAACATTTCATATAGGAAATGCTGAGAAAAGTAAAGATTCAGAATAGATCTTAGATTAGATGAATGCTTGACATACCCACTGTTCTTCAGGTCTTTAATTTGGTCAGGAAACTAATTTGGCAGTGAAAATCATGCTTTTTAGTTTTCCAAAATACATATTGGTCTTCTTGATTTCATTTTCTTTTGTTAGCACACAACAAAGAAAAACACAGAATACAGCAAGACGATGTGTATCTACATGCTTAGATACTGTCAGTCTGCCACAAAAGTAATTTCCAGCTTATTCTGAGGTCAAGCCTATCATTATCACCACTTCTGGGTAAGTTTTCAGATTCACAAAATGGATGGACTTTAAAAACACTCAAAAAGGCTTGGATATGAAATGCATGCCCAGTATCTGAGCTACTAAGAATATTCCCAAATAGACAAAATCTTACACAACAAGTCAAAGGCTGAAACATTACCCACACTGATGCTTTTTGTACCCAAATATTGCAAGAGCCATTGTTTAAAGTCTATGAGGTCAATAAAAATAAAGCCCAACACAACTATCTATGTCCAAATGCTAAGCCTGTCCCTCAGAAAGCCCTAGATGAAGGCTACCTTTACTGGGACAAATACAATCTGGCATTTCTTCTACTGCAGCCAATATTCTAAGCTATACTGCTGTGAATGCCACATAAGCTACTGACATCTTGTTTGTAGTTTCACTGGAAAGTAAAATAAGAAAAAAAAATCAAGAAAGCCACACAGTGTGAATAAATATTACTTTTCTGAAAAACACACAGCTCTATTTAATGCTCAGTGCTCAGCTGCATCTATATGGTAATCCATTATAGTACACTCGAAATCGAAATTAGGTATTACTACTGATCAGCACATCAGGGAATCTGTCATTCTTTTAACTGATTATCCATAGTTCTTTTTTCTTCAGAACCTACTGCATGACCAGGAATAATGTGAAATGTAAGCTGGAGTCTACACAAGATGCTATAGTCTACTTTATAACTGCTGGTCTTCTGATTTGTGTGGGAAATATTTTTAAATTATTATCAGATGACTGCAACATGTCCCAGTGGATTCACACTTGATTTCAATTCCACTTAGAAAGCTAGGACAGTGAAGAATGAAGAAAATACTACATACTAACTCATGGGAAGGTAATCAACTACAATAATGACCAACTAACATGTTACATCTGAAAGCAGAGTGTGGGGAGCAACCCTTCCCCAAACTAGCTGCAGGACAGAAGAGCTCTGGGTAAAGAAAATGCTGACCGAGAAGAAAACAGATTTGGTTTAAAAGAACAGAGGTCTTAGTTACTTGACCTTTTGAATAATAAATATGCAGAAAACTTATGATGAGAACTGGACTGTTCGGTTTAAAGAAAACATTCTGTGAATGCCTGTGCTACAAGTATAGTCTGATTTCAGAGGGACCCACGTGCATAGCAGCCCAGCTGCATAGATGCTTCCAGGGAGACCCATAGAGAGGGCAACTTGATCATTTGCTGTCTTAGGCCTGGACACTCATCTCTTACTACAATGACTCAACTCTTTCATGAAGACAGAATATTTGCCTTGAACACTTTCTCATTAACATTATAACAAAATGTTATTTGAGGACCTGCTATACGTTTAAAGTTAAAAGAAAGTTATTCTAGAACTGAAAGTCCATCAGCCACATACCTCCCTTCTTCAATATATCCTACACAATTCATATTCCAGAAAATATACAGATTAATCAAAATAATCCGAAAACAAGGGTGTGGGGTTCTAAACACTGTGACAGTGAGCTATATTTACATAATTGGAGTTAATATGACTATAAAAAAGAGTATATTCCTAAAACAACTAACATAAGACAACATCCTAAAAATATTATAATAAAATAATCTGAATGGCAACAGCAGCAGCGAGAGGATGAACAAGTTATACACCTTGAAAGATGATGACACTGGGGACCATGCTCAGAATGAAGAAAACAGCACACAGAAAGATGGAGAGAAGGAAAAAACAGAACAAGACAAGAATCAGAGCAGCAGCAAGAGGAAAGCTATTGTCCCTGGACCAGCAGAGCATCCCCTACAGTACAACTACACTTTCTGGTATTCCAGGAGAACCCCTAGCCATCTCACCAGCTTACAGAGCTACAAAGAGAATATCAAACAGATTGGCTGGGTGCAGTGGCTCATGCCTGTAATCCTAGCACTTTGGGAGGCTGAGGTGGGCTGAATACTTTGAGGCCAGAAGTTCGAGACCAGCCTGGCCAACGTGGTGAAACCCAGTCTCTACTAAAAATACAAAAATTAGCCGGGGGCCGTGATGGCGCACACCTGTAATTTCAGCTACTCTCACTTAAGCCTGGGAGGCGGAGGTTGCGGTAAGCTGATATTGCACCACCGCACTCCAGCCTGGGCAACAGAGCAAGACTCTGTCTTGGAAAAAAAAAAAAAAAGACTATCAAACATATTGATACCTTTGCCTCTGTGAGTTCTCAATGATTTAATGGAGCCCTGACAGTTCACTCATGCCTGTATTTATATCGTGATGTTTATTTACCTTCCTGGTAACCTATTTAAAATTCTGGTTTCCTTAGCTGACTGACCTGTCTGAGAGATCAGATTTGTTCATTCTTAGGTTTCTCCCTAAACATTCCTAGTTAACATGTAGGTATCAACAAATATGAGAATTGCAGAGTTGATCGGAAGAGCATAATACAAAAGTACAGGCCTGTTTTTTTTTTTTATTTAAGTAGACATTTATGCAGTCCTTATTAAGCTCAAAGTGCCATGGAGAATACAAAAGCTTATAGTACCTGGCATCTAACCTCATGAAGTTTGACAGTAAAGTGAAAAGTAAAGCTTGAAAGTTTTGTATTTAAGAACCTCCCATTAAGGTTTTGGCTGTGTTCACGATCATGCATAAAATACTTTTTTCCTGTGTTCAGAAGGAAAATGAAATCCCTAATAATTGCTTTTGTGGGTACTGACAGTAGATAGAGCCTAGACTATGTCTCACCTCCCTCCCAGGTGACTTGGTTTGTGGGTACCCCAAGAATCTGTCTGCAACTAACACCAGTCTTGTTGAACAAAGGTTATTATGTACCTCCTGTGTGCTGTACAGTTGATCTTTAGGCAGAACCAAATGCAGGGTCTGTCATTTTCTTGAAATTATTGAGGTATTAGCCCTGTTTAAATGTGTAAAAAAGAAAAGAATACTCTAATAGGTAACATTACAATAAACTACTAAAGAGGGAAAAATAATATAAAATTAATAATAATCTGGGTATAAACTGCTTAAAATAGTTGAGAAGAAGTACAAAAGACATATGGAGTTAAAGTAAAAGTATAGGGCTATCATCGAATTTTGCTTTATTTATTTTTTTTTGAGACAGAGCCTCGCTCTGTTTCCCAGGCTGGAGAGCAATGGCGCAATCTTGGCTCACTGCAACCTCCACCACCCAGGCTCAAGTGATTCTTGTGCCTCAGCCTCCTGAGTAGCTGGGATTACAGGCGTGTGCCACCACATCCAGCTAATTTTTGTATCTTTTAGTAGAGACAGGGTTTCTCCATGTTGGTCAGGCTGGTCTTGAACTCTTGGCCTCAAGTAATCTGCCCACCTCGGCCTCCCAAAGTGCTGGGATTATAGGTGTGAGTCACTGTGCCTGGCTGAAATACTGCTTTGTTCTTGATATTAGAAGAAAAACAATGCAAATGATATTGTTAATTGAAAGATAGTTATTGGAATGAAAATAGAAAGTGCACCTTCCAAATTACAAAGCATATTCCATAAAGCCAAAATCAGTGACCTCTCCCCCAAAAACAAAGTTAGAAGAAAAGCTAAAACCAAGTGCAATGGGCATCAGAATACACAGATGTGTACTGGTTACCACACACAAAAAGTAGTAAGTATAAGCAGGTTAAATTCCCCTACCGAAGACCAAGTCCATCAGACCCAGCTTTCAAACACAGAAAGACTGACAATAAAATACAGAAAAGGAGGCTCACATGCACACACACCCACACAAAGCAATATTAATATCAAGTAAAAAAGTATTAACAGGACAAAGGGAATTATTTCAAATAGGTTAAATATGTAATTTACGATATACCTATAATACTTATGAATCTTTATGCAACAAATAACATAGCATGAAAATAAAACAATGGAGGCATACTCCATTAAAACAACTTTCAGAAACTAAAGGGGAAAAACACTTTTTAAATGGGGGATATTAACACACACTATCTTTGAGAAATAAAATAGGCAATACAGTATAATACGGAAGACTTGAATGTAGTTATAGCAAGACTGGTTTAACAGCTATATATCAAACTTCACAGAATCCAACATCTATGAAACATTTACAAAGTTATTATTCTAAGCGATGCAAATAAATCCCTCAAAGTAAGTGTTACACAGGTCACAAGCAAACTCAATACACTGGGAGTCCACCATCAAGAGTTTAAGCTAAAAAATTCTCAATTATTTGTGGATTTTAAACACTCAAGTTAAAAAAAAAAAGTAATTCTCAATTACTTGTGGATTTTAACACTCGAGTTAAAAAAACTGATTATATAAACGAAAAATAATCAACATTGTGATTCGCATATAACAAAAACTGGCCAAAGCTGAAATAAGAGACAAATCCATAGACTTGAATTTCCTACAATGCAAGAACTAAGTTTTAAACTCAAAAAATAGAAATAAAAAAGTTTTATTAAGGAAGAAATCAATAAAAATAAAAGCAAAAATGACTTACATAATGAAATTATCACCAAGTATTGTTAATCACTAAGCTACAGACAGTTGAACTGGTAGTACTGCAGGTAATTAAATATCCTCTTAATCAAACATTTATTTAATTCATTAAAAAATAGTCTTATTAAGTGCCCATTATGTGCGAGGTACCATGTGAGGGATCAGAGATACATAAAAGACACCATTCCTGCTCTAAAAGTTAGAGCCCTAAGAGGGAAAAGGTGAGAAAATCAGGGATGTCAGTACATGCACAAGGAAATGAAGACAGACAAGGTGCACTTCCAAAGGGAGAACACCCTTGAACTGAATCTTGAAGGACAACAGGGGTGAGCCAGGCAAGGAAGAGCATTTCAGGCAGACCAAACAGCAGCAAAAAATAAAAAGCCTTGCTGCTTATTTGGGGACCTGTAAGAGGCTGCCAGTGAGGGCAGAAGACAGGTGATAAGTGATAGAGAAGGAGGCAGACTAGACGAAGAACATTCTGAAGGCTATACTGGGGAGTGTGACTTTTGTCCTGAAGGCAATGAGAATCGAAATTACATCACACAGCATCTGAGGTGAGTGAGGGAGAGAGAAGGGGTAGAAGATTACAAACCAAAAGACTGCTTAGCAGGATACTCCACTGGTGGGGAAACTGAGGCTCTGAACAAAGTCTTAGGTAGTAGGCAGAAAAGAGATAAAAGAGCACCAGCACAAAATATACAGAGCCACAGAGTGAAGAAAAATACTACCAATACTGAACAAAATAAACAGTAGTCCTCCCTTATGCTAGGGAGATATGTTTCAAGACTCCCAAGGGATGCCTGAAACCACAGATAGTACCAAACCCTATATACACTGTGCACAAATTTCTTTTTCCTTCTTCACAATTTCATAGAAGATTCATTCTTACTGTAGATCTTAGCAACCTCAGCATATAGTTTTTTTCTTTCTTATTAAGTCAAGAACGCTCACCTTTTCACTTAAAGGAAGCACTGTACAGCTTCTCTTTGGCATATCTGATTGCCAGCATCACTACTCTTGTGTTTTGGAGCCATTATTATTATTACTATTATTTTTGAGACAGAGTCTCACTCTGTCACCCAGGCTGGAGCACAGTGGCGCGATCTCAGCTCACTACAATCTCTGCCTCCTGGGTTCAAGTGATTCTCAAGCCTCAGCCTCCTGAGTAGCTGGGATTACAGGAGCACACCACAACACCTAGCTAATTATTGTATTTTTAGTACAGACGAGGTTTCACCCTGTTGGCCAGGCTGGCCTCAAACTCCTGGCCTCAAGCAATCCACCTGCCTCAGCCTCCCAAAGTGCTGGGATTACAGGCATGAACCACCACGCCTGGCCTGGAGCCATTATTGAGTAAATTAAGAGTTACCTGAACACAAGCAATGTGATACCACAACAGTTTATCTGATAACCAGGACCACTGCTAAGTGACTGACAGTTAGCTAGCATCTACAGCATGGATCCACTGGACAAAAGAATGATTCATATCCCAGGCAGAATGGAGCAGGATGGTGAGAGATTTCACCACACTACTCAGAATGGCATGCAATTTAAAACTTATGAATGGTTTATTTCTTTAATTTTCCATTTAATGTTTTTGGACCCTGGTTGACCACGAGTAACCAAAACCTCAGAAGGTGAAACTGCAGATAAGGGGGACTACCGTATTAAGTAGTAAAATGTGATATTCAAAATGTTTTTTATTAGGTACAAAAAATGCAACCTTCAAAAACTGGAAAGGCAGCACTTAATAGATTTCAAGGTTATTTTTTCTCTTTGCTTAGGATCATGCAAAGGTCTAATCTCTTTTTAAAGAAAAAAATCACACTGCACCGGACTCCTCATTTTTTTAATGACGGAACGAACATTCAGTGACCTTCACAAATCCCCAAATTAGTAGCATATAATTCTACCCATAATATGTGGGTTTTGCCCCGAATAAAGCATTCACTAAAACAGATTCAAAAGGAGTCTTCTTCTCACAAAAGTATCTTACACAGGAGATCTCAGTCACAACCAAATCTGCCATGCTATTCTTCATTTCATGCAAGTTTCTATTTTCTGCCTGAAAACTACTGCATTTTTCCGATCTCTTCAGTTTTGGTACTAGCACTAGTTGGCCATCCGTTTTATGCCATGTTTTAGGGGAAAAAATCACTCCAAGACAGTTTCTATAGGAGTGATGAGTAGAGAATAACAAAACCCCAGTGAGATGCCACTACTTGGTTCCCACCACCCCATAAATTCAGAGGATTTAAACTCCTGCCTCAGCACAATTAGAAAGCATTGTACACCTGCAGGTTGTCTTGGGACTGGCCACCCTGTCAAATTCATTCAGCAAGTGCCCAAGGCCTGCAGGAAAAGCCAGTGCACAAAGGCTTCAAGCCAGACCCTTCCAACCTGTACAGTGTCACAAACCACATCAAACACTAGATGTCACTCTGTAACAGCCACCACACTACATATCCAAACAGAAAACAAGTAATAGACTTATAATAGCAAGTTTTTGTACAACTCTCTCCTAAAGGTATATATTAATTTAAAAAAAATCAACTTACCAAAACTGCATTAACAGATTAATTTTAATTAAAGAGAAAAAAGCTCTCTACATGTCTCCTGCTATCCTAACAATAAATAAACATGCTCAGGTTTCAGTGTGAATTTCCCATATCTTTAGCCCTAATGCAGTTTCTACCATCTGCCCTTAAAAGATTCTTGGAAGCATTTTTGCTAGTATTGCCTTCCACAGGATCTCCTCTTAAGAGTGTCAGTTACCAACACATCAAGTGGCACACTATGTGAAAGAGGCCAGCATGCCAGGAAGCTCAGGGCACCTGGACTGCAACAGATAACAACAAGAATGTAATTTCAGACTTCCACGAACATCTTATCTCCAGTGTCCCTTCCTCCAAGGTGAACTGAGTAATTTGGTATATCCCGTTGGGTCAATCCCAAGTTTCTCACCTATAAGTCTTGATGCAAAAGGGAGACTGCAGTCTTTAATACTAAATTTGCATATTAAACTATCCATTGAAACTGACTCCTTTCAACTCAAACATTTGTCTAATTAAAATTACTAACATTCTATAATAGGATAATCACATTTTAACCAGGAAAAGTGCATGCAAAGAATCTCCAAAATGGACCACATGTTTATATTTTGTTCCCACCTTCCGGTTTGTACAGATCATAGACATTTCACAATCAAAATCAGACACCAGAATAACCACATGCTATAGAGATAAAGGATCTCAGTCCTATGTTTTATTATTTCCCCAGTATCCAGTACAGGCGATAGCACCGAGGAGCAACTACAGAGCTAATTCACCACCACAGGCAACATATGAGACCAGTGAAAAAGGGTACCTTGGCCACCTGGCCCTCTACTGTGATCCCTGCAGAGCAGTCTCAAGGCAAGATCACACTATGCCATAACAATAATGTTATCATTTGGAGTTGTTCCCAACCAAGGGTTCAACATCAATAAAAGCCACAAGTATGGCTGGCATTACAAAGAAAGCCAGATGATTACACACCTCTATTATCATTTAAATATAGCCCCATGTCATAAATGTGACCCAAAATCTTAGTCATGCTAACTAGAGACATTCACTTTGCCAACTGGAACTCAGGGAGACTTTGGGGATGAGAGATGGGTGTCTTTGTCAGCTCAGTTCTTTTAAAAATGTTCTCCAGAAAATCTGAATTGATAGTGGCTTTTTCTCAATTGCAATCAGTCATTTAGAATTATGACAGTGACCAAAGAGCTGCATTCAAAATTGGAATCATTCTTTTAAAAGAAAACAAAATCTACTAAAGCATCTAAATATTTGAAATCCTCAATAAGAACTTAAATTCCAAGGATTTTAGAAGAATCTGCTTTTCTTGTTCATTTTAGTTGTTCTTGTCCCTCTTCCACTCAAAAACCGTGAAGTGGCCCTTACAGGAAACAAAATAAAAAGCAGTATCAGCCTGAGAGGTTTGTAGAGGAAGTCCTTCACCTCGGCATGGGAGGAGGGAGCAGCACGGAAGGATGGCTGCACACTGGACAGCCTGGAATAAGAAATAACAAAGCAGAGAAAAGCGCAGAAACTGTGGCAACTAGTTAATTGTAAAAATATGATTCTGCCACCTTGCTATGTATTATTTGCTTATAAGAAAAGCCATTAGCCATTGTATAAAGAAAGAAAAGGAATCGTTACTTAATCCTGTAGGACACCGAGCCTGAATCTGTTGACTTGCCTAGAATTCAGTTCAGGCATTTTCACTGAACCTCCACAGGAGCTTTTAATTTGTTTTCATTTTCAAAGAGTTACAAAAGATATGCAATTCTCACAAAAGAAGAGGAGGAGGCAGGGGTGGGGGGAGGAAAAGAGGAGGAGGAGAAGGAAAGGAAGAAGAAAGGAAATAAATCTCAGAATTGTTTGTAATCCTATTATATTCATAACTCTAGTTTTTCTTTAGGCAATTCACTATTAGTATCTGAAGTAAAATGGTGCTACTAAATGTGAAAAGTTATAAATGAATGCATTTGGATGGGAAATAAAATCAACATTCAAATTACTGGATTGCATATACAAAACAATGCTACAGAGAGTGAAAATCAGCCATTTGTTTCATCTTATTGGCACTGTACTGGATATAGCTATATTACTATTATCAGGAAAATCATTAAAAATTCTTTTCCCCTACTCTAAGGAAAAAAATTAGGGGCTAAATCCACTATCTATATAAGCTCACCTGGAGCAATGAAGAACAAGAGACCCAGTGCTGAATTCCATTAAAGTAAGACATAGATTCCACTACATCCCTGGATTCACCACTGGTCAAATTATGAATCCCAAACATAACTACACCCAGACTGTGCACATGCTGAGTCCAGCCATCCAATCCAGCATAACACCAAACTGCAGAGAAGGAAGGGAGTCAGTACATATAGGCGTGTAATAAATCGCAAGCAATCAAATTTCAATACCAAAGGAAAAACAAAAGCTAGCATCCACAATATTATTTTTCTTTCTCTGTATGTCCTAGAAGAAACCCACATGTCATCTGCACTTGCTGTGTGGTTCACCTGCTGCAGTTTGCCTCTTCCACCAATGCTTCTCAAATAAGAATCTCCTACCAAAGGACGGGTGAGAAAGAGACATGGTGCATCATCCTGGAGTGCACTGAAACTGTTTTCTTTATCTTGAAGGGGAAACAGATGGAGAAAGGTTGAAGGTGTGGTGGGGAGATGAAGTCCTAAGGAATTTGGCTAGCCTTTATTTAACATTATTTTCATTTTAAAAAATGCATGAAAACAGTAGAATGACATTGTGCATGGCTTTTCAATTCTGTTTGCAGAGGGTCACTTTGGAGCCATGCTTCTCCAACCTGTGGAGGTAAATGCTCATTCCCCTCAGCCAAGGGCACTCTGGTAATAAGAAGAAGCCCAGAGAAACCATTTCAGTAAAATCCTAAACCTTAAGTCAAAGTCCCCTGCATTACAAGGATACAGATGTACAAGATACTAAGGATTTAACCATGTTTAACAATGAAAAGTGGTCTTTCAAACGATGAGATACGGCTCTACTGGAGGACTCTAGAGCCTCCCTGTCCAATACAGTAGCCACTAGCCACATGGATCACCTGAGGCCAGGAGTTTGAGACCAGCCTGACCAATATGGTAAAATCTCATCTCTACTAAGAATACAAAAATTAGCCAGGCATGGTGGCAGGTGCCTGTAGTCCCAGCTACTTGGGAGGCTGAGGCAGGAGAATTGCTTGAACCCATGAGGCGGAGGTTGCAGTGAACCAAGATAGTGCCACTGCACTCCAGCCTGAGCAACAGAGCGAGACTGTGTCTCAAAAAAAGAAAAGAAAAGAAAAGAAAAAAGTAACAAAGGATTGTTAAGTCACGGTTGTTGGCTTTGGAAGAATTTGCTTTTCTTGTTCATTTTATATGTCCTTGTCCCTCTTCCACTCAAAAATATGTACAAAAATGCACATAAAAAACATGGAGTTAGAGTTTTTACACTCTCATTAGGAAACTAAGGCATAGCCACATTAAGGGATAACTATGGATATCCAGCCACAGTCAAATGATAACACAAGGCAGGGCTATTATATGAGTCCAAAGGAAAGAATGAGCACTTCCAGCAGGAGTTGCCAGGAGAAATTGGTGGGTCTAAACAGGTCCTGAGAGAATGGGCCAGATGGGGAGAAGAGCTAAGGGCAGTCCCTGAAAAGAGAACTGAATAAACTAAGAGGCAGAAGTGAAACTATGCAAAGAGAGATAAAGGGGCAGTGTTAGCCCGACAGAGCACTTCCACAGAGTAACCACAAAATATGAAGAAGAGCTACACTGAGAGCCAGGGAGAGGACTGTGAGTGTTAGACCAGCCTGGGCCACACTTTACAGACTATAAAGAACTCATTCAGGTCTCTAGGAAGGCTAATGACAAGATAGAAACAGGGTTTAATATAGTGGGGTAATTTAAATAAAATTTAGAATAAAGAATCTGTTTATCTGTGATTTCAAATCCTGTGATATTTGAAGAACATCCAAATGAGTGGCACTCCAATGCCAGAACATGTTTACGTTTTGAAATTAAGCCTCTTGTGTCGATGTATTTTAATTGGAGTGTGGGAGGGTGAGGAAATATCAAATTCTATAAACTTTCTAAAACATACATGTATAACTCCAAACTATTCTATTTCTCTAGTAAAAGGGGATGGCATACAACATGGCAGAAAGCTTGAAACAGTATCTCTGAATTAACTATATTGTCTTATTCTCTGTATTCTTGATGTGCTGACATCTGGGGCCTCAATGACATAGGAAGGATGCCCCTCCAAGGGTTAGCAAATTCCCAAAGATAGTGGCTCAGAGCATGTTTCTGATATGCAAACCAACCAATCCCAAATCCGTAACCCCAACCACATCCTTTTATGGACTCTATCCCCCTCCCCTCAATCATCCAGGGGCCAGGTGCTGGACAACCAGGAGCTACCCCTACAGCCCTGTCAGCTGAAATTATTCAAACTATCCAGTCCTAAGCCTATGTAGTTTACTTACCTGGCCTTGCCCATTCCTTCCTGCAAAAAAACACAATAAAAGCTCCTGCCCTCAGTTCTGTCTCTGTCGCTCCCTTTCCTCTTTGCGTACTGATTTTGCCTTGGTGCTTCCCTGTTTGGCTCTGTGTGACATGTCTGTTTCTAGAGGCCTGTGAGCATAATTAAAACTTCTTCCTTCATAACAATCATTTTCATGTTTCTGTGCCTTACCACACCTGATTAAAACGAATCTCAGGTACCATTAAAATAACCTGTCAAGCTTGAATCCAGAAGGTTCTCAATGTGAATTATTTGATCTTGAGACCCATTCACCAAGTACCTTGTGTTTCTACACCAACTCTCCTTTCCCTTATGCAGGTAACTAATTCAAGAACCATCACCAAAATATCACTTCTGAAAAGAACCATTCAGGATTTTCTGTGATTCAGAAGGTCATTACTGGAGCTCTGACATGAATTCATTCTTACCAGTAGACTCTTCCGCTCACCACGAAATGGTAATTTATACTCCATGAGGACGGGAGGCTCTGGCTACCTTGCTCATTGTTGTATCTCCAGCACCTACGTGTGTCTGACACAGTGCATACCTAATAAATGTGTCTGATGAATAAATGAATTGTAAAGAATAGTATATGTTGATATAGACAGCCTATGGAATACAGCTTAGAAAGAATACCAACACTCCTAAGTGGTAGGCAGCATGCCAGTAAGTTAGAATAATAGGTTCTAGAGTTAGACTAAAGGTTAAATCCCTACTCTCCCATTTACTAAGTGTGCACCCTTGGGCAAGTCACCTAACCCTACAAAGCCTCCAACATTTCATTCATAAAAACTGGGAAGACCAAACCTACTTCAGAAGGAAAGGATTAAACAGACTAGCCCATGTAAAACATGTAGATTCCGGTTAAGATGGTAAATGTAAATTCATGTTGTGGAGTCCCACATCATCATCCCCACATCTCCATTTGAAAGACAAAGCAATGATGGATGAAATATGGTTTTTAAAGTACAGTAAGAGTCATAACCATAGTAAAAAAAAAAAAAAAAGTATGATAGGCCAGGCATAGTGGCTCATGCCTGTAATCCCAGCACTTTGTGAGGCCGAGGCACATGGATCACCTGAGGTCAGGAGTTCAAGACCAGCCTGGCCAACATGGTGAAACCCTGTCTCTACTAAAAAATATAACAATTAGCCGGGCACGGTGGCAGGCACCTGTAGTCCCAACTACTCAGGAGGCTGAGGCAGGAAGAATTGCTTGAACCCAGAAGGTAGAGGTTGCAGTAAGCCAAGATCAAGCCACTGCACTCCAGCCTGGGCGACAGAGCAAGACTCCGTCTCAAAAAAAAAAAAAAAAAAAAATATGATAAACAACTCCATGAACCAACAGAAACTCTAAGTGGTGTACATATCTGAAGCTACAGGCAAAGGCAGCTGGAGTCAACTTCCAAAAGGTACAAGTGCTCCCACTAGAGAGGAAGGCAGGCAAAAAGGTCTGCTCACTGCCTGAGACCATGACCTGGACTGGCTGGTGGCCTTCACTGCACATCACTTACTTTATCAGAATACTGTAATGTCTCCAATACTCTACATCTAAAAACTACTGTTTCCTTTTCCAAGGTTCCCTTTCAGTGCATCCCTGACTTACAAGGCAGACAGCAGCTCTCTTTACATACTCCTCTTTCATGCCTTCTTATCTCTTACCTCTATGCTTTCTTCCAAGCCATTTCTTATTTATAGAATATCTCTACATGGTATCGCTTTTGTGATTTAACACATCTTATTAATTCCACCTCTTCTCAAGGGAGCCTTTCCTAATTATTTACAAAGTGGTAAGTATTCACTTCCAAACCCTTATAAACTATCTCTTTACAAGCTTTACAGGGCACTATCCTACAAAGCAGCAACGAAGTTACTTAGTACCCAGAATGAAACATACAAATTACAACCTACCTTCTAAAGCCAGAGACAGAGGGAACATAAGCATAAACAAAAGTAATGCAAGTTTATTATTCACTCATATTTACCATGCAAAATGAAAGTTTTATGAAGCCTTGAACAATATATATTTGTTCTATTATACAGGCAACTAATCCTCTGTAAATGGTAATGTATCAGTATTAACACCCTCCCTAGTCTAGAATTTAAGAACATGAAGAGAAAGTATCAAAACTTCTGTGAGAGGGATAGGTCTAGAGTCTCTGAAGGGCTTTCCTGCTGCAGGCCAATGGATCCATGACAACAAATGTAATTCTTAAAACATTGCTGGGCTTTGAAGAACACAGAGAAACTAACAAGGGACTAAAAAATGGTGGGGGAAGAAGGAGGAGCAAAGAGGGAAGAAGAAAGGAGGCAGAAGACAAGTAAGCCAAAACCTGATCTGTAAGCAACATGCAAAAGAAAAAACTGCAGAATGCCAAGGAGCTGATGCCAACACCAGCGCTAGGATTTACAGGTGACTATCCCCTCCAGCCCCCAGTTCCCAGCTATGGTAAGTTTAGGGAACTGAACCTGAATTTCCATTCATAAACCAGAACCCTCAAATGGAGCTAAAGTGCTCTCAATCAAGAGCATTCCCAGACTCCCGGCAAAAGCAAAGACAAATCCTCTGGGAGAAACCAGGATTAACAAATGTGAAATCTGTGGTCATTCAGTACCACTCTCAAAATCAAATATCACAAAATATGCAAAAAAAGAAGCCACTGTGAATGAGAGGCAGCTGAAATAACCAGCATAATTAGACAAACACTTAAGCTACTAGGATTATCATCTACAAAATATGAAATATTACACAGTAAATGTTTAATAAAATAAAAGATGTCTAAAAATGAACGAGGATCAAGAGACAATCGAAAGCAACCAGCCACATAAGAATGCCAAACCAAAAAAGCTGTTAAAAACATGAAAAAAATCATTGAAATGTACAGCTCAATAGATTGGTAAAGTAGCAGATTTGTTCCAAACGAAGGGAGTTAGTGAACTGGAAGAAACAACTGAAGAGACTTCCCAGAATGCAACACAAACAGATTGCGGGAGGAGAAAATAAAAGCAAGCTTAAGAAACAGAGAGGATAGATCAACAAGTTTAAGTAAGAATCCTAGAAAGTATGGCCAGAATGAACAGAAACTTATCAATATTTGAGAAGACAATAGCTAAGAATGTTAGAGAACTATAAAACATATGAATCCAGAGACTTGAGAAACATACATATACCAAGCAAGATAAGAAATCTTCAACTAGATATTTTGTAATTAAACTGTAGAACAACAGACACAAAAGATCTTAAAAGAAGCAGCTGGGTGCAGTAGCTCACGCCTTGTAATCCCAATACTTTGGGAGGCTGAGGTGGGCGGATCACAAGGTCAAGAGATCAAGACCATCCTGGCTAACACGGTGAAAACCCGTCTCTACTAAAAATACAAAAAAATTAGCTGGGTGTGGTGGCGGGCACCTGTAGTCCCAGTTACCTGGGAGGCTGAGGCAGGAGAATGGCATGAACCCGGGAGGCGGAGCTTGCAGTGAGCTGAGATCGCACCACTGAACTCCAGCCTGGGCGACAGAGAAAGACTCCATCTTTAAAAAAATAAAAAATAAAAATAAAAATAAAAATAAAATTTAAAAAAATGAAAAAAAAGAAGCCAGAAAGAAAAGACATTTAAAGGAACAACAATTACACCAAAAACAGAGTTTAAAGCTGCTACAATGGCAACTAGAAGATAGTAAAAATGTGGCACAAACACTACTACTACTACTATTACCAACACCACCACCACTACTACTAGGGTGTGTAATATAAAAACTGCTTGAAGACAATAAAGACCAAGCTAATGGAGATAAAACTGAAGGGATTATGACTCTCCAAAGAGATGCTTCTTTGCCAATACATTTTAAAACTTTGGTGATAAGAACAAATCCTCAGAATTCTTCAAATTCTTAGAAAAATATATAACTTACCAAACTTGAATCAAGAAAAAAAAACCAGAAAATATGAATAATACTAAAACAAGTCTAAAACTATCAAAGAAATTGAATGAGTGGTTAAAATCTTCACATAAGTAAAAAAAGCACCCCAGTTGCAGGTGGTTTTATAGGAAAGGTAAAAAAAACATTTCAATGACAGCTCATTCCAATCTTATAGAACTATGTTATATAACAGAGAAAGAAGAAATGCTTGACAACAGGTTTTATAACCATTACCACAGGACCAGTCAAAAACAACATGAGTATGAGAAAGAAAAACTGAGGCCAACCTCAGCTGTGAACAGAGATCCAAAAATGCAAACAAAATATTAGTCCAGGCTGGGTGCAGTGCCTCATGCCTATAATCCCACAACTTCAGGAGGCCAAGGCAGGAAGATCACTTGAGCCCTGGAGTTTGAGACCAGCCTAGACAACATAGGGAGACCCTATGTCTACAACAAATTAAAAAGAAAAAAAATTAGCTGGGCATCGTGATGCACACGTGTAGTCCCACCTACTCAGGAGGCTGAGGCAGGAGGATCACTTGAGCCCAGGAGGTCAAGGCTACAGTGAGCTATGTTCACACCACTGTACTCCAGCCTGGGCAATACCCTGACTCAAATAATAATAATAATAATAATAATAATAGTAATAGTAATTAGTCCATCCAAAAATCTAGAACTGTAATTCACCATATTAATACTCAAGAAGAATCATTATCATCTCAATCAAGTTTTTTCAAGAAAAAATTTAAAAACTTCAAAACCCATCTATGATTTTTTAAATAAATCTCAAACTAGGAATAGAAACAAAGTTATTTAATTTGATAGAGAATCTACCAAAAAGTTACAGAGAATATTACTCTTAATATTTCACATTAACAAAACTCTCTTTAGATCAAAAACAAGATGACCCTTTATCACTTCCATTTACCAATGTACTGGAAGGCTGACTCAGGGCGGAAAGCAGACCAACTGGCAAGTATGTCCACTCCTTACTCATAGACAATCTGTCTACCAAGAAAACAAAAAACCTGTAGACAAAATGTAGGAATTAAACAAGTCACATATATTTACTTAATCCAGCAGTGGGACTGAATAAACATGAACTAAATTTAAAAACATGGATAAATCTTAGAATTAATGTTGAGGGTAAAAAGCATGTCGAAGGTGATTATGTACCATAGGAGATCATTTCTATTACACTCAAAACAAAACAAAACCACACAAGAAATTATTTAAGGGTACAAATATGTGTGGCAAAGCCATTTTTTAAAAGAAAGAGAATGATAAAATGCAGGGGAGTTACTGTCACAGAGGTGAAAAAGGATGGTGGAAGAGCACCTAAGTAGCTTTTAGTTCCTAAAATGGTGAAGGGGGAGGGTGTCAAGAGTATGTGCTTTATTACCATGCTTCCTAACTTACATATGTTATAGATTCTTTAACCATTACATAAATAATATAATTAAGTTGATAAAATAGTACAAACAAATGATGGTCAGTAGATACATATTTAAGTAACACACTTAATTAAAGCTCCTGTTAAAAACAACTCATTTCACAGGTTTCATTCAAAGGACGGTAAACACAGGAAACATAATAACCACTACAGAATATGTGTATCAACATATGTGTATCAATAGCGAATCAACATCTGTACTCTGGGAAAGGAGTATAGCTCTCAAAGGAGAGAAAGGGGAACCAGGGCTATTGAGCACTAGCCATGAAGCCAAGTCCTGGGCAGGAAGTTTCCCATATCTTGTTTTTTTTCCATAAACTCAGAAAGCCCCTCACCATAAGGCCCTGGAGAACTCTCCTACTGTAGGAGATCTTTCCTACAGTGCTTTGCCCTCCAGCCAGCTCTGCACCTGCTCACATTAGGCCTTTCCTTTACAGCTATAAAAGTTTATCTTCTCACACTAACCTAAGCCTACACCTCTCAAACCACAAATAATTTCTAAAAAACCAACAATTAACTTTCGGAACCTATAATTCAGTTCTGAGTGTGTTCTCCAGGTACCCGTAATCTGGCCACTTATCTAATACATTTGGACAAGAAAGACTTTAAGCTTAATAAGTCAAAAACCACACCCAAACATTGTTTCAACTTTGAAGATATGATCAATGCACACAGATATACAGATGCATAAAGATCATAACCTCACTAGTAGAAAAATATATATCAAAAAAAGTTTTTGCATGTCAGATTTATATATATATGTATTTATATATATGAGACGAATCATCTCTAATGTTAGAGTATAGGAAATTTACATAAGACTTACATATCAGTTTATATAACATTTTTGGGTTTTTAAATTTTTTTATTTTTTACAGGGCAGTTTCTCAGTGTGAATATATGACCTTTTGGAGAGCAATTCAGCAATATCTGCTACTATTTAAGATGTGTGTACTCCTCCATCTAATAATTTCACATCTAGGTACCCATACAGGAAAAACTATCACACATGCTTGCAAAAAAAGAAAATCACGAGAAAATTATTTGTAGCACAGTTTGTAAAAGTGGGAGGGTGGGAGGAAGGAAGGAAAGAAAAAAATATATGTCCACCAACAGCCATTTTTATTTGTCTTCAAATAAAATTAAAGATCAAAAATACTTTATTTCCAACAAGAATTATAAAAGCTAAATAAACTCATCAAAACTTACTTCAAAAAGGAAGAGGATGGAGTCCAGCTCCTCCCTTTGTGACTTATTATTCCCTGGAATATTAAAAAATAATTAGTTATCATGACATCATTTAAACTTCAGGACACTACAAATTATGCTAAAAGGCAGCTTAAAACTAGTAAGCCTCAACATACATTCATTTATTCAAAAAATAGCAAGAGGCAGTATGGAGAACACATTAGGATTGCAAACAGACAACCGAGCCCGACTGCTCAGATCCACATCCAGCAGAGCTGCCCCTTGCTAGCTGTTTGAACACAGCTTCCATGTTTTCCAACTTGTTACCAAACTATGATGGGTAATTTATTCATTTCTCAACTAGTTACTTATTGGCTCAAATTGTGGCAGAATGCACAGCACAAACGAAAAATTTCTAAGTTGGTAATATAAAAAGTCATAGAGCAGATAACTATAAAAGTAGTATATCTTTTGGGGCAACTGCACACTGTCCTATTGATAATAACAACAGTAATAAAACCTACAACACCTGCAGCTGAGGTTACCATTTTCGGTCCTCTCTGTGTACCAAGCATCGTGCTAAGTGCTTGGCGCATATCATTTAATATAGGAATCAACAAACCTCTTCTGTAAAGGGTCAGACAATAAATATTTTAGGCTTTGCAGGCCTCTCTTACAAACACTCAAATCTGCTGTTACAGTACAAAATCAGCCACAGACAATACATAAATAATGGATATGGCTTGTCCAATAAAACGTTATTTATAAAACAGGCAGCTATAAGCTGTGGACCCCTGATCTAACTGAATCCCCACAGCTCAATGAAGTAGATATCATTCATTCATTCATTCATTGAATAAATACTACAGAATGTCTATATGCCAGGGATTATTCTAGGCCCTGAGGATACAGGAGTGAGCAAAACAGACAACAATCCCTGCCCCCAACAATTTAATATTCTGGCAGGAGGGGGCATTCTATAAATGAGTGAGAAAAACAAGAAGGAATGCAGACACAGAAGCCAAAAAAGATGGTATGCAATTTTGACTGGGGAAGTCAGAGAACATCTCTCTGGTAAGGTAACATCTGAGAAAAGATCCTTTGAGGTTAGGAAGCAAGCCATATGGAAATGTGGGGGTTTGGAAGCAAGCCATACGGAAATTTAGGGGAGGTGTATTCCAGGCAGAGGAACTGAACAATGCAAAGTCCGTGTAGCTCAACATGTCTGGCTTAGTCAGAAAACAGTCAGAGGCCCTTAAGGCTGGAGCACACAAGCGGGACAGTTGGAGAAGCTGAGGTTGGAGAGTAGGTGAGGCAAAAGAAGGCAGATTAGGTGGAGCCTGAGACCACTGTAATAACAGGGAATGAGAACCCGTTTGAAACTTTACAGCAGCCAAGAATCATGATTTGACCCATTTTTTTTTTTTTTTTTTTTTTTTTTTTTTTTGAGATGGAGTCTCACTCTGTCACCCAGGCTGGAGTGCAGTGGCGCGATCTCGGCTCACTGCAAGCTCCGCCTCCTGGGTTCACTCCATTCTCCTGCCTCAGCCTCCCAAGTAGCTGGGACTACAGGCGCCTGCCACCACACCCGGCTAATTTTTTTTTGTATTTTTAGTAGAGACAGGGTGTCACCATGTTAACCAGGATGGTCTTGATCTCCTGACCTCGTGATCTGCCCTCCTCGGCCTCCCAAAGTGCTGGGATTACAGGTGTGAGCCACCGCGCCTGACTCATATTTTTAAAGGAGGACTCCAGCTGCTCTTTTGACAAGAAACTATGGGATGGGAGAGGGCACAAGTGTGGAGGTGGGAGACCATTTCTGCAGCTAATGCTATAATCCAGGTGAGGATATCAGGAGTTTCAGTGTTACCAGTGTAGGCAATGAGAACAGGCCGGTGATTCTGGATGTATTTTGAAGATAGAGCCAATAACTCCGGAGTTTTGGCCTGAATAACTGCAAAGGCTCAAGTTATCACAAGATTATTTATTTCATTATTCCTTGTAGGCATTTTCTTTTATTCTTTTTTAAGGTACAGTGTCTTCCCTGCACTCCAATCGAACACAGATTATACTAAAAGCAAAAGACTTCAAAAATCTCACTATTTTTATTGGTTCTTCACTATGATTCTTTGCAGTAGATTGCAAGAATGGCCACAATCAAAGACCACCACAGTGCCTCACCCTGAATTCCTTCCACTCCATGCTTGACAACTGCCTGTTCTACAGGAGCAATCAGGGCATCTGACAAGGGGTCCCTTGATTTTTCCTCTCCACCTCAAAATGTCTCCATATCTACACTATCCCCTTATCTGCTCCTCCTTACATAGAAAGGTCACCTGTACGCTCCTCTCCATGTCTCTTCTTTTTCCTTGACCTGTCTCAACTCACTTCCCCCAACACCTGCACCATTAGTTATCTCCCCCTCCAGCTGACCCACTCCTCAATCTGCAAACAGGCCAATGCATTCCTCAATAACCTTCCCGTGACCAGGGTGAGATACAATCTGTGTCTTCACATCAAACTTTCTGAAAGGATATTCTCATGGGTCACCTTCAACAGCTCACCGCCCTGTGACTCCATGTCCATCTGTTTGGCTTCCGACCTGCTCCTCACCTAGAACCTTTCTCTCCGCACTCACTAACAACCACACTGATGAGCTCTTACTCCCCAGCCCAGCTGCACCTCATGCACCAATAGGCTGACTCTACATGCCTTCAATTCTCTCTCCCCTGGTCCTCTGTGACAAAACCCTTTCCTGGTACCCCTCCTACTACTCCATCGCTTTCCTTTGCATATACCCAATAAAATAAGGAATTATCTAAAAGTTCTGACCATCACTCTCTTTCTCTGTATATACTTTTTCCCTTGGCAATAACACGATTTCACCTCTTTTCTCCCAAGCTCCAGTCACCTATATTGTACTGTCCAGCCAACACCTACACCAAGGTATCCCCCATGCACCTCAAACACAGACTGCCCAAAGCCACTCTCACCCTCCTGCCTTCCAAATCTGGCTCCCCTCCAGGGTTCCTGCGCTAATGGCACCTCACAAAGCAGACTCAGTGTCCTGAAAGCATCTTTGACTTCTCCCTTTCCCTTATAACCAAGTCTCATAGATGGTAGACCCACTGAGACACAACACTTTTCTTTTCCCTTAACTACTGCCTCCCTGGATCAGGCATCACCATCCCTCAGATGAATGACAGCATCAGCCTTCCAATTGGTGTTCTTGCCTCTGGTTCAATCGCTACTTTACAAGATACTTGTGATAGTAACAAACACTTTCAAGAGCTCTAACCACCTCCAGAACAAAGTCCAAACTCCTTAGCCTAGAATTCAAGGCTCCTTGCAAGCATTATCTAATTTCCTGCAAATCTCTTTCACACACCTTTGCTGCAAGAAAAAAAAAATGCATTTCCCATACATGTCGTAAGAACAGCCCTACCTTTACTCATGTTCTCCCCTCCAGCAGCAGTGCCGCTCTCTTCCACCTGAAATCCTGCTGTCCTTCAAGGTCCATTCCCAAGGCCACCTCTTCCCCAAAGCCTCATCTATATACTCAGCAGGAAGTCATCTCTCCCACTTCCCAAGAACCACAGAATTCTGTCTAAATCTCTCTTACAGAACAACTGACTTTTTAACTTTTTTCACAGTTATTTATGCATATGGCTTATTTTTTAAATAAATGAATGACATCTACTTCATAGAGCTGTGGGGATTCAGATTCAGCCCACAGACTACATGAAAATGAAAGAAGATGGTGACAGCAGCTACTACTTACTGACCATGGACTATGTGTCAAACTCTGTCCTAAAATGCTAGGATACCTGTGAACCTGTTTAACGCTGACAGGAGGAAGCCAGCTCAGAGACAGATTAATTTGCCCAAGGAGAAACAGCTAGAAGGGTGGGGCCAGGTTCCCAACCCAGTCTGGCTCCCCAGGCTACACTATCCTACCACTTAGGTGACAGGATGTATAATGTATACAGAACAGAATGTATAATGTGACCTTGTTGGTTTGATTTTCAAAGAATATAGTCACAAACATATATAAACATAATACATTAATAATATATCTGGAAGGAGATGCAGGAAATCTTTAATAGTGGTTGCCTCTGCAAGCAGGGCAAAACAGACACTTGAGTGTTCATTTCAGACCCTTTTATGGAATCTAAATTTTTTTAATAGTATGCATGTATTACTTTTCTTTCTTTTTCAGTAACTTACTCCTTTGAAAATCATGCTTTCTAAGGGTTCCTTCTGCTATTTTTGCTAGCCATGTGTTGTTCAATTAACATCCATATAAGTGAAAGCTCAAGAGAAACAAAGATGCCACCCTGTCCACCATGCTCTCACAGCTTTGCTAAAGGCTTGGCAAGAAAGAAAGCTTAAAAATGTATAATTTGTGGCTCATGATATATACAACTTATAAAAATGCCCGAATGTTTTTTAAAAAAAAACTACTGAAATGCTTACCTTTTAATTTCAAACTATTTTCCAGTGCTATAAAATTTTCATAGAAGATGAAATATATCTGAGAATAGTTGGTCTCAAAAAACTGCTTAAGATCATTTGCATCCACATTATCTGAAAAGAAAAAGTTTCCATTTATGACAATTCACTTTATAAAATCACAAGAATTTAGAAACAAACTTCTCAGAAAAGAAGGCAAGTACAACTAGTTTCATTCCCTTATAAGACAATACAAAACAAAACAGTATTCCTGTTTGTTTATTCTCCACCTAAGAGAGTTCTTACTTGAACCTTGAGTACCACCCACCACTCAGCCCTGCTCAGGAGACCGTGGAGCCAATTCAGGGAGGTCGGAGCTGACAGGAGCCAGCAACAACGGACCAGCTAGAAGGCTGGAGGTAAGCAGGGGCAGGTCTGGGGAGGGACATGACTTCCTGTTACGGGATGAGGAAGTAGAGGTTCATGGAGGAGGCAGTTTTTGACACAGGCCGTGAAGAGGGATGGGTTTGTACCTCTGAAAAACAACTTTGCTGGTGGAGCTCCTAAATGGACCAATCTCTGCTCCCTCCCCACCAACATAACTCTCTGGGCATGAAAAGAGAAACCAGCTCAAGTGAACTAGCACATGCTCCCCAACCACAAGCTTCTAGATGACCTGCCCCCACTCATGTATGGACACTGTAGGATCTACCATGTGTTCCTAGAGTTGCCCCTCTTGTACTAGACAGTTTTGCTAAACCACAGACTGCGGATAGATAGGCGGGGGTGTGGGGAACTTAGCACAGTGACAACTCCCACTGGGGCTGATTAGCAATACAGCCAGTTCTTCCAAGGGCCCCGATCAGCCAGGGTAAAACCTCACAATGCTGGGGGCTCAAAGTAGTTATCCACTGTCAACACACCTTTGTACATTTTCCTCAGTAAACAAGGTTGTTTGTGCCATTTACAGAGTACTGACCAAGGAGTTGGCACTTTGGGAGAATACACTAGCATCTGAGGAAAAGTAAAAACAGCTTTCTGGAGCCAGGCATTGTAGCTCACACCTATAATCCCAGCTACTTGGGAAGCTGAGGCAGGGTAATCGCCCGAACTCAGGAGTTTCCTGAGGCTACAGTGAGCTATGGTTGAGCCACTGCACTTCAGCCTGGGCAAGAGTGAAACCCCTGTCTCTTAAAAACAAAACAAAACAAAGCAAAAAACAAACAAACAAACAATAAAAAGCTTCCTTAAAATTCTGCAAGGATTACTCAAGAAAAAAATGTGTTGCTCTTCAGTCTGTAACAGTGTGGTACCAATTGCTTTTGCAGTCCTAACACTGTGAATCTATGTGAACATACATATTATGATTTTCAAATTATATAACGTTAGCAATAATGCAGATGATTCTGAAGAGTTGTTTTTCTCTGATAATTGTATAAGAGCTTTTCATGCAAAAATGTGCCCTGGCTCTTTGAAATAATGCATGTAAGGTGCTTATAAAGTCTTATGAGCTGCCAATTTCACACTATATTTACTGCACCAAAATAAAACTGGGCACACAGCTGTGAAAATTCCTAGCAAGGAACAAATTTACTGTGTGAAAGCAGGTAGCAATGAAACTAGTATCACCAACCCACATGAATATTAACCTTCCTATGATCTATACAATCTTGACAAGGAATCCTTGAGTGCCTTGTGGAGAATTTGCCAGTTCCAAGGAAGAGTTCAGTACACTTCAACTCTAATGCAAACTGCTAGCCCATCTACCACTAACTGAGCCCTCTTTCTGAAGCCAGCTTCACTCAGCTGGCTCCTACTCACCCTCACTAGTCAGCTAAAACATCCCCATCTTACCCCCAAGACTAGGTCTGCACCTCTGCTGTGTGGCCCCCACTCTATGCTTCCCTGTCACAGAACACATCACACTTTACTTAATTCTGGTGGAATTCTGATTGAATTCCTGACTTAATTCTGATGGAATAATCTGTCTCGTCTATGAGACATATTCCCTGCCCTCACAGAACCCACAGTCTATCTCGTGAATCATTATGTCCCATGCATCTAGCACAATATTTAGTTCAATATTTTCTTGAATTGAGAATCCATGAATTAGCCTACACATACAATGATAAAATAATGACTACAACTTATAAACCTACAGGGAAGAAATAGCCTAACCCTCAATCCTTGGGGCAATCAAAAGACAAATCTCATCTCATCTCTGCTGAGGACTTCTGATTTCCATCTGCAGCCCTGACATCTCCCACTGTGGGCTCTAGTCTCACAGACTGCTGCCAGCTGATTTCTCCACGTGAGGGTCTTAAAGGCCTCTCAAATTAAACACGTCCACAGGGAAGTCCTCCATCAGATCCTGTTCTTCCCTCTGGCTTTTCCGTCCCAGTAAGTTGGAACCTCCATCCACCCCGCTGCTCTGGCCAAAGCCTGGGCATCATTCCTCACTACCCATCCCCAGTATGCCATTCTGTTAGCCTGCCTTTAACACGTACGTGTTCCAGCCCTGGACTGCTTCTGCTCTCCACGGCCCTGCCTGGTCTGTGTGGCCATGAACCCTCACACAGGCTGTGACCTCTGCCCATTGCCTGGGTTCCCTGCTTCCACTCTTCTTCCATTCCCCATAGCGGCCAACTCGAATATTTAATAGAGTCAGTCAAATCAGACCACTCCTCCACTCAAAACCTTCCATCTGCCTCCAGTAGTACTTAAAATCCGAACTCTTTACCATGGCCGGGCAAGGCCCTGCCTGATTTCCCCCACTCAACACGAACTTCACTGCACACCACTCTCCCCTTCACTCCCTATCCTCTAACCACTGTGGATTCTTTCCATTCCCCAAACTTCCCGAACATATTCTTCACTTGGGGCCCCTGCAGGATGCTACCCCCACTCCCAGATCTTCATGCAGCTGGTTCAGTGTATGAGACAAAGTAGCAAATGTAGACACTATGTCTGTTCATCCTGCTTACATAACAGCAGAATTGCACAAAACCCCTTGCCAGCAGAATTTTACAAAGCCCCTGACTCAAAGACTCGGCGCAGCCCTTGAGAAGAATGCCCTGAAGATGATAAGCAGGATACAGCACCGGTTCCCACATCTCCTGCCTGAATCACCACATTTTCAAAAAAGATACACTCGTCTTAGCCCTTGCCTCTTCCTGTATATAAGATAATATCTGACAGGATTAATGACTACGCCTCTATAATCTATAACCAGATGGACCCTCACACCCAAACCTTGGTAAGATTTTGCTCTAATGTAACTTCTGAGCACACTTAATGTAACTTCTGAGCACATGCAGAGTGCGCCACCTGTATATAAACTGTGGGCTAAAGCACTACTTTGGAACAGTCTAACAGACACTCTCTGACTCTCCCTGGTTGCGAACCTCAGCAAGACTTCTGAATAAAACTAACTTTAATTTTTTTAATCAACAGGTCTCCTCTTTCAGAACCTGGGTCACACATGACTTCCTCAAAGAAACCTGCAAGTGCCCCCATGTGTCACTCCACATTTCCTCCTCCCCCCGGCCCTCTCTCTTGGTAGGCTCTGCAGTGAACGTGCCTCAGAATGCCATAAGCTGGCAAACAATTTCTCTAGCATGGAGGAGGTGGGTGTGCTGATGCAGCAAGCTGGCACAGAAAGCTACTGGGAGATCAACAAGTCCCCATCTTTCCCTCCCTTATTCCCTCATTCCCTCAGACACTCAAGTATCAGCAAACCAAACAAAGAGGGTCCTCAGCATGTTTAAGGATCCCTCTTACACACTGAGATGTCCTCATGAGGCCAAAAGTCCAGGTAACAACCACCTTTATCCTCAGCCATCCAATATCTTTCTTGTGGATAAGGCATTGGTGGTGTTGAGCTTAAGTACTCACTAACAAGACAACTAGATACATTCCAGGGAACCCAAAACACAGTGAACCCAGAAGCATAGCATCTACAGCACACTCAGTTTATGTACATGTGTTGAGAACTCCTCAGTGGTCTGGGCACGCTCTTCACACAATTCCCCCTGACAGCACTTCAGAAGAGTTGAAATCATCCCTTTATTAATTTGCTGCCTCGTTGTCTGGCTGCTAGAATGTAAGCGGCATGAAGGCAGAAATCTCATCTGCTTTGTTCACTGTTGCATCCCCAGCCTGAAGAACGGAGCTTGGTACAAGAAAGGTACTTAACACATTTGTTAAATGAATAACCAAATAACAAATATCAGATATTTTATCTTTAATTCAAAATCTAGAATCATTTCTTGATTTGTCTTTTTTTAAAAGACTCATCAGAAGAATATTTATAAAGCAAGCATAGGTCTCAGGGAAGACAATCACAGGCAATGGAATTTAGCAACCTGCGAAAAGAAACACAAGAAAGGATCAAAAGCCTAATTTTTAACAAGGCTAATTTCAAGAAAAACAGAGATATAACAGGAAGGCTTTGCTCAATTAAAAAAAAAAAAAGACAACTATGACCACAAACTTCCTTCAGACAGGCAATCTTGACCCACTCATTCAAACATTTACTAGCCCCTATCCATGTCAACAAGTGCGGTGCTAAGCTTTAAAAAATTCAAAGAGAATAAGACCCGAGGCCCTCAGGGGTGCACAGGTAAACAAACAAGTAACAGAACAGGCACCATGGCTGAAGCCCATGCTGGACACCAAAACAGGGAGTGGACAAGGCCACATGGGGAAGCTAGGAATGCTAATGTCATACATTTATGTCATGTGTTATGCTTTAAAGGAAATGTTCATGAGTTTATTTTATTTGACCCTCACCATAGCCCAATGAAATAGATGGGCAGGTGTGATTAAGAGAAAGAAACCTCAGGGTCAGGATCTCCAGTGACCTGCCCAAGGTAACACAGCCTGTTGGGGACGTCAACAGAACCCCTGCTCTGGTCCTGCGACTCCATAACTGAGTGGTACAAAGGGACAAATGGGAATAAATCAGTCAGGAATATAAAAGAAATAAATCATCACCTTGAGGATGAGCAGGAGAGCCAGAGGAGAAAGAGCAGGAGGAAAAGCCCAAGGTAAGAAACAGGACTGAGTGACACTGAAGAAGCAGCTCCTGGAACTTGCCCCACAGCCTCTCAGGGCTGTAGGGAAAAGGGAGGGAGGGCAAGGCCACGCTCCAGAGTCCAGATGGGAACCCGCCTTTGAAGGGATGGCTTCCAGGGTTTGGCATGGAATGGATGCTAGCACACTGGCTTACTACTATTACAGAACTCAGGGAAGCATGTCCAAATTAACCACAGAGAAGCAAACGGCAGACAGCCTGGCAGAGCTAGAGGTCATTTCTGAATTTTTAAAGAAATCTCCTTTAACTTCTCATTTTCCTGCACCACCAACCAAAGATAATCTTCTACATACCACCCAAAATCACCCTCTTCCACTCCTTTGTCCAGCTAAACCTCTTGTTGATTAAGTATTTCTCCACATCTAGCTGGAAGGCAACAGCAAAGGTTGAGGGCAAAACCTCTGGGGCAGACTGCCTGGATTCAAATGCAGAAGCCACAGGACCTTGGACAAGTTATTTAAACACTCCAATCCTCAATTTCATCTTAAAAATAGGGCTAACAGGCCAGGCATGGTGGCTCACACCTGTAATCCCAGCACTTTGGGAGGCCAAGGCTGGTGGATCACTTGAGGTCAGGAGTTCAAGACCAGCCTGGCCAACATGGTGAAATCCCAACTCTACTAAAAATACAAAAATTAGCTGGGTATGGTGGCACATGTCTGTAATCCCAGCTACTCGGGAGGCTGAGGCAGGAGAATTGACTCAACCTGGGAGGAGCCGAGATCGCACCACTGCACTCCAGCCTGGACGACAGAGTGAGACTACACCTCAGAAAAAAAAAAAAAAAATAGGGCTAACAATGGTTCTTACATCACACGGCTGCTGTGATGATAAAATGAGCATATGTAGAATGCTTATAAGAGCTTCAGTCAGCATTATAGAAATGTCAGTAGTTTTAGAATTACTTTGCTCCTGGCAAAGGTCACTAATCCTAATACAGCAGTAAGTACTACCAGTATACACACCCACAAAACCAGTGGGATTATCCATCTATTTCCTTCCACATATAATCCTCTTCAATAGCAATTCTATTGCTTTTTATTTGGAAGGGTCATAACACAGTCTCACAAAAACCTGCTTCAGCAGACCCCTAGAAAGCACCAAAGGAAGGGAAAAAGTCCTCATCTCACTCAGGAGCCCCAGTGGGATGCTATCAAGGGAGGAAGGAGCTCGTG
The DNA here is from genome assembly GCF_000001405.40 of Homo sapiens. Lineage (NCBI taxonomy): Eukaryota > Metazoa > Chordata > Mammalia > Primates > Hominidae > Homo > Homo sapiens. The sequence goes on from NC_000020.11 coordinate 20,686,937, forward strand.
TTCAGTTCTCCTCTAATAGGGAATGACCCCCCTGCACCTTCTATACTGCCTACACCCCTCCATTCCCAAGCCAGAACTAAGAGCCATCCAAGCCCTGCCTATAGTCCTGTGTGTAGATGAAGATAGGTGTCCTTTACTATTTTAGTGAAATTCCCTGGATAATGGCACTGAAGGCCTGATGATCAAGATAACAGGCTGGTGATAGGAAAAAGGGTAAGTGAAGAATGTAAGGCAAACTTGACAACTTAATAAAACAGTCATTCAGAAGCACTCAGTGAGAACAAGGAAAATAATGAAGTGCAAAAGAACTAGTCAGACACAAGACAGAAAATGCAGACAAGGATGGATATCATTAGTAATGCACCATTACTTACTTATAGGCTAATATGATTCTGGCGATTTCACATTTAAACAGCTGCCTAGGTCCCTGGGTAGTTTGCAGAAATGCCACAAATCATTCCTTCCTTCCATCCACACATTTGGATGGTGCCCAACCACAGTGATCCAGGACTGATCTCCTGACTTGCTTTGGCCAAAAAGGCCTTAAAAATGTGGCAGTGGTTGCTGGGAGAGCCGCAAGTAGTTGCTGATCCAAGCAAAATGAGAAAATTCATGAAAAGCTGAACCCAACCCACCAGTCTGGAGCCAACCCCAGGCAACCGTCAGTGAGAAGAAGAACCACCCCAGCGAATACAGACCCAACACAGTGAGGGAGAAAAATGGATGCCTGTTGCTGTAAAGCTCACGGAAGCTGCTAGGTTTGGGAAGGTTTGTTATGCAACACTATTATAGAAATGGTGGTGCAGAAGAAGAAACTCAGTACAGAACAGCCTCACTGGTCATAAGAGCCAGCAAACCTATGAAGAGATACCCCCAAGTATAACACATCATCCCCTCCATTAAAGAAGGAAAAGCAGGAAAAATGAATCCAAGTTACAGAGGCTTGCCCACTGACACAAACTTTCTGTCAACAGTGATCCATGCTAGCCAGAGTGAAGGCAGGAATTCCTTTTCCTGACACCAGCCAGTATGTTTCGGTACCTCCTATGCGTGCAGTAATGTGCTAACTGCAGGTTAGAAGCTTATCTACATCAGGAGGCAAAAACCTACAAAATAAGACTTTCCAGATTCAGCAGGCAATCAGATCATTAAACAGGAGGTATACCAGGGATGACTGGCTTTAATGGCCAATCAACACTCTTATCATCATCATCATTATTAAAGAGAAATTCACATCTGAAAAATGCCTATAAATACAGACTTTAAAATGTCTCCTGGAGAATCACTTGAACCCAGGAGGCAGAGGTTGCGGTGAGCCAACACTGCGCCACTGCACTCCAGCCTGGGCAACAAGAGCAAAACTCCATCTCAAAAAAAGAAAAAAAAAAAGTATCCTGGACTGATTATTTGCAAATACAAAGTATTCATGTGGATGAAAATACTAATTTACAAAGCAGAAAACTTAATGCATCAGACAAAAGACTCCAGCCCCAGTGCTATCATGGCGTGAAACTCGAGATCTGGTCAAAGATGCGGTGTGACAAGCCCAGGTGGGGAAGGATGGAATAGGAAGTGGGCTGTGAAGGAAGCACAGAGTCCCCTTAGTCCCCTTAGCTAAGCCCTAGTCATCCCCACAAGTCAGTTCACAGGTAAGGACACCTTGCCCAGCTCCTCACATACTGCTCTTAGATCCCCTCCTACTTCTATACCTCAGTCTCCCCGACCAGACTGTTAGCAGAGAGTGTCAGGTCTCCATTCAGCCAAAGCACAGGTATTGAATACATGTGTACTAAATAAACACATCAAACAGCAGAATTTAGATATACAGAGAGGCTTCATAATTAATCCTTTCAAGCATTCCTGAAGGTCACAGCAAATAACAAAAATGATTTTTTAAAAATCGAGGTAAAACCTCTTACAATAATGGACCAAAAAAGATTCCTCCAAATCAGGAGTCAGGACTACTACCCTAGATACAGATGATAAATTACTAAAAGTAACAAGCAATGAAGGTCCACCCTGCAGCTAGTATTAATTTCTAGTAAATAGTAACATTTTCAAAAGAATGATGGAGCAAATGTATGTTCATCCCTTAAGTTACCAATAGCATTCATATTGTTAAATTACCTTTTATATACCATCTATTATATAAAAGTCTCTATGTTATGTAAGAAAAATCTGAAATCAGAAACATCCTCCTCAGCACTAAAATTTTTAAACTTGTTGATATATTTTAAGTGAATTTATGTTAATTTAATTATATTCTTTTACCTTTTAACAACTTATTTTTTACAAAACAGCAAGGAATTATCACCATCATATTTGTTTTACACACACATATATATTATGCCTGCTACAAATGTAAAACTTAAGGCATAACTATGAGTAAATATTACCAAAATCACACTTTCTAAAAAATAAAATAAGACAGGAACAGTGGCTCACGCCTGTAATCCCAGCACTTTGGGAGGCCAAGGCGGGCAGATCACGAGGTCAAAAGGTCAAGATCATCCTGGCCAACATGGTGAAACCCCGTCTCTACTAAAAATACAAAAATCAGCTGGGCATGGTGGTGCACGCCTGTAATCCCATCTCCTTGGGAGGCTGAGGCAGGAGAATCACTTGAACCCGGGAGGCGGAGGTTGCAGTGAGCCGAGATCGCGCCACTGCACACCAGCCTGGTGACAGGGCGAGACTCCGTCTCAAAAAGATAAAAATAAAAAAATACAATATGTCCTCAGGCCCGCAATTTCCTCCTCTCAATTAAAGTGAGGAAAATTGGTAGAGATCACAAAAAAAGACTCTTAATACAATTGTTACAAGGAGTTTCAAAAATTAAAGAAAATTAACATAAACACTCTCAGTTAGGGAGCTCACTCCTCCTGCAGATTCAGCCAGCAGCTCAGGGCAGAGGTTCCCTCAGTTCCTGGCCTGTCATCTGAGTTCCATCCCACAAACCGAAATACCAGCAGCAAATCCCTTCCTGGATTTTCTGCTTCAAGAAAATCCACCCCTAACCTCACTCACCCTTCCCCAAACCTTCCCTGTCCACTACCCCCCTCATCTCTGTCATATCTTTTTCAGTCTAAGGTTATTTATAGAATTTCTGCAAAGCTTTATGAACCAAAAGACATAAGTGTATTCTACAAGTACACTTGTCTAATATCATCAAGATTTCGTATTTCAGAAAAATTCTCTGAAGTATTATACTTTCAATCTGCACCCACTTTAGCATAAACATCACTGGAAACATGTGATATGGAATTACTCCTGAAGTCATCCAGAACTTAAGTAATAACATACTCAAGATAACCCTGGCCCCTCCTTTAATACACAGCACCCCACCAGAGTGATGGGAGATCCTCCCCTTGCTCCTTGCAAGACCCCCCATTCCCTCCTCCTTACCTAGCTACCATGAGCTGCCTAAGAAACCAAACTCAGTAAGGAGACTATAATTAGAAGTAATCATTGACCACCCCCTAGGTACACATCAGGAGATATCCCATCAGGCCTTGCACTCAGGTTTCCATCCATCTCCTGGGAAATCCAATTCCCACATGATCTTCATCTCTGACTGTCACCCCCACACAGCTCTGGGCATCACTAATCTCACCCTAGCTTCCTCACCCTACCCTCCCACCCACTATATCCAATAAAGCTCACCAAATTCCGTCTTCTATGCCACCTGTAAAGGCTGTTTCCTTTCAGCTGTACCTGAAACCTGGAAGTCCCCTCAGCACACTGCTTCCTTGCAGTCTGCCTGGTAAGGCTTTTGTCTTCCTCCTACACTCACATACCACCAGGCCTAAGATGAGATAGGTGGCCCCCTTGCTCCCCACTGCAATCTCCAGACCATTCTGGTCCTTCCCTCACACACAGAGTGCTCCTCTGCTGCTCACACCATCTACCTCCAACTACATCTGTGCCAACTTTCACTGACTGGAGTTGCACAATATTTCCCACATCCCAAGACACTCTCCCGAAGATTCCAGGGCCCGACTGTCTTTCAGTATATTACTAGCACTGTCTTCACTCCTGGTGGTTTCAACATTTATATATATGATGCCTGACTCCCCCATTTCTAATGAGGTTGTCCTCTACCCTACCTCTGCCGCCCACACCCACAGCCAGATCCTAGACCTGATGGTTACTTACAATCTTCCCACCTGCAAGCCTCAGTTTCAAGAAATCCACTCTCTCGTCACCCGCTATTTCTTATCCTTCCCGCCCACTCCTTCTGGAACCCTAAGTCCAACAACTCTTCAACCTTACTGGGTCCTTGAATCCAATAACCCCACCACCTTGTCACTATCTCTGATGCCCCTCAAGTCCTCACTTCCCTTCTTTCTCAATTTAACTTCCACAGTTCCTCTTTTTAGTCAGTCATTTCACTGTCCTTCAACCCCTCTGCCTCTTTCTCCCTCTAACGTATTCACACAATAAAACCCCAGTCTCAGTTTCAACCTGATTCAATTGAAAGTATTTATCAGAGCACAGGCCATGTACGGGATACAAAGGATTTTTTACAATTTTGTATTAAATATTTAATCCATGTGAAAAAAACCAGTTTTGTATATACATAATTTATGATGTATAATAAAACAAACACCTTAAATCACCCACCCAACAAAAGCATCCAGTCCAATCAGGCTTTGACACCACTCCCCGACACAGTGCTAAGGAGTTCCACACCGCTAATCCAATGGCCAATTTTCACTTCTCTCCAGGGCCAATAGCAGATACCCATGTAATCTGTGTCCAAGCACCACTAGCCTGGTCCATCAGAAGGAAGGGGAGCCTAGAATCCTGACATAAAACTTCTGGATGTATGGTGGGGCCTAAAGTGTATATTCCTATTCCAAGTGATATAGTTTGGATATTTGTCCCCTCCAAATCTCTTGTTGAAATCTGATCCCCAGTATTGGAGGTGGGGCCTGGTGGAAGACATATGGATCATGGGGGTGGATTCCTCATGAACATCCTGGTGCTGTCCTTACAGTAATGACTGAGTTCTCTATTAGTTCCCATGAAAACTGATTGTTACAAAGAGGCTGGCACCACCTCCTCTCTCTTATCATGTGACGCCCACTCCCCTTTGCCTTCTACCATGAATGGAAGCTTCCTAAGGCCCTCAAAAGAGGAAGATGCTGGTGCCATGCTTCTTGTATAGCCTGCAAAACCATGAGCCAAATAAACTTCTTTTCTTTATAAATTACCCATTATTCCTTTATAGGAACACAAAGGGACTACGACCATAGGAAATGAAACAAAGTCATCTTTTAGCTCCACTGACAGGTTTGTTTCTTACATACAATTACAGCCATGTTGTACATACCTGTTTAAATTATAAAAAAATTTTCCATAAATATATATTCAAAAATTTATCATAACTGACCATTTATTTCCACAAGCATTCTTCATAGTATTTTAAACTAAAAACTGAGAGCAGCCTGGAGCAGACACTGTTGCTTTCTCTCCAGCTCCTTCACCTCACCCACCAACCACAAACAGACCCTCCCTCTTCCTAATAGAGCCTCCATTTGCTCAGGGATCTCCTCCTCCACAAAGCAGTGCCCCTCTCGGAACCTGGCCTGTTCGCAGCCCCAGAGGGAGGACCTGATACTGCTGAGCCAATTATGGTGGCAACATGCTCCTTGCCAGTGACTCAAGCCTGTGACCCAATGCTGATCAATACAAAACAACAGAAAGTCTGATGAAGATAGCTGAGAAAAGCTTTACTGATTTTAAGGAAGAAGTGTGCCTTTTTTTCCTGCCTTTGGATATCATTCTATCTGGGTGCAATGGCTGTGGGCATTTTGCCACCCTGAGGACAAACCTGCCACACTAAGGATAGCAAAGCCAAGAGGTGGAAAGCATCTGGACTGTCAACATCACCGAACTCATGAATTAGCCAACTCTGGGGCCTCCCTGCCTTGGGACCTCTTTTTATAGGAGAAAGAAATTCTTATTACTTGCTTATATTTGAGTTTTTTGTTACTTACAACCAAAAATATCCTTGTAGGCAGACAGCTGAAATAAAATTTGCCAATTCCAACAGGAAACAAACACTAGTGTCAACTGAAATGATCACAGAAATTATAATATTAATCCTACTTCATTTCTGAAAGCATATTGTTTTCATTTCTTTATTCCTATAAAGTAAACCAGATGTAGAACATCAAATTCTTAGAAATCAGATAAATAGTAACACTCCATTATCCAGGAGTGATAGTCCTTGTGTAAAAGTAATTCTGTATAAAGATATAGTCCAAATACTTAGTGTTAAAGTTTTTAAAAGTAGAGCTATTTTTACTTAACATTTTTGACACACGTTTCTCAAATACAGGATTCTAAAACTTTGTTTTTAACAGATATCAAATACCAATATAATAAAACACACTATAGAAACTGATATCCAAATCAAATGTGAGTTATATTACATTTTAATATATTTATCTATCAGGAATCAAGTTTCATTAGACATTTTAAAGTCAATGCACACTTGGACCTCCTTTTCTTGATCTGAATTGGAGCTAGCCTACATTATAATCAAAATCGCTCCTGAGGGGAAAAGTTGGAGACAGAAATAAAATGACTACAGCCTAGGAGCTGTAGTCACCTCCACCCCTCTAACTAAGGAGGCAGGAAAGTGATGAGGAGAGTGTTTACAGCTGTCGAATAATGTCTCATGTCAAATAATTATGATTAACAGTAATAACAGCTCACAAAACAGCTTTGTATACATTGACTCAACCTCCAACAACCACAGGATGGTGGGTACCATTCTTACCCCCACTAGAAAGGGTAGGTCACTGCCAAGACTCGAACCCAGACAGTCAGGCTCCCATACTGTTCACCCAATTAAGTGTAATACTAATAGAAAGTTGGCCGGGCACGGTGGCTCACACCTGTAATCCTAGTACTTTGGGAGGCTGAGGCCTGCAGATCACTTGAGCCCAGAGTTCAAGACCAGCCTAGGTAACATGGTGAAACCCCATCTCTACAAAAAATACAAAGGTTAGCGGGACATGGTGGCGTGTGCCTGTAGTCCCAACTACTTGGGAGGCTGAGATGAGAGGATGGCTTGAGCCTGGGATGTGGAGGTTGCAGTGAGCCATGATTGAGCCACTGCACTCCAGCCTGGGCAACAGAGCTAGACGTTGTCTCAAAAAAAATGAAAAAATTTCAAAAAAGATACCGTAACTTTAAAAAAAAAAAAGTGAGGGAGGAGGTTAAGGGAAGCATGCCTGGAAATCTATTTTGTTTTATTTTGCTGTAAAACAAAAAGAACACAGGAGAGATATGGTACAAGTCACAGAACTTAATAGTTATTAAATACAAAAGTACACCCAGAAGTTGGTTTGTTTAAAAAGTACACCAGAGCCAGTTTGCAGGTGGAATGACCTTCCTCCTAGACAGTTCAAAATGGTGGCATTTCTGTGAAATTAACTCAGTAAAGACTGAAGTGGCTTTCCCCAAGGAACCCTCTTTACCTCCAGGAAATCATCATATTATCCCAGCTTGTGAGCAGCCTCCAATATTGTCATCTCTGCTGTGTCCCTAACACAAGAAAACGAAGGCCCTTCTGGTCACTGGGCAGTC